>NC_000002.12:68542625-69167625 GCF_000001405.40 Homo sapiens
CTGCTTTCAAAAACGAAATGAAAAACAAGTAACAATTGTTGATGGGGATGTGGAAAAATTGGAACCTTTGTGCATTGTTGATGGGAGTGTAAATTGGTGTAGCCACTGTGGGAAACAGTATGGTAGTTCCTCAAAAAAATTAAAGATAGAATTACCCTATTATATAGAAATTCCACTTCTGGGTATATATCCATAAGAATTGAAAGCAGAATCTCAAAGAGTTCATAGCAGCACTATATTCACAATACCCAGGAGGTAGAAGGAACCCACATGTCCATCAATTATTGAAGGAATAAAGAAAATTTGGTATATACATATGATGGAATATTATTCAGCCTTAAAAGGAAGGGAAATTCTGACACATGCTCCTATGTGTATGAACCTTGAGGACATTATGCTAAGTGAAATAAACCAGTCACAAAAAGATAAATACTTCATAATTCTACTTGTAGGAGGTATCTAGAGTAGTTAGATTCATAAAAACAAATTAGAATGGCAGTTACCAGTGCCTGTGGGGAAAAACAGAAATCAGAATGGTGGATTCCGGGGAGGACAGGAGGAGCTGGGAAGTTGTTGTTTAATGGGTATAGAGTTTTCAGTTGCACAAGTTGAAAAAATTCTAGGGATTGGTTGCACAACAATGTGAATATACTTAACATTACTGAACTGTGCACATAGAAATTGTTAAGATGGTAAATTTTATGTTACGTATATATTCTTAGCACAGTTTAAAAAAAGCAGTAGGCCAGATTTGGCCTGCTGTTCATGGTTTGCCACTCTCTGCTATAAATACTGCCATGTGAAAAAACAAAAAAGAAACCTAACAGTGCTAAATGTTGGTGAGGTTGTTGAAAAACTGGAACTCTAATAACCTACTGGGAGTGAAAATTAATACAGTCATTTTGGAAATTTGGCAATATTTATCAAACCTGAGCATATACATACCCTGTGACCATTCTTAACTATATCCCCAGGAAAATGCATATAGATGTGCATCAGAAGGCTTATACGAGAATGCTCATTGCAGTATTACTTATAGAAGTCAATACCTGAAATGAACCCAAAAGTTTATCAGTAGTAAAATGGATAAATTATAATACCATCATCAAATGGATGATGCTATTACTACATGGTATTGAAAACGTACTTACTGCTACATGTAACAACATGAATTAATCATATAAATATAAAAGGGCTGGTTCAAAGAAGTGCATACTAGTATATATTTTCATTTAAGTTCAAAGGCAGACAATACTGATCTGTTGTTTTATAATATCACTTCTTAAAGTATGATCCAGAGATCCCTGGATGTCCCCAGAACACGTTTAAGAAATCTGTTAAGTCAATTGTATTTTCTTTTTTTTTTTTTTTTTTGAGATGGAGTCTTGCTCTGTCACCCAGGCTGGAGTGCAGTGGCACAATCTTGGCTCACTGCAACCTCTGCCTCCTGGGTTCAAGCAGTTCTCCTGCCTCAGCCTCCTGAGTAGCTGGGATTGCAGATGTGCGCCACCAAGCCCGGCTAGTTGTATTTTTAGTAGAGATGGGGTTTCACCGTGTTGGCCAGGCTGGTCCTGAACTCCTGACTTCAAGTGATCTGCCCTCCTCGGCCTCCCAAAGTGCTAGGATTACAGGTGTGAGCCACCACAGCCGACCCAAAAGTATTTTCATAATAATATTGTGACTTTTTGTGAATGCCTTTTTTTACTGCCATTCACTCTCTCACAAGTGTACAGTGGAGTTTCCCAGAGGCCACAAGTTATGTGTTGTTGTTAATGATTGAATGCAGAAGCAGGCATGAGAAGCCAAATGCCTTCTCTAAAGTAGAGATTAAATAAATTTCCATAGTATAAAACAATAATTTTTTCTTGGAAGTTAATAATTATTTATGTTAAGACATGTTATTATGATAATATGTAAAGGGTTTATTATTGTTCTATTTAAGTCAATAAATGCACTTTTTCAATTTCTCATTTATAATTTCTAATAGGGTAAATATCCTATATAAACAAAAGCTCTCTGGAGTTTTAATCTTTTTTTTAGTGTAAGAGTCTTGAGACCGAAAAGTTTGAAAAACACTTTTAGAAGTTAGGATAGTTACCTTTGCGTAGTAAATGGATTTAGTGATTGAAGAGGGCACATGGGACCTTTCTAGGATGTTGGAAACGTTCTGTTTTTTATCTTAGCAGAGGGTACAATATATGTGCTCATTTTATTAAAAGTTTTGAAAAGCTATATATATTTATGATATTTATGTTATATGCTTACATACATATGTGTCATATATATAGTAATGTTTGCAAGTTGTCTATTGATATCATGGCTCATCACATGACACCAGAAATGTAGTATGTTACTGTGAGAGTCCTGTACTGAGTTTATGTCATCAACTTTATGTCATCAATTTAGCATGTTGATGTAATCTGCGCTTATGTCATCAATGTAGCATGTTGGTTTATGTTCAAGGATAGCCAGATGTGGATTGTCTGGTTTCCTGCTATATCCACTAAAAATCTAGAATATCCTATTTTTTTTTTCTGACAGTATATTTGTCGCCCTCCTAGGAAGAATCCTGTTCATTTTCAACATTTTAGCCATCCTGGTGATAGTGATTATGGAGGTGTACAAATCGTGGGCCAAGATGAGACTGATGACCGGCCTGAATGTCCCTATGGACCATCCTGTTATAGGTATAGAAACTGAATGTTTGGCTGCACTCCTTTTCTTTCTTATCTCTGTTACTTATCTAGGAGAAACTGACAGCAGCTTGTTATCTCAAGCCTTTTAATTTTCATTTTTAAACTTCTGTAGATTACAGGTTTTCATGTTGGTAATAGGTAGGATGATATTTCTTTTAGCTAATTCTGAATTACTGAAGTTACACATCTACGAGTGCCTGAAATTTTTCCTTATTTCCAACTTTCTGTAATGCAAATTAGATCACTTAAAAGCTGTTGATGCTACCCCAATATACACTTAATTCACTCTGTATGTCCTAGGTGTGACATATAAATCTATTTGGGATGTTATCTCTGCATCCCTCTGCTTCCTCAACTTTTACTACTCCACTATTCTTGCCAACACAGAAAGTCCAATCCTAAAGGAAGAGTAAGAATACTTCTCCTCTCAGTTTTCATGGCATCTTGTCCTTGTCCGTATCATGCACAGAGTAGGATTTATCTCATGAGATTATGTTTGTTTCTTTATCAGAACATCTTTTCCTACAGGCAGCAAGTATCTTGACAGCAAGGACTCTCATCTTTGTATCTTGCAACTTTGCTTAATAGATGAATGAACTTGAAATGAAACAAACTATCAAAGAAAAAAGTAGTGATTTCAGCTTTACAGAGCTTTAATTCCAGACAGCCATCTTTCTTAGATAATTTTAAATACAGATTGCTGAACCTACTGGGCTATTTGAAGTTGTTTCTATTTCTGTGATTGTGGTTTTCAATGAGAAGGCAAAGTAAGTTTCTAGGACCAGAAAGGAGAATGACTTATACTTTTTTTGAAAGGTAAGTGTTCATTATAATCAACTTTACCAATAAACTTGAAAATTTTTGGAGAAATTAACAAATTCCTAGAAAAATACAACTTTAAGAAACAGATACAATCAAAAATTGAGTTAATATAAGAGAAATTGAATATATAATTTAAAGCTTTCCACAAAGAAGTGATAGATCTGTTTGGTTTTAATGGCAGGTTCTAACAAACATTTAAAGAAGAAGCACTTCATTTTTACACAGACTACTCCAAAGAAAGTAAAAGAGGGTGTATTTCCCAATTCATGATGTGAGACCAGCACAAGTTTGATACCAAAACCCAGCAAGAATAATACAAGAATGAAAAATTATAGGATAAGCTTACTTTTGAACATAGTTGTAAATATCCTGAGGGGAGAAAAGTTATGAGAATCAAGTGATAAATAAAAAGGAAAATATAATATGACCAAATAGGGTCTATCTAAGGAATGCATGTTTTAATGTTAAAAAATAAATTCATTTACCATGTCATCAGAATAAGTAGAAAAGCCATCTCCATAGATGATTGGAAAGAAAAAAACCTGACAAACCAAAATCAGCATTCATTTATGAAAAAAACTTGTTATAAAGTAAGAATAGAAGGGAACTTCTTTAATATCAAAAAGAATATCTACAAAAAATTTATAGCAAATATTATACTTAAAATATTAAAAATTTCCTTTCTGAAATCAGAACTGAGACAAGAATGCCTGTTATTACCACTTCAGTTCATCATTATGTGGCGATTCAAGACAGTATACTAAGACAAGAAAAGGAAAATGGATAAGGATTGCAAAGGAAGAAATAAAACTTTGTGTTAACAGATGGTATTATTGTATATGCAGTAAATACAAAGTGGCCCACTGATGAGTTATAAATTTAGTAAGTGCTTAGGATGCTTACTGGATACAAAAATCAATATATAAAACCAATTGTATTTGTATATTCCAGCATTAACCGGTAAGAAAATAAAATTTTTTAAAGATTATAACATCAAAAAGTAAAGAGTCCTTAGGAATAAATATAAAAGGCGTAGAAACCTCTATGAAGAAAACTATAAAACTTTAAATGTAAAAATGAGAAAATGTTTTTCAGAAAGACCTAAATAATTATGAAGATCAAAATGTTCATGATTGAATTATTCAGTAGTGTCAAAATACCAGTTTTCCTCAAATGGATTTGTATACAAACTGATTCAAAATCATATTAGCTTTTATAAAGAAATTTACAATGTGATTCTAAAATGTATATGGATTACAAAGGATAAAAATAGCCATGACAATCGTACATAATGAAGAATAGGTGGCAGGATGTGTTATACTTTATAGTTACTAAAGCAGTGTGGTATGGGCACAAAGATAAAGTAACATGACCAGAACAGAATGGTACTTCAAAATAGGCTTATATATGTAAGGTGACATATTTATGAAAAGGGACGTTGCAGGTATTGAGAAAAATGAATTTTTTCAATTAATTATAAGGGGATAAGTAGATATTCATCTGAAGAAAAAATAAAATTTGACCCTTATATCACACCATAGTCAAAAACTGAATTCCAGATGACTCATAGTACTAAATGTAAAAAACAAAATAATATAGCTTTATTTTTTTTTGTTTGTAAATTACCCAGTCTCAGGTATGTCTTTATTAGCAATGTGAGAACAAACTAATATGCCATCTAAATTTATTGTAATTACTTATTTTACAACTATAAATGAAGTCAGGATTCAGGAATTACACTTAACTTATTTACAGTTAAATCTCCAATATCTAACAGACTGCTGACTTACATTAGATAGATGTTCAAGAAATCTTTGTTGAATAAAAAATGGATCCAGAGACTAAAATGGAATCAACTGTGCCTTTTGTTCCACTTTACTGTTTAAGAAGGAAGGTAAGTTTAGATAACTCAAAACATTACTGACAAAACTCTGCAGTCATCTGAACAAATAACTTCCAGATGAATTGGTGTCTTCTCTAACGTAATTAAAAATAATATAGCTTTAAAAATAAATATAAGGGAATTGTTTCATGATCTCAGAGCAGGGATTATTTTCTAAAACAAGAAACAAAAATTAATTAAAATGAAAAACATTTAATTATTTGACTACATTAAAAGTAAGGTGTTTTTAATCCATCAGTACACAACATTAAGAGAATAAAAACAAAGCACACAGTAAGAAAAAATATATTTGCAACCCACATAATTGACAGTAGCATATATCTAGAACACATGAAAAAATATTTTAAATTGCTATTGCTTTTTGCTTGGTAACATACATAGCCTTTTTGCCCAAAAGGAAATCCAAATATTAAACACATGAAAAAATACTCAGTGTCATTAGTAATCAGGGACATTAGACACACATGCACACACACATAAACATATAACCTTGAAGTAACTGTTTTCTCCTATTTATTCATTCAACAAATTCTTTTCCAAAGAATCATCAAATGCCAAGTGTTGATGAAACAGTGTTGAGATGTACTTGTAGAACAAACATACTTTTATATATTTATTTATAATTTTGGAACAAAGCCACCTTTCATAGCTCATGTTGTATATAATTCGTGGCACTGTGGTGATATGCCTTTTCATTTGTTAAAAAAAAACTTTTGTAATGGAGAATTTTATCCATAAACACAAGTGGAGAGAATGTAGAATAAGTTCTAGTGAAATCCATCACCTAGTTTGTGCAGCTATCGACTCATGATCAATATTGTTTCATCAATCCCCAAACCACTTGCTACCCCATCCCTGTATTATTTTGAAGCAAATACCTAACCCCATATCTTTTCATCCCATTTTATCTATGAGTATCTTAGGGTGTATCTCTAAAGATAAGCTCTAAAAACCTACCACAACACTGTTATTAAATAAATCTTTAATATTATTCAATATCCTGTCAAGTATCTACATTTCCCTATAGTGTCATTTTTTTTAACAGTTTATCTGAATCAGGATCTGCTTAAATTCTACATGGCAAAAGATGGCCATGTCTCTTAACTTATTTAATCAATAGGTTTCTCTTCATTTTTTCCTTGCTATATATTTGTTGAAGAAAGCTAATCATTTGTTCTGAAGAGGATTCCATCATTTGCATTTTGTTGATTGTATTTTCAGGATGTCATTAATCACATTTCCTGTATTTCCTAATAATTTATAGTTTGAACTAGAGGGTTGATCAGATATCAGTTCTAAAAATTGTGAAAGTTGCCTGGTCCTTTGAATATTATTTCCCTCTTAGTCTCTAAAATGTTTTTACCTGAAAGTCTACTTTGATATTTATAAATGTTTGAGAATTGCTCTAATATCTATTATAATTATCATTATTGATTTATAATTTAATTCCATATGGTTATATAGCACACACTTTGGAAATTAAATCTTTGGAAATTTATTGAGATTTGTTTTGGCCCAGCATATGGGTGACTTTTATTGAACATATGGTGTGCACTTACATGTGTATTCTCTAGTTGCTGGAAGTAAGGTTTTATAAATGTCGATTTGGTCAAATGGTTATAGTGTTGTTCAGAATTTTTTATATATTTGCTAGTTGATTTTTTTCCTGTGGTGGTTCTACTAGTTACTGAGAGAGGAATATTAAAACCTTCACTATGATTATAGGTTTGTTTATTTCTCTGCTTAATTCTGTCAGTTTTTCTTAGTACTCCAGCTGTAAATTTGTCCTCAGTGAAAAAGCCATAAAAGTGGGAAATTTACTCAGAGCTGTATCTTTCTTCCACATATTGACTCTCCAGTTTCTGTTTGCTTTTGGTAGCTATCCACTACCTTCTGATTATTGTTTTTAATATTTTTTCCAGAGTGTAATTGTAACCTGTCGGAGTGTTGGTCCGATATAATCTACTCTGTCATTATTGAAAGTGGAATCCTTGTTTTGTCTAATATAATATAACTACCCAAGGTTATGTGGTTAGTGTTTGTGTAATATCTTTTTTAATCCTTTTAGTTTCAACTTCTGTTCTTATATTTAAAACATGTCTTTTATAAAGAGCATATAGTTGCTTCATTGGTTTTTATTTTTAATCCAGTCTGATAGTATCTGTGTTTTAGGTGGAATACTTAGTCCATTTACATTTTTTTTGAGATGGAGTTTTACTCTCTTGTCTAGGCTGGGGTGCAGTGGCGCAATCTCGGCTCTCTGCAATCTCCGCCTTCCAGGTTCAGGCAATTCTCCTGCCTCAGCCTCCTGAGTAGCTGGGATTATAGGCACCCACCACCACGCCCGGCTAATTTTTGTATTTTTAGTAGAGACGGGGTTTCACTATGTTGGCCAGGCTGGTCTCAAACTTCTGATCTCAAGTGATCTGCCCACCTCAGCCTCCCAAAGTGCTGGGATTACATGCGTGAGCCACCACACCAACCCCATTTACATTTAATACTATTAATGATATATTTTAATTTTTTCTTTTTTGTATTTGTTTTCTATTTATCCTACATATTCTTTGTTTTTTATTCTCCTCTTTTTGACTTATTTTGGATTAAATGTTTTTCATTCTGTTTTTTTCTCCTCTGTTAATTTTTCAATAGCCACACTTTATTTCCATAGGCATCTGTGACTTATTACAATCTACCTTACTGTTGGTGCTTTTACCATTTCCCAAACAGTGCAAGAACCTTACATCACTTTAATTTCATTTACTTCCTCTTTTGTCTTTTTAAACCATTGTTATTATATAGTTATACCTCTGTACATTAACTCACAAGACATTGTAATTATTGTTTAAAAATTGTTTTAAGCATCAACATTCCCTTTATTTACATATTTATTATTTTGAGTGCCCTTTATTTCTTCCTAAACGTCTATCCTTTCATCTGGGATCCTTTTCTTTTAGTTTTAAAAACTTCTTTGCGTTTTTCTTATAGTGAAGATCTACTAAAAAGAAATTCTTTACATTTTTGTGTGTCTGAAAGTGTTCTTATTTTAAATTTTTAAAGGCTGTTTTCACTAGGTATGTAATTCTAGCTTAGCATACCTTTTCTTTTATCATTTATGTCATGCCATGGACTCTTGCATCCATAGTTTCTCTTGAAACTCAGTTGTCTATATTATTATTGCCATTATATTTTTAAATCAATGTGCCTCTTCTTTCACCACTCTTAAGATTTTTATCTTTGCCTTTAGTTTTTAACAGTTTAACTAACGTGCCTAGGTATATTTTTCTTTGTATTCCATCCTATTTGGGGGTTCACTGAGCTTTTTTGCAAGTTAATGCCTTTTATTAGTTTGAGGAGACTGCTTGGCTATTATCTCATCAGATATTGTGTCTACTCTATTTTATCTTTTCTCTTTCTTGTACTCCAACTAAACATATTTTAAACCCTTTGACCATGTCCCACATGTTTCTTCTAGTCTGCTGTTAAGCCCATTCAAAGAGTTCCTAATTTCAGATACTGTATTTTCCAGTTCTAGGATGTTTATTTAATTCTTCTTCTTCTTTTTTTTTTTTTTTTTGGCCAATTCTAATTTTGGTGGAACTATCCATTTTTAATTCATTTTCCCCAATTTTCTACTCTTTTTTAAAAAACATATTAATCTTAGTTCTTTTAATGTTCTTATTTATGAACCAACATTTCTGGTTCTGCTTCTTTTTTTTTTTTCTTGATTGTTGGGTCATATTTTTCTGCCTCTTTGTGTCTAGCAACGCTTTATTGCAATTCTAACATATTTTAATGAAAAGAACTATAGGTACCCTAGATGTTGTCTTCCATCAGTAAGGATACCACCTCTACTTGGCAGGTAGGGGCTAGTCATCTCTGTCCAGTCAGAAATTTAGATAGATAGTAGCTAGTTTGGAGTTTTATTAAAACTCAGTACACTTTTGTTTTATTTCTGCTTGTTTGGCATGGCTTTTCCCGACTTTTATGTGAGAGGCAAGTCTGTATTCTTAGCTATAAAACTTTCCTTTGGCGATTTTGAGCTTAGCCTATTAGCCTACTACCCATGCATCTTAAATTTTGGTTCATTTCTTGAGGGGAGGCTAGTTATGTTTGTTGCAAATACCTTCCCTCCAGTGGGACTTTGTCTCTGAAACACGACTTGAGCTGGATATTTCACATTGCCTTTTTTGAAATTTCAGACCCTCAGCCTCTCACACCTCTCAGGGAACTCAACAAATATTTCTTGGGAAAAATCAGCTTTGTGTTTGGGGCTCCATTTGTTTCCAGATGGTCATGACAACTCTATGAGAGCTCTTTCTTTGAATAGTTTCTCCACTTGGTTTAAATCTTATCCTTAACCAATACCAAGAATTGACAAATATCTTCAGGGAAGAAAGCAGCCTGTGATTGTCAGCTTACAAAGGAAGGACTGTCATTATTAAATCTCTGGAATTTTAGATAATCTAAAATTTTCATTGCTCTCACAATTCTGTCATAAAAGTGATTTTTACAGCCTATCAGGCTTTTTTTTCCTGTTGTTAAAAAGAGTATTCTCCTACCATGAGGTCCTACATTCTTTTCAGAAGCAAAATAAAAATAATGCCTATTCTTCAGAAGAATAAAAACAAAATACAAAGCCTTGCTTAGGATAGTAATGTCAAAAATTGCTGTCTTCTTGTCATCAGTCTTTTTAAAATAGGTCAGAGAAGGGGCTAGTCAAGAGAAACAACTCCAAAACCAATTAGCTTACATGTGCTAATAAAAACTTTCATGTCTGTAGATACGTGTAGATGTATACGTATAGATATGGTGCTTTCTTCACCTACTGAACTGCTTTGTGTCCTGATTCTGGTTGCAGATAAAAACTTACATTTTTTTCTCTTGTTAATTTTAATTACAGTTCAGAGAGACTTTTAGAGAATGTTAGATATGATTGATTACTCTGCCTACTGCTTTAAAAATAAGGGGATGTAAACTAAGAAAGATTAAATGAGCTGTGTAAGACCCCAAAGCTGGTGAGATAAAACCAAATCTCTTCCCTCCTCGAGACCAGAATTTCTCCATGGCATTGCCTGACTCCACGACTGTTAGTCTTGGCTTTCTAAAGTATCACTGGGGGGTTGTCTTTTCAGCCAAATGTCAAAATAATATTTTGGAGTTTTAAAAATAATATTTGGAGTTTTCAAAGTACCTCTAGATAAGGAACTTTGAAGAAATCATAAATTTTCCAGGTCAGCAAAATAATAGAAATCCTTACAAACTGTCTGTTGTCACATGATCATTATTGAGCAAAAAACATACTTAATAGATTTATTTTGTTTCATTGCTGAAACTAAACCAATGTTCAGTTTAGTTATATTATAATCAGTTTACTCTTTTAAAAATATTGATTTGTGAGAGTATATTATTTTTGAGGGTATATTTGTGAAGTATATTATTTTTATTAGCTATATACTGTTTAGTGCTAGAAAATATGCCCAGTGTATCAGAATTATAAAATGTACTAATTTAGTTTGCTTAAAAGTGAGTTTTCATGCATATGCATGCTAGGTTTTTCCTGTAGCCACAGAAAAAAATATTGAAGTTCCACAGATCATAAAATAAGCCATCAAAATGAGCAATAAATGATTATATTTAGAAAAATGGAAAGATATGTATTCCAAAGTAGAGTTGTGATAAGCCTGTTTTCCATGACAGATGACATATTTGGAAGAGAGATGAAATTCATGAGCTACAACATGTTTACTTGCTTTTTTATCTTTAAAAATTTGCCTTCACAAAACAGTGTAAGAATTATTCTGAAGTAAAAACAATTATTCCCTTAAGTGTAATGCTAGGTTGATTTCATATTTTGTTATTATTATTATTTTGCTTCCCAGTCCTACCTTTTAATCACTGGAATGTGTGCAAGTCAGTTTCCTTTTTTATACACCTAGGTGATCTCAGATGTTGTATGCCATGTTAGATAATCTTACTATTATACTACATATCAATGCCTACATTTATATGGTAGTATATTGTATTTCCAAGTATTGTCTTATAGGTTCAAAGTTTTATCACTGTAGAGCAAGTATGTAAACATAAAAACTGTACGTATATGGGTATATATTTCATTTGTAGCCATTCCATCCCATGAGTAAAATGAGAAAAAAATAGGATATGGATCATATATGTAAATGTATACCATAGTAAAAATAAAGATTACCACAGCCCTGCTAATATAGCAGGTTGATCTTTAGAAAAGGATCTGTAATTATTAAATTTTACTTGTACTACTTATACTACAGGCATTGTTAACATTTTCTGTGACTTGTTATACTTTTTTAAATCTAACAAAATTAAATTCAACATGAAAAAATGGTAATTTGAAAGAACTAATTGGTGTTTTCATTTGAAGTATCTTGCCTGATGGGAATTGAGTTGAATTTGTGGATTACTTTGACAGTGTGATCATTTTTACAATATTGATTCTACCTATCCATGAACGTGGGATGTGTTTCCATTTGTTTGTGTCGTCTATGATTTCTTTCAGCAGTGTTTTGTAGTTTTCCTTGTAGAAGAAACCACCTCCTTGGTTAGGTATATTCCTAAGTTTTTTTTTTTTTTGCAGCCATTATAATAGGGGTTGAGTTCTTGATTTGATTCTCAGCTTGATTGCTGTTGGTGTATAGAAGAGCTACTGATTTGTGTACATTGATTTTGTATCCGGAAACTTTGGTGAATTCTTTTATCAGTTCTAGGAGCTTTCTGGAGGAATCTTTAGGGTTTTAGAAAAAAAAATCCTAAAATTCATATGGAACTAAAACAAGACTAAGCAAAAAGAGCAAATCTGGAGGCATCACATTACCTGATTTCAAACTATGCGATAAGGCCATAGTCACCAAAACACCATGGTACTGGCATAAAGATAGGCACATAGACCAATGGAACAGAATAGAGAGCCCAGAAAAAAACCCCTAATACTTACAGCCAACTGATCTTCAACAAAGATGTTTGTGTTTATAAAGTGGGGAAAGGATACCCTATTCAACAAATGGTGCATGAATAATTGGCAAGCCACATGTAGGAAAATGAAACTGGACCCTCATCTCTCACCTTATACAAAAATCAACTCAAGATGGATCAAGGACTTAAATCTAAGACCAGAAACTGTAAAAATTATAGAAGACAAAACTGGAAAAACCCTTCTAGACATTGGCTTAGACAAGGATTTCATAACCAAAAACCTAAAAGCAAGTGCAATAATAACAAAGATAAATAGCTGGGACTTAATTAAACTAAAGAGCTTTTACACAGCAAAAGCAACAGTCAGCAGAGTAAACAGACAACCCACAGAGTGGGTGAAAATCTTCACAATTTGTACATCTGACAAAGGACTAATATCCAGAATCTACAATGAATTCAAACAAATTAGCAAGAAAAAACAAGCAATCCAATCAAAAAGTAGGCTAAGGACATGAATAGACAATTTTCAAAAGAGGATATATAAATGGCCAACAAACATATGAAAAAATGCTCAATATCACTAGTGATCAGGGAAATGCTAATTAAAATGCTAATGATCAGGGAAATGCTAATCAAAATACTAATCAAAACCACAATGCAGTACCACCCTGCGCCTGCAAGAATGGCCATAATCAAAAAATGAAAAAATAATAAATGTTGGTGTGGATGTGGTGAACAGGGAACACTTCTACACTGCTGGTGGGAATGTAAACTAATACAACCACTATGGAAAACAGTGTGGAGATTCCTTAAACAACTAAAAGTAGAACTATCATTTGATCCAGCAATCCCACTACTGGGTATCTACCCAGAGGAAATGAAGTCGTCATATGAAAAAGATACTTGCACACGCATGTTTATAGCAGCACAATTTGCAATGGCAAAAACATGGAACCAACCCAAATGCGCATCAATAAACGAGTGGATAAACAGTGCAAAGAAAGTATGATGGAATACTACTCAACTGTAAGAAGGAATGAATTAATGGCACTCACAGTGACCTGGATGAGATTGGAGACTATTATTCTAAGTGAAGTATCTCAGGAATGGAAAACCAAACATGGTATGTTCTCACTCATATGTGGGAGCTAAGCTGTGAGGATGCAAAGGCATAAGAAAGAAAGATACAATGGGCTTTGGGAACTTGGGGAGAAAGTGGGAAGGGTGTGAGGGATAAAAGACCACAAATTGGGTGCAGTGTATGCTGCTCGGGTGATGGGTGCACCAAAATCTCACAAGTCACCACTAAAGAACCTACTCATGTAACCAAATACCACCTGTTCCCCAATAACCTATGGAAATAAAAAAAATTTAATAAAAAAAGGTATCTTGCCTGTCAACTAATTTATTCTTTTTGTGCTGTCCACTGCTGTTTATCAGAAGACTCACTCAGTTTAATGGATTTCATTAGTTTAAGGCACTTGTCTGAATTAGAACATTGGATACTTAATGTCCAGTGATTGCTGTTCTTCCCTCTGACTCATTCAGTTCCTCTGATGAATAATAGGATTTTATGCAGTGTGTATTCCTGTTCTTACTTGTTGAATTAAGCACTTATCTTAGAATATAAACACACTGATATGAATGGAGTCTATTTTCAACCAACTTGGTGTAAGAATGTAAAGTCACAATCATGTACCTTGCCTTGGATTACAAAACCTTAGGCTACCATGTGTCATGCAGATGAAAATGTTGGTGTCTTGATGTCTTTCAGAAGCTAGTGTCCTATTTTTTAAAATTATAATGTCTTCTGAGAGGGAAGGCCTTAGGAGGTGTGTCAGTTATCAACTATAAGTGCTCTCAGTGTAATACTGAATCTGCAACATGGCCTGTGTAGTGTGACAGAACACAATGTTTTACCACAAGCACAATTCCATTTTCTCAAGACATATATGTGATGGTGAGTAAATCAATAATTTTTTATTTGCTGATCCTGATATGATCTAAAATTTTTTGCTAGTTCCTCTTTTATTTTTGAAAAGTGTTCCAAGTTGTTGTAATGTTATCTTAATTGACAGAAAGTACAATCTGTCCCTGGTATCTGCAGGGGATTGGTTCCAGGACCCCAGGGCATACCAAAATCTGGGGATGCTCAAGTCCCTTATGTACAATAGTATAGTATTTGCATATATCCTACACACATCCTTCCATGCACTTTAAATCATCTCTAGATTCCTTAAAATACCTAATAAAATGTAAATACTATGTAATTGTTATTGTACTTTACTGTTTAGGGAACTATGACAAGAAACAAAAGTCTGTACATGTTCAGTAAGGATGCAATCATTGTAGACCTAACTACATTTTCAGTCTGCAGTTGGTTGAATCTGCAGGTGCTGAATCCAGCTATGAGGGCTGACTATATCTGCAGATGTACACTTCAAGCTGCAAGATAATGATTTTTAGAAACCACTTAACAAAAAATAAGAATGTGTGTTGTTTAGTATAAATCCAGATTATATTTCATGAAGCAAAAATAAATCTTCATAAGGAGACCTCTAGTTATCAGGTAGTTAAGATTTTCAGAATCAGTCATGTGATGCTATCAATCTATTTGTAGTTAAGAATAGTCAAAGTTGGCTGGACGTGGTGGCTCACACCTGTAATCCCAGCACTGTGGGAGGCTGAGGTGGGTGGATCACCTGAGGTCAGGAGTTCAAGACCAGCCTGTCCAACATGGTGAAACCCCATTTCTACTAAAAACACAAAAATTAGTTGGTGTGGTGATGCAAACCTGTAGTCCCAGCTACTAGGGAGGCTTAGGCAGGAGAATCACTTGAACCCGGGAGGTGGAGGTTACAGGGAGCTGAGATCGCACCACTGCACTCCAGCCTGGGCGATAGAATGAGACTCCATCTGAAAAAAAAAAAAAATAGTCAAAGTTGATAGCACCTTAATCCATTTTTATAGGTTCTGCATATATAGAAAGTAACTTATCATCATTTGCCATGCTTACAGTTCTTTAATTGTACATAAGAATATGATCTTGGAAAAAAACTATCTTAAATATTAATCACTTGCTACATAGTTTTACATAAGACTCCGCTGTAATTTTTTTAAACTTCATTTAGAAATTACAGTAACAACATCAATTATATTCATGTAGCTTTGACAAAATTTACTGGAATGTCTTCCGTGGTTTTGTTTTTCATTTAATGTGCATTAATTTTCATAATAATAAATTTGTTCTTCTTTGTTATATTTACTGTTAATTACACATATATAAAAATTTTCAGAGTTATTTTGGCATACATAGTAAATTGTAGTAATTATCAGGTAACAAAGTGAGTACTTTTTACTATTTTATGCTGGTTTACTTGTTTTTTATTTAATAAAGACCATATTTAAACATTTTCCTTTTTCTTCTAAATTTTGAAACCTAGATTTTTGATAATGTGGGATTTATGGTTTTGCTTCAGGTTTTAAAATACATATTGAATTTCAAAAATGCAAGATAAACCATTTTGTTTTGATAGGACAAAAATATAGTATGTTCATTTCTCCACTGGGTAAATATTGAGCATCTAAAATGTTCTAGTCACTGATCTAGGAGCTTATGTAAAACAGTTCTGTTTTTTTTCTCTTCAGCTTTTATTTTGATTTCTGGGGTACATGTGCAGGATGCACAGGTTTGTTACATAGGTAAACATTTGCCATGATGGTTTGCTGCACAGATCAACCCGTCACCTAGGTATTAAGCCCAGCATCCATTAGCTATTCTTCCTGATGCTCTCCCTCTGCCTACGCCCCGACCACTCACCACCGACAGGACCCAGTGTGTGTTGTTCCCCCCAGTGTGTCCATGTATTCTCATTGTTCAGCTCCCACTTGTAAGTGAGAACATATGGTGTTTGGTTTTCAAACAGTTCTTCAGGTTCATTTACAATCATGGTGTTAAGTTAGCAAATCTTTGGAAGTAAATAAAACTAAAAACTATTATTCTGTTGTTGCTACCAGTGTCTAGTTAATCTTTAGGTACTTCTTTATGACAAAGTGATAAAGTGTTTTTAAATTAGCAGACTTAGGTTCTAGTTATGGTTATGCTAATTCTGTAGCATGACTTTGCATCAGCTAGTTGATTTTCCTGGGTTTCAGTTTCTTGTGAAAACATGAAAAATACAGAGGTGGATTGCTTGTGCTCTGGGGGGTCTTGATTCACTGTGGAGAGATCTAGAGCAGAGAGCAGTGTCTTCATATTCATAAAGTCAGCTCAGTTATGTGCCTGCTACCCTTCCTTAGCCTTCTTTTCTGTCTCCTCTTTTTCTTCCCTACTTGTAAATATTGCAGAGCCACGGGGCTCAGTTCTCAGATCTCTTCCTTTCTGTTCTTATTTCTTAGGCGAGCTAATTCAATTTAATGGTTCAGATACATATGTTTAAGTGCCTCCACTTTGTGTAATAGGTAGATCAAATTTACCACCTCTAAGTCAGAACTCTTGATTTTTATCATGAAAACAACTCTTTCCCAAGTGTTCTTTACCTCTGTAAATGACTCCACCATTCACATAGTATTCAGGTGCTTCACCAAGAAGCACCTTTGACTCTTCTCTTTCCTTCACATCATTCATTCAGTCTATCAGCAGTCCTTGCCATTCCAACCTTTAAAATATATTAGGAACCTGTTCATTTCTTAGGTCCTCTACCTTTGCCCTCTACCACCCCAGTCATAACCACCATCCTCTCTTGCCTGGAATACTGCAGTAGTTTCCCGATATCCCTGTTTTCTCTTTTGTCCTCATGTAGTTCATTCTCCTCATAGCAACTGGAGCAATTCTTTAAAGATAAGTCGTTTCATGGTATCTTCTTACTCATAACTTTCCAGTGGCTTCCTATAACAAACTGTCATGGCTTACAAGTTCCCTGACTTCATTTCCTACTATTTTCATTTTTACTATACCCCTTGAAGTGTATCAATCTTCATTATGTTTTTGTGTTTTACCCAATATCCTAGCTTGTTTTCACATCAGGGCCTCAGCAAATATAAAGACATTTGCTATTTCCTCTTCCTTAAGTGTTCTTCCTTCAGATATGTGTGTGATATACCTCCTCAGAAATGCCGTCTCTGACCTCTCTACCTGTATGTTCAATCACTCTCTATATCCTTCTCTTTATTTTTCTTCATGGCAATCACTTCCTGAAATTATAAATATATATTTGTTTACTGTCTTATCCACCAGCATATAAACCCCATGAAAGCAGAAACTCTCTGCTTGTTTACTACTGACTGAGTCTCTGGAACCTAGAACAGTGCTTGGCATATAGTAGGTATTCAGTGAATTTTTATTGATAGACAGTTTGAGTGAAATGGATGGCAATAGGACTGTTTTATTTATTTCTATTTAAACATGGTTTGTAGGAGCATCATCAGGAAATATTAGGGTCAAATTTTCCATTGGTTTATTATAATTACAAAGATTTATAACTTTGTCATAATGGAAAAATTTATAAACTACTATGTTCCTTACAGTATTTAAATAAGCTATTACCTAAACTTTTTGTTACTTATGCACCTACATCATTAAAATCAGAATAATGTTTTTGAAAATACATATTTTAAAATACAGCAGCTCACAAAAATCTGATGTGGTTATGGTTATATAGCTTTATGTTTAGATCTCAAACTGTTAATAATTAACAATGAAAAAAACAAAAAGGACTTTGAGACCGGCTGAGTTACAGAAAATGCCATTTGAGAAAAAGGTTGATGTAAATCTTTTATGAATGAGCTCTGATTAAGTAATCCTCTTCATTGTTAGGAAAAAGATCTGGTGGAATTTGGCATTGCCCTTGAAAGTTATTTCAAATGCTCGTATTCCCCCAAAGAGTTGTACAGAGTTGCCATTTAGCTTTGACTTAGAGTTACATGCAAAAGGTATTTTGCCTTGTTATGAAATAACTGACTTTCGAAAATGGAATATGCATAGACAGATGTTAGAAAATATTATATAAATGTGTGAGATATGACAGGGAAAATATTCAGCAGGAATTTTATATATTATTGAAGGAAAAATTCAGCTATTTAATATTAATTGACAGTGACTTTTACCAGCACATAGGATTTCTAGCCATTGTTGAATATCCTAAAGTAAAATTGATTTTTATGTCTATCTGAATAACTGATATCTCTAAAATGCTTAATAGCATGCAGATTTTTATACACACTACTTTAACCCTTGGAACAATCTTATGTGAGGTAGACAGTGTTATCCCTCCTTTTCAGATGAGGAAAGAGAGTTGGTTCAAAGGAGTTGCTGTAACTTGTACAACCAATAAACAGTGGAGTTTGAATTAGGCTCAGCTCTCCTGATCTTGAAATCTGAGCCCCTTTCACAACATAATGCTAGTGATCCAAAGTTTAAATTGCCAGATGAGAACAGGCCCAAGACACTGTGGCATCTACATCTTCAGCATTTGTGGAGGACTCTTGGTGTTTCTGGTTGAACTGAGTGATTGATTGACTAGAGCTAAGTGTCTTACAATGCGGAGCAGTCTGTATCTCAGGAATCTGATTGCAATAGAGTCTGATTAATATGAGTGTCATATTTTCATTGTTTCCTGAGGAAGTAATGTGCGTTGTTAATGGCAGGAAATTCTGACATATTTTAGTCTTGGGTTTGTGTAAGAAGATTTAATGAGTACTTTGATTATTAACTTTATAGGTGTGAGTGCAGAGCGATTTCAGCACATTGACAGTATCTTTAACCTGATAAGAATAGCCATTCCCTGGAACATATCCCACAGAAAAACTGTTTTTCAAAGGGTAGATTTCTGAAAATCATTGGAATCTATAGATTAGGGTTTACTAAAAATAAAAAATTATAAGTGTTAGCATTAACTCGAGAAAGTTTTAGTCCAGAAATTATTAGAAACTGTTTTTTGTACTCCAACCAATGAGAATTTTAAACTTCTGGTTTGTGTTGCAAATGATGGAATCCATGTAAGTGTCCATCAGTGGATGAAGGGGTAAAGAAAATGTGGTATATATACACAATGGAATACAATTCAGCCTTAGAAAAGATGGAAATGATACCGTTTGTGATAAGGTAGATGAACCTAGAGAACATTATGTTAAGTGAAATATGCCAGGCACAGAAAGGCAGTTACCACATGGTATCACTTATATGTGGAATCTAAGAACTTCCCACTCATAGAAGCAGAATAGTGGTTACTAGAGGCTGGAAGGAGGGGTGGGTTGGAGAGGTATTGGTCAAAGGATACAAAACTCATTTTGAAAACTTATGTGTAAGCTTAATTTAAAACATGTTTTTGAAGGAAAAAGGTTGATTATATTCTAATAGATGGACTGATCTGTGAAAAATGTAATTGAAAACCAGCTGGAGAGAGATACTTTTGTAGGTGCTATGAAAGATATTAAAAAGTTTAAGAAAAATCTCATGCCCTCCAGCCGCTGATTTGACAGATGATAGAGATAATGCATACATGTGCAAGTGTGTGTTTGTATGTGTGCTGAAAATTTAGATGACAGGACAAGAAATGACATGGTAGGTACCAAGTGGTAAATATAGACAATATATTCTGGAGCTATTTCCCAGTGATTATTAAAGTTACTTTCATGAAAGCGATATGATTTGAACTTAGGTAGTAGTATAGAGTTAGAAGAATATACTTGGCAAAAAAGCTATGAACAAGTTCATAAAAATGGGGAAGAATCACAAAGTACTCCCCTAGAGTAGAAACAAAAGATTGAGCTGCTAATAATTGGCACTGAGATTATGAAGGACCTTGAAGGAAAAGATAATTTAAGAATGTAGCTTTTGAAGACTCAATTTAGCATTTAAATTTTTATGTAAACCAAACATATCTAAAATTTGTTTTTGAGTGTGTGATTTTGTGTGTGATAAACTATCTTTTCTGTTTGGGCTCATTTTCTTGTTAAAGTCCATCTATTCTGTGAGTTCTGTTTACCATCAAAGAGAATAAATACCCCAACAGCAAATTTTTGAGCCTGTCATAGATACTCTTTTCCTTCATTTTCAGTGAAATAGCTGGCAAAGTTTTATCGATATTATTTCTTTTGCTTTAGGTTGGAAGTTCAGTGTCCAGTTGAAAAACACCAACTCAGCTAGTTTCTTCTGGTCTGCATTACAGTATTTTACCTGTCTTTTTATGAAAAGAGCACGTTCTAGGAAAGGATGGAAGATTCTCAAAGAAACAACTTTCCCCTTCTAAGGCAGATGAAAACCTGTACATGTACCTAACATTTTTTCCCCTTTTTAAAATATAAAATTTCACATTACATTTTCTGCTCTTCCTTTTTGGAATAATTAAATGTAACACTTCTTTCATAGTTATTTGCTCATTTATTCTGAAATGACTTGCCTTTTCCTAAGTAGGATGTGAGGTTGGTGGATGCAGATGGTGCATGCGAGTGCAACTGGGAATGTTTTCCAGGATAATAGAGAATGAGGAACTACCTTCTGAAACTTTTAAGTTGAACCCCACTCCCCCACTTTGTGATACTCTGTCTTCACTTTCTCTTCTTAAAAAGTTACTCTCCTTTTTAATCTTTCTAGCCTGACAACTGATGTCAGCAGTTGTTTAATCGGTATTTGGTGCTTAAACCATACTTGAGTCTCTAACTCCTTAGGTTTCATTACTGTACTTTATTTAAAAAGCCTGACATTTAGTTACTTGAGCATTTCTAAAGCAGCTTTTGAAGTAGCAAACAATTAAGACCATATTCAACTTTTCAATGATCCTACTTAACTGTTAAGGGCAAAGCAGGAAAAGAGAACTGCTTGGTACCCGAAGCAAACATATATTAAAAGAAGGAGGAAAAGCCTTAATCTCAAATGATTATAGATAGATAATAACAGTAAGACACCCATATAGAATGTTAACACTTGAAAAATCTTGATGAAGATATATGGAATTTCAGTGTACTAGTCTTGCCTGCTTTTTAAAGTAGGTATGAAATTTTTTCAAAATAAAATTTACTGAAAATCTCAAATGACTAGTAACCATTTTTTCTAAAGTAAAGATGAAAAATATCTTTGGTATTAATGTTCCCCATTTTTATCTTTCTCCGTTCCTGATGCCCAGCACTAATTATACTTTAATAAAGACTGAATTTAATTAAGTCAGTGACCTGCACCAGCATGGTCAGTAGGAAAGATCTTCCCACAAATCGTCACCATAGCTTTGTTCATTTGCAGCTGTCTTCATCACAACTAAGTTGTACAGCTTATTTTATTTTCAAGTTTAAATTTCTTTTTCATCAAAAGGTCAAATTTGGGTTAGTTATGCTAAACACACAATCTTGTATAGAATCTTTTTTCCAGTTTTCAAAGCTGTTGAATTAGGACCTTAATTAACTGTGGAGTTACACTTTTGCACTGTGTTTAATACTTGCATTGTAGGAAAAGTTACCAGAAAGAAGAGAGATTAGGGATGAGTGTCACACTGACACAAGGCCTGGCATGTAATAAGTATTCTGTAACTGTTTCTTGAGCTAATAATGAAGGGATCAAAGGCTAACATTATTTATTTAACACCTACCAAGCCCTTAGATTAAAGACTTATTTTGCATTATCTCATGAATCCTCACAACAGCTTCTTGTGAGTATGGGTTCTGTTGTTATCTCCCTTTTACATGTGGGAAAACTGAAGCTCAGACAGCGTGCAGGGAGGTGGCTGAGTCAGGATTCCAATGGGGTCTTTCTGACTATAGTCACTAACCTCATACTTTCAATCATAGCATTTCTACCTATAGAATGTTTACTTCGTTTGAGAGTCACTTCATAAGAAAGAGGGTGTTTGGCTGTGGTTTGAGAAGGATTAATTGTAATTAATCTTGGCTGAGGAGAGAGGATCACTCTTTTCTTGGTTTTTGAATTAAAACTGTTGTCCAATATGATAGCCACTAGCCACATGTGGCTGTTTACATTTAAATATGAATTAACTAAATACAATTTAAAATTCATTTTCTCAGCTTTGTTACCCATATTTCAAGTGCTTAACAGTCACATACAGTTAGTGGTTTTATTGGACAACACAGAGCAAATTTCCCTCATGACAAAAAGTTCTGTTGGATAGCATTACAAAGATTCCAGGGTTATCAGTTGAAACTCTTGAAAGTAACACTAGTTAAAACCTATCTCGGAAAATAGATTTCATGATTATCACAGCTCTCAAAAGCAATAACACTCTATTTTTCTTGGTTTTATCAAGTAATTTAAATTTATGTATTTATAATACTTCCTATTGCCCAACAAATTATGATGGAGGGACAGGAAATTAGGATGGGCTCAATGACCCCATACCTGCAGTCCTAGCTGTACTCAAGAGGCTGAGGTGGGAGGATCACCTGAGCTCAGGAGTTTGAGGCTGAAGTGAGCTATGATTGTGCCCTGCACTCTAGCCTGGATAACAGAGTGAGACCTGTCTCTAAGACAGATGGATTGATGGATGGATGGATAGTTAGATAGACAGATAGACAGATAGATACATACATACATACATACATACATACATACATACATACATAGATAAAAGAAGTTAATATTTGGAGCAAATATAGTAGGCAGTGCTGGAAACAAGAAGACAAATATTTTTCAAGCAGATGGTTCTATGTTGTTAGAAATTATTTTACTTTGTTTACCAATATCACAATAGTATCGAAGGCACGGAGGAAAAAATGCAATATTTTTAAAGTATAATTTTTATTATGAAATATTTTAAACACACTATACTTTTTTAAATGGTGAAAAAGCAGTTGGATACATTTTTTTACAATAGACTCATAAAGGAATTTATAAGTGGAAAATTTAATCGCCTGATTATTTCAGAGATATTTTAAGAATGTAGTCCATAATTTTGCCTGGACGTCTTTCTTAATATGTTCGTTACCCAAGTTGGAAAGCACAAACCTGGGGGTGAACTTCATCTCCTTAGGCTCACATTGCTCATCTGTCACCTGGAGGAGGCAAGTATCTGCTCTGAGATCATTCCTAGTACATATTTACATCCTATGACTCATAGACTAGGTTCGGGGCTAGAGATCCACTTCCTGAGACTGGCCATTTTTCTCCACTGCAGTAGATGTGGAATTATAAAGTTGAATGGGAGGATTTATAGAAAAATTTAAAGTCATATTTTACCTGTTATATACTTTTTAAAAATTGCCTTACTTGCCCTATTGAAAAGAAAGAAAATGAAGAACGAATGTTATTTAGCCTGAGAAAGAGAAGATTTAAGGCTTGACTTAGTTCCTGTGCCCTAAAAGATATATTATAAGGAGTATTTCCTATCTTCACAGAAGATGTTCTTATTTTTCAGTGAAGAAAGTGCTTCTTTAATGTCTACCTTGCTCCTGCCCCCAGACTCTGTCTCCTTAGGGGCAAGAATGTGTATCTGGTTAAATATTTTATCCTCATTGCCTGCTTAGAGCCGGAATATAGTGAAACATTCAGCCAATACTTGCTGAATGAACAAATGAACATTTGTCATGTAAAAATAATCACTCCTGACACAGGTATATTCGAAAGTTGTCACCTCAGCACATATCTGTTGTTAGTGTACCCCAGCTGTGCTTTGTCAGTTCCCTAAGAAAGGGGTACCAGTCAGTTTGGTCATGATGAATCTGTTGCCTTGGATTTTACTGCTGGGATATTTGGAGAATGTCTTGTACATATAGGGTACCCAAACATTTGTTTAACTAACAAAATAATAGAAGGGATCATAAGTACGTATAATCAAAAATAGATCTTCAAACACTTTTTGTTTGATTCCAGAATATGTTTTTTTTGTTTGACTTCAGAATATGTTATCTGAATTTATCAACAAAATTAACTTTTGTGTTTTTTCATAACAAGTGATTGGTGTTCTTTTGAAAGAATACTGTTTTCTTTAGATTCAAGAAGAGCCTTAGAATTTTTTAATACTGTAGGCACATATGTACTTAATACATATTTGATATTTGTGTCATAGTTTTGGATTCTATTTTATATTTGCATATATGTGATACATGACAGTTTAAAAATATGATATATTATGGAAATATATATTTTGTCTTTTCCCTCTTTCTAGAGTATAAGTTCTTGAGGTAAGAACTTTGTCTTCTTCATCACTCTATCTTTGCATCTAGAAATGTGCTTGGCATGGAGTAGGCACACAGGAAATATTGTAATTAAACAACAAATGCTTTTTCATAAGAGGCCTATTGGGTCCTAAGTTTATTTGTAAGTTAGTCAGTGTTCTGGTTTAGTGTAAATAGTCATCAACTTTTAGTAATTGGAAGACTAGCTCTTATTTTTGCATTCTTCTTTCAGGAAGAATCCCCAGCACAAGATAGAATATAGACATAATACGCTTCCAGGTAAGTAAGTTTACTTCAGAAAATTCAAAATGAAACCTTTAAATGATTTTCCTATTAAACCTAGTTTCCAGTTATTATGAAAATATTTTAAAATCTCTGCTTCTGTGAATTTGTTGAATTGCTGATTTTAATGATTTTTCTTATATTAAAAAAAAACACAACTGTGACCCTTTTGTATAGCAAATGCTTTCCCCATTGTCCACAATATATATTTGCCTTGTATCTCTTAGGATTCTTTTGTTTGCAAGTACCTGAAAGCAAAATCTCAAACTGGCCTAAATGATAATTGACTTCTGTAACTAAAACGTCCAGAGCTAGGGCTGGATTTAGATAAGCTATATTGCTTTGGCTCATTAATAATGTCAATAGTGTCCCCAAAGACCCAATTTTTTCCTTCATTCTGTCTTTAGAGGGGTCATTATCATCCTAAGGCTGGCTCCTCTTCCAACGAGGGACTTTATGTGTCCTTATTCAGCTGGGACGATAATCACCCGTAAGGAATACAAACAACTTTGACCCTCATGATTCCTAGGAAAAATCAGAAAATTCACTTTTTATTACTGGATTAGATCACAGTCTTAACCTTGATCCAATCACCATGGCCACTGATTAGTTTGTACCGCTCCTGAAACCAGAATGGAGTCACCTTCATCAGAACCATAGCCATCTCCAATAAAAGCTAGAGCTTTGAGGAAGAGAGGAGGGGGAGAGACACCAGAGAAGCAACCATCAAATGTCCTTCTGTCCTACTTACCTCAATCTGTTTTACCTTCTGTTTGTTATGCTTCTAAACTGTATTTTTCTTCTTTAATAAAATCTGGCTTTTTCATATCATTCATATAATACAGAGGCTGATTCAGCGCATAATATTTCTGCTCACAGAATGAGAAAATAAAATGCATACTATCCAGGCTGCACTCACTTGCATTTATATGTGCATACAAACAGCTGACTTGTAATCAAGTAAGTGATGAAAGTAAATGATTTCACTGTAAGGGAATTCCATTTGACATTTCTTATTGAAACACACTTTAGTGCTTTAGTACTCCAGACATAAAAATATTCCCTTTATCTGAGCTAACATAGTATGGAGGTTACATGTTATATATTATACTTTCTTTACTGTGGTCATATCTCATGGTGTGGCAGTTATGGTAGTTTAATAAAGTCTTCCTTTCTAGAAATAATGTAATTGTATTTGATTAAAAGTATATATTGTTGACAAATTATAGCATTGTCCCATGCAAGAGCATTTGACACATTTATATAACTTTATAGAAATAGGAAATATTTATCTAAAAACTATGACTACACATCATATAGCATAGTTAAAAATATCTGAATTTTTGTTGAAAAATTTCTTGAAATTATTGAAGTATTTTTTGAATGAAGAACATATTTTAGGACAATTAACTTTTTAAAGGAAAACTTTATTGAAAAGCATTTTTAATAGAAGTATAGATATTTTAAAGGAATAAGTTTAAGGCTATAGGTTTAGTCATATTTTTAATGTACTTTCAAAAGTTGCTATGTGGCAATATAGTCAGAACATCTCTTACCCTACAAAACCTAAAAATTGGGGATTTTGAGTATTTCAAATATTAAATGTTGAGGTATCATTGTATTTTTCTGATTTAGAGATATCTAATACAGAATTCTAACATACTTGTTTTTCTTGTATCCCAAATCATTAAAATTTAACAGTACCCCCAAATGTTAATCTCAGCTATGTATTGATTCATTTACTCACACATTCACATATTCCTTTGTTGAATGTCTTCCATGTGAGCAAAGCTACAGAGAGATGAGAGCCGGCTCGTAATTGTGGTTATGGGAACCAGCTCTGGGTCTCCCAACTTGCCGTGAGATGCTCTGAAATCTCCAGGGAAAGGGAGGGAGTACTTTCTGCTGGGGATTATCAGGTAGACTTGATATGAGAATTTTAAGTAAAAGTTGGCCTTTAAGATGGTAGGATTTCAGTCACCTTTGTTTCTTTGCTGTGTGGGAGATTGGTATAGGACATCACAGGCAAAGTGAGAAATAGATCAATCAAAGACATCAAGGTAGAAGTGTTGTAGTTGGAGTTAGCAAGTGGATCATTTTAATTGATGTGGAAAGTCTCTATAGCTACTGTGGCTGATGCTAAAAGGGTGTATTGAAGCTAGATTATGGAAGCTCTCAACAGCCAGACCAAAGACATGGGCACTTTGGCAAATAATGATGAGCCAATATTTTACCAAAATCAAGCTGGTGAATACAGTTTGAATTAGAGAAGGGGAAGCCTGGAGATTAGTTAGGTAGAATAAAGGGTTAGAACTAGGGCGGCCATCATGAACATGGAGAGGTTGGATTGGATACAAGAGGGATTTTTGAAGGATGAATCAAGAGGATTTACCAACTAATCAGTTGGCTGTGATATGGGGATGAGGTAAATGAAGTCAGGATGACTCAGGATTATAGTACACATTATCAGGAGACTGGAGAAGACACATGATAGAGAATAGGGTGAACTGGGGAGTTTTGTTGTTTTTGCTTTCATTTAAACATGTTGAATTTGAGGTGGGGGTATCATAAGAACATATATAACAAGATAATACAATTATTAATATAGTGCCAACATTAAAATAACTACATTAAATTCTTACTCTTTAATTTCTGATTTGTAATACCCCTAAAACACTTTCATCTATAGGGTTCTTCTATACATGTAACAGTTTATATAGTGCATTCTGTTTCTTGTAGGTTGGACTCCTGTCATTTGTTAAGTTTCTTGTATATATAATTGGTTTAAAATTTTATTTAAGTCTCCACACTTTTTCGAGTGCTACAATTTTTGCACAAGTTATTGAATGCAAAAGTAACCAGTACCAGGAAGATTTTGTTTTATTCTTTTTTTTTTAATATATATATATATTTTTATTATGCTTTAAGTTCTAGGGTACATGTGCACAGTGTGCAGGTTTGTTACATATGTATACATGTGCCATGTTGGTGTGCTGCATCCATTACCTCATCATTTACATTAGGTATATCTCCTAATGCTATCCCTCCCCCACTCCCCCCACCCCACAACAGGCCCCAGTGTGTGATGTTCCCCTTCCCATGTCCAAGTGTTCTCATTGTTCAGTTCCCACCTATAAGTGAGAACATGTGGTGTTTGGTTTTTTGTCCTTGCGATAGTTTGCTGAGAATGTTGGTTTCCAGCTTCATCCATGTCCCTGCAAAGGACATGAACTCATCCTTTTTTATGGCTGCATAGTATTCCACGGTGTATATGTGCCACATTTTCTTAATCCAGTCTATCATTGTTGGACATTTGGGTTAGTTCCAAGTCTTTGCTATTGTGAGTAGTGCCGCAGTAAACATATACGTGTGCATGTGTCTTTATAGCAGCATGATTTATATTCCTTTGGGTATATACCCAGTAATGGGATGGCTGGGTCAAATGGTATTTCTAGTTCTAGATCCCTGAGGAATTGCCACACTGTCTTCCACAATGGTTGAACTAGTTTACAGTCCCACCAACAGTGTAAAAGTGTTCTTGTTTCTCCATATCCTCTCCAGCACCTGTTGTTTCCTGACTTTTTTATGATTGCCATTCTAACTGGTGTGAGATGGTATCTCATTGTGGTTTTGATTTACATTTCTCTGATGGCCAGTGATGATGAGCATTTTTTCATGTGTCTGTTGGCTGCATAAATGTCTTCTTTTGAGAAGTGTCTGTTCATATCCTTCACCCCCTTTTTGATGGGGTTGTTTTTTTTTCTTGTAAATTTGTTTGAGTTCTTTGTAGATTCTGGATATTAGCCCTTTGTCAGGTGAGTAGATTGCAAAAATTTTTTCCAATTCTGTAGGTTGCCTGTTCACTCTGATGGTAGTTTCTTTTGCTGTGCAGAAGCTCTTTAGTTTAATTAGATCCCATTTGTCAATTTTGGCTTTTGTTGCCATTGCTTTTGGTGTTTTAGACATGAAGTCCTTGCTTATGCCTATGTCCTGAATGGTATTGCCTAGGTTTTCTTCTAGGGTTTTTATGGTTTTAGGTCTAACATTTAAGTCTTTAATCCATCTTGAATTAATTTTTGTATAAGGTGTAAGGAAGGGATCCAGTTTCAGCTTTCTACATATGGCTAGCCAGTTTTCCCAGCACCATTTATTAAATAGGGAATCCTTTCCCCATTTCTTGTTTTTCTCAGGTTTGTCAAAGATCAGATAGTTGTAGATGTGTGGTGTTATTTCTGAGGGCTCTTCTGTTCCATTGATGTATATCTCTGTTTTGGTACCAGTACCATGCTGTTTAGGTTACTGTAGCCTTGTAGTATAGTTTGAAGTCAGGTAGCGTGATGCCTCCAGCTTTGTTCTTTTGGCTTAGGATTGACTTGGCAATGCAGGCTCTTTTTTGTTCCATATGAACTTTAAAGTAGTTTTTCCCAATTCTGAAGAATTTTATTCTTTTTTAGCTGCCTCACCTGTTGACAACATTTAAAGGAAATTATCATCAATATTTTATCTAATTATTGGGGTCCTCCTTTCTGGCCTCTATTATTATGTGATATGTATTATTCTAGGTGATTGATACCATTTGTGAAAATTTAGAATGTTCCACTGATAGCTACTTTAAGGTTTCTCTATTTCTACAATTGTATACATGTATGTGCTTATATATACTTTTTTATTCAGAAGTTGAAACTAAAAGATCCAGAAAGAAAACTATTAAGGAGGCTTAGTGGGATTTACATGAAATTCTATAAACTGCTGCTTAATGTGTGGAAAGCTAAGAGAATATGGAATATGAGAAAGCCTGATGCAATGGAATTATAAAAAGAAATGAACTTTATATATAATAAAGTAGATCAGAAATATACAAAATAAAATATGAATACCAACTAGTTGCTTAGTGCATTTAAAAAAATTACTCTTTAATAGTAAAATGAAGCGTTATTAAAAATGTTTGTTCTTGTAGATATAGTAAATTTTCATCTTTAGGAATATTGAGGCAAAATATTTATTTACTTAATAAAAATTAACATCCTAATTAGTCCTAAGATTTAATAGAAAGTAAAAGAAAAGAAAACATGAAGAATTATCAATGTTAAGCTATTAATCTGCTGTGAAGCACCTGTCATCTTAGATGTAACACCAAAAAACTTTGGTAAAAATCTGCAGTTTGGCTGGGTGTGGTGGCTCATGCCTATAATCCCAGCACTCTGGGAGGCCAAGGCAGGAGGATCGCTTGAGCCCAGGAGTTCATGACCAGCCTGGGCAACAGAGTGAGACCACATCTCTACAAAAAATAAAAAAAATTAACCAGTTGTGGTGATGGGCACACCTCTGTTCCCAGCTACTTGGGAGACTGAGGTGGGAGTATCACTTGAGCCCAGGATGTCAAAAATGCAGTGAGCCGTGATTGTGTCACTGCACTCTACCCTGGGCAACAGAGCAACACTCTGTCTCAACAAAACAAAACAAAACAAAACACTGCAATTTGAAAAGATTTTTCTCCATGCAAAATCAACATTTCTTCTGGCATGTATGTCACACAGTATACTCTGCAGTAGTTTGAAGACTTAGTTCTTGGGATAAGAACTAACAGTGAAATTTTAAATTGTAAAAGAAATATCAGAAAAACATTTAGAATTGTCATTCTCATATTACAAATTCCTCTGCATATATAAAAAAATCAGAAATTACCACATTCTAATCCCATATAGTAAATAATATGTTGTTTTAAACATGTTAAAGAGTTTATTATTTTTTCTAAAAGTTATTTTTCATCACCATGGTAGATCAGCATTACCCATCAGGGTTTACAAACCAGTGACAGCTTATTTCTCCAGTGCTGGCTTCAAGTAGTCAAGCTGTCAATCCCTGTCCACATTTCATTTTACTTCACTGATTTGTAGAGAAAATAAAGGTTCCTGTTGTGGCCTTAAAATTAGAACTCTGGAGTTAGAAATATCTTTGTGATCATTTAATGTTTGATGTGTAGTTTAAAAAGTAATTTCCGGCCAGGCACAGTGGCTCACACCTGTAATCCTAGCACTTTGGGGGGCCGAGGCGGGTGGATCACCTGAGGTCAGGAGTTCAAGACCAGCCTGACCAAAATGGTGGAACCCCATCTCTACTAAAAATACAAAAAGTAGCTGGGCGTGGTGGCGGGGGCCTGTAATCCCAGCTACTCAGGAGGCTGAGGCAGGAGAATCGTTTGAACCCGGGAGACAGAGGTTGCAGTGAGCCGAGATTGTGCCATTGCACTCCAGCCTGGGCAACAAAGCGAGACCTTGTCTCAAAAAAAAAAAAAAAAAAAGTAATTTCCATTAGGTTAAGTGACTTGTTCATTGTCATGAGTTCATTTATAACACAGATAGTTGGACTTCTAACCCCTGGTCTAGTCCTCTTTCTCTTAAACTGTGCTATTTTAAAGAGTCTTTTTGTTGGGTAAGATGTGAATGCACATTATCACATAACATGTCCTAATGATATCTCAATAAGACAGTTTCCTTTCAGATTCAGAAATCACTTAACAGCTTTACAATAAAAACAGATAAAAAGCCGGAACAACTTCAGGTTCTCATAGACAATCAAATGAGAGCAGCAGTAACTAGCAGGAAGAAATTTATAAGCATTCTAGGCAAAAATAGAGAAAAGACTTATTTCTTTCAAGTTTACCTGGACTTAGAAGTGTTAACCCAAATTAAAAAAAAAAAAAAAGGAAGCTTTCTAAGATAAATTTACTTGGGAATATTGTAATGAGAATACGTGTGTTATTGTAAAAATCAGTATTCAGAGTATTTTCCAGGTAAGTAAAGTTTAATTTTTTTTTTTGGCCCAGTTACACTGAAAGGCAGAATTGGATATTTCTCTAAAAACACCTTCAGACTCTACTAGCAATTTTTTAAAAAGGAAAGTCATCTAGGTAGCATTTGTTTTATATAACATTTAAAGTTATTAATTGAATTTTCCACAGTATAATCTATTAAATAATTGGTCCCACAAAGATAATCACATGTCAGCATTTATAACCCTGTTATGAAGGATCTGTGTGACACCACTAACAGGACACAGAGCTGAATTCTAGAGCTGACTTTGTGCTCATGTCATGACTTGGCTCTTCAAGTGTTTTCACTTAAAGTATAAAAGTACCTGTTCATGTGAGTTAAGGTGGATTACATTTGGCTACTAGCCACGTTGAATTCTGTTACAGATGGTTTTGTTAGATTCTGGACTTCCTGTAAGAAGAACATGAATGTGTAAAGGTAAACATAAAATGTAAGTGATGACAGATATAAACTTTTTTCTGAGTAAACAAACAAAATTCTTCCGATTAATGTGGTCTTACTGCCTCAACAAATGAGGCTTCTTAATAAGTTGCTAAATATTTCCAGGGTTCACTGAGGCTTCATTTAGCAGAATTAAAGTCTTTTATGTAATTCATTATATTGACTGGCAGGCTAGTGATCAAAAGTGTAGGCTAAAATAAGAGTTTCTGTAAAACTAAAGATGTTCAGTAGTTGATTTGCAAATGGTTCATTTATTCATTCATTGATATATTCAACAAATATATTTATTAAGTGCTCCCACATGTTAAGCGCTGTTGTCTGAGCTAAGGACACAGTAGAAACAAAGCCCTGCTCTTGCAGAATTGTACACAGATGGGCAGTGGACACACAAGCAATTATTTGTTGTCATGTGTTGATAATTAGAAGAAAAATAAGCTGTGTAGGAGGACAGAATAGCAAGGGTGTGTACATGGTATGGGGAATGCCATGTCAGGATGGTAAAAGAAGCACTCTGATAATTTGACATTGGAGCCAAAGCTTGGAGGAGGGAGCAAGCCAGGTGATTATCTAAGGAAGAATATGCCAGGCGTTGGGAATCATGAATTTAAAATCCCTGGTGATGACCATGCTTGGACTGTTCTAGGAATAGCAAAGAGCAAATAGAATTGGAACAGTGTGAGTAAACAGAATGGCATAGGATGAGATCAGAAAACTACCAGTGGGCTAGTTGAGTAGAGTCTTCAAAGCTGAGACCTGTAAATAAAGACTTTAGATTTTATTTAGAGTGAGACAGAAAGCTATTGGAAGGTTTTCTGACTTTTTTTTGTGAAGAATAGACTAGAATGGAAGCAAGAGAGCCAGTTAGGAGGATATTGTATTCAGGAAGAAAATGATAGTATTGGGGCCAGGGCATTAGAGTGGATGTGATCAGAAGTGGTGGATTTACTTTGCAGGTAAAGCTAACAGGATCTCTTGAGGTATTAGATGTTGGGTTCTCGGTGAGGGATATTAAAGGATGACTACAAGATTTCTTGCTAAAACAACTAGATGGTTGGATGATTAGAGAAGTCATATATTCAAGACTGATAAATAGAATGACCAGATCTGGGTAAAGCAACTAAAGAGTTATGTTCTGGAAATGTTATATTCCAGGTGCCTGTAAGTCATCCAAGTACAGATAATGCTTAAGTATCCAGATAAATGAGTCTGGAATTCAGGGCAGTAGGTCAGGGCTTAAGATGTGAATTTGGGAATTTAGGACATAAGACTGGATGGAATCATCTAAGGAGTGAGTTAGAGAAGAGGTTCCAGCTCTAAAATTTAGAGATTAGGATGATGAGGAAAATCCAGCAAAGAAAACTGAGAAGGAGCAGCCAATGAAGTGAGCAGAGAACCTGGAGTTGTTTCACCTTTATATCTGTTTTTCTTGTAAAGCTGGTAAGTGATTTCTGAATCTGAAAGGAAACTGTTTATTGAGATATCATTAGGACATGTTATGTGATAATGTGCATTCACATCTTAGAAAAAAAAGTTATGTGTATAAGGTATTTCCAAGAGGAAAATAGACAAAAATAGAGATATTGATGTTCTTTCCTTCTCATTCCCTTTCCCGACTGCAAACTGCCTTCCAATTTTTAAAAAATGCATTTTATTATTTTAAAAATATGGGTAACTGAGATTAGACATAAAACATGCCCTCAAGATGTTTACAGGAGCTGTATATACAGATATATGTAATGCAAGATTTTCCTTAAGGAACTGGTGAGCTTCCTACTATAATGATAATTGGGCAAGTTATTATATTGCCTTTTTAGCCTTGGCTACCAAGAATCTTGGGGATAAATTTGATGCTCTATTTTTAATAATTGTGTTAAAAATTGAGGTTATCATATGTGTATTCTGCTTTTTATGTTTTTGGTTTCTACCTTTATTAGCATTTTATTATTATAAGCTGTCTCAAATCCTTTCTGGAATGCGTACTGATATTAAGAAAAATATAAATATATTGGGCTATAAGGGTTAAAAGGACAGATACATTACTTCCTTTGTCATTTTTCTCATTTTTCCCAATTCATTGACTTTATTTTTAAAATTATAACTATATGTTGCATGTGAACATTTTAGAAAGATGTTAACCAAAGTGTATACTAAAGTACAGACATTAATGTTTTTAACCTATACATTTGCTGTTCATTAGGGACTGTCCTCTGCCATTCAGATTTCTAGATGAAATCTTCCTAATTGTTTCTTAAATGTTCCACACTGTCCTAGAGTCTTTCACTGCTTTATTTTAAAGCAACTCTGTAGCTCGCTGTGGAAAGAGTAAGATCGGGGAAGAAATGAATTTGGAGACAGAAGAATTCTAGTATTATAATATTACTTAGAAATCTGTAAATTCTAATGTCTATTATTATGGCATTCCTAGTCTTACTGAAACATGAACTGTAAGAATATCTTAGACCTATAAAACTAAACTTTCCAAAGTATCTAAGCTCACGCCCTGATGTGTCAGCAAGCTTTTGCTAGGTTTGCTGTGATAACAAACATTTCTAAATTTCAGTGCCTTATAACAATAAATACACTTATTTAAGTGTATTTCTCCTTATTGCAGCTGTGAATTGGCTGTGGCCCTGTGCCATGTGTATTCTCATCTTGGAATCCAGGCTGAGGGATCAGCCTCTATCTGGGACATGCTGTTCTTGTGGCAGAGGGGAAATGGCAATAGCAGAACCAGAGAAAGAGTCTTAAAGCATCCTTTTGGAAGTGACACACACTATTTCCACTCACATTTCTTTGAGCAATCACTGAGAAGTGAGGAAGTATAATCATATCACAGGAAGGGGCAGTGAATAATTGGGACAAAAATACATTCTACCACATGGGAAGATGGGATGTTGTGAATATGATTATGAGATTAAGGAACCATTATTATTAATCTCATGGGTCATTTTAGTTTCAGGAGCCTCATGGTAGGAAAAGTTAGAATAATAAATAACAAAGCATCATTTTAGTGCCGTTTCCAGAAATTTGTAGTGGTAAGCTATGCATTAATAAAATTAATCCTCTGGATGCAGAAAGACATTTTATAGGTAGATGTCTGTCATCCCAGGTTGAGTGGTGATTGATGTGTTGTGTACCAATCTTCTGTTTTGCAGTGAGAAATGTTTTAGATGAAGATAATGATAATGTTGGGCAACCCAATGAGTATGACCTGAACGACAGCTTTCTAGATGATGAGGAAGAAGACTATGAGCCAACAGATGAAGATTCTGACTGGGAACCAGGAAAGGAAGATGAAGAGAAGGAAGATGTGGAAGAGCTTTTGAAAGAAGCAAAAAGGTTTATGAAAAGAAAATAGTAACTAACTTCTGTAGTCATATCTGCCTTACATTTACTTTTTCTTTGTGGGAAAACATTTATGAACTAAGGAGGTACTTAAGTGACAGTTATTTTCCTTCTTTTGATAGTTAATGACTTTTACTACTGACTCTTTACAAATGAGACATTGAAACGTCAGCCTTCAGTATAATAGATGGAATTTTTTGTTGCCTTGCCTTTTCTTTCCTACTTAAAGCATCTGGAAATAGGAAGACAGAGAAGGTAGAGTAAAAATGGATATTTTTTATGTACTTTGTATATTGGTAATAAAAAGTAAAAGCCATAGGTTGCATAAAACTTTGGTCTTTTTAAATTTTTTTCCAAAGATTATGGAGTACTCTGCAAGTATAACCAGGCAAAGTACATGAAAACATGCCTCTTTTCATTGTTACTGAAGTAATTCTGTAAGCAGAACCAGGCTTTAAAAAATGCAGCCATTACATAATGGCGTTTTTTTTCTAGTACCTTAGATGTGAGCTTTGCAATTTCACTTACTACTTTTATCCTTCAAAACTTGGGAAGATTGGTTCCAAATGGGTACTGAAAATAGATTCAACTAGGCTGTAGAAGAGAAATGTTCACCATGTAGGGAATGTTATTTTGTGTTCCACATCTGCAATTTACTGTATGTTTGAATTTAAAAGTAAAAAAACTCAAAAAACTTGACCTTTTTTTTCAAACTAAAGTCCTAGCTGATTATTTTAACTCTCAGTGTGCTGTCTTTATATTAAGAATAGAGAAACGACATAACTTTCTCAAATGGCATTAGTTTTGCCTTAGTTTTTTTGACCTCAGATGAAAGTAGCAAGTTGTTTGCCAGTTGAAAGTTCAAGATTCTGGCCTCCCATATCAAGAAGAAACCACTTATTCTCCAGTTTTACAAAGTATCTTTCTGTATTTCTGTTCTAAAACTACTTTAAGCCCTATAATGCTCTTCATATTACGTGACTTTGAATTGTTAAAATGTAGTTTAGAATCTTTAATAACAGTTGGGTTGTGTACACAGAGCAGGAGATATTTATTGAAATCATAAATCACTAAGCCAAAAGAATCTTTGTTAAATGCTATTATTTTCTACTCTAAAGGAACCTAAAAATTTATATCTTAAAAGATCAAAACATATTTATAATAATATTTTCTCATTGCTTTAAAATATATCTCCCAGTAATTATACAATATTTAATATTTACTTAAACTGGAACAAGAATAAGATAAACATTTCTCTAGACTATAACCTATTATTCTGATTTTTATCTCTTATTGTTATTTGGGAACTATTTTTCCCCTTATAATGTCCCTTTAGCCTTGGTAGTATAACAAATCTACGAATGTAATATTTAACTTATTCTCATCCCTGCCACTAACTTAATCCTTGAAGTGTTACATAATCTACTCCTAGGTATATACCCAGAGGAATTGAAAACATTTCCACATAAAAACTGTACACAATGTCAATAGAAGCATTATTCTTAACAGCCAAAAAGTATAAACACCCAAAGTCTATCAACTATCAACTGGGTGAATGGATAAGCAAAACGTGGTATATCTGTGCAATGGAATATTATTTGGTCATAAAAAGGAATAAAGTACTGATACATGCTACAAGATAGATGAACCTTGAAGGCAAGTAAAAGAAGCCAGACACAAAAGGCCACATACTGTATGAACTCATTTATATGAAATTTCCAAAACAGGCAAATCCATAAAGACAGAAAGCAAATTTGTGGTTGCCAGGGACTTGGGGAGGAAGAATGGGGAGTGACTGCTAATGAGTATAGGATTTCCTTTTGAGTGATAAAAATGTTCTAAGATTAGATGGCAGTGATGGTTGCACAACTCTGTAAATATATTACAAACAATGCATTGTACACTTTCAAAGGGTAGATTTCATTGCACGTGAACTATATATTTCAATAAATCTGTCACAAAAAAGTAATGCAAAGGGTAATACCAGTCTTTTAGAAGGAAAAAAATATTTAATATCAAAGGATATTCTTCGTAGTAATGTAATAGTTCATGGTAGCTGCTTTTAACGATACAGTTTTAATGCAACTTTCATAATCATCCTGAAGACACTTTTGAGTATAACTATTGTATAAATAAATGTATAGCTTAATTGACTGAAGTGTAATGAAAATGAAAGTGTAATTGGACTGTGTTTAGATCTGTGTTTTCCAAAACAGAGGGAAAACCGGTAACATTAGGCTGTCAGTGGTCTCAAGAGCACCATTAACAAAGCTTGATTTTTTAAATTAATTGCTGTTCTATACAGTGGATAAGAGCCAATTCTCCCTGTCATGGTGTTCCTGGAACTGAAACTATATCCCAGCCTCCTCTGTCATGGTAAAAATTATCATATATACATTTCTCACCTATGTGCCTAATTTTAAAAGCAAATATTTTCTGGCTAAACTTTTGAGGGGGGATGGGTTTTCTAGGACCCTGGGAAACTGGAGACCTGAAGAGTTTTGGGGGACACTTGAACACTGACTTTGGTGTTTTCCCCTGGTTGAGGATGGCCCTATTGATACTGAGTTTCTAGAACTAGAGGATCCTAAACATTCATTGTAATGAAAGCAGATAGATTGTGAGCATAATTACTCCAGAATGTTGATGTAAAGCTGAGAGTAAATGGGTAGTTTCTTACAACTAATTGTTCAGTGTCACCAGCACACCTCACTGAGGGGGAAACTGTCCACCAGCACGCTGCATCCAGCCCTGCTCTGTGAGACCACCTCATTCCCATTCAGTCTCTTTGTTGGCCAGGAGTCCATAATGGTGTGTGCATGTGGGGGAGGGGGATCTTTTCCTGCCAATCTACAAACCTAGCCTACAAAGCTTCACCTCTACAATATGTACTGAAAGTAAAGTGATAAGGAATAATTATGATTGAGATTATTATTGGCCACCCTAATATAATGTACATAATAAACTTTATCATCATAAACAACCACATTTATACTCTGTTGTGCCCAAGATACTGTCTTAGGTGTCAGCAATTCAAAGAATAACATAGAGTCCCTATTTTCAATGTGCTTACTCTCTATTCTGGACAATAGGATATTTATTCATTCAGTGACAGTGACTACTAAATACCATGAAAGATACAAAAAAGAAAAAGAAATGGTATCTACAGTAAAAGATTTTACAAAGGCAATGAGGCAAGCATTCAAATAACATAGTGGATAGAATGGGACCAGTCAGAGAAGGAGAAGCTAGAGTGTAACAGAAATACCCCTCTGGCTGTATACTGAAGTATATACAGTCTCAGTCATGAGAAAATCTTGGTGTGATTGAGTTGCAGGATGAACTAACAGATTTTTTTATGGAACAAAATTTTTACTTGAAAGAATGACTGGCAGACATATTATGATTATTCAAACTTCAGTATTTGGCAGATGTTTTATCAAACATGAACTAAATGAGCCCTGTTTTCAAGGAAAACAACCAACAGTATTTGCTGTAATGCTGAAATTTGAGCTTTTAAGCAAAAATCAGAATTTTGGAAGAACTTGGATTCATCACCATTAGCTTGATAGCTTTTCAAAACTCTAAAAACTATTCTGATGATATTGTAGGTGATATGATATAATAAAATGTATCAATATTTGGAAGAGCTGCAAAACTTAGTAAGCCAACATTTTCCACATAACCAGTGTATGATGTTATAAAACCAGGCATGGGTAAGAGATCCAGTCAAAGTGTAAGATGAAGCAATGGACTTAATGTAACAGAGTCTGTTAAGTTCATTAATATGGTTTCAGATTCCATATTTCAACTAATCTTCCAGAAACTGCAATTTGTCTATTTTTGTGACATCAAGAAGAATATCCACCATTACCTGAAAAGCCTATTAAAATACTCCTTCCTTTTCAACTACATATCTGTGTAAGGCCTGGTTTGCTCCATGTACTTTAAGCAAAACAACATAGGAGAGCAGATACAGGAATCTACCTGTCTTCTAGAGAAGACAGACATTAAAGAGATTTGCAAAAATGTAAAACAATGCCATTCATCTGACTAAATTCTTTAAAATATATAATTATTTTTTATAAAATACATGTATCAGTGTGTAATGGGTTTACTCTTCTTTTTAAGTGAATTACTAAATATTTTAAAAATTTCTCAATTATAATCTCCAGTATGGTAACTGTCTACAAATACGACCCTCATAAACAAAAGCTTTTTGGGTTTCTCAGTAATTTTTAAGAGTGAAAAGACTCCTGAGGCTGAAAATTTTGAGAACCACTCCAGTAGGTCACTGTGCCATTCAGTTAGACTAGTTATGCTAGGATAACCCCAAAATCTCAGTGTCTTAACACAAGGAACATTTTCTTATGCCAAGATTTTCTGTGTTGGGTGACCCTCTAGGGCACTGTCTTCCATGTAGCAACTCAGCATTCCAGCATTTTACAGTCTCTGCCTTCTTGCAGTTGTATCATCTGGATCGTGAGACCTTCTTAATCATGACTGCAAGGGAATACAGAAAGTAGAGGGTTATAGTGTAATTAAAGGCTTCAGGCTGAAGTGACATCACTCCTGTTTGCAGCTCATTGGCCAGAAGTAATTACATGGCTTTAACCACTAGAAGGGGCTTGGGAAGTACAGTCTTATGGGTGTCCAGAAAAGATGAGAAACAGAGTGAACACTAGTAATGTCTACCACAGTCACCAAAGGAGTAAGTGGTAAAAGAGAGTTGAGGACAAGATATTTAGTGTCATAATTTAAGGGATAGGAAGATAGATAAAAAGATTCTTCAGAGGAATTAGAAGAAGAGGAATGTTAGGAACTTTCTGTGTCACGGGAGCTGAAAGTAGAATGAATATTAAGAAGGAAGAAGTAGTTAATATTGTCAGTTGCTATAGAATGGTTACACACCTAAGAACTGAGATTAGATTTAGCTTCCTACTTCACTGAGATAATTGAAGCTATTCAATGAGAACTTTTACAAACTCTCACCTGCATCTACCCACCTACCAGCTATTCTCAAATTCTTTATCTTCTCCCCCGGTATTATAGATAAATTGTTTATTATTTTATTTAAAATCATTTCCCTAGATCCAGGCATCTCTTACGTGCTTAAGGACATTACACTGGTAATTCCTCCCCCTCTCCCATCTCATCAGTTTTTTCCTATGTACTGATTCATTCCCATCACCATGTAAACTTAATAATATTTCTTCCATCTTAAAGAGAGACAAAAAAACTTTCCTTAATTCACTCCCTGCAACAGCTTTACTACCCTATTTATCTTCTCCCCTTAACAGGAAAATTCGTCAAAAGTGTTGTCTATACTTGCTGTCACCAGTGCCCATCCTTTAAGTCCTTAAAATTGTAACAGAAAAACATCAAAAGAACTAACATAACTAATTCCATTTTCATTTAAGGGACCTTTACCCATTGCTACACGTAGGCTAGGATAATTTCAGAGCACTGAGATTAAATGTGAAAACAGGAATCATGTAGTTTTTGAAACTAATTCTGTGATTATTGAGGAAGTATGTAAACAATTATGTTTTATTAAAGATTTATAGGTGCATTGTGACCTGACCAAGCACAAAGAAGTTCCCAAAGCCCTTGGACTCTTACTGGTGCCCACATATTTGTACTCATTGGTCACTTCTTTGTCCCAACCCCCTCCTCTTCCTTTTGCCCTTAACATAAAAGCAGCCTGAAATTTGTTCTGATTTAAGATGGTACTTTAGGACGTTAGTCGGCCATCTTCTCGGTTTACTGGCTTTCCAAAATTAAGTTGCCTTCCTTGCTCCAACTCCTTGTCTCCCTACTTATTGGCTGTTGTGCGATGAGTAGGATGAGCCTGAACTTGGTTACAAAATCAAGCCTTTCCCACCACCTTTTCCACTGAAACTGCTTTTGTCAGGTGCATCAGTGATTTCCACTCTCCTGAATCCTATGGTCATTTCTCAGCCCTCATCCTTCTCAATCTTTCCTCAACATTTGAAACAAAAGGTCACTTCCATCTCCTTGGAACATTTCCTTCACTTGACTTCCAGGAAATTAGAATGTCTTGAGTTTTCTACCCACCTTACTCCCAGTGTTCTTTGCTTGGTATTTCTTTTTTCCATGAACACTTAAAGTGTTCCAGGGCAGAGTCCTTGGTCCTAGGTTCCTTTTCCTCTCTACATTCATTTCCATGGTGATTTTATGCAATCTTGTGGCTCTTTTCCATATGCTGAAAACTCCTAAATTTGTATCTCAAGGAGAGACCTCTTCCCTAAGCTCCAAGCCTTTATATATCCAACTGCCTACCCAACATTTCCACTTGACTGTAGGATAAACACCTCAAACTTCACATGTTTAATACTGAATTCTAATTGTCCTTCTGAAACTTCTTTGCCCTTGCTCAGGCCACAAAACCTTAAGAATATTTATTCTTCAGTCCCACTTCCTTCAACAATCAGCAAAATCTTGTTGATTCTACTTTCAAAATATATCCAGAATCTGACTATATTTCTGCACTTCAACTGCTATCAACTTGGGCTCCCTGCTCCAACCTTTGGTCTCCTATAAGTTTATTCAGAGCACAGCAGTCAGAGTAATCCTATTACAGCTTAAGTCAAATCATATTACACCCTTGTCCCAAACCCTCCAGTGGTCTCCAGTCTCACTCAGACCAAAGCCAGAGTCTTTATTATGTCCTTTATTATCTCCCCAGCCTCACCTACTACAATTTTTCACTTTCTCTGATCCAGCTGGATTAGCCTCCTTATTTTTTCTCACATATGTTCCTGACTTCAGGTCTACGGCCTGGCTGTTCATTCTGCCTCGAATGCTCTTTCCCAAGATAATCACATGGATCAGACCATCACCTCCTTCAAGAGTTGTTCCCCTTGAGGGAAATGTCTAAGGCCTTACTTGGTCACCCTATTTGACATTTCTGCTTCCTCCACTCCATCCCCACATATACACTTCTGATCTCTTATACCTAGCTCTATTTTTTTCATAATATGTATTTCTCAGAATACTGTGTAATTTACCTCTGTTCGTTTTTCTTTCTCACTTTGCTAGAATGTAAACTTCATCAAGACAAGGGTATTTGTCCATTGTTTTCAGTGCCAAATTTCCAGTGTTAAGAACAGTGCCTAGAACATAACTGGTGCTCAATACATACTTGTTGAATGGATAAATGACTCTTTGGACATGAGTGATGATGACCAAAAGAGTAGCATGGGAGAAGCAAGATGTCAGGGTGTTCAGGAAGAAATGGTTGAGAAGAAATAAATGGATTGCAATCACTCTAGGGAAGTGTAGAGATGATAAAATCAGTAGAGGTTTGTTTTGTGTGGCATTGTTTTTACGGTGGGAACACACAGCATGTTTTATAGTCAGAAAGAAGGAATCTGCAGAGAGATTACAATGTTGTGAAAGTTAAGGAATGGGTACTTGTACTTCTGTTAGCATTTTTGTATTAGTTAAATTTATTAATACAGTGATCCTTAACCTAGCTGTGCATCAGAATCCCCTGTGAATTTCTTTAAAAAACAATAGGTGCTGGGTTCCATGAGAGACCTACTGGGTCAGAATCTCTCAGATGGGGCACTAGTATTAGTATTAAAATACACACACACACACACACACACACACACACACACACACAGCTTTCTGGTTCATGGATAAGATGCTGTTGAAGGACAGCTTTGGAAAGCAAGCAGTATAAGCCCACTTCTATATATCTCTAATGAGGAGTTCAGTCCAGGCCCAACAATGAAAAGCAAGCAGAGTTTGTGACGCCTCAAAAGAAAATTAATCATTCTGAAGTTTGGGATTAATCTGTGCGACTTTCATTTTTCATAAAGCATAAAAGATGGAAAGTCAAGAATAGAAGTAGCCAATATTCTTTGAAACCATAAAATTATACACACAGTAATTCCATCAGTGACACAGATTATTCTTGAGATTTTAACCTTCATTAGCTGTGAGTTTAGCGGCTCACATTGGTGCTAACTACACTGTCAGGAAACTTCCTTGTTTGTGCCATGGGTTTCATTTTGTCTGTGGAGCCCACAGTGGAAACCTCCTATGGTGTAATGAAATTAGAAACGAACAACCAAAGGACAGGAAAAATAAATCTAATGGATGTGATATTTTAATCCATCCTTCTGAGTAGATTAAAATCATATCTCTGGAAAAAAAGGCATCAGGTTGAACTTGTAAGCTGTTTAAAAATAAGCAACAATTAGAGTATTATGTTACTATTATGTAGCAAGTAATATATTTGAAGAAAAATAATATTGTCTTACATGTATAAGAAAAAAGATTAATAATAAATCAACTAAGTATTTTAGAGCTAGACAAAAGCAGAGCATCCGAATTAGCCAAGGATAGGATAGAATTAGTAAAATCTTTAGATAAAAGACTAAAAAAGGAAAACCCAACAGACTTGATCAATAAGAGAAAAAATAGAGACAACTCTTAGCAAAAAAAAAAAAAAAAAAAGACAAACATTAAAAATAAAAAGGGTTAGAACTACAAATATGGATATTTTAAAATTTTGTAAGAGAGTATGTACAACTTCATGTCAATTTGTAAATGTAGATGAATGTATGACTTTCTAAAAAAAATAACTTTCCAAAGTGTACTTTATAAGACATTAAAAAGGGTGAACAGATTAATAGCCACAGAGGAAATGGAAAGTATTCACGTTTCTACTCGTAGGATAGTACCAAACATTGGGAATTACAAATGAATTATATCAAACTTTTTTTCAGCAAATAATTTCCCGCATCTTCACTCTTCATCTTCCCACCCTCTTCTGGACAACTCCTGACATTCTGTGATATTCAGCATTCACCATAAACATTGCATGATTCAGTTCTCCTTGATATCTTGGTGCTTGGACTCTTCACTGTTGGCATCATTAGGTCAGCAGGTGAACACTCAGGATTGTTTCTCTTCTGTTAGTAGAGCACCAAAAGGTAAGAAGCCAGGAGGCTTTCTCCCCATGGTTCTCATCACTGGATAAGAAATGTGGGTTGAAGAACATGAGCTAATTAGGACTCCAGACAACCTCTGCCCCCCTTACCTCAGTGCTTAAGTGGGAGGACCAGAATCTTCCTAATTGTGTTAGTGCTAGCTTAAGGAAAGTATATCATTGTAATTCATCTCTTTTATTTTGAAAGAGAAATTTGTTGTTCCAAAACTGAGATTAAGCAAACTGTGTGCCCAGCACCCTTAATTCCATGCTGATAAAAGTCACTTTCCTTTGACAATGTTGATTACTAAGAGCTAACTGACAGAAGATAAAATCATGTTGCTTGCTAGGTCTAATTAATAGCCACAGATCAATCTGCCTGTTATTCTTAGATATAGCACTTGTTATTTTTAATTAATGGTTGACATCTCAAAATGGCATTAGTCGTCCATACCTAAATATTAACACATGCCTCCTGCTAAGGAGATGTCCGTTTTTTGACTTAGCAGGCTTACTGGCCTGTGAAATAAACAGCTGTCTGGAATTAGCAGTCTGGATGTTTATGTAGATATTCCCTAAGGAAGGATACATGTTTGTTTTCCCCAAACTTTTCTTTCAAACTAGCACACTGACTATTGTCCTCCTAAACCAATAAAAGTCATTAGCACTTCACCTTAGAAGTGTTAACGAAATAGTGAGATCAAGCCTGTTGGAGTGACAGTGTCGAGTTAATGACATTCCCTGCATCTCTCAACACGACATTACACCAACAGGAGCCACCATTGGTTCATTTTATTCTTTTTAATTTAATTTAATTATTATTATTTTTTAAGACAGGGTCTGGCTCTGTCACCTAAGCCAGAGGGCAATGGTACAATCACCATTGACTGCAGTCTCAAATTCCTGGGCTCAAGCAATCCTCCCGCCTCAGCTTCCCAAGCAGCTGGGACTACAGGCATGCCCCACCATGTCCAGGTAATTAAAAAAAAATTTTTTTTTTTTTGTAGACATGGGGTTTCCCTGTGTTGCCTAGACTGGTCTCAAACTCCTGGGATTAAGGGATCCTGCCCCCTTGGCCTCCCAAAGTACTGGGATTACAGGCATGAGCCATCGCACCCCACCTACTTGGTTCATTTTAAAGAAGAACATTTGTGTTTCCCTTGGTGGAGACCCTGGGGAGCTGCCTCACTGGCTGATTCCTTCTCTGGGGACAGTGCCGGCGCACAGAAGAGAGCCTCCAGGGGCCACGGCCCAGGCACATGACCTTACCCTTCTGACCTCAGCAACTGGTTTGGGGTGACCCCTTACGCTAGCAGGGCCAGTCGGGTGCTTTTTCTAGGGTTTTTTTTTTTTTTTTTTTGAGTAGATAAGGACAGGGACAAGGAGCGCCTCGTATCAGAGGCGCTCTCTACCACAGCACTCTGGAGAGCAGGTCCCCAGGCCTCCATTGCTGAGGCCTCAGAGCTGTCTGGTTCTCTGGCTGGTCAACTCTTCCTTTCATCAAACGACCCCAGCAGCTCTTCATATTTTCCTTAAGCTAGTCAGTCCTGTCTGTTACATACAGCATAAGGAGAAACAAACCAACTTTTAGTTATTACACTAGAGTTTAAATTAAGATTAAGCTATGTAATGAACACTATGGTGTCAATTAAGCAAATTTTGGTCATTGCTTGTTATGATCTTTCTTTTCCTTTCTCCAAAAGTTAGTAAGTAAGGAGTCAGGCTGACAGAAATGTTGCAAAGTTAATGTTTGTCTTTTAAAAGTTTGACAACGCTGTAACATGAAATTCTGGCATTTTGCCAAGTAATGAGTCTTATTTTGTTACACAGGTGCTATGTAAATGCATCCTGACTAAAAAAAAATGTTCTTCACATTTTCGGGGGGAATAAAAAAATGTTCTTCAGATCTTTGGACCACAGAGTGCAAAGTGTTGCACCAACATATATTAGCTTATTATTAGAGAGTTAAGTATAGCTTTAAACTGCAGCAGCTGGGAATGGAGTTTTAGGTTTAACACACATTATAGGTAAAGAAATAACAACACCAAAGCTGGGAAGCAGAGCAAGGGCCACACAGGTCACACCGCCTGGCAGGCTGAGGAACGCCTTTGCCTTTCCTCAAGGTTGTCCTTGGCAGCTCCTACAGCATGAGAGGGACAGAAGAGGCAGAGCGGCCTGGGACCTTCCCAGGGACTGGAGGCAGGACGCACTGCCTACCCACCACTTCCTACACTGGCTCCATCAGGAGAAACAGGGCTGAAGACAAGGTTGGAGGTAACTTTGCAGAGGAGAAGCCACAGGCAGAACTCTCAGAACATGGGGTAGAAGCAGGCTGGGTGCAGCGGCTTACACCTGTAATTCCAGCATTTTGGGAGGCTGAGGCGGGTGGATCACTTGAGGTCAGGAGTTCAAGACCAGCCTGTTCACCAACATGGCGAAATCCCGTCTCTACTAAAAATACGAAAGTTAGCTGGGTGTGGTGGTGCCCGCTTTAATCCCAGCTATTTGGGAAGCTGAGACAGGAGGATCACTTGAACCCAAAAGATGGAAGTTGCCATGAGCAGAGAAGATTGTGCTGCTTCACTCCATCTTGAGCAACAGAGCAAGACCCCGATTCAAAAAAAAAAAAAAAAAAGGGGGCAGTAGAAGCAGAGAGGGGCAACCTTTGTCCTGGTCAGTGGGGTGGGGCTGTCAGCTGAACACTCAGGAGCCTCATATCTTTGTGTGACCTCTCACACTCTAACATCGTCTTCTAAGTCACTGAATGGCTCCCAATGCTGCAAAGGAAGGAAAGCAAACAATTGGTATTTGGGAGCTCTGGGCAATAGGGGACAGCTCAGCTCCAGCCTGTTTGAATTTGTTAACTCATTTTCAGCACAGGACATGATCTGTGCCTTTGTGATCTGTGACCATTAAACACCAATGCTACGAAGTTGTACTGGCCTATGTAACTCCTAGCATCCTCTCATTTGTTCAACAAATAAATACTTACTGAGCTCCCACTTAGTGCCAAGCTCTGCTCCAGGCACTGGGGTGACAGAAATCCAGGCCATCCAGGAACTTCCTTCTAGTGTATGAATTTGTTCCACATCACACTACTTGATTTGTTCAAACCAAGATCTAAAGTCATGTTTGTGGGAGGATGGTTGGTTGTCTTTCTGCTGCCTGGCAACTTTTGTTTTTCAACACTGCCATGTACACAAATGCATTAACTAATCTCTTGGGCAAGGATCCAAGATTCAGAATAGCAAAGTTGGGCTTTTATGGGGTAAACAGCCCAAAGACAGGCAGAAATGAAGTTCTCAAGCAGATGAGACAAGTGAGCATGGAAGACAAGGCTAGTGTTCTCTATACGCAGGGGCCAGCTCTTCTCATGTCTTCTTTCTTGACCTGTCGACAGCCTGATAATACCTGAAGCTGAACTTGGGAGTCAGCTCAGAGCTGTGTAGGCTACAAAAGACTCCGTTAGCTCCTCCTTACTTAAGATGTATTTCTCTTAAATAGCTAATTGCAAAGTGTCTGATACTCATTTTATTTTTTCTTTTCCATCGTCCTCAATTTTAAAACACGTTCAGGGAAAGATCACAATTCTTAAAGAATTCCACCTTCCCTCTCAGGAAGAGCAAATTGAGGACTGGAAGTCAGATGGGTTTGGGTAGCACTAGGCTGAGAGTTCCAGCCAGAATACAAGCTTGAAACTTTGGCCTCCAATAGATAAGGTGGTTTACATTATTTCTCCCATTTGCTTTAATTTCCAGAATCCAAAGTATTTCTTTCTTCTACAACAACAGTTTTAGTACTGTGAAAGGCAATGCAATTTACCATTAAATGCCAATGGAAATGCCATGTCATTACCCAGTATGGTGCAGTGCTTCATGACCTTCAGTTCTGATGATTAAACTTTGCAAGATAGGCAAATAAGTATGTCAACACATGCCGGCATCTTCCTATGCCTACAAACACTCTGCTGCTCTGTGGATTTACATTCCTGCCTCATTCCATTAAGGAACCAAGGCAGCTTACAGAAATACACAAGATGAAAAAGAAATAGATGGAGAATTGAACACAAAAGCAGAATAGAAAGCTTAAGCCAGGGATGAAGTTAATTCACAAGAATGTACAGAAAAGCATAGCTCATATACTGGTTTATAGAGGAGCAAATCCAGCTCTCAGTCTTCCCAAACAAGGGGGAAAGTCAGTTGTAAAATTCACAGGGTCCATAAATTTTAAAATAATAATATGCTTTATTTGGGGAAAGCATCGTTTTAATTGGTAAAGAGAAAATAAAATTAACTGTAGCCCATGCCTACAGCATACCAAGGAGACAGAGAATGCTGTGAACTTCAGTTTATATGTAACAGGCAATGAATACATGAGGCCACCAGACTCAGCTTCTGAGCCCAAGTCAGACCTGATACTCAATGGAGGTGACGTGGAAAAGAGAGTGCAGCCAGGTCCCACCGAGGGGCAGATCACAGATAACTTCCATCAGAGTTCGCCCAAAGAAGGAGCTGACTCCACCCTTGCCAAAAATGTTAACCTGAATCTAATTAAGCCTTTAAACCTAACTCCCAGGATACATGTAAAAATGGTAAAAAGTAGCAAGTTGAAGAGGCAAGGGGATTTACCCTCACTCTCCTAACAATGGCCTCCAACCCTCATATCTTACCATGAGGAAGGGAGTTTTATGTTGGAGGAGGCTGGAACTGGGGCAAGGCTGGATACTGCTGTACTGGAGGTTCCTGTCACCCATGTGAGATAAGCTTGGGTGACACATTGCTCACCTCAGTGTAGCTCTTTGGGTAACAGAGTCTCTTGAGTGTCCACCAACAGAGAGACTTTCTCTTAAGTGAGCCCCAGATTCCCAGTGCCCAGACTCCTGAGAGTGGGTTCTGTTCTGGCCTATAAAAGAAATTAGGAAATTGGAGATGGAAGAAAGGGAAGGAAGTAGGGGATTGTCCAGAGGTCAAGAGATGTCATTCTCCTCTAAAGTATCCTCAACAGATTTCAGTTGCCAACAGCAATCTTTCCCAAATGGAATTCTGATTCTATAGATATTTATAGGTGAGGCTTAAAAAGGGTACCATGATGAAATTAATTTTGAAATGCGGAATTAAATGGGTTTGTTGCTTTGAGACTTGACATAGCCTTGCATAAGCAAATGTGTCCTGTGAGTCTTTAAAACTGGGTTTATATATCTACTGTTTCTAAAACTTATATAACCATGAATTTTTTTCTGGGGCATTCTGAAAATTCTGAAATACTCATTCACTCATTCATTCAACACATACTTGTTGAGCAGCTGGAACTGCCACAGACATTGTTCTTGGCATAGAAGATGCAGAGATGAATGAGACAACGTTCTTTCCCAAATGGAGTTTATAGTATAATGAGATAACAGGAAATACACCAACAAAATAGAGACTACGATAGGTGTAATAAGTGCTATAGAAATAAAGCAGGGGAAAAGCATAGAGAATGGTGGGGTGGGAGCTTGCGATAGGTGTGAGGGGTGGTGGCTGTTTTAGATCCGTGGTCAGGAAAGGCCTCCCTGAGGAGTGATGTGTGAATACAGACCTGAGTGAACAAGGCAGTGGCCAGGAGAAGGTGTAGGAAGAGAGTATACCAAACGGAGCTGACAAGTACAAAGGCCACGGGCAGGAAGGAGCCTGGGGAGTTCCAGAAACAGCAGGAAAACTAGAGTGCTTATGGTAGAAGGATCAAGGTGGAGAGGAGGGGTGGGAGAGGGCTTCCTCTGGTAGAAGTAGGCAGGAGCCAGATTGTGTAGGGCTAGATCATGGGAATGTTCAGAGAAGAGGTGAGCATTTAGGGGATTTTGCAAATGACAGGCTGTGAGTTACAAAGGTCAAGAGTTTAGGGTTGTGAAGGAGTGAGAAACTGAGTCATATTTGTATACCTGTTGAACACACAGGTATAAGATAATAGATGAGGAATAAGTGAACTGGCATCTTGGATCCTGGTGGTGACTGAAGCAAACGGGTGACAGCATGTTGGGATAAGTTGTGATACAGGGTACTGAGCTCTCATTGCAGCTTCCAACCTGGATTTGTCCGTGGGCAGCCAAGGCTTGGGGCATCCTGAAGGCAGGGAAGAGGAAGTATTACCAAGGACATCTAGAGCTCTTCAGGGCTCCCTAACTTCTAGCTGACAGCCCTGTCTCAATAGGGAAGAAGTGGTCATGTTAGAAGTGTCACCGATGGTCTACTTTTCTTGAGGGAATGGGCTGTGTTCTCTTTTTCTCACATAATACCTAGCCCAGTGCTATATACATGTCTGATTATCTGTAAATATTTGTTCTACTAAACTAAATGTATATCTTGTGACTTTGAGAAAATGAATATTCTAGAAGAGAAAGTGAGTTACACTATAACCAACAAAATCCAAGCCCATGTCAGCTGAATAATAAATCCATACATGGGAAGCATAAACATTTCTATCATAACCATTAATAGCACTCAAATTATTAAAAAGCTTAAAAAGAACTCCAAGTGGAAATGATGAAGATTGTACATGCATGTTAATGAAATGTGTCATTACATATGCTGATATGTGTCTAAAGGAGAGATAGAAACTTAAAAATAAGACTTTCTTTGGTATTAAGTATACATTTGCATCTTTGTTTTCTGTTTTTAGTTATATCATTTTAATTTAATTCAATATAATTTAAAAATCATTTTTTCTTTATGACCATCGTTATCCTGAAAAAAATTAAAGGCTATTGAAAATGTAATTAATCATGACCTTTAGGTAGTTTCCTGAATTGATGAACTTTTCTATATTGCTCATTAACCCCGTGTCAGACAGTAAGCCCTGATGGTATTTCTGTACCATCATGGTCACTGGAAAATATGTATTGGAAGAAAGTAGTAAAGATATCATAATCATTTAATTTTCCTGCTGGAAGAAGCTTTAGAATTCATTGAGAAGCAGTGTTGACCGTAGACGAATGTTGACTATAATTTGAGTCAATGATGAATTCCTTCCTCTACTATAAACCCATGTGTAAACATGGATTTTTCATCAAAAAATTCATCAGTAGCTAGTCCTTAACTCAATCTTAAGGAAACTTTGATGTATAAAAATCATAGAATATTTAAATTTTATAACATGCTTTAAATTCTATTTTGGAAAAACCAGAGAAAACAGACAAGCAGAAAGAACAATATAAAAATCACTCATAACCACTCATAGCCACCACCACCTTCAGACCATTATTAGTAACTTCCTTTTTGAGTATCCTATTCCTGTTTCGCAACTGGTAAATTAAAGATTCAAGAGTTTATGTGAATTCACCAAAGTTACAGAGGAAAAATTAGTTGCAGTGGTTGTTCTAGAGGCAATGGCAGATGTTTGAGGCCTCTTCCTCATTCACTCTGTATCAATCCAAGTACTCCCTTCCTTCCCATCTACCAATCTTGGTTTCTACCCACACACCCCTATAATTTTTGAAGCCACTGCTAGTTGGTAGTGGCGGATTCAGGGGATAGAACCAGTTCTTCTGTCTGGACCAGTCACTCTCATGCCTAAACTTATAAGCAAAATGAATTGCCATTGGTATCTCATGTTTCGATCTTGCTTCAGGGCACTACTTTAGAATATGGACAGTTAATGCAAATTAATACAGTTATCAGCCCTACTGAAATCCATCGAATCTTAGTAAACTAAGGTCTTGTTTGCTAGATTTGCTATTTAAAAAAGAAAAAAGATACAGTAAGGGAATAAAATAGATGCCAACTTGGCATTATTCTTTCAGTGATAAATAAAATATTCTGACAGAGGAGTTCCTGATTAAAGATGCAAGGACCCTGTCATGCTAACTGCAGCTGATTTCCTGCCTTGAAATGTCTTCCTGCTTGTGTCACTGCCAGTGACTGACAGCTGGCTTAATAATTAAATTCAAGCAATGTTTGCTTTTCTTGACCTTTACTGGGAAACAAATTTTCAAGCTCTGGACATGAGTAGAGTGTTTTAATTTGGGGAGAATAATGTGTTTGCATCATTTCCAGCAACCTGTGTCTGTGATTACCTGTGTTATTTTACATTCCACTTCACAGCGGACTTCTAGAGGGTGGCTGGTAGTTGAAGTCACTCGGTAATTAATATCCAGCTTTGGCTCCCTGCACATGTTTCACCCAAAAGAGGGCATTTTTGTTTCTGGTAGACTTAATAAGGGCTCTGGCAGCCCACTGTTCTCAAGTGTATCCAAAGCCAATTTATTTTGAACATCTAGGTTTTTCATAGTCTGTTAAGGTCTTTAGTCATTCTTGCTTATAAGAACAAATCGTTTTCTCCAGTTGTAACCTTGATTTACTTGCCTTTCTTTACTTACATGCTTTTTGTTTTGTTTTCTTTTTGTTTTTGTATATGCTCTCCATCGCCCTCTACCGGGGCAGACAGGGTGGTGTAGCAGCAAAGAGCTCCCAGACCTGGGTGAGCTTCAGATTTTTATCTGGAAAATGGGGATAACACACCCATCTTGTAGAAGTGTTGAAAGGATGAGGAGAAAATATGTATGTAATGTGTCCATCAAGTGCTTAGCACATGGTGTGGTGGCACTAGATACATGTAACTGCAGCTGTTATTTTCTTTTTCTCTTTTTTTCCAAGTTATCAGCATTTATTTATTTTTATTTATCAACTTCTATTTTCAGTTCCAGGGTACATGTGCGGGATATGCAGGTTTGTTACATAGGTAAACGTGTGCCATGGTGGTTTGCTGCACAGATCAACCCATCACCTAGGTATTAAGCCCAGCACCCATTAGCTGTTCTTCCTGATGCTCTCCCTCTTGACAGGCCTCAGCCTGTGTCGTTCCCCACCCACCCCATGTGTCCATGTGTTCTCATCATTCAGCTCCTACTTATAAGTGAGAACATGTGGTGTTTGGTTTCTGTTCCTGCATTAGTTTGCTGAGGATAACAGCTTCCAGCTCCATCCATGTCCCTGCAAAGAACATGATCTCATTCTTTTTTATGGCTGCATAGTATTCCGTGGTGTATATATACCACATTTTCTTTATCCAGTCTATTATTGATGGGCATTTGGGTTGATTCCATGTCTTTGCTACTGTGAGTAATGCAGCTGTTATTTTCTTGTGTATCCAAAGTCCTCTTTGTGACCTTTCTTTCCCTTACTTTGTGGGCTCTGCAGGTTGCCCTCTTCTTTGAAATCCCAGCACCCTTTTCTCAAATCTTTCAAAGAGAATCAATTGCTTGGGAGAAAATTTCCCTTCCTTATCAGGATCAGTTTGGCTATTGCAGAACATGCTGGGGTTCTTTCTTTGTCTGGTTGGTACCTAGCTTGGATTTTCTCCAGTCCTCCCATGTTAGTGGAGGGTGTAGCCTTCAAGAATACAGCTGCCTATGGGAGGCAGCCTCATCTTTAAATGAAATTTCTGAGTCTAAGGACAAGTAAGGATGAGCCTATGTTTAGCCTATGTTTAGGGATGTCCAGATATGTTATGTACAGTGAGGGTGACTATAATTCAACACCACATTGGAACACTTCTGAAAATGAAAGAGAACACTAAAATCTTTTAAAATGCTTTTAAAATACTTATTTATTAAACAACAAATTTTTTTTTGTTGTATTAGCAGACCTGCAAAATAGTTTTATTCAAATCATTTTTCAAAAATGAAATCCTTTTAAAAATATAAATACATCTGTGTCTATAATTAGCCCAAATTTAAAATTTCATTATGTTTTTAAATTTAAAAAAATAATACAAGCAGAATATTTATTCTTCATACATATTCTTGTACTTGAATCAGTTTCTTAACCATATTTGTCTCTAATTCTGTGACAGTAGTATTTTACTAAAGAATGTATTTTTTAAAATATGATCTAATTTTTAATTTTTTCATAAAATTATCTGAAGTCTTGTTCACAGTTGTCATTTATGGTTAATGAATTTGAAATTGTTTATGCCTTCATTTGTTTCTTCTCTGCAGAACATAATATCGTTAATGGAGAAAATACTCTCAGTATAGATATTGAAGTACCCAGTAAGCTTAAAGAAAATTATTCTAAATGGAGGCTATTCCCAAATCTATTTTGTTTTATATTGAAATGAAACAATATGTCAACCCCAACATTTTCAGAGGTACTGTCTTTTACCTGTATTCAGAATATTTTTTCTTAAGAAATGTTTTTACATAACAGACACATCAAATATAAGTTGTCTGTATAAGCTTTTGGAGTCTTTTAGCAGAGTTTCAGATGTTATAAAAATCATAGCCCTATTCGGCTCAAAATAAAGGGATGGAGGAAGATCTACCAAGCGAATGGAAAACAAAAAAAGGCAGGGGTTGCAATCCTAGTCTCTAATAAAACAGACTTTAAACCAACAAAGATCAAAAGAGACAAAGAAGGCCATTACATAATGGTAAAGGGATCAATTCAACAAGAAGAGCTAACTATCCTAAATATATATGCACCCAATACAGGAGCACCCAGATTCATAAAGCAAGTCCTTAGAGACCTACAAAGAGACTTAGACTCCCACACAATAATAATGGGAGACTTTAACATCCCACTGTCAACATTAGACAGATCAACGAGACAGAAAGTTAACAAGGATATCTAGGAATTAAACTCAGCTCTGCACCAAGCGGACCTAATAGACATCTACAGAACTCTCCACCCCAAATCAACAGAACATACATTCTTCTCAAGACCACACCTCACTTATTCCAAAATTGACCACATAGTTGGAAGTAAAGCACTCCTCAGCAAATGTAAAAGAACAGAAATTGTAAAAAACTGTCTCTCTGACCACAGTGCAATCAAACTAGAACTCAGGATTAAAAAACTCACTCAAAACCGCTCAACTACATGGAAACTGAACAACCTGCTCCTGAATGACTACTGGGTACATAATGAAATGAAGGCAGAAATAAAGATGTTCTTTGAAACCAACGAGAACAAAGACACAACATGCCAGAATCTCTGGGACACATTTAAAGCAGTGCTTAGAGGGAAATTTATAGCACTAAATGTCCACAAGAGGAAGCAGGAAAGATCTAAAATTGACACCCTAACATCACAATTAAAAGAACTAGAGAAGCAAGAGCAAACACATTCAAAAGCTAGCAGAAGGCAAGAAATAACTAAGATCAGAGAAGAACTGAAGGAGATAGAGACACAAAAAAACCCTTCAAAAAATCAGTGAATCCAGGAGCTGGTTTTTTGAAAAGATCAACAAAATTGATAGACCACTAGCAAGACTAATAAAGAAGAAAAGAGAGAAGAATCAAATAGACACAATAAAAAATGATAAAGGGGATATCACCACTGATCCCACAGAAATACAAACTACCATGAGAGAATACTATAAACACCTCTACGCAAATAAACTAGAAAATCTAGAAGAAATGGATAAGTTCCTCGACACATACACCCTCCCAAGACTAAACCAGGAAGAAGTTGAATCCTGAATAGACCAATAATAGGCTCTGAAATTGAGGCAATAATTAATAGCTTACCAACCAAAAAAGTCCAGGACCAGATGGATTCACAGCCAAATTCTACCAGAGGTATAAGGTGGAGCTGGTACCATTCCTTCTGAAACTATTCCAATCAACAGAAAAAGAGGGAATCCTCCCTAACTCATTTTATGAGGCCAGCATCATCCTGATACCAAAGCCTGGCAGAGACACAACAAAAAAGAGAATTTTAGACCAATATCCCTGATGAATATCGATGGAAAAATTCTCAATAAAATACTGGCAAATCGAATCCAGTAGCACATCCAAAAGCTTATCCACCATGATCAAGTGGGCTTCAGCCCTGGGATGCAAGGCTGGTTCAACATACACAAATCAATAAACGTAATCCAGCATATAAACAGAACCAGAGACAAAAACCACATGATTATCTCAATAGATGCAGAAAAGATGTTGAATTTTGACAAAATTCAACAGCCCTTCATGCTAAAAACTCTCAATAAAATAGGTATTGATGGGATGTATCTAAAAATAATAAGAGCTATTTATAACAAACCCACAGCCAATATCATACTGAATGGGCAAAAACTGGAAGCATTCCCTTTGAAAACTGACACAAGACAGGGATGCCCTCTCTCACCACTCCTATTCAACATAGTGTTGGAAGTTCTGGCCAGGGCAATCAGGCAGGAGAAAGAAATAAAGGGTATTCAATTAGGAAAAGAGGAAGTCAAATTTTCCCTGTTTGCAGATGACATGATTCTATATCTAGAAAACCCCATTGTCTCAACCCAAAATCTCCTTAAGCTGATAAGCAACTTCAGCAAAGTCTCAGGATACAAGATCAATGTGCAAGAATCACAAGCATTTTTATATACAAATAACAGAAAAACAGAGAGCCAAATAATGAGTGAACTCCCATTCACAATTGCTTCAAAGAGAATAAAATACCTAGGAATCCAACTTACAAGGGATGTGAAGGACCTCTTCAAGGAGAACTACAAACCACTGCACAACAAAATAAAAGGACACAAACAAATGGAAGAACATTCCATGCTCATGGATAGGAAGAATCAATATCGTGAAAATGGCCATACTGCCCAAGGTAATTTGTAGATTCAATGCCATCCCCATCAAGCTACCAATGACTTTCTTCACAGAATTGGAAAAAACAACTTTAAAGTTCATATGGAACCAACAAAGAGCCTGCATTGCCAAGTCAATCCTAAGCCAAAAGAACAAAGCTGGAGGCATCACACTACCTGACTTCAAACTATACTACAAGGCTACAGTAACCAAAACAGCATGGTACTCTTACCAAAACATAGATATAGACCAATGGAACAGAACAGAGCCCTCAGAAATAATACCACACATCTACAACTATCTGATCTTTGACAAATCTGACAAAAACAAGAAATGGGAAAAGGATTCCCTGTTTAACAAATGGTGCTGGGAAAAACTGGATCCCTTCCTTACACCTTATACAAAAATAAATTCAAGATGGATTAAAGACTTAAATGATAGACCTAAAACCATAAAAACCCTAGAAGAAAACCTAGGCAATACCTTTCAGGACATAGGCATGGGCAAGAACTTCATGTCTAAAACACCAAAAGCAATGGCAATGAAAGCCAAAATTGACAAATAGGATCTAATTAAACTAAAGGGCTTCTGCACAGCAAAAGAAACAACCATCAGAGTGAACAGGAAACCTACAGAATGGGGGAAAATTTTTGCAATCTACTCATCTGACAAAGGGCTAATATCCAGAATCTACAAAGAACTCAAACAAATTTACACGAAAAAGCAACCCCATCAAAAAGTGGGCGAAGGATATGAACAGACACTTCTCAAAAGAAGACATTTATGCAGCCAACAGACACATGAAAAACTGCTCATCATCACTGGCCATCAGAGAAATGCAAATCAACACCACAATGAGATATCATCTCACACCAGTTAGAATGGTGATCATTAAAAAGTCAGGAAACAACAGATGCTGGAGAGGATGTGGAGAAACAGGAACACTTTTACACTGTTGGTGGGACTGTAAACTAGATCAACCATTGTGGAAGACAGTGTGGCGATTCCTCAGGGATCTAGAACTAGAAATACCATTTGACCCAGCCATCCCATTACTAGGTATATACCCGAAGGAATATAACTCATGCTGCTATAAACACACATGCACATGTATGTTTATTGCAGCACTACTCACAATACCAAAGACTTGGAACTAACCCAAATGTCCAACAATGATAGACTGGATTAAGAAAATGTGGCACATATACACCATGGAATACTATGCAGCCATAAAAAAGGATGAGTTCATGTCCTTTGCAGGGACATGGATGAAGCTGGAAACCATCATTCTCAGCAAACTACCGCAAGGACAAAAAACCAAACACCACATGTTCTCACTCATAGGTGGGAATTGAACAGTGAGAATACTTGGATGCAGGAAGGGGAACATCACACACTGGGACCTGTTGTAGGGTTGGGGGAGTGGGGAGGGATAGCATTAGGAGATATACCTAATGTAAATGACGAGTTAATGGGTGCAGCACACCAACATAGCACATGTATACATATGTAACAAACCTGCACATTGTGCACATGTACACTAGAACTTAAAGTATAATTTAAAAATATATATATATATATATAAATCATAGGCCCATTCAATTTCATTTCATTCCAGCACAGGGTATACAATTATCTAATTATAAGTAGGAGCTCCATCAGAAAATTCTTTTCTCAGGAACCAAAAAGCTATAAGACATACAGAAAACAATTAACAAAATAGCAGTAGTAAATTCTTCCCTATCCGTAATTATATTAAATGTAAGTGGTTAAACTCTCCAACCAAAATACATAGATTGGCTGAATGAATAACAAACCATGATTCTACTATATGCTCTCTCACTTTAGAGACAAAAAAGACTCATTTTAGATTTAAGGACATGCATAGGTTGAAATTAAACACACGGAAAAAATATTCCTTGCAAATTGTAACCAAAAGTGATGGAATAGCATACTACTACTATCACACAGAATAGACTTTAAGTCAAAGACTGTTACAAGAGAGAAAAAGAACATTGTTAATGATAAAAAGATTAATTTACCAAGAGGATATAACAATTATAAATATATATGCACCAACATCAGAGCTCCTAAGTATACAAAATAAACACTGAAAGAATTGAAAGGAGAAATAGATCTACAATAATAGGAAACTTCAATACCTCAATTTCAGTAATGGAGAGAACAGCTTATAAAAGATCAATAAGCAAACTAAAGGACATGAACAACACTATAGACCTATTGGTACTGACAGACATATATAGACCATCAACCCACAGGAATAAGATACACATTTTTCTCAGGTGCGCATTCTCCACAACAGACCATGTTAGTCCACAAAATAAGTCTTAACAAATTTAAGAAAATTTAAATCATACAAAGTATCTTTTCCAATTACAATGGAATGAAATTAGAAATGAATAGCGAAGGACAAAACTTCAGCTTAACTAAGAAAAAACGAGAGAAGACCCAACTAAAATAAAAAATAAAACAGGAGCCATTACAGCCAATTTTACAACAATAAGGATTATAAGATAATACTGTGAACACTTGTACATTAACAAATTTGGTAACCTAGAAGAAATGAATAATTTCCTAGAAGCACACAGCCTACCAAGACTGAATCATGAAGAAACAGAAATTGTGAACTGATTCATAACTAGTAAAGGGGATTGAGTCAGTAATAAAAAACCTGCCAACAAAGAAAATCCCAGGACCAGATGGCTTCACTGGTGAATTCTACCAAACATTTAAAGAAGAATAGACACCAGTCCTCCTCAATCTCTTCCAATATATCGAAGAGGAGGGGCCACTTCCAAACTCATTTTGATACCAAAGCCAGACAAACACACTACAAGAAAAGAAAATTACAGCCTGAGATCCCTGATGAAGACTGATGCAGAAAAAGCATTTGACAAAATTCAATACCCTCTAATGAACAAAACACTCAACAAAATAGGAACAGAAGAAAACTACCTCAACATATAAAGGTCATAAATGAAAACCACACAGCTAACATACTCAGTGGTGAAAGACCAAAAGCTTTTCCTCTAAGAACAGGAACAAAATAAAAATACTTGTTTTTAGTACTTCTGTAACATAGTACTGGAAGTCCTAGCTGGAGTAATCAGGCAAGTTTTTTAAAAAGCATCAAAATTGGAAAGGAAGAAGAAGTAAAATTACTTCTGTTTACTGTCAACATGATCTTACATGTAGAAAACCCTAAAGATGCCACAAAAACTATTAGAACTAATAAGTTCAGCAAAGTTGTGGGATGTAAAATCAACACACAAAAATCAGTTGTATTTCTGTACACTAACAATACACAATCTGAAAACAAAATTAAGAAAACAATTCCATTTACAATAGCATCAAAAAGAATAAAATATTTCAGAATAAAGTTAAAGAAGTAAAAGACTTACACACTGAAAACTATAAACATTGCTGAGAAAAATTAAAGAGGACAAAAATAAATGGGAAGATATTCTGTGTTCATAGATTAGAAGACTTAATATCACCAAGATGCCAACACTTCCAAAGGGATCTACAAATTTAATGCAATCCTTGTCAAAATATCAATGATATTTTTTGCAGAAATAGAAAAATCCATCCTAAAAGTCATATATTTCAATTCTCAAAGCATCTCAGATAGCCAAAACAATATTGAAAAAGATCAAGGCTGGAGGTTTCACACTTTCTGATTTCAAAACTTATTACAAAGCTACGGTAATCCAAACAGTGTGGTACTGGCATAACACAGACATACAGACCAATGTAATAGACTAGAGAGCTCAGAAATAAATTATCATATATATGGTCATATAATTTTTAACAACAGTGTCAAGACAGTTCAGTGGAGAAAGAATAGTTTTTTCAACAAATAGTGCTGGAAAAATGCAAAATAATGAGGTTGGATGCCTACTTCATACCATATTCAAAAATTCACTTAAAAGGATTTAAAGAACCTAAACACAAAACCTGCAACTATAAAACCCTTAGCAGAAAACATAAGGACAAAACTTCGTGCCATTAGATTTGGGAATAATTTCTTGAATATGACACCAAAGCACAAGCCACCAAAGTGAAAATAGACAAATTGGACTGCATCAAAATAAAAAACTTCTGTGCACGAAAGGATGTAATCAACAACACAAAAGCAACCTATAGAATGGTAGAAAATATTTGCAAATATTATATCTGATAAGGGTTTAATGTTGAGAATATGTAAAGAATGCCTACAACTCAACAACAAAAATACAAATAACCATTCAAAAGTGGGCAATCGACTTGAATAAACATTTTACTAAAGAAGATATACAAATGATCAACAAGCATATGAAAAGATGCTCAGAATCACTACTCATTAGGTAAATGCAAATCAAAACCTCATATCTATTAGGATGGCTACTATCAAAACCAAATAAAACAAAATAATAAGCATTGATGAGGATGTGGAAAAATTGGAACTCCTGTGTGCACTGCTGATAGGAAAGTAAAATGGTGCAGCCGCTGTGGAAAACACTATGTTATAAAAAAAAATGTTTCTCAAAAAATTAAAGATGGAATTATTGTATGATTCAACAATACCACTTCTGGGCATATTTCCGAAAGTATTGAAAGCAGGATCTCAAAGAGATATTTGTACACTCATGTTTATAGTGTCACTATTCATTATAGTCAAGAAGTGGAAGCAGCTCATGTTCACTGACAGATGATTGGATAAACAACATGTCATATACATTCGATGGAATATTATTCAGCCTCAAAACAAAAGGAATTCTGACACATGCTGCAGCATAAATAACCCTTGAAGACATCATGCTGTGTAAAATAAGCCAGTTACAAAGCGATTGCATGATTCTACTTATATGAGGTAGCTTGGGTAGTCAAATTAAAAAAGAACAGTGATTTCAGAGGCTGAGACTAGTGGGAAAATGGGGAGTTGTTTAATGAATATGGAATTTCAATTTTGCAAGATGAAAAAGATCTGGAGATTAGATGCAAAACAATTTGAAAATACTTAACATAACTGAGGCTGTACACTTAAACATTGTTAAGATGGCAAATTTTATTTTATGTGTTTTTTCCACAGTTAAAAAAATAAAAAGGCTCTTCTCACAGGTAGAGATATTCCAAAGCATTATCAGAGTTAAAGCTCTCATTTAATTTTTCCCTTTCTCCAGATTTGAAAGAAATAAATGTCAACATTTCTGTTTAGGAGCTTTGTTTTCAATAATTGTAATTTTCTAAACATTTCAAAAAATTTTTTTGATGATAATTTATTCAATAGGTCCTTTATTGGTGGGTATGTCAGATGCTTCTAGTCTTTATTAAAAATAATTCCACAAATGTAACCTCATACATGTATTATTTCATAATTATGGAAGCATACCTTCAGGGTAAATTTCTAGATGTGGGATTGCTAGGTCAAGGGGAAAATATAATTTCACTCTGTATTGCCAAATTGCCCTCCTTGGGACTTGTACCATGTTGCAAAAAGTTTCAAAATTTAAGTCGTTTTGGTGTTATAGTCATTGAATAATTAGACTTTAAATTGTTTATGCTCAAAATGCAATCAAAATTTAGAGGAAGTATTAAAAATTCTAATACATTTCTGAGACAAGTTGATTTATGAAGTAGTTTTTCAAAGGCACAAACATTTCTAGAATCTGATTAATAACAGAAAACAAAGAGAAAAAGTACTGGATGCCAACCTAAAGAGTTTCTTTTTAACTGAATGCCTGATGCCAACCTAAAGAGTTTTTTTTAACTGAATGATATTATCAATGTAAAGATGTTGTATTTATGTTATTCTGTGTATATATGTAATATTTATAAATGGTGCCAACTGTGGCTTCCATTTGTTTTTTAGAATATTGCAAATTTGATTATAATTATGAATTTGTGTGCAGAAACCTAATTTTGTATGTTTCTGCTCCATAAGTTTCTTAAGAAGAACATTGCTTTTACCATAATACTATGCTTCATTAAAATTTAGATGGACACACACAATAAGTACTTCTATTTTCATTGTTGAACTTATTACTTGGATTTATAATAACATTTACAATAATTTCAAATGTTTTCCTTTGCTAGAATAAACTTCCAAAAACTTTACTATAATTCTGAATGTTGAAAAAGAAAAGATTAAACCTTTGTTGGAATCAGCTCAACTGAATTTCATTTGGACTTATTTGAGGACACCAATATAAAATGTTTATATATAATTTTTCTTTTATAAATGGAGCCAATACATTAATAGCTATTGCTTTATTTTTTGCACACACCAAAAAACTTTCAATTAAAACAGAGTTAATTAACTTAAAAGAATGGTTGATCTAAATGAAAAGTCATACATCAGGGAGTAATAAGTAAATGCATCTTCTACCATTGGAAGTGGCAAATTGGACACAGTCTTCTTAAAATAACTTCTGTCTCCTGTAGTTGATTCTGATGCTTTTCCAGCAGATTTGTATCTTCTTGTTTTCATGTGGTCAGTGATGTCACTGTGGCCCCCATTTCAATTATCATCAACTTCCCTAACTTACTTGGAACATTTTGCAGGCCACAGCATGGGCCATGTCACAACTGGCTGGTTTATTAAGTAGTCACCATAAACACTAACACTCAATACTTCTACCCTCACCGGAAGACCTGAGGCATTTGATAAACCTCAAGTCTAGTTATCTCTTACAGCTTAACCTATTTACATTGCCTTCTAGGCAGACATGTAGGTTTGAAACTCCTGGTTATAAAATGTTTTATGGCATCCAGACTTGTTAAGGTGAATATTTGTTTCTAGTCTTTTGGGTTTCTCTAGGTGATTTCAAATACCTCTAATATGCATCCACTTACTTTCTCAAGTACCTGAAATGAAAGCAAAGTGATGTTCCCCTTCCTGCTGTGGAAGTTAAAGGTACTAAATGACAGCATAGAATTTGGACCTACATTTGTGTAGCGTTGATAAGACCAAACACCAGGTCCTGGGGGCGAAGAAAAAGACAGTTTGAGAGAGAAAGTGGGAAACGGGGCCATCACGAGTGTGGAGGCTGCGAAGGCCCTGAGCTCTGGGAGCTCATGCTATTTATTGGTGCTCAAACAAAGAAACAAGTGGTGAGGATGTGGGGATTGAAAGGAAATGGTGTATCAAGTGAATGAGAAATATATGGCTGCTTGAGATAATGGTAGTGCTAGAAGCAAGGAGCCAGAAAGTCTAGCAGACATGCAAGCCCTGCCTCAGTTTCTCTCCCAGCACTCTTTTCTCCCAACGTGCCCCCTTCTCTTTTTTATAAAATCGCCACAGCTATCATTATTACTAGCATAAGGTGGCCTTTTTTAAAAAAATTAATTGAGCAAGGCAATTGCAGGATGTGTAGCCCTTAATTGCTGGTTGGTGGTCCAGCTTCATTTTTCTTAGCCCTTATTCAAAATGGAGTCACTCTGGTTTGAATGCTTCCCACATGTCTCCCCTTTCCCTTTTACAACCTAGGGGTTGCAGAAGGATGAAAGTCTGTCTTCTGTAACTTCTTCATGCTGAATAGGGGCGATGATACTCCTGCCTACCTATTAGGGTCTGTTGTATTCAGGGTAGAGAGGAGTTCAGTCAGAAAGCATTGGTCCGTTAAGCATCTACAGGTAAAACCCTGGTGCTCCAGCAGTTTCTCAGCATGGCTTGTACTGGGGGAACCTGGTCCATGGTTGGGATCCATGGGTCCTTCCAGTCTCCTGTTCCATGGTTGTACACATCTTGAGGGTACCTACATGGTTTGCTCATCTCCTGCAAAAACACAAGCATACCCTCACCCCCACGTTAGTAAATCTACTGAAACAGAAGCAAAAACTTTTGTGGCTGTAGCTGGGAGGCATGCCATTGCTGAAGCATTTGTAACTCAGCTTCTGCCTCTTTGGTTAATTACCACAGGGTAAAACTTACCGTTGATACTGAGAAGCAGGCCCCTTCTAACAGAAGGCACAGAGAAAGCAAACTGAAGCTTATTCTTAAAGATTAACTTAAGAATACATTTGTCAAATTTAATAAGGAATTCTATTCGAATTTTTAATGGGAATGAATTAAATGTACAATTTAATGTGGGAAGTGCTAATATATTTACAAAATTTAATCTCAACCAGGTGTCCTGACCCCTTCCATCTACTCAGTTCTTTTTTCATGTCCATTTTCATTATAGTGTTCTTGTCTTGCACATTTCTTGTTACTCTTATTTTTAAGTACTTTATAATTATTTTTACCTTTGTGAATGAAACATTTTCTGATTAGTTATTGCTATTGCTATGAATAAGGAAACAACTTAATTTTCCTATGCTGATCTTTTATTGGGCCATTAAATAAGCTGCCTTAATAGTTTTAATATGCATTTCAATATATTCTTAGAGACTTTCTTTTTTTATAATTTCAGCTTTTATTTTAGATTTGGGGGTATGTGGGTGGATTTGTCAATTGGTATGTTGTGTGATGCTGAGGTCTGAGGTGTGAATGATCCTGTCACTCATGTACTGAGCTGGGTATAATATGTAGTTTTTCAACCTTTGCTCCCTTCCCTCCCTCTGCTAGTAGTCCATAGTGTCTGTTGTTTTGTCCATGTGGATCCAATGTTTAGGTACCACTTATAAATGAGAACATGTGGTATTTGTTTTTTTGTTTCTGTGTTAATTTGCTTAGGATATGGCCTCCAGCTATATCCATGCTCCTGTAAAAGATATTATGTCATTCTTTTTATTGTTGTGTATATTTCATGGTGTATAGAAATAAATATGTACCACATTTTCTTTATCAAATCCACTGTTTATGGGCAACAAGGCTGATTCCATGTCTTTGCTATTGTGAATAGTGCTGCAATGAACACACAAGTGTATGTGTATTTTTGGTATAATGATTTATTTTCCTTTGTGTATATACCCAGTAATGGGACTGCTGGGTTGAATGGTAGTTCTGTTTTAAGTTCTTCAAGAAATCTTCAAACTGCTTTCCACAGCTACTGAACTAATTTACATTCCCACCAATAGTATATAAATGTTCCTTTTCTCCACAGCCTCACCAGCATCTGTTGTTTTTTGACTTTTTAATAATAGGCCTTCTGACTGGTGTGAGATGGTATCTTGTTGTTGTTTCAATTTGCATTTGTCAGATGATTAGTAATGATGAGCATTTAAAAATATATTTATTGGCCACTTGCATTGAGAAGTGATTATTCACGTCTTTCGCACATTTTTAAATGGGGTTGTTTTATTTGTTTTTTGCTTGTTGAATTGTTAAATTTCCTTATAGATTCTGGATATTCCACCTTTGTCAGATGATAGTTTGCAAATATTTTCTCCCATTATGTAGGTTGTCTATTTGCTCTGTTGATAGTTTCTTTTGCTTTACAGAAACTGTTTAGTTTAACTGTCAATTTTTTGTTTTGTTGCAACTGCTTTTGAGGACTTAGTCATAAATTCCTTTCCAAGGCCCATGTTCAGAATGGTATTTCATAGGTTTTCTTCTAGAATTTTTATAGTTCGAGGTCTTATGCTTAAATCATTAATCCATCTTCAGTTTATTTTTGTATATGGTGAAAGGTAAATGTCCAGTTTCATTCTTCTGCATATGGCTAGCTAGGTATCCCAGCACTATTTGTTGAATGGGAAGTCATTTTCCCATTGTTTCTTTTTGTCAGCTTTGTCAAAGATTAGATGGCTGTAGGTAAGTAGCTTTATGACTGGGTTCTCTATTCCAAATTTGAGATCGTTCTAACTTCTTGATGTAAGCATTTAGCACTATAAACTTCTCTCTTAACACTGCTTTTGTTTTCATTGCATTCCAGATATTTTGGTAGTTTATATGGCTATTTTGTACCAGCACCATGCTGTTTTGGTTTCTGTAGCCTTATATACTTTGAAGTTGGGTAATGTGATGCTTTCAGCTTTGTTCTTTTTGTTTAGGATTATCTTGGCTATTGAGGATCTTTTTTGGTTCCATATGAATTTTAGATAGTTTTTTCTAATTCTGTGAAAAATAACATTGGCAGTTTGATAGGAATAGCATTGACTCTGTAGATTGCTTTGTGCAGTTGGACCATTTTAATGATATTCTTTCAATCCATGAGCATGGAATGTCTTTCCATTTGGTAGTGTCATCTGTGATTTCTTTCAGCAGTGTTTTGGATTTCTCCTTGTAGATATATTTTATCTCCTTGGTTTTTGTATTTCTAAGTATTTTATTTTTGGGTGGCTATTGTAATTGAGATTGTATTCTTTATTTGGCTCTCAGCTTGAACATTATTGGTGTCTAGAAATGCTAATGCCTGTTGAAATTGATTTTGTAGCCTGAAACTTTAGTGAGGTCATTTATCGGTTATAGGAGCCTTTTGGTGGAATCTTTAGAGTTTTCTAGGTATAGAATCATATCATCAGCAAAGAGACATATTTTGACTTCTTTTTCTATTTGGATGCTTTTTATTTCTTTCTCTTGTCTTATTGCTCTGGCTAGGACTTCTATTACTATGTTGAATAGGAGTGGTGAGAGAGGGGAGCCTTGTCTTCTTCCTGTTCTTAAGGGGAGTACATTCAGCTTTTGCCCATCCAGTATGATGTTGGCAGTGGGTTTATCATAGATGGCTCTAATTATTTTGAGATAAGTTCCTTTGATGCCTAGTCTGTTGAGCATTCTTATTATGAAGGGATGTTGGATTTTATCAAAAACTTTTCCCTGCATCTATTGAGATAATCATATGGTTTTTGTTTTTAATTTTCTTTTTTTCTTTTTTTTTTTGAGACAGAGTCTCGCTCTGTCACCCAGACTGGAGTGCAGTGGTGCAATCTCAGCTCACTGCAAGCTCCGCCTCCTGGGTTCACGCCATTCTCCTGCCTCAGCCTCCCGAGTAGCTGGGACTACAGGCACCCGCCACCATGCCCAGCTAATGTTTTTGTATTTTTAGTAGAGACAGGGTTTCACTGGAGTGGTGAATCTCAGGCATATGTATAATGAAAACATTCCTCAGGTGATTCTGATGCAAAACTCATTAAAAATCACATTTCTAGAGGTAACAAAATAAACCCTCAGGAACACTCTTGGTCCTGTAGGGAAGTCAAAGATGGCTTCCATCCACCCTTCTTGGTTCTTAGGCTGAGCTGTGAATTAAATTGACATAACACAGATTCACAGGAAAAAAGGTATACAAATTCATTATGTGCAGAGGCGGGGGCACAGTGGGGCAGAGGCATCACATGAAAGAAAAAAGAATACCCAAAACTCAGTGGGATCTGGAAGCTTATATACCCTCTTCAGTGGGGTGAGGGGATGTAGGCAACTTAGAGTGGAGTAAATGAGTTTTGAGGAAGGTGAATGGGCCATCAGAAGTGTAGTTGCGGTCTGTGACCAAGTTTGTCTATGCATGGTTTGCCAACCCCAGTCTCCTCTGCTGTGATGTGAGCCAGTCTTCCCTGGTTGATGACAACTGAGTTCCTTCTGGAGGATCTCTCTGTAGGCCGATAAGGAAAGCAGATAGAGGGAGCTTAGAGACAGCCCCTCCCTGCATTTGCTGTTCTCCAAGTACCCTCAGTTTGAAGTAATCAGCATATGAAAGTGGCATATTTTGAGATGGCATTTCCTGCTCTCAGGTAATAAAAGTTGTTTTTGAGCATCCCTCTTCCTGATATAGGTACTTTATTAATGTAGATTTCCTTTATAGATGTAAATTTATTTTGCAATAGAACAGCTTTTCAAGGACTCCTGTGACTGCAGTTTCTCAGAATAACCAGTTTGAAATACGTCAAAGAAGTATATTTTCAGGTGGCATATTCTGGTCTCCTATAGTCATATTTTGTGGTGTTGTGTCTTAAGTCCCAGCAGTTCCCCATAACAAAGCTGAGAATTGGGATGCCACATTCAGTCCTGTTTTTAATCCTGTTCTTCACATTCCTGCTTCATTTACCTCACCAAAATGGAAAGGGTATAAGTTTCAAATTCTAGAACCATGAGTTCAGATTCTGGCTCTGCTGTTTACTACCTTTGTGACTGTGGGACATTACTCTCTCTCTTTAGTATACACTGGAGCTAATGAGAGAATTGTGTTAATCCATTTTGCATTGCTATAAAGGAATGCCTGAGACTGGGTAATTAATAAAGAAAAGTAGTTTGTTTGGCTCATGGTTCTGTGGGCTGTGCAAGCATGGCACCAGCATCTGCTCAGCTTCTGGTGAGGCCTCAGGAAGCTTTCACTCATTGCAGAGAGTGGAGGGGGAGCAAAGGTGTCACGTGGTGAGAGAGAGGGGGGCGGGAAATGCCAGCCTCCCTTAAAATACCATTCCTGCTTGAACTAATAGAATGAGAACTCATCATTAGTGCAGGGAGGGCACCAAGCCATTCATGAGGGATCTGCCCTCATGACCCAAACACCTCCCACTAGGCCCCACCTCCAACACTGGGGATCACATTTCAACATGAGATTTGGAAGGGATAAGCATCCAAACTGTATCAAGGATCTACCTCTTAAAGTTGTGGTGAGTATGAAATGAATGATGTACATACAGTGCCAGCACATGGCAGGTGCTCAGTAACATTTGCTCCCTTCCTTGGCAGGGAATGGTGTCTGGACCCAGAGAATAACTGGATCTTCAAGGAAGGAAGAGAAATCTTCAGAAGAACATGGATTTTCCCCACTGGTAGTTAGTTGTCTCTTCCATATCCAGAAATAACTTGAACACGTTAGACGGGGCCACTGTGCATAGGTAAATTTTGACTATCTATTGTCTGGCTCAGTGAAAAACATTTAATGTTAACTGTTTTTAAAATCTGAAAAGCCTATGGGGCAGAGGGTGTAACAATGACTGATTAAGATTATGTTAATAGAAACAGATCCCAATGAAGTCCCCAAGAGAGGGTTCTTGGATCTCACACAAGAAAGAATTTGAGGCGAATCCATACAGTAAAGTGAAAGCAAGTTTATTAAGAAGGTAGAGGAATAAAAGAATGGTGGCTGGGCGCAGTGGCTCATGCCTGAAATCCCAGCACTTTGGGAGACCAAGGTGGGCAGATCTCCTGAGGCCAGGAGTTCAGGACCAGCCTGGCCAACATGATGAAACTCTGTCTCCACTAAAAATACAAAAAATTAATTTTGGTGGGTGCCTATAATCCTCTCTACTTGGGAGGCTGAGGCACAAGAATCTCTTGAACCCGGGAGGTGGAGGCTGCAGTGAGCTGAGATCGTGCCACTGCACTCCAGCCTGGGCAAAAGAGTGAGACTTCATTTCCCCTCCCCCCCACCAAAAAAAAAAAAAGAGAGAGAGAGAGCTAGACTGTCTAAGATGCAGTCATCTAAGTGGCATTACCAGGGCTTCTAAGTGAAGGCAGATACTTCTTGATTATATGCTAAAAAATGGTGGTTTCTTGAGTTTTCTGGGAAAGGGGTGGGAAATTTCCAGAACTGAGGGTTCCTCCCTTTTTTAGACCATGTAGGGTAACTTCCTGATATTGCCATGGCGTTTGTAAATTGTCATGGTGCTGGTAGAAGTGTCTTTTAGCATGCTAACGCATTATAATTAGTGTATAATAAGCCATGAGGATGACCAGAGATCACTCTCATCGTCATCTTAGTTCTAGTGGGTTTTGGCTGGCTTCTTTTCTGCAACCTGTTTTATTGGCAAGGTCTTTATGACCTGTATCTTGTGCCGACCTCCTATTTCATCCTGTGACTTAGAATGCCTAACCTCCTGGAAATACAGCCCAGTAGGTCTCAGCTTTCTTTTACCCAGCCTCTATACAAGATGGAGTCACTCTGGTTTAAATGCCTCTGACAATTACATAGGGTTGTGTTTTTAATCCACTAGCTACTCTTGCTGGAGCTTTTTCTGCTGATTACTCAAATTGCTGACCTTTGAGCTGGATCTCACTCCTTTCCTTAAAGGTTCCACAGGGCAGGACTTTGTGTCCCATAAAAATACTAGGCAGCCTGGTGATGCTCTGTAACCAAAACGCCTACCCCAGGCTCTGGACAGGATTTGGCATGTGTGATAGAACCTAAATGTTCATTTTCTGAGAAGACCACAGGAAAGGAAATAACAAATGGTTCAACATGTTAATTTTGTTTTTTTCTTTTATTTATTTATTTTTGATTGTTTTCTTTTTATTTATTTATTTATTATTATTATACTTTAAGTTTTAGGGTACATGTGCACAATGTGCAGGTTAGTTACATATGTATACATGTGCCATGCTGGTGCACTGCACCCACCAACTCGTCATCTAGCATTAGGTAAATCTCCCAATGCTATCCCTCCCCCCTCCCCCCACCCCAAAAGAGACCCCAGAGTGTGATGTTCCCCTTCCTGTGTCCATGTGTTCCCATTGTTCAATTCCCACCTATGAGTGAGAATATGCAGTGTTTGGTTTTTTGTTCTTGCGATAGTTTACTGAGAATGATGATTTCCAATTTCATCCATGTCCCTACAAAGGACATGAACTCATCCTTTTTTATGGCTGCATAGTATTCCATGGTGTATATGTGCCACATTTTCTTAATCCAGTCTATCATTGTTGGACATTTGGGTTGGTTCCAAGTCTTTGCTATTGTGAATAATGCCGCAATAAACATACATGTGCATGTGTCTTTATAGCAGCATGATTTATAGTCCTTTGGGTATATACTCAGTAATGGGATGGCTGGGTCAAATGGTATTTCTAGTTCTAGATCCCTGAGGAATCGCCACACTGACTTGCACAATGGTTGAACTAGTTTACAGTCTCACCAACAGTGTAAAAGTGTTCCTATTTCTCCACATCCTCTCCAGCCCCTGTTGTTTCCTGACTTTTTAATGATTGCCATTCTAACTGGTGTGAGATGGTATCTCATTGTGGTTTTGATTTGCATTTCTCTGATGGCCAGTGATGGTGAGCATTTTTTCATGTGTTTTTTGGCTGCATAAATGTCTTCTTTTGAGAAGTGTCTGTTCATGTCCTTCGCCCACTTTTTGATGGGGTTGTTTGTTTTTTTCTTGTAAATTTGTTTGAGTTCTTTGTAGATTCTGGATATTAGCCCTTTGTCAGATGAGTAGGTTGCGAAAATTTTCTCCCATTTTGTAGGTAGCCTGTTCACTCTGATGGTAGTTTGTTTTGCTGTGCAGAAGCTCTTTAGTTTAATGAGATCCCATTTGTCAATTTTGTCTTTTGTTGCCATTGCTTTTGGTGTTTTAGACATGAAGTCCTTGCCCATGCCTATGTCCTGAATGGTAATGCCTAGGTTTTCTTCTAGGGTTTTTATGGTTTTAGGCCTAACGTTTAAGTCTTTAATCCATCTTGAATTGATTTTTGTATAAGGTGTAAGGAAGGGATCCAGTTTCAGCTTTCTACATATGGCTAGCCAGTTTTCCCAGCACCATTTATTAAATAGGGAATCCTTTCCCCATTGCTTGTTTTTCTCAGGTTTGTCAAAGATCAGATAGTTGTAGATATGCGGTGTTATTTCTGAGCGCTCTGTTCTGTTCCATTGATGTATATCTCTGTTTTGGTACCAGTACCATGCTGTTTAGGTTACTGTAGCCTTGTAGTATAGTTTGAAGTCAGGTAGTGTGATGCCTCCAGCTTTATTCTTTTGGCTTAGGATTGACTTGGTGATGCAGGCTCTTTTTTGGTTCCATATGAACTTTGAAGTAGTTTTTTCCAATTCTGTGAAGAAAGTCATTGGTAGCTTGATGGGGGTGGCATTGAATCTGTAAATTTCCTTGGGCAGTATGGCCATTTTCATGAGATTGATTCTTCCTACCCATGAGCATGGAATGTTCTTCCATTTGTTTGTATCCTCTTTTATTTCCTTGAGCAGTGGTTTGTAGTTCTCCTTGAAGAGGTCCTTCACATCCCTTGTAAGTTGGATTCCTAGGCATTTTATTCTCTTTGAAGCAATTGTGAATGGGAGTTCACTCATGATTTGGCTCTCTGTTTGTTTGTTGTTGGTGTATAATAATGCTTGTGATTTTTGTACATTGATTTTGTATCCTGAGACTTTGCTGAAGTTGCTTATCAGCTTAAGGAGATTTTGGGCTGAGACAATGGGGTTTTCTAGATATACAGTCATGTCGTCTGCAAACAGGGACAATTTGACTTCCTCTTTTCCTAATTGAATACCCTTTATTTCCTTCTCCTGCCTAATTGGCCTGGCCAGAACTTCCAACACTATGTTGAATAGGAGTGGTGAGAGAGGGCATCTCCATCTTGTGCCAGTTTTCAAAGGGAATGCTTCCAGTTTTTGCCCATTCAGTATGATATTGGCTGTGGGTTTGTCATAGATAGCTCTTACTATTTTGAGATATGTCCCATCAATACCTAATTTATTGAGAGTTTTTAGCATGAAGCGTTGTTGAATTTTGTCAAAGGCCTTTTCTGCATCTATTGAGATAATCATGTGGTTTTTGTCTGTGATTCTGTTTATATGCTGGATTACATTTATTGATTTGCGTATATTGAACCAGCCTTGCATCCCAGGGCTGAAGCCCACTTGATCATGGTGGATAAGCTTTTTTGATGTGCTGCTGGATTCAGTTTGCCAGTATTTTATTGAGGATTTTTGCATCAGTGTTCATCAAGGATGTTGGTCTAAAATTCCCTTTTTTGGTTGTGTCTCTGCCTGGCTTTGGTATCAGGATGATGCTGGCCTCAGAAAATGAGTTAGGGAGGATTCCCTCTTTTTCTATTGATTGGAATAGTTTCAGAAGGAATGGTACCAGTTCCTCCTTGTACCTCTGGTAGAATTTGGCTGTGAATCCATCTGGTCCTGGACTCTTTTTGGTTGGTAAGCTATTGATTATTGCCACAATTTCAGCTCCTGTTATTGGTCTATTCAGAGATGCAACTTCTTCCTGGTTTAGTCTTGGGAGAGTGTATGTGTCGAGGAATTTATCCATTTCTTCTAGATTTTCTAATTTATTTGCGTAGAGGTGTTTGTAGTATTCTCTGATGGTAGTTTGTATTTCTGTGGGATCGGTGGTGATATCCCCTTTATCATTTTTTATTGCGTCTATTTGATTCTTCTCTCTTTTTTTCTTTATTAGTCTTGCTAGTGGTCTATCTATTTTGTTGATCCTTTCAAAAAACCAGCTCCTGGATTCATTAATTTTTTGAAGGGTTTTTGTGTCTCTATTTCCTTCAGTTCTGCTCTGATATTAGTTATTTCTTGCCTTCTGCTAGCTTTTGAATGTGTTTGCTCTTGCTTTTCTAGTTCTTTTAATTGTCATGTTAGGGTGTCAATTTTAGATCTTTCCTGCTTTCTCTTATGGGCATTTAGTGCTATAAATTTCCCTCTACACACTGCTTTGTATGTGTCCCAGAGATTCTGGCATGTTGTGTCTTTGTTCTCGTTGGTTTCAAAGAACATCTTTATTTCTGCCTTCATTTCGTTATGTACCCAGTAGTCATTCAGGAGCAGGTTGTTCAGTTTCCATGTAGTTGAGCAATTTTGAGTGAGATTCTTAATCCTGAGTTCTAGTTTGATTGCACTGTGGTCTGAGAGATAGTTTGTTATAATTTCTGTTCTTTTACATTTGCTGAGGAGAGCTTTACTTCCAAGTATGTGATCAATTTTGGAATAGGTGTGGTGTGGTGCTGAAAAAAATGTATATTCTGTTGATTTGGGGTGGAGAGTTCTGTAGATGTCTATTAGGTCCACTTGGTGCTGAGCTGAGTTCAATTCCTGGGTATCCTTGTTGACTTCCTGTTTCGTTGATCTGTCTAATGTTGACAGTGGGGTGTTAAAGTCTCCCATTATTAATGTGTGGGAGTCTAAGTCTCTTTGTAGGTCACTCAGGACTTGCTTTATGAATCTGGGTGCTCCTGTATTGGGTGCATATATATTTAGGTTAGTTAGCTCTTCTTGTTGAATTGTTCCCTTTACCATTATGTAATGGCCTTCTTTGTCTCTTTTGATCTTTGTTGGTTTAAAGTCTGTTTTATCAGAGACTAGGATTGCAACCCCTGCCTTTTTTTGTTTTCCATTTGCTTGGTAGATCTTCCTCCATCCTTTTATTTGGAGCCTGTGTGTGTCTCTGCATGTGAGATGGGTTTCCTGAATACAGCACACTGATGGGTCTTGACTCTTTATCCAATTTGCCAGTCTGTGTCTTTTAATTGGAGCATTTAGTCCATTTACATTTAAAGTTAATATTGTTATGTGTGAATTTGATCCTGTCATTATGATGTTAGCTGGTTATTTTGCTCATTAGTTCATGCAGTTTCTTCCTAGTCTCAATGGTCTTTACAATTTGGCATGATTTTGCAGCGGCTGGTACCAGTTGTTCCTTTCCATGTTTAGCACTTCCTTCAGGAGCTCTTTTAGGGCAGGCCTGGTGGTGACAAAATCTCTCAGCATTTGCTTGTCTGTAAAGTATTTTATTTCTCCTTCACTTATGAAGCTTAGTTTGGCTGGATATGAAATTCTGGGTTGAAAATTCTTTTCTTTAAGAATGTTGAATATTGGCCCCCACTCTCTTCTGGCTTGTAGAGTTTCTGCCGAGAGATCCGCTGTTAGTCTGATGGGTTTCCCTTTGAGGGTAACCCGACCTTTCTCTCTGGCTGCCCTTAACATTTTTTCCTTCATTTCAACTTTGGTGAATCTGACAATTATGTGTCTTGGAGTTGCTCTTCTCGAGGAGTATCTTTGTGGCGTTCTCTGTACTTCCTGAATCTGAATGTTGGCCTGCCTTGCTAGATTGGGGAAGTTCTCCTGGATAATATCCTGCAGAGTGTTTTCCAACTTGGTTCCATTCTCCCCGTCACTTTCAGGTACACCAATCAGACGTAGATTTGGTCTTTTCACATAGTCCCATATGTCTTGGAGGGTTTGCTCATTTCTTTTTATTCTTTTTTCTCTAAACTTCCCTTCTCACTTCATTTCATTCACTTCATCTTCCATCGCTGATACCCTTTCTTCCAGTTGATTGCATCAGCTCCTGAGGCTTCTGCATTCTTCATGTAGTTCTCCAGCCTTGGTTTTCAGCTCCATCAGCTCCTTTAAGCACTTCTCTGTATTGGTTATTCTAGTTAAACATTCTTCTAAACTTTTTTCAAAGTTTTCAACTTCTTTGCCTTTGGTTTGAATTTCCTCCCGTAGCTCAGAGTAATTTGATCGTCTGAAGCCTTCTTCTCTCAGCTCGTCAAAGTCATTCTCCCTCCAGCTTTGTTCCGTTGCTGGTGAGGAACTGTGTTCCTTTGGAGGAGGAGAGGTGCTCTGCTTTTTAGAGTTTCCAGTTTTTCTGCTCTGTTTTTTCCCCATCTTTGTGGTTTTATCTACTTTTGGTCTTTGATGATGGTGATGTACAGATGGGTTTTTGGTGTGGATGTCCTTTCTGTTTGTTAGTTTTCCTTCTAACAGACAGGACCCTCAGCTGCAGGTCTGTTGGAGTACCCGGCCGTTTTTTTTTCTTTTAGACAGAGTCTTGCTCTGTTGCCCAGGCTGAAGTGCTGTGGCCCGATCTCTGCTCACTGCAACCTCTGCCTCTTGGGTTCAAGCGATTCTCCTGCCTCAGCCCCCCGAGTAGCTGGAATTACAGGCATGTGCCACCATACCCGGCAATTTTTTTTTGTATTTTTAGTAGAGACGGGGTTTCACCATATTGGTCAGGCTGGTCTTGAACTCCTGACCTCATGATCCACCCACCACGGCCTCCCAAAGTGCTGGGATTATAGGTGTGAACCACCTCACCTGGCCTAATTTCTTCTTTAGCTGGGGAAAAAGAAGTATTTAAAAACACTTGAATTGAATTGAATGGAATTTGGCCCATAGCCAAAGGGCCCTAGCACAGCTATTCCCATCTTTTTTGAGGCAATCAGAATTCAAATACAGTTGGGCCTCCACATTTGTGGGCTCTGCATCCACATCTACATCCAGGTATTCAACTGACTTTTGATTGAAAATAGTTGAGGAAAAAAAAAAAGGATTATTTTATCTGTCCTGAAAATGTACAAACTTTTTGTTGTCATTATTCCCTAAATAATACAATATAGCAACTATTTACATAGCATTTACTTTGTATTAGGCATTATAAGCAATCTAGAGATTATTTAAAGTATATGGGAGGATGTGTATAAGTTATATGCAAATACTATACTATTTTATATTGGAGACCTGAGCATCTGTAAATTTTGGTGCCTGTGAGGATCCTGGAACCAATCCTCTGTGGATACCGAGATACAACTGTGTAACTCAAGATATAAACCCTTCTTTCCCACAGGAGAAGCAGGACTATAAAGATCTATGAAGATGGGGAATATAGTATTAGGGAATAATTTGTTTCTAAAAACAGCAGCAACATAATCAATAGTCTAGACCAGAAGTGTTTAGTGAGATGTATCCCTAGACTTTTATTTCCTCTTGTGTAAGCTCAGTTTTAATTTTAAGCAAACCAATTTTTCAAATTATGTGGAGGCTTCTGTTTAATCTTTTATTTTGCAATTTAAAAATTGATGTATAAATTCTTAAAAGAAGATATACAAATGGCCAACAGACCTGTGAAAAAATGCTCAACATCACTAACGATCAGGGAAATGCTAATCGAAACCACAAGGTGATAACTCCTTACTCCTGCAAGAATGGCCATAATCAAAAAAAATCAAAAAACAGATGTTGGTGTGGATGTGGTGATCAGGGAACACTTCTACACTGCTGGTGGGAATGTAAACTAGTACAACCACTATGGAAAACAGTGTGGAGATTCCTTAAAGAATTTAAAAGTAGAGTTACCATTTGATCCAGCAATCCCACTACTGAGTATCTACCCAGAGGAAAAGAAGTCATTATACGAAAAAGATACTTGCACACTCATGTTTATAGCAGCACAATTTGCAATTGCAAAATCGTGGAACCAACCCAAATGCCCATCAATCGATGAGTGGATAAAGAAACTGTGGTATATATACTCGATGGAGTACTACTCAGCCATAAAAAGGAATGAATTAATGGCATTTGCAGCGATCTGGATGAGATTGGAGATTATTATTCTAAGTGAAGTAACACAGGACTGGAAAACCAAAACATTCTATGTTCTCACTGATATGTGGGAGCTAAGCTATGAGGACACAGTGGCATAAGAATGATGCAGTGGACTTTGGGAACTCAGTGGGAGAGGGTGGGAAGGGGATGAGGGATAAAAGACCACAAATTGGGTGCCGTGTATACTACTCAGGTGATGGATTCATCAAAATCTCACAAAGCACCACTAAAGAACTTACTTGTGTAACCAAATACCACCTGTACCCCAATAACCTATTGAATAAATAAATAAATAAATAAAAATAAATTCCAGATGGGAATTCCAGACACTTCTTAAAAATAAAATAAAATAAAATGAAATAAAATTGAAGTATAATCCACATAACATAAAATTAACCACTATAAAATAAACAATTCAGTGGCATTTAGTACACTCACAATGTTATGCAACCACCAATTACATCAAGTTCCAAAACATTTTCATCATCCCATTAAGCAGTGTCTTAGTCATCTTTCACTGCTATAACAAAATACCATAGACTGGGTGACATAAATGACAGACATTTATTTCTCACAGTTCTGGAGACTGGGAAGTTCAAGATCAGGGTGCTGGTGTGGTAAGGTTCTTGCTGAAGGCCCTCTTCCTGGCTTGCAGATGGCTGCCCTCTTGCTGTATGGGAGGAAAAATAATTTTCTTCTCCACCCTTCTGGAGATCTTAGCTGGACTCTGTAAAAAAGATAAATTAACAAGAGAAAAACAAACAAAGTTTAATAACATGTATACCTCCTGTATACTTAGGAGTTGACCCAGAATGATGAGTAAATCTCTAGAGATGATCTCAAAGAGTTGTCTTAGACTTTAGGCCTAAATACCATCATTCTCTGAGATAAAGAAAGAAGGGTGTGTGGGGCTGGGTGCAGTGGCTCATGTCTGTAACCTCAACACTTTGGGAGGCTGAGGCTGGAGGACCGCTTGAGCCCAGGAGTTTGAGATCAGCCTGGGCAACACAGGGAGACCCTGTTTCTACAAAAAATTAAAAAATATATTAGCCAGGCTTGGTGGCATATGCTTGTGGTTCCAGCTACTTAGGAGGCTGAGGTGGGAGAATTGCTTGTGCCCAGGAGGTTGAGGCTGCAGTGAGCCATGATCATGCTGCTACACTCTAGCCTGGGTAACAGAATGAGACCTTGTCTCAAAAAAATGAAGGAAGGAGGGAAGGAAGGAAGGAAGGAAGGAAGGAAGGAAGGAAGGAAGGAAGGAAGGAAATGCCTCATTAAGAGATGGCCAAAAAAGCATCTTAAAACAAGGGTAAAGTTTCTTACACAGATTTAAGTCAATACTTTCTCCATTGATTGAGTCTCTAGTGATTTAGTTTAGTCATATTTTTCCTGATACAGAGAGGGAGATACCCTTACCAATGGAGATTTCCTTTATACATGCAAACTTCTCTTACAAAAGGGTAACTTTTCAGAACTTCTCTTGTGTCTAGCTTATCAAAATAACCAGTCCATATAATCTTATGCCCAAAGTACATATTCTTATCTCCTGCAATCATATTTTGGGATGGCATGTCCTGAACCCCATATTGCTATGTCTTTATATGGCAAAGGGAAAGCAAATACCAGTCTCTTCCTAATCTTATAGGGACACTAAGCCAATCATAAGGGCCTGCTCTGGACTGAATGTTTGTGTCCCTCCAAAATTCATATGTTGAAACCCCAATTCCTAGTGCGATGGTATTTGGAGGTGGAAGAAGTAATTAGGTTATCAAGGTGCAGCCCTCATGGATGGGATTAATGCCCTTAGAAGAAGAAACACAAGAGAGATGGTCTCTATTTCTATCATGTGAGGATACTATAAGAAGAGAATCATTTGCACCAGACGGCAAATATGCCAGCACCTTTATCTTGGACTTTACAACCTCTAGAACGGTTGGTTGTTTAAGCCACTCAGTCTATGTTAATTTGTTTTAGCAGTCCTAGTAATTAAGAAAGGACTACCCTCATGTCCTCCTCTAAACCTTGTTACCTCCTAAAGGACCCATCTCCAAATACCGTCACATAGGGGGCTAAGGCTTCAATATGTGGATTTTGGGGGGACACAGACATTCAGTATATGACAAACAGTCATTCCCCATTCTCCCTTACTCCAGCAACCACCATTTGCTTTTTTGTATCTATGGATTTTCCTACTGGGGATATTTAATAAAAAAGGAATCATACAGTATGCGGCCTTTTGTGACTGTCTTCTTTCACTTAACGTAATGTTTTTAAGGGTTATCCGTGTTTTAGCATGTATCTGCAGTTCATTCTTTTTTATTGCCAAATAATATTCCATTCCTTCACTTCATCCGTTCATCATCAGTCAATAGACATTTTGATGTTTTTGGCTATTGTGAATAATGCAGTTATTAATATTCATGTACAAATTAATAAGTGTACATATATTTTAATTCTCTTGGGTATATATGTAAAAATGAAATTTCTGGGTCATATAATTCTATATTTAACTAGTTGAGGAAATGCCAATTTTTTTTCCTTAATGCCAAAATGGCTGCACCATTTTACATTCTTGCCATCACTGTATTATGAAGATTCTAGTTTCTCTACATCCTCATCAATGGTTGTTAGTCTCCTTTTTAAAAAAAAAATAGCTATTCTAGTGCATATAAAGTGGTATCTCATTGAGGTTTTGATTTGCATTTCCCCTGCTTTTTCTTTGTTTAAGTAGGGTCTTGCTCTGTTGCCCAGGCTGGTCTTGAACTACTGGCCTCGAGCAATCATCCTGCCATGGCCTCCCAAAGTGCTGGGAGTACAGGCATGAGGCATTGTGCCCACTCTGCATTTCCCATTGGCTAATGGTGTTAAGTATGTTTGTATGTGATTACTGGCCATTTGTATATCTCCTTTGGAGAAATGTCTATTCCAATCACTCGTGCATTTAAAAATAGGGTTATTTGTCATCTTGTTGTTGAAGAATTCTCTCTATATTTTATTTTACTTTCACTTAAAAAATTTTTTTTTGAGACAGGGCCTCACTCTATCACCCAGGTTCAAGTACAGTGGCATGATCATAGTTCCCTGCAGCCTCAAAAGGATTGTCCCACCTCAGCTTCCTGAGTAGCCGGGAGTACAGGCACATGCCACCACATACGCAACTAATTTTTAATTTTTTTATAGACATAGGGGCTTGCTATGTTGTCCAGGCTAGTCTGAAACTCCTGGCCTAAAGTGGTCCTTCTGACTTGGTCTCCCAAAATGCTGGGATTACAGGTGTGAGCCACTGTGCCTGGTTCTATATATTTTGGATACTAGACCCCTATTAGATATATGATTTGCGAATGTTTGTTCTCATTCTGTGGTTTGTCTTTTCACTTTCTTGAGATAGTGTCCTTCGGTGCCAAAAGCTTTTAATTTGATAAAGTCCAACCTATGTGTATTTTTTCTTTGGTTGCTTAGATGACTCGCTTTTGCTGCTTGTTGTACGTTGGGCCTTTCCTTTTTAAGTGACTTTTCTGAACGAATTCTGTAACGTCTGTATTCTTTGTCATGTGTGGTAACTGAAGTTTCTGTTCTATGAGCTTAGTGGTCACCTAATGATTGGACAGAGATTTTCTTAGACACCTGGAACTAAAAATTCTTCCATTTTTTTCTAAGGGCTCTGTGTGTGTTGAGGCATGCCTTCAAAACTCAGCCTAGCACAGCTTACAACTTTGCCTTGGGCTTCACTTTCTTTTTGTACAGAGTCTCAGGGTCAGCCAAAAGTAAGAGCCTTTTTACGTCTTTCTTGAGTATGTGCACAGCTCTGGGCAAGCATGTAGCTTTCTAGATTCCCAGAAATATGTGGAAGTGTTTTAAAGCTTTTCATTCCCCATTCTTTCTCTTCAAGTTTTGAGGTCAGTCTATTGTTTGCCCAACTATTATTCATTGCCTTTGGCAATAATGATTAAAACTTTTGCCTATAATTGTTTTTGACAAATGCCCCCCTGGTTAGCAGCTTTAGCTTTAACAGTAGGTAAGTATTGAGTCAAGTAAGATAAAGATAAGGCTTTCAAGCAGTCTTCCAGGAAGTCACCAGATAGGTTACATAATGACAAATTTTTTGTGAATACAGTTAATCCACTTCCAGTGGTGCTGGGAATATAGGCTATTATTTCCAAGACTACTGCTGGGCCTGGGAGAAGGGCTTGCACTAGGGTAAATTGAAACCCCACAATGCTTGTTGTTCTTACAGTTTTGTTTTGTTTTTTTTTTTTTCCGAGACGGAGTCTCACTCTGTCACCAGGCTGGAGTGCAGTGGTGCCATCTCAGCTCACTACAACCTCCGCCTCCTGGGTTCAAGCGATTCTCCTGCCTCAGCCTTCTGAGTAGCTGGGACTATGCCACATGCCACCACACCTGGTTAGTTTTTGTATTTTTAGTAGAGACGGGGTTTCACCATGTTAGCCAGGATGGTCTCGATCTCTTGACCTTGTGATCCACCTGCCTTGGCCTCCCAAAGTGCTGGGATTACAGGTGTGAGCCACCACGCCTGGCCCTTACCTAGTTTTTTTTGAATAAGTTCTTATATTACTCAATCTCTGGCTAATTTCCAGAGTTCCAAAAAAGTTAATGTTGAAAGATTTTGACAGTTTATTTTTTGTTGCTTTCATAGGGGGCAAAACTCCTGAGTTTCTTACTCTGCCATTTTTCCTGATGTTCTATTTAATCTTGAATAATCATACTCACACTGGATTTTTGAGGATGTTCTGCAGTATTTCAAACACTTTCATATCCATCTTCTCATTTTATTCTTATAGTAAACTTTGTAGCTGAGAAGTAAACATCCCTTTTATGGAGGAGAAATGTAAGGTGTCCTGCAGGCAGTTACTCTGTCTTCTGTGTGCCCCAGCTTCTCTATCATATCATCCCATTAATTTAGATTAATTTTTTATAGCTAGACAATAAACTCCAAACAGAATAGATAATGTTATTGTCTCCTTGAGACCAAGCACATAGCATAGCTTTTATTCTAGAACAGAGTACATGTTTTGGAATTTAAAAATGAATAAAAAATAAAGTTTAATGTTTAAGACCTCTTTCCTGATGAAATAATTTGTGTCCTGCAGTGTTAGACCTGAAAGTGTCCTCAGGGGCTACATGGGGAGGAAATAGATTGCACAGGACTTAGCTTCCTATCTCAATGTTTCAACAGAACCATTCCCCCTTTAGTCATCTCTCTCCTAATGTTCATTTGACAAATATTAATGGAGCTCCTACTATGAGTCTGGCCTGATAAAAGAAGTTACAAAGAGAAATTAGGAAAGCAGAGACCTTGTCATGGAATTTACATTGATGAGAGAGAAAATAAAAATGAAAAAACATATAATTTCAAGTGGAAATAAATGATAAAAAAATAAAGCAGAACAAGGTAGGAAGGCACTGGGGAACACAAAATGATTTTAGATAGGGTTATCAGAGGTGTCCTCTCTGAGGTGATATTTAAGCAAAGATATGAATGAAATGAAGGTCAGGTCATCTGAAGATATGGGGGAAATGTTCCAAGCAGGGGAAGCAGCAGGTGGCAAGACCCTGAGTTGGGAGTGAGTTAGCATGATTCAGGAATGACAAGACCACAGTGGCAGAGGTGGGATGAACAAGGGCAGAGTGCCATAGGAGAGAGTGGTAGAGATCAACATGGTGGGGCCATGCCGTATTTTGCAAGTCAGTGCTGCTACGTTAGATTTGTCTTGAACAAATAGTATTTTGGCTAAAGTAAAAGTTTGAAAAGCACAAATTTTATGTTAAAATTTATTATTATATATTTACTTGCTCCTTCCTTCCCTTTCTCCTTGTCTCCCTCCCTCTCACCTTTCCTTCCTTCCTCCCTCCCTTCCTCCCTCCTTCCCTCCCTCCCTTCCTTCCTTCTTTCCTTCCTTCCTTCTTTCCTTCCTTCCCTCCCTCCCTCCCTCCCTTCTGTTCTTTTCTTTCTTTTTATTTATCTTCCCTACCAACAGAGTCTAGATCATGTCTTCTTTACCTGTGATTAACACAGGACCTGGCACATAGAGGGTAATCAAATGATATTTTTCTGAATGAGTGAGAAAATTGAGACCCAGAGAGGCCAAGTAGCATTTTTAAGGCCACCCAGATAGTGACAGAACAAAATCCAGATTTGTGTTTAGCTCATCTTCTGTCACTTTACCACATCAGTTGCATGGAATTAAAAACAGATCCAAAGATTTTATAATTAGTGTATGTGGTTTGTTTTCTGTTACTGACTCCAAGTATAATCTAGTCACACAATCACACGGCTAAGACATTAGTGAAAGACGATTATTGTTTCATTGGGTTAAGGAGAAAGGTTTCCTGGTGACAGTTAGCATCAAAGATATACTGTGTTATAAAGAACCACAGGGTGTGATTGAGGTAGGATGGAGGAGGGACTGCTCTATTGGTACAGTGTCCTGTATCAGGGAGGGATAGTTTGGTTGCAGTCTTTCCTTAATTAGAGGAGGAGAGATAAGGGGAAAATATCATCAAGAAAATGAAAAGTTTTCAAAGTAGAAAATGCCACATTTTCTACTTTGCAGATGCAAAGGCCAGGAAGCAGACAGAGTCAGAAAACAAATTGTCTAGAATGACCCATAGTGCTCTGGAGTACTTTAATGTGATTGGCCAAGGCTTGAAGCATCTCTTCTGGCAGCAGCCCAAGAAGTCATCCATGTCTCCATGTGATGTGCAGAAAATTCAGGCAGATCCAGAACCTGAAATAGATCTGGAAAGCCAGAACACATGTGCTGAGACTGAGAGTAGCCCCACCTCCCACCCCACAGCTCTGAATCAGTTCCTGCAACAAATCCAAGTACCATTCAAGATGAAGACAAGACAAATTTTTATGGCAGGCAGGGCAAGCCAGAGGCCTCAAAGGAAAGTCTCAAAATCAGTAGGGTATACGGCCAGGATATGGCAGCTATCAAGCAGTCAAGCCAACCTAGGTTTTCTTCATCTGTGACTAATGCTCCTACCAGCTCAGCTGTGGTGGAAATAGCTTGTGCTGCTGCTACATGTCAATCAGGAGAGGAGGCAACTGCAGAATAGATGGAGCATTTGGAAGTAAGCACTCTTGCTCAGATCTCTAGTGCAGTGTCCACCAACACTGATGGCAACATCCACCCAGGTCTCATCGATGGAACACTAGGTGCTCAGTGCACAAAAGCTGCTATTGCTGCCCTGCAAGAGGAGATCCTGAAGCTGACAGAATAGATTGACATTGTACCAACAGCCCAAAGGATGACGTTGACAAGTACCTAATGCTTGCCAATAGTGCAGGCAAGCAACAGGTGGTCCACATCAAACAGGTCTCTGAGAAGAACCTGAAATCTTCCCAAACCATCTTTCATCTGCAAAAACAAGCTTGAGGACTACCACTGGAAGTTTCAGAAGGTGGAGCAGAATGGGTTCTGTGGCAACCAAAGGACATCTTCAGGAATATGCACCAGGGTCTAAAGCATATGGGAGCAAAGCTGATCGGCTTCAGTGAGAGTGTGGTTAATGGTGTCAAAGTAGGCTTTCTGGCTTCTCCTAGGCCACTCATTCAGTGATAGGGGCTGTGTCTCAAAGCCCAGGGAACTCACTTCATTGATTTGGAACAAATTTAGCAGTGCAGAAGACATCTCTAACCTGGTGTCACAAAGAATCATGCAGTTTTAGAGCTAGAAGGGACCTTAGAGATTATGCCAAAGCTGAATCTGAGAGAAGGTAAGCAAGTTTCACACCATCATACAGATAACGAGTAGAAATGTGAACTGTGTACTCTAGCCTTCCATGTTGGGTCCTCTTCATTTAAGTGAATATAGAATGGTGGAATGTAAAATGAGATGTAAATGATCATCCACTGGCAAGCTGAATTGATAAAGCACAGGCTTTAAAATAAGGCCAAGTATTGATCCAATGGACAAAATCTGGGCCACTGCTAGTGCTTAATATGTCTCTGTGCAAACTAGAAAAGGATGCCCCTTCTACTAGATGAACTCGGGCCACAGAAAGGCTATCTATCAGCATGGCATGAGGCACATGGGCTGAGCTTCAGTCCCCATTCATCTTCCTGTCTGCATTTTGTATGGGCTGCACTCTGCACTGCCTTACCCAGCAGACTGGCAGAATGGGGGCAGTTTCAGGGAAGCCTTAGCAGACTGGAGGAGAGTGCAGAGTGGTTCATTAGCAAGGAGTTAACTAATTTTCCAACTTCTGTAGCTCCAGGAAAGATCAGTCTGTTCCCCAAATATCTCTCCCACTCACCATCAGGCTACTACAATTCTACCATAGAAGGTCAATCCTAAGGCTTATAGCTTGATCAACGTAATAAATGAAAAACATCCTTTGTAAAATATCGGGGGAACCCGCCCCCAATATTTCAACTTAGGTTCTTTCTGTTTTCCATAAGTGTTGGCTGGCTGAGAAATAAAGAGAAAGAGTACAAAGAGAGGAATTTTACAGCTGGGCCTCCAGGGGTGACATCACGTATTGGTAGGACCATGTTGCCCACCTGAGCCTTAAATCCAGCAAGTTTTATTAAGGATTTCAAAAGAGGAGGGGGTGCAAGAACAGGGGGTAGGTCACAAGATCCCATGCTTCAAAGGGCAAAAAGGAGAACAAAGATCACATGCTTCTGAGGAAACAGGACAAAGGCAAATTCAGAACTACTGATAAGGGTCTATGTTCAGCTGTGCACATATTGTCTTGATAAACATCTTAAACAACGGAAAACAGGGCTCGAGAGCAGAGAACTGGTCTGACCTCAAATTTGCCAGGGTGGGGTTTTTTCCCCACCCTAATAAGCCTGAGGGTACTGCAGGAGACCAGGGCATATTTCATTCCTTATCTCAAACGCATAAGACAGACACTCCCAGAGCGGCCGTTTATAGAACTCCCCCCAGGAATGCATTCCTTTCCCAGGGTCTTAATTATTAATATTCCTTGCTAGGAAAAGAATTTAGTGATATCTTCCCTACTTGCACATCCGTTTATAGGCTCTCTGCAAGAAGAAAACCATGGCTTTATTCTGCTCAACCCTGCAGGCAGTCAGACCTTATGGTTGTCTTTCCTTGTTCCTTGAAAATTGCTGTTATTATATTTTTTTTCAAGATGCACTGATTTCATATTGTTCAAACACACATGTTTTACAATCAATTTGTACAGTTAACACAATAGTGATCCTGAGGTGAGGTACATTCTCAGCTTATGAAGATAACAGGATTAAGAGATTAAAGTAAAAACAGGCATAAGAAATTATAAAAGTATTAATTTTGGGAACTGATAAATGTCCATATTAAAATGAAATCTTCACAATTTATGTTCCTCTGCCGTGGCTCCAGCTGGTCCCTCCATTCGGGGTCCCTATCTTCCCACAACAGTAAAACAACTGGTAATAACAAGTATTAGAGAAGACGAGTTGTGGAGTCACAGTTGATAATCTTTAAAAACTGGCAGCAAATCAATATTTACCAGTAGGTAAGAAATTGAGGTATATCCATACAATGGAACACTACATTGAGCAACTAAAAAGAAAGAGGTAAATCCATTATATATGCAATGGTATAGACAGGATACACATTGATAAGTAAATAAAGCAAACTGCAGAAAATAATATAACATATATATTTATTTAAGACATGGTCTTGCTCTGTCACCCAGGCTGGAGTGCAGTGGTGTGATCAAGGCTCACTGCAGCCCCAACTTCCCAGGCTCAAGCAATCCTCCCACCTTAGCCTTCCAAGTAGCTAGTTTTTATTTTCAGTAGAGACAAGGTCTTGCTATGCTGCCCTGGCTGGTCTCAAGCTCCTGGGCTCAAACAACCAGGCCTTGGCTGCCCAAAGTGCTGGTATTACAGGTGTGAGCCACTGTGCCCAACCTACTTTTTTGTTTAATAGAAGTATATAACATATGTATATACAATCTCCCTGATATATATATATATATACACACACACACACAAAATCCCCCAATTTGTTCACTTCACTGACGTACAAAATGAGATCACATTCCTTTTACCATTTGGTGTCAATGCCACTGAGCCTGTAAGTCAACCCATTATAAGAACTACCTTCTTGTTTTCACAGTGTCCTCCCAGGAAAACGCCAAGATTCTCCAAGACACTTTCATATCCTAAGCCCTGTTCTGTTTGTTCTTGTGTAGTAAATTGGCAAATTTGGCAGTACAGAAGACATCTCTAACCTGATGTCACAAAGAATCATGTCTGGCCCATACAAAGTATTCTAACTAACCATGTAAGCCACTAGAATGTTAAACTAATGCTCTGGCACTGAGGTGGGTATCTTGAGCATTTGTGACTTTACAGTTTATTATCTGTATTGGTTAAAATATATATGAACATATGCTAATATCACATTAATGAATTCTGTAAAAGGTTATTTTAAGACACTCTGTATTTAGAAAAATACCTATACCAAAACTGCTAATAGTGGAATTAGTAATAAAGGTGTGAGAAATTTTGTTTTTTATATTTCATATGGTTTGAAATTGTTTTTACAATACATATGACTTTTGTGACTACAGACAAAACTTGAAGACATTGTGTGTGTGTGTGTGTGAAGCCATTCTTGCATTACTCTAAATAAATACCTGAGACTGGGTAATAAGAAAAGATGTTTAATTGGCTCACAGTTCTGCAGGCTCTATAGGGAACAGAGTGGCGTGTGCTCCTAGGGGGGCCTCAGGAGCTTCCAATCATGGCAGAAGGCAAAGGGGGAGCACTCTGGCACATCACATGGCAAAAGCAGGAGTAAGAGGGAGTGGGGAGATGCCACACAACTTTAAAGCACCAAATCTCACAAGAACAGCACCAAGAGAATGGTGCTAAACCATTCGTGAGAAATTCACCCCTATGATTCAGTTTCCTCCCACTAGGTCCCATTTCCAACATGGGGGATTACAATTTGACATGAGATTTAGAGAGGACACCTATCCAAATTATATCACATTGAAAATATATACATCATGTACTATGCCGAGTTAAACATTACACGCACACACACACACACACACATCCTTGTTCATGAAGATAGTATTTGATGCTGTGACAAAGAGAAAGAGAAAGAGAGAAAGCAGGCACAGGTGAGCAGGAGCCCTGGACACACCTGAGCTTGGATAAGATGACAGCATCGACAAGGAAAAAGCTGATGAAAAGGCCAGGGAGTTGAGGGCAAGGTGCTTCCATACAAAGTGGTATTTTTGTCTTAGCAATTTCAACTCTTTATTCAAACCCTTCTTACTAAGTGGTGGCTTCCATTCTACTTTACATACTTTACAGAAAGTCTTAGTCCTTTTTGTCTCAATATTCCCAGTCCTCTCGTTTTCACAGTGCTCTGTAATTACTGGTTAATAAACATTGAAGGTGGTTTCATTAGGCCAACTGTATTGCTACAGCCTGGCTTTTGGCCAGTAATAAAAGGGGCTTTGGCATGTATTTCACTCCTTCCCAATATACACATGCATGCACACACACACATACACATGCACATGCAACTTGAAAATGATCTGAATGTAAGACAAGTTTTGAAATTTATTCAATACACCACATGAAAGACTAATTACGCATTTTAAAGTAAAATCTCCTAGGTGTAATTTGAATTCATCCTTCTCCTGAGCATGTCTCTTTTCAAGTACAGGCGGTCAGCACAGAACTCAGACACTTGACTTGACTTCAAATGATGTCACCTTCTTGGCCCGGTACCTCTGACTGTTTTCCTGGCAGCAGCTCAAACAAATGTCAGGCAGATCTAAAATCAGAAAAGGGGAAAATGGTTGTGTGGAATCAACTGCATCAACCTAGATTTATTACAAAGCAACTCTAGGCAGAATGCAGTAAAGGCTGAAGAATCTGAAAAAGCTCAAGATACTTCCAAAGTTACAGTGTTTATTTGAATTCTTAATTCAATTCACTAATCCAGTTTCCATGTTTACAGTTTATGTTCTTGGCTAACTTGATAGACAAAATGGTATCTCATTGTTTTTAGGTGGCATTTCTTTGATTACTGGTAAAGATAAGCATTTTAAAATACATTGTATTGTTATTTGTATTTATTTTGTGTTAATTGTCTATTTGTGTATTTTGCCCATTGTCTTTTGAGATATGAGTGTTTTCCTTATTAGAATGTAACATTACTTCATATATTAAGGATGTTGACCTTTTGTTTGCTATATCCATCATATTTTTTTTGGGTTTGACATTTATCTTTTAGTTTTGTTTATGATTTTGCTGACTTCCAAATGTTTGCATTTTAATGCAGAAATATCTATCAATCTTCTCCTTTGGAATATAATCTATTGCTTTTTTTGTGCATAGTAAAGCCTTCACCACTCTGAAATCAGATAAATGTTTATCAATATTTTCTTTCAGTTTTTGACTTTTTTTTCAATTGCTTATTTCCTTTCCTCCATAGTAAGACCCTTGGATTCCAACTATAGATAATAATAGGAAGTATCATAATTATTTATTTGCTTTATTCAAAAATACATATACAATACTCCTGAAATACAAATATTAATACTATCAATCCCCATATGATTATTGAAAACAGTCTGAAATATTTTTGAATATGCCCTCTTCATTATCTCTCAGTTTTTAAATAGTTATTATCTATATTGACATAGTGTAAAGCTGTTACATACTCTACTTTCTCTCTCTCTCTTTTTCAATTTTTATTTTAGATTCAGGGGGTACATGGGCAGGTTTGTTACCTAGGTATTTTGTGTGATGCTGAGGTTTGGAGTATGAATGATCTCATCACCCAGGTACTGAGCATAGTATCCAACAGTTAGTTTTTCAATCCTTGTCCCCCTCTCTCCCTTCCCCTGAGTAGTCCCCCGTGTCTATTGTTGCCATCTTTATAGCCATCAGTATCCAATGTTTAGCTCCCCAGCTTTTGACTTTTGGAATTTAACCCTTTAATCTTTCCACATTGCATTTTGGACTATAGCATGAGAGAAAATCTAAATAAATAATTTTCCCTAAGAGTTGAGTCCTCTATTTATTATTAGTTACTTCATCCTTTTTTCATTTATGAGAGTTAAAGCATTACACAAATAATATAAGTTCATTTTAAAAATCAGAAAATGCAGATAGTTGAAAGGACGAGAAAAACACTTGCATTTTCTTTCCACTCTGAGTGAATGTTAGCAGTTTGCTTTGTCCCTCCAGACCTTTTCTTCTATGGATACATTTCCCTCCAAATGGAATCATATTGCAATATGGTTTTGCAACCTGATGTTTTTCCATCCCGTAATATATCGTGACTATCTTTCCATGCCAATCAATATACCTTTGCAGCACCGTGTCCTAATGAACGTTTCCTTGAGATCTACTATACTTTCAAAAAAGTACACATTTCATAAGTATACAGCAGGGTGAATTTTTACCAGCTGAATACCTCCTTGTCATGAGCTACCAGATCAAAAAACAGAATATTTTTAGCACCTGAAAAGCCTCCTGAATGTCTCTTTCTAGTCACCTTTCTCTCCCAAGAGTAGCCACTGTCCTCCTATACTGACATTTAATAGCATAGATCCCATTCTTTTAAAAACAATTTTGTAGAGATAGGCTCTCACTCTGTTGCCCAGGCTGGTCTTGAACTCCTGCTCAAGCGATCCTCCCACTTTGGCCTCCCAAGGTTCTGGGATTACAGGCATGAGTCACCCGCCCAGCCTCACAGCCCCATTTTTGATAGCTATGTGGTGTTCCATCACACATATATGTATCATAACATACTTGGCATAAGTTAAACTGTATTCCCCAAAAGACTATGTTGAAATCCTAACCCCTAGTACCTGTGAATGTAACCTTATTTAGAAATAGGGTATTTGCAGATGTAATTGGGTTAAGTTGAGGTCATTAGAGTGGGTCATAACTCAATATGACCCATGTCCTTGTAAGAGAAAGAGGCCATCTGAAGACAGGGGCGATGCAGCTGTACGCGGAGGAAGGCCACAGGTGGATGGCACCCCCAGGAGCTAGGAAGAGACAAAGAAGGGTTCTGCCCAGAGCTCAGAGGAAGCATGCCTTTGTTGATACCTTGATTTTGAACTTCAGCCTCTAGAAATATGCGAGAATACATTTCTGTTGTGTTAAGTCACTCCATTGTTATGGCAGCTCTAGGAAACTAATACACTATTTAACCCAATTCTGAATGATTTGGGGTTTTTCTAACATTTACAGTCTTATATATGAATACCTCTTTAATTTTTTTACTTAGAAGAAACTGTAAGCATGGACTATCCGTATCAAAGAATGATAGTGGGAAATATTACTCAAAAGACAATGGATATGAATCACCAAATTGCTACCTTTAAGTGTTGTACTCTGTGATACAGGTAGTATAGGCTGCTTCTTCTCTAATGCATTCTCCTGCAACTCCAGTCTCACCAGGATTCCCTGGACTGAGGGTACCACGGACCTACACACAGAGATAACTGACTCCTGCTTCCATCTACATAATGCAGAAAATCCCAATCCCTTATCACTGGGAGTCTCTGGGGAGTTTATATCCATGTTTTTAAATAATTCTGTTACATTCTTTCCCTCCTGCCCAACCCCTCAACACATCCTCTTATAAAGACTTTTGGGGGCCTGCTTGCGCTACTTTCCCTAAGACTGCACCAAGTCAGTAGCAAAGACCCATCTCATGCCTTCAAAAGCTGTGACCTCAAGGTGCCAGGGCACTGTGGCATTTCACGTGGCCTTCAGTGCATTAAAATCAGGCCATATTTCTCAAGGAGGGGACTTTCCTTCCCCCTCTGCACCAGAAGCCCCAAGCAGCACTACCTGTGTTCTCCTGTCTCCCAGAGTCCCACTGCCCATGACCCTGCCACCACTGGACTTAGTCAGGAAGACCAGAATCTGAGGCAGACACCATGTGTGGGCTCTGTCTCTGACCTTCACCTGTCTCCTCAACTGTCTCCATATAAAATACTCCAGAATGGCGATTCCACTGAGCTATCAGACTTCACGCCCAGGCATATCCGGATCTTGACACCAGGTACATCTTATATTTACACTCATTATTTCTTATATTTTGATATTAATAGGGCAAATTTCCTCCTAATGCTCTTCTTTTACAAAACATTCTTGTAAGCTATTACCTGTTTATTCTTGTTGATAAACATATGAATAGTTTGCCAACTTCCAAAATAATCCCATGGAAAATATGTTTGGGGCAGAATTAGGCGAGTGAAACTAATGAAAGAGTTAACATTGTTTAGGTGTTTGGGTCCCCATCAGGAAGGAGGGGCGTGTGTCTGTACCTATCTGAGTCTTCCTTCATACCTCCTCCTTGGGGTGTGGGGAAGTGGAGAGGACCAGCAGAGAGCGGCCCACCGGATCAGCTGAGTGGGCTTTGGGAGACCAGTCAAGCTTACTGGCTCGCACGCTGCAGAGGTAATTGGAAAAGGAAGCAGGATGAGTTCTAAGCCAGCTCTGGCATCTTCCAGGAATCCTTTATTTCTTTCATAGCATTAGATGAGTGTATGCTGGAGTTCAAATCTGATGAAAGCAGAAAATAAGCTGATTTAGTAAATTTGTCAGACAGGAGAAACTGTGGCTGGACTCTGGAGCCAAGGATCATGGAAAGGAGGGCAAAGTGAGGACAGGTAGATATGCATTGTGAGCATGGTGGGCCAGAGGAGTGCAGGGCGGGGGCTGGATTCTTATGGGAGCTCTGAGACTGGGATTCTTATGCGAGCTCTGAAATCCACCGGTACATTGGGCCGGTAGTTTCCCCGTTTGAAAATCTGTTGGCTCCTTTCTCAACATGCATGTTCACCGAATGACCTCTAAGGCCCTCCTTGAATCGAGTTTCTCTGAGGTATTAGAGTCGACACATGCAACAGGACTTGCATGGCTGAAGAAAAGCCCTAAGCCCTAAGATGTTAAAAATGTCCACGTCTGAACCCAAGGGGCATAATTATAGAATAAAATGATGAAAAAGCGAGAACTCAAAAGGCCTTTGGGATGATTCTTGCCAGTGGAATAGGAAAGAAAAAAATCCAAAGTAGCCCATGGACATCATTTAGAGTGGATGAACCTCTGCAAAGGAAGTACTTCCCAAACCAGTTATTTTGATCACGTGTGGCCAGGACTCCCTGGGATAGCAAATTCTCTCAGATATTATGGATCTCTCTGTGGGCAGGGTGAGGCAAGGCACTTCTGACTCTTGGGCCCACAGAATCTAATCACAGAGAAAATTTCCAGGCTTTTGGCATCCTTAGGGCAACAAGTTAAACAATTTTATCAATGGAGTTCCAGATTGTGTGTGTGTGGGGCGGGGGGAGAGAAAGACGGTTTTGCTCTGTCACCCAGGCAGGAGTGCAGTGATGCCATCACAGCTCACAGCAGCCTTGACCTCCCAAGCTCAAGTGATTCTCTTACCTCAGAGTAGCTGGGACTAAAGGCGTGCTCCACCACGCCTTACTAATTTTTGTATTTTTTTTAGAGACAGATCCTACTATGTTGCCTAGGCTGGTGTCAAACTCCTGGGCTCAAGCGAATCTCCTGCTTTGGCCTCCCCAAGGGTTGGATTAGAGGCATGTGCCAGGATCAGATTTTGTTTTCCTTTCTTAAAAAAAAAAAAAATGAGTGCCAGATTTTGCTTTAAGCCAAGTTAGCCCTGGTTTAACTCTGTCACAGAGACAAATCATTAAAATTCTAATAGGATTAACTCCTCAGAGGGCCCCAGACAGATGCTTGTTTCTCAGATAGAGGAGGAGGTGGGAGGGACAGAAAATAACATGCAGTCACCCAAACCGTTCTGAGTCCCCAGCAGGGCTTGCAGTGCAGAGAGCCTGACAGACTGCATCCACTCCCATTATTCCACTTCCCCTAAGGAGGTGCTAGGCCAATAAATCACCCCGGTTATGCCCTTCCTGACTCTGTCCCGAGAAGTTATCCACCACCTCCCTACACTGAAGGTCAAACGTATCTTCATTGTGGCTAAATTCATTGTTAGCCTCAACTACCATTTCCTGCCAGATCTTTGAAGTGGAAAAGGAAAATTCTAAGTTCTGTGTGGTAGTCAGCCTCCAAGATGACCTCCATGTTAGCCTCCAGTGGTTCCACCTCTTGGCATTCACACACCTGTGTGGCTCCCTTTCCACATTGTACCAGGGTTTGTTTTGTGATGAACAGCATATAGCACACGTAGGAGAGTTTCACTGCCGCATTGTGAAGTCACCCAGGAAACCTAGAGCTATGCCCACATGGTAAGGAACTAAAGTCTCCAGCAATAGCCAGTAAAACACTGAGGCCTGGCAACAACCACATAAGTAAGCTTTGAGGTGCATCCTCCCTCACTTGAACACTCAGATGAGACTGCAGCCCTGGCTGATAGCTTGACTCCAATATCATGACAGACCTAGAGGTTGGGATCACCCAACTCAGCCACTCCCAGATTCTTAACCCTCAGAATCTATGAGATAATATATTTGTTTTAAGTTGCTATGTTTTGGGATGATTTGTTATGCAGTATTAGATAGTGAATGCATTCCGTGATGCCTCATCAATTCTAGAGGCTATGAATTTTATCACAATCATTCATATCAAACCAGTATTGTTTTTTATTTTTGAGTAGAGACAAATGCAGTCAGGAAGACATATGCTACATGGAATGACAAATGAACGTTTTGTATCTTGTGCCTAGCTCTGTTGTAAGTTCTTAGATTCTCAAACTCACTTGATAATAATAATTGCCTGGAGCTGGGTGCAGTGGCTCACACCTGTAATCCCAGCACTTTGGGAGGCCAAGGTGGGAGGGTTGCTTAAAGCCAGGAGTTCGAGACCAGCCTGAGCAACATAATGAGGCCACATCTCTACAAAAAAACCTGAAAAACTTAGCTGGGCATAATGGCATGCACCTGCAGTCATAGCTACCCTGAAAGGCTGTGGTGGGAGGATGGCTTGAGCCCAGGAGGTTGAGGCTGCAGTGAGCTATGATTGTGCCACTGCACTCCAACCTGGGTGACAGAGTGAGACCCTGACTCTAAAGAAAGAAAATCACTTGGGGTGCTGCTTAAACATTTAGATTTCTAGGCCCCTTCCCTTGGTTTGAAGTGGGACTTAAGAATCAGTAGGTTCAACTACCACTCCAGATAATTCATATAATCAGGCAAGTCTGAAAAACATTGCAGAATAGGATGCAAAAATGAATGAGACATAGCTCCTTCTCAGAAAGAGTGCAAGATGGAAAGCAAATTGGTGCACAAAAGTGCATTTAAAGAGAACCAACAAGACGTAAGGAAGACATGAAAACCATTGGAGGAATTAAGGAGTGCCTCCTGGAAGAAATGACATGTGAGCAAAGTCTCAAGATTAGTTACGACCCCATACGAGGCCAGATATAGAAAGAATCACCAAGGAATAGTAATAGCTGGCATTTCTCAGGTGCCTGCTAGGTGCCAGGCATTGTGCTAAGCATTTAACCCACCATATTTTATTTAATCCTCACCACAACCTTATGAAGTAGAAGCTATTGTAATTCCTAATTTCAAAAGAGAAAGGCTAGGTTTTGGTTACCACACTGCCCAAGGTGACACCGTTCACATGTGCAGAGCTAGGTAGAAAGGAGGCGGTACTCCTTATCTTATGCTCTTTCCCACTGTCCTCTTCCACCTTCCAGGTGACATGAGCCTCAGAGATGTGTAACAGCTGTGACATTTTTGCAAATGACAGGAGAAAGTGTCCAGGGAGGTATATGGGCCAGGGGAAGAAACTGCATGAAGTATTGGAACTTGGCAGTGATTTCCTAGTGCAAGCTCAACTCATTCATTTTGTAAATGAGGAAAGAGAACCCCAGAGAAGGTATATGACTTGCCTAAAGTCATATACATTTTGTACCTTTAGTATATTTTGATAGTGGCAAAATGTACTAAAGATCCAGATCCCAGGCAGCACTCTCTTTCCACTACAGAAAACTGGAGGCCAACATCGTATAGGCCTTTGTGGATGCCTTGCTAAGGAAGTCCGAGCTATGCTATAGGAGATACATTCAGTCATGGGCTACATAATGACGTTTTGATCAAAGATGAACCACATATATGATGGTGGTGCCATAAGATTATAATACCATATTTTTACTGTACCTTTTCTATGTTTAGATATGTTTACCATTATATTACCATTGCCTATAGTATTCAGTATAGTAGCATACTGTTCCAATTTGTAGCCTAGGAGCACTAGGCTATACCATACAGACTAGGTGTATAGTAGGTTATACCATCTAGGTTTGTGTTAAGTACACTCTATGATAGTCACACAATGAAATTGCCTAATGATGCATTTCTCAGAACATATCCTCATTGCTAAGTGATGCATGGCTGCATATGTAAAATACACATAACATAAAATTCACCATGTTAACTGTTTAAGTTACAATTCAGTGACATTAATGCATTGACAATGTTGTGCAACCATCACCACTATCCATTGCCAGAACTTTTTCATCATCCCAAACGGAAACTCTGAACCCATCAGATAATAATCTCCTATTCCCCCTCCCCCTCATCCCTTGGTAACAATCATTCTACCTTCTGACTTTATGAATTTGCCTATTTTAGGTATCTTATATATGTGGAATCATTCAATATTTGTTTTTTATGATAGGCTTATTTAATTTAGCATCATGTTTTCAAGATTCACCCATGTTGTAGCATGTGTCAGTACACCATTCCTTTTTTCCCCATTTTCTCATTGTGGTAAAGTGAAAAAAAATATTTACCATTGTAACAGTTTTTACATATACAGTTCAGTGGTATTAAGTACATTCAGATTGTTGTGCAACCATTACCACTCTCCATCTTCATAATTATTTTCATTTTGCAAAACTGAAACTTTGTACCAATTAAACAATAGCTCCCCATTCCTTCTTCCCCAAGACCTAGGCAACCATCATCCTACTTTTTGTCTCTATGAATTTGACTACTCTAGCTACCTCATGTAAGTGGAATCATATAGTATTTGTCTTTTGTGACTGGCTTATTTCACTTAGCACAATGTCTTCAAGGTATATCCGTGTTGTAGCATGTGTCAGAATTTCATTCCATTTGAAGGCTGAATAATATTGCATTCTGTGTATATACGCACACACATACACATGAAGGGGCTTCAAAAATTTGGGGAGCATGCATATTATGAAAAAAGTAAGCATGGATTTCAATTTTTGTTTGCACCCAAATAAACTCGTACTCATTTGTTACAACATGTCTGAACAGGATCTAGTTTGAGTCACTAAGAAGGATAAGATATCAGTTTGAAAAGAGCCCCTCTCAGAGGAACATGAATTCTGAAAAATTGAAGCAACGGCAAACATGAAATTTATGGTGAAGCTTGGGTGGAAGAATGGTGAAATCACTGATACTTTACGAAGAGCTTTTTGTGGGCAATGACCCAAAGATATCAGCGGTTTACAAGTGGATACTCATTTCAGGAAGGGACGAGAGGATGTTGAAGATGAAGTCTGCAGCAGCAGACCATCCACATAATTTGTGAGAAAAAAATTAACCTTATTCATGCCCTAATTGAAGAGGACTGATGATTAACAGCATAAACATAACCAACACCACAGACACCTCAGTTGGTTGAACTTACTCATTTCTGACTGGCAGATTAAAGTTGAGCACACTTTCCACTTGATGGGTGCCAAAATTGTTGTGACCAGATCAGCTGTAGACAAGAATAGAGCTTTCAATGGAAATACGAAACAAGCGGGATCAAGATCATGAAAGATTTCTTTGAAGAACTGTAATAACAGAAAAAACAGGCTTTACAAGTGTGATCCAGAAGACAAAGCACAATCAAAGCAATGGCTACCAAGAGGTGGAAGTGGTTCAGACAAAGCAAAAGCAAACTAATCAAGAGCAAAGGTCATAGCAATAGTTTTTGGGGGATGCTCACAGTATTTTGCATGTGATTTTCTGTAGAGGGCCAAAGAATGAAATATCTGCTTATTATGAGGGTATTTTGAGAAATTAGCCAAAGCTTTAGCAGAAAAAATGCCTGAAAAAGCTCCACCAAAGAGTCCTTCTCCACCATGACAATACTACTGCTCATTCCTCTAATTGAACAAGGGCAATTATTAGCCATCCTTCTTACCATCCTGATTTGGCTCTTTCTGACTTCATTTCCTAATCTTAAAAAGTCTTTAAGGAGCAGCTATTTTTCTTACGTTAATAATGTAAAAAAAAAGGGCTTCATTGACATGGTTAAGTTCCCAGGACCCATGCCAGGCCTGGTGGCTCATGCTTGTAATCCCAGCATTTTGGGAGGCTGAGGTGAGAGGATTGCTTGAGGCCAGGAGTTTGAGACCAGCCTGAGCAACCTAGCCAGACCCTGTTTTAACAAAAAAATAAAAATAAATAAATAAAATAGAAAAATTCCCAGGATCCTTAGTCCTTTAGAGATGGACTAAATGTCTGCCATCATTACAAAAGCATCTTGAACGTGATGGAGCTTATGCTGAGAGCTAAAGTTTATGTATTTTTATCTTTTAATTCCATTTTCCCACAAACTTTTGGAAGTTCCCATGTGAGTGTATGTGTGTATGTGGAGCATTTTGTTTGTCCCTTCATCATTGATGGACATTTGGATTGTTTCCATGTTTTCGCTATGGTGAATAATGCTGCTATGAACATGGATGTACAAACATGCCTTTGAGACCCTGTGTATTAGTTCACTTGCACACTGCTGATAAAGACATACCGGAAACTGGGAACAAAAGGAGGTTTAATTGGACTTACAGTTCCACATGACTGGGGAGGCCTCAGAATCAAGGCAGGAGGTGAAAGGCATTCCTTACGTGGTAGCATCAAGAGGAAACTGAGGGAGAAGCAAAAGTGGAAACCCCTGATAAACCCACAGGATCTCGTCAGGCTTATTCACTATCACGAGAATAGCATGGGAAAAACAGGCTCCCATGATTCAATTACCTTCCCCTGGGTCCCTCCCACAATACGTGGGAATTCTGGGAGATACAATTCAAGTTGAGATTTGGGTGGGGACACAGCCAAACCGTATCACCCTGCTTTTAATTTTTTGGGTTAGACACCCGGAAGTGGAAACACTCGATCATATGGTAATTGTATTTTTTAACTTTTTGAGGAAACCCTATACTGTTTTCTACAGTGGCTTCACCATTTTACTTTCCTACCGACAGTGCACAGGGTTCCAGTTTCTCCACATTCTCACCAACACTTGTTATCATTTCTTTTTACAGCTGGATAATATTCTATTGCATGTATATACTATATGTATTTTGTTAATCCACTTAGCTGATGGACATTTGGGTTGTTTCTGTCTTTTGGCTACTGTGAATAGTGCTGCCATGAACATCAGTGTATGTGTGTCCCTGCTTTCAATAGTTTGGGGTTACATACCTTGGAGTGGGATTGCGGGACTATATGCCTCACGTTTTGAGGAATCTATGGGCTTGTAAAGGTAGACTGTGCTCTGTAAGTCAGCGCTGTCCGTCCCAGCCTTCTAAGCAGACATCCCTGGGCGGGGGTCCTTCCTCTCTCCAGTGTGCTACCCCGCCCCCTTGTTTGCTCTCCAGAAAGCACTTCTCTGAGCCTCTTTTACGGAGAGGTAGGGCAGCTGGCAACAAAGATGGCCCTGGTGTCCGTTCAGGCTGGCCCAGGGGACCAGGTTGGGGCCGGCCCCTGAGTGTCCCCTGAGGAGGTGTGTGAGCAGCGGGGGAGGCTCCTCGGTCCTTTGCAAGCTCGCGGCTGAGCGGGGCCGTGTCCGTCCACTCCGACGGCGCTGGGCTGCCAAGGTGAGCCGCCGAGGAGCCCCGTGCCCCGAGGCGGGCACAGCCGCCCTGCATGGGTGCCCCCGGCGCGGGATTGACGCAGAGCCCTGCCCGGAGCCCCAGCGACCCCGTTCCTGCCCCAGGCGGCCGTTCCGAAGCCTGAGCCGGGCAACGCGCAGCCCGCCTGGCCCGGCTCCCTCCCGCGCGTCCTCGTCGCGAGCTGCCGCCTGGGAGCTCCAGACGCTCCCGCCCAGGGCGATCCGGACGCTCCCGCCCAGGGCGATCCCGGCCTCTGCAGCCCAGCTGGCGACACGCCTCGCCAAGAGCCCGCACCTCGGCGCCTCACGGCCACCGGAGGCGGGGACAGGGAGTCCGGCGCGGGCCGGGTCGGGGGATCTGCAGCGGCGGCGCGAAGGTAACTCCCCCGCCAGAGCCGGGAAAGAGCCCCGAGCAGAGGAGGAAGGGAGCGGGGACCTGCCCTTCGCCTGCCGGCTTCTGGAAGAAGCGTCTCCTGATCCGGCCCCGGAATAAGAAACCCGGACCTTGCCTGCCGGGCTCCGCGATGCCGCAGGTACAGAGCGCGCCCTCCCGGGGAGGATGCTCCAGGGACCCCGCGCTGCACTGGCTGCGGCCGTGGGGTGCGGCGGCTTCTGAGTGAAGAGGGGACTTTGCCAGGGATTCACTCCTGTGAGTTTCTTCAGGAGAGCCAGGCTTCCCCTCCTCTGTCCTTAGGGGAAGCTGCCCAGGCTCCAGGGAGAAAGTTGGGAGCAGGCGGGGGACTTGCCAGCAGGGGTTTGTGAGAGAGGCTTCTAGCGATCGAGAGGTCACCAGGTGGGGGTAGGATTGGGGTTCCCCTCTGAACGGTGAGAATAAAGGAGAAAAGACCTCTGGACAATCATCCTTAATCTCGTGACGCCCTCCTCTCCACCCCCGAAGCTTCTGTATTCTTTGCTTTTAAACACTACTTTGACCCTTCAGGTAGCATGCTTGTAGGGGTACCCCTCCAGGAGTGGCATGCCTCTGCGACCCACGGGACCTGCAAGGAGTGGGGCTTGTCCCGCCTGGGTTCCAAGCCTGCCCCCCTCCTTCTTTTCAGCTGAGTTCTGCCTCTCCTCCCTGAGTGGGCAGAGGGCAAGGGCTGAGCCAGACAGAATTGAGAGCTCGGAGGAAGGAAAAAATCAGGGTAAGGAGTTAGGACAGAGAGGCAGCAATGGGGCTGAGCCTCACTGGGGCGCAGAGGGACTTTAAACTTGGCCCCAAGAAGACAGGCTCCAGATGTTTTGCCTCGGAGGAATATGGAGAGCAGGCTTTCCTGGGGGTGGGGAGGTGGGGTCCTGGGCATCTTCCTCATCTTCCTTTCCCAGGAAAACTCTGGCTTGCATTCTTCCCTCTGTTCTCCTGACATTTGTTTTAGGGTGCTCTCCAGACCTCAGCCCTCCTTCTACGTCCCACTCCCTGGTCTGATGTCTTCAGGGTTTGGGAGGGACTGCAGGGAGAGAGCAGGGGACAGGGGGACTCTGGCTGCCTCCCTGTCCCCACCAGGGCAGCTGACACCCCCCTAGACCCCTCACCCCAGCCCCATTATGTGGTGTGGTGGAGTCCCTGTATCAGGATTTCGCTCCCCTTCCTTGCAGCTGACAGAGGAGGCCTGAGAGCGCAGTAGTAACTCCTTGCAGTTCTAGGGTGTAACACTCTCCTCCAGGGAGCTCCAGGCTGTGCAGACATTATTGATCTCCTGCCTGGCAGAAGTTGAACCTCTGAGTGTTTAAGCTATTTACCCCTGGACACTCAACCAGCCAAGGAAAAATTTTGCTCTAGCGTCCCCATTCTCATCACTTGGTTAGTCACAGGCTGTGACTTTACCCTACAGCCTCTGTCTGGGGACAGGCCTTCATAAATGCTGTTCCCAGCTTCTAGGGTCATAGCAGGTTCTAATGTGGGAACAGGAAGTCCAGCAAATAGTGAGGAAGGTGGCTGCTCTATGGCTCTGTGATTTTAGAGCCATGTTCTGCCAGAAGAGCAAGGAGAGCAGACAGGCTTGTCTGAAAGCCCTCCCTCTTAAATAGCATTTAAAGAAATTTCTTTCTCTTCAGCCTCCCCACACTCCCAACTTTTGTCCTTGAGAAAAGGTGCAACACTTCTGAGTCTTCAGTGGAACAGAAATAAACTGAGCCAGTGCTTGATTGTCTCTATAGCAATCCACCCTTCCCTAATTGAGTATGTGGTTTTCATTCATTTTCTCTCATTGGTTCCTTTATTTCCACTCCATCACCCTATGTTCACTCTGGGCAGGGAGCTAATAGGTCTGCTTAGGTTACAGGGTGGTTTTGAATTTGGCCAGCTTTACTGCAACATATAGCCAACTGTTTGTATGTCTTTCAAAGGTTTAGAATGGAGCTCAGATACCATACCCCAAAGATGCTGGCAGAGACATTCTGACTCATTAAGGGAGAGCTGGCTGATAGCAGAGAGGGGTGACATCAGCCTTGCAGACATTGCCCTGGGGAATTCTGAGCAGTGTTGCTCACAGCACCACCTGGCCAGATGGAGACCACCATGGGGTTCATGGATGACAATGCCACCAACACTTCCACCAGCTTCCTTTCTGTGCTCAACCCTCATGGAGCCCATGCCACTTCCTTCCCATTCAACTTCAGCTACAGCGACTATGATATGCCTTTGGATGAAGATGAGGATGTGACCAATTCCAGGACGTTCTTTGCTGCCAAGATTGTCATTGGGATGGCCCTGGTGGGCATCATGCTGGTCTGCGGCATTGGAAACTTCATCTTTATCGCTGCCCTGGTCCGCTACAAGAAACTGCGCAACCTCACCAACCTGCTCATCGCCAACCTGGCCATCTCTGACTTCCTGGTGGCCATTGTCTGCTGCCCCTTTGAGATGGACTACTATGTGGTGCGCCAGCTCTCCTGGGAGCACGGCCACGTCCTGTGCACCTCTGTCAACTACCTGCGCACTGTCTCTCTCTATGTCTCCACCAATGCCCTGCTGGCCATCGCCATTGACAGGTGAGTGCAGCAGCAGTGGGGACAACAAAGGCGGTCAGGGAGGAAGGGGCATTGGAATTGCCCCCTCCTGTACTGCAGTTGCAGATTGATGAGAGGTGTCTCTATTCCCCCTAGATGTGGTTGCATGGGGGACTCAAAAGCTTGCCCATTGACTGACAGTGAGAAGAGTTCTCCTTTTCCAGCTTTGTTCAGACAGAAGACAGCAGAGCCCTCTAGAGTTGGGTGATGGGAAGCTTTTGATCTCCCTTGCTATGGATGTTTTCCTAGATATTACACCTTTCAAGGTCTAGAGTAGACAGGTAAGAGGAGATATCGAGGGAAACTTTAAGCGTCAGGCAGTTACCTCTTGAGTCAATGTGGAAATCTTGAAGGAGGTTTCTATCTCATCAAGACTTCCTCTACTAAAATATGACCTTCTAGCATCATCTGTTTTTAAATAAGATTCAAGGATTTATGACTGGCTGTGGTAAACAGTTCAAGCCTATAATCCCAGCAATTTGGGAGGCCGAGATAGGAGGAGCATTTGAGGCCAGGAGTTCGAGACCAGCATGGGCAACATATCCAGACCTCACCTTTTGAAAAAATTAAAAAATTAGCTGAGCGTGGTGGTGTGTGCCTGTAGTCCTAGCTAGTTGAGAGGCTGAGGCAGGAGGATCACTTGAGCCCAGGAATTCCAGGCTGCAGTGAGCTATGTTCATGCCACTGTGCTCCAGCCTGGGTGACAGAGGGAGACCTTGTCTCTAAAAAATAAATAAATAAATAAAAATAAAAAGATTGAGGGATTTGTTTTGAAAAAAAAGGGAACATATGTTTATTTACTTTTTGTTGTTGCATTAATCACTTTGCACCTTTTAGTCCATTTGCACAGATAGTGCAGAAGACCTGTTTCTGGTGATCGCAAATAAAATCAGTAAGAGCAGCCTCTGCATATCTTTCTTCAACTTAGTCTCTTCCTTTAGTGTAAACTTGTGCTAATGGGCCAGGCTGGTCTTTGTTCCTCGGGGGACAATCTTTGCTAGCTCCTCTGCCCACAGCTGGACTGTCATTACAAAGCACCTGGTTACAGTCTAGAGACAATTATCCTGAGGATCAAATCAGGCTTCTGTGTACTTGGATCTGAACAGCCTGTCTCTCTCCTTTAACCCAGAGAGCCTGAGGCATACATGCTCTCCCTGTTCTCTGGCCTCAAGGATCTGAGGGGGTTTGACCTGGCCCTCACAGTCAGGACAGTGTTCTAGGGAGGAGCACAGCTAAGAGAGCTTGTTTTCTGAGACCGTAGGCAGGGCGACCAGGGGTGGGATGACCGAAAAGGATAACCTGAAAAAAGGGGGTTACCAAGGAACCTCTGTCTATAAAACCGCTGAGGGGTGGAAACTCTGCCTCCCTTCTCTAGGGAAGGACATCAGGAAGTTAGCAGCTTACATAGCCCTTGGTCTGTCCCCGTAGATCCTTGCAGAGTGCTACTTCTTCTTGGCCAAATTCCCTCCACTGAATCACAGAGCCCTGCAGCTTTTCATTTACCTGGAGGCCAAATTCCCTCCACTGAATCAAAGAGCCCTGCAGCTTTTCATTTACCTGGACAAGGACCCCGCATGAACCCACTGAAGGAGCAGGAGGGGAGCAGTCAAGTAGAGTATCTACTTCGTAGGTTCCTTTCAAAGCTGCCAAGGAAGAGCTCCAGGGACTTTGTCTCTGAACTTTTTTGAAAGTAGAAGCCGCCACCTTCTCTCTTAGCCCATGAACAGGACAAAGCATACAGAGTCATTTCCTGAAGTTTCATACTAGCGAGAAACTACATGTGCTCAGCTACTAAAAGCAGGGTAGGGTGCCTCCTGTGGAGTGGGACCCTACTCCCCGGATGAGATCCATTTTACCACTTGAACGGAGTAACAATGGTAGGAGGAAGTAGCTTCAAGGGGAAAGGAAGCCAGGATACACTAAGGGGCATTGGGTTATTTGGAACATGTAAGAGTGATATCTATGTCAATCAGTCAGTCTCCATCTACTGAACTTCTTCAAGCTTATAACCTCCTTTCATACCAAACAGAGCTTGTCTGAAATACTGCAAGCATTTCTCTTGCAGTGTGAGTTTACACAAAGGAAATTAGATACAATAAGAAAGATGAATTAGAAAAAATGCTTTGCACCGTGGGAGCTTCTATGGTTGAGTGGGGTTATGATAGGAAGCTTGTACCCAGACCTCAAGGAAAGCACCATGTGCCTTCACAGGGCTGCCCAATGGTCTTGGTGGATGAATGGCTGCACCAATGCCCATTCTTTTATTGATGTTTGTGATCTTTGCTGCAATTATTTTTATTTGTATGTGTTGTTACCATCTAATTGTGGTCTAGGAATCATTAATTTTTCTCTGGTCTCACGTGTTGTTCAGGATTTGATCAGTTGGGAGCAACTAATTTTTATCTTGGTTTATAACAGATCTACTTAGTTGTAAAAATGTCTTTATTTTTGCTTAATGAAATTTCTGTAGCCATGTTGGCAGTTATTCTGCCTGGGTTTAAGTACCAGCTGTATTGTGTGTTGGGTATTATGTTAGTTATTTGACCTCTCTCTGCCTCAGTTTTCTCGCCTACAAAATGAGGATAAAAAGAAAGCCTATTGTATTGGGTTGCTTTGAGGATTGAATGAAATAAATATATTTAATTTCTTAGAACAATATTCAAAACAGTAAGCAATAAATAAACAGTGGATATGATAATTCTTAAATTAACCCTTATAGGAATGTCTACAACAAAAAAGCAGGTAAACTAATGAACATTTCTGACACACTAACCTTTTTGCTTTCATTGAAATTATTGTTTTTATGATGTGATTTAAAAAAAATACAAGATTTTTACAAAATGCCAGAACAGAACTATTTATCATCTACCTGCTTGTATTTGTCTATATTATTGGTTCCATTGTTCTCCGAGGCATCTAACCTAGAAGAAAGTCTCCTTTGTCCTGGCTGCTCTCCCTTCTTTACCAGCATTCATTCAACCTCCAGGTCTTGGCAATACCCGTTTGTTCATTCAGGGCTGGTATCCTAGTCTCCTCTTGGTCTTCCTGCCTTCAGTGTTTCTTGGATCTGCCCATCTGTCAACGCTACTCCCCTGACAATCCATCCTAAACTTTCATTCATTCATTCATTTAAACAATCCATTTTTATAGAGTAACTGTGATGTGACAGATGCTATTGCAAGCACTGGAGATACGACAGTGAATAAGACAAAAAAAACTCCTTGCTTTCCTGGAGCTTATAACCAAAGGATGGAGAGAGATCCAGTCAGGCAAACACAAAAGGAAGGTAATTTCAGAAGCAAGAAATACTCTGAACAAAAGAAGTACACAGGTAAAATGTCGAGGGTGGCTGAGGGTGGGACCTATTCTAGGTGAGTAGTCAAGAGAAGGGTCTCCGAGGAGAGGCCTTTGAACTGGCTTCTGAATGACACAGGGGGAAAGAGCCTGCCTTGGGAAGACAGGGAGCAAGCATCCCAGACAAGGGGGATTGTAAGTGAAAAGGCCCAGAGGCAGGAACAAACCAGATGGGTTCTACAAACAGAGGAACAGAGAGAAGCCTCCATGTGGCCCGAGGGAAGTAAGCAAGGCTGCAGCCAAATTAATCTTCTGTCTTGTACGTGTCTCCACTCTCCTGCTTAAAAACAAAAAACCAAACACCGCATATTCTCACTCATAGGTGGGAATTGAACAATGAGATCACATGGACACAGGAAGGGGAATATCACACTCTGGGGACTGTTGTGGGGTGGGGGGAGGGGGGAGGGATAGCATTGGGAGATATACCTAATGCTAGATGACGAGTTAGTGGGTGCAGTGCACCAGCATGGCACATGTATACATATGTAACTAACCTGCACAATGTGCACATGTACCCTAAAACTTAAAGTATAAAAAAAAAAGACCTCTAATAACTCCATTGTCTACAAAGTATGGCTCAAACTCTTTCACCTGTTCTTCCAAACTTTTATTATCTAGCCCCAGACTGCTTCCCAGTCTCATGGTTAAACATATTTATGTCCTGTTTTCCCAAAAATAGTTGCAATCTTTCTGAGAACTGTCCCCATGGCTTTTTATATATTAAAAATAAATTTTTTTAGAGATGAGATCTTGCTATGCTGCCCAGGCTAGTCTTGAACTAGTCTCAAGTAATTATTGTGCCCCGACCTCCCAAAGTGTTGGGATTACAGGTGTGAGCCACTGTGTCCAGCCAGCTTTTTACATGTCTATTCACCCAGCGCTAGGCACTCAATGAGGGTGAAGTTGCACCAAAATCCTGTTAGGTACTCAGAATTCACAGAGAGTAAAAGGTTATAAAAGAAGTAAGACATAATCACAGCTCTTGGGGGGCTGACCATCTAGAGTTGGGGGTAGGGTGGGACCAGGGAGAACTAACACTTACAAAACAGTTAAAGAATAAGTAAAGGATAAATTTTAAATAACATTTAGAGAAGGGTGAGATCATTTTGTGCCGGAGTAGTCAGAGGAGGCTTCATGGAGGAGGTGGATTTCTAACTGTCCTTCAACAAATGAAGATCAACAAAGGAGAGGAAAGTTTTCCCAAGAGAGTGGGTAGAACAGTGTGTGGAAAAGCCTAGAGGTGGGATTGCCTGAAGTGAATTTGAGGTACTTTAGAGAGGGATGTCAGGTATGGGTAAGAAACACAAGGACAGTAGAGATCAGAAAGAATAGAATCTATTCCAGAAGGTCTCAACAGCCAGGCAGAGGGAGTCAGACCTGAGGGCAGGAGGAAAATGAGGCCAGGTGTGGTGGCTCACGCCTGTAATCCTTGCACTTTGGGAGCCCTAGGCGGGAAGATCCCTTGAGCTCAGGAGTTCAAGATCAGCCTGGGCAACATAGGTAGATCCTGTCTCTACAAAAGAAAAAAAAAATTTACCGGGCATGGTGGCATGTGCCTGTAGTCCCAGCTACTCAGGAGGCTGGGGTGGGAGGAACCCTTGGGCCCAGGAGATAGAAGCTGCAGTGAGCTGTTATCATGCCACTGCACTCCAGCCAGCCTCGGTGACAGAGCAAGATCCTGTCTTTTAAAAAGACAAAACAAAACAAAAAAGGATCATGAGAGACCTCTGCCCCAGCCACAGGTATGGGTTTCCTTTTGATGTGGAGACACTAAGATCCCACAGCGTGTGGGGGCTCCAGAGAACTTCTCTTTTACCCAGAGTCCTGAGGAAACTGGCCAGAAAAGTACCTGTGAAGAAGCTCTCTTCTTCTGTCTTGATGAAGCTAAGGCCTGAGTAATCTCACCCAACCTTAGGAAGCACAGAAACCTCCTGGTGAGCTCATTAGTCAGGGCCACTGGCCTGAGGATCAGGTTGTGTTATCTCTGCCCATCCCATGACTAGCCTAGTAGCTGCTGAGACCACTGTTACCATGATTTGATCTGGGGCTTGGTCCTGGGAACGGAGACAGAGCCCAAATACTTCTTTTCCAGCCCATTATTATCACAGTTATTGCCTGGACCATCTCTTTGTCTAGCAGCCTTTATTCCTTGTTCTCTGGGAACTGTTAGCTCTACATGAATCTGGACCTAAGCCACTGTAGTGGCAGACACACAGGGCAAGCCAAGGGCATACATATAAGCAGAGAAAAGCAGCCGCCAGATGTCAGACCCCTTCTTAGAACACCAATAGTTAGAAACCAACTGTGATGGAGAGGAAAGAGGAGAAGGGCTGCTGGGATGCCAGGAAGGCAAGAGGAGGGGGCATCATTTTGCTCTTGGATGAAAGAAGAGGGGGTAAATAGCATTCAGAGAGGCCACTGGCTTTGCAGCAAGATGTGGGTCTGAGTCATTGTTCTGTTGATATCTAGTTGTATGGCTTTTTGGCAGGTTATTTAACTTCCCCAAGCCTCAGTTTTCTCATCTATAGAGTGGACATTGTCACTGTCTTACCTATTTAGTAGGGTTGGAATTATCTAGTGAAAAAGTGGATTTGAAAATGCTCTGTAAATTGTAAACTTCTTTACAAACATAAGCAAACACAACATTACTAATGCTAGAGTTCTGGAGTTCTGGTCCTAGCATTGACAAAGCTGATGGAAATTCTTGAAATCATTTTCTGCAATTTACCTATTTGTAAATATATCAGGAAGGCCTCTTGCACAGCTCATGGCACTAATTCTGCGGATGGAGTTGGGGTGATGTCAGAGAGACCCAGAATGAAATGACTATCTGATAGGTAGTCACAGATTACCCTGAAGATTAGTTTTGATGTGTAGAGTTTATCCTATAAAATAGAAAGGAGGAGAGGACTTGCAAATTGAGTGTTTGCCAATAACAGGTAAAAGAAAATTGCTGTGTATACAGAATAGCTCTGGGAAAAAATACATTTTAAAATGCTAGTAATTCCTTGTATATTAATAGCTTACTGTTGCTATGTGCAGTGTCTCACTGGCGCCTCATAGCATCTAGGTGATATTCCCATTTTACAGATGAGGGAAGTGAACCTACAGGGATAAGAAAAATGACTCAGATTCATAGAGCAACTTTCTGGCAAAGCTGGGATTAGATTTGTGGTCTTCTGAGTCTTAGGTGGTTGTTCCTTCCCACATTTATTGAAAACACACTCTGTGTTTGAAGCATCATAAAGGCTTAGGTAGCTACTATCGGGAAAAGGAATAGAATTATGTGGTGAAAATTCTTATAGTGAATAAATATGAAATAGGAAATTTCTTTCTCAGAGTAATCAGTGGAATGTGGTGGGGTAGACAGACAGCAATGGAGCCAGTGAGAGCAGAATGTCTTAACTCTCCATTTTCATTGTGAGTCAGGGCGAGTTTGAGGCTCTGGTTACATCAGGAGCACCGCGATCTTAATGAAGGGCCCACACTCGTGCATTGACAATGGCATTGCCAACACCCTGCAGACATTTCCCTTTTTTCCCTCTGGCACTCGGGAGATTGGCTAGAGTGCCAGGGATGGCAGTCGGCCGGGCGTCCAGAGTGGGCGCAACCCATCCTACTTTATTTAACATCTGGGGCTAGAAGAGCTGGAGCCTCACTCCTGTGAACTCTCTAAAGGATGCTCAATAGGCTTGACTGCCCAGGCTGTGGGGGAGGGACAGAAAGAGCAGAAATACAGTCAGGAAAAAAAAAAATAAGTAAGAATGAACCTTTCTTCAAATCAAAATTCCAAGGAAGATAACTTCATAGGGATTGGTTTCAAAGGAAACAACCGGTTTGGCTTTCCTTCAGGCCCCCTTCACGTTTGCTCTGGGCTCTACCTGGAATAAGTTCTGGACACGTGAGACTGTGTTTGTTTCCACTGTTGACCAGTCAATCCCCTCCCACTTCACTCCCCATCTCTCTCCTTCCCCAACTTCCACCCTCTGCCAGCCACGGGACGTCTTCCAGGAAACCGGAGCTCTCTGCATAAGCTGTGTGCGTTCTCTCTCGGAAAGAGGCTATCAGCTCTCATGCCGCACAATGACTCATTTCCCCCCTAGAAAGTGCTCTCTCTTTGTGTTCCTGGACCACTGTGGTAACAGCAATGTGGGTTTTTTTTTGAAAGGACAAAAGCAGTATCTTTTTACTGTCTGGTGCTTTGCGGTTAGAAAAAAAAATACATTCACGTATATTCTCAATTGATTTTCACATCAATCCTGTGAGGTAGGGTTAAATGTTTTCTATCAAGGAAGGGTCCTGTGGTCTGTGACCTTGAGAAAGTCACTCATCTCTCACTGCCTTCCATTTTTCCACCTGAAAATGACACACATGGCCACATGCTTTTCCTCCTCCTTTGCATGCAAAGCAACAATTTTTAGAATGTAGAATGAAGAAAAACCTTTGCCCACTGTTTCCATTGGAAAGGGCAGATTCTCCCAACTCTTTGAATTATCTTGCCCTTTTAGCTCTAAACTGAGAGGTAATTAGAATGAACAGCCCAAGAACAGGAAGGAGCTGGGAACAGTGCCAGGCTAGAAACCGATGGGAGGAATTATTATATTTAATACTAATTGTTATCATTTTGAGTACCTATTAGGCTTAAAACTGTGCCAGGCATAGTGCATACATTATCACATTTAATATTTAACAGCCAACAATACTTGTGCAGATAAGGAAACTAAGGGTCAGAGCATCAACAAAACTTGGCTGAGGTTGCATAGCTAATTAGAGATGACATTGGGGTTTGCTTCAAGTTGACCTTTTGCAGAAGCCCACGTACCATTGGGAGTTTCCTCCACACATACCATTTTGTTGCTCCTTAGAATGCTGCAAAATGAAATAGCAGGTTTGCTTGAGCCCAGGAGTTTGAGACTAGCCTGGGCAGCATACGGAGACTCTACCTCTACAAAAAATAAAAATAAAAAATTAGCGCGTGTGGTGCATTGCACCTCTAGTCCCAGCTACTTGGGAGGCTGAGGTGGGAGGATTGCTTGGGCCTAGGAGTTCGAGGCTGCAGTGAGCTATGATCATGCCACTGCACTCACTGCACTCCAGCCTGGGTGACAGAGCAAAACCCTGTTTCAAAAAAAAAAAAAAAAAGATTATCCAGCACTTCTTTCTCACAGTGGCTGCCTCCACTTGTGTTCTTGCCCTAGGTATCTGGCTATTGTCCATCCGCTGAGACCACGGATGAAGTGCCAAACAGCCACTGGCCTGATTGCCTTGGTGTGGACGGTGTCCATCCTGATCGCCATCCCTTCCGCCTACTTCACCACCGAGACGGTCCTCGTCATTGTCAAGAGCCAGGAAAAGATCTTCTGCGGCCAGATCTGGCCTGTGGACCAGCAGCTCTACTACAAGTCCTACTTCCTCTTTATCTTTGGCATAGAATTCGTGGGCCCCGTGGTCACCATGACCCTGTGCTATGCCAGGATCTCCCGGGAGCTCTGGTTCAAGGCGGTCCCTGGATTCCAGACAGAGCAGATCCGCAAGAGGCTGCGCTGCCGCAGGAAGACGGTCCTGGTGCTCATGTGCATCCTCACCGCCTACGTGCTATGCTGGGCGCCCTTCTACGGCTTCACCATCGTGCGCGACTTCTTCCCCACCGTGTTTGTGAAGGAGAAGCACTACCTCACTGCCTTCTACATCGTCGAGTGCATCGCCATGAGCAACAGCATGATCAACACTCTGTGCTTCGTGACCGTCAAGAACGACACCGTCAAGTACTTCAAAAAGATCATGTTGCTCCACTGGAAGGCTTCTTACAATGGCGGTAAGTCCAGTGCAGACCTGGACCTCAAGACAATTGGGATGCCTGCCACCGAAGAGGTGGACTGCATCAGACTAAAATAACCCCCTGGACTTTGCAAAGTTTAAACACAAAGCAGGGTCCTGTGGACACTGACTAGTGTGCTTGGATGCACATCAACCTGGAACTTTTTGTTTGCTGCAGAGGGTAAAGTAAATGGACCACTCTGTGAGCAATGTTTTCAAGGAGCTCAGAGTTTCTAAAATGCATGTGACCAGACACTATCAACAGTGGCATTTGCTGAATGTCTAATTTACACGCCAGTAGGTACTGGTAAAACCTATATATGTTGATGACATTTAGTTGGCAAAATGAAATTGGAATTAAACCAAGGAAAATGTGGTGGTGTAGATAGAAATAAGGGAGTTTCCACAAAAGAACTGGAGTAGGTATCTAGGATTGCAGTACATGTGTTCGTAGTGTGAGAGTATCTCTGGGACTATTCTTGCACTGGACTTCATGCCTAACATTTGCAAGGCTGGAGCAAGAATACGAAAGGGACTCTAGGCTCCTTCTGTAGCCCTTATCCTCTCATCTTTCATGGCGAGGGGCCTTGCATGCATGTGCACGGACATCCCAGTATTCATGGCCAAGTTCTGTGCAAACTCTTCCTCCCACACTGCTCTATGGCCACCCTCAGGCCCAGGGCTCTGCACATAGGTGGTAAGGCTCTTCATCAGAAGGACTGGCTTGGCGAAGAAGACACATAGACCCTGGATGCCATTTGGACAGGGAATTATGGGGTTCTGGGTACCTGGAGTAAGTCCAGAGGGGGAAGCCTGGATTCAGGGTAAGCATGTCCCCTGGCTCCATGGACTTTTTGCCTTCAGTGAGAAGGGAGATGCAAGTGGAGGAGACTCAGAACGGGAAGGCAAAACTGGAAGCATGCAGGGCTCAATGCAGCTCAGGTGTGGCAGGGGCTCAGGCTCTCCAGGTATACAGATGATACCGTTCCCACCTGTTATTTCATTTGGACCAATTAGGCTTCCCCTTAAGTCCTTCCCTTCCCTCTCACGCCTCCATGCTTGTGAAGCATAGAATCTTTGAAAATGGACACAATACCTCCTGGATGTGGCCTTCATTCATTTTTCTGTTTTCACCAGCTCTCAAATGTGAGTGATGAAGAGTTCCCTCCTAACCAGACAGCATGGTAAGGTATCCTCATCGATATGATTTGAGGGCAAGATATCCTTATTACTGGCACCTGAATCCCATCCTAGTCTTTGTTCCTTTGGATTAAGACTTGCTTTGCTTCTAAAATAGGGGTCCTCTTAGGAGGGATAAGCCACACGTTTCTAGTCCTCAGCGTGAATGAAGTCATGTGATCCAGTGGCAGGGGATGCAGGTCAGATGCATCTTCCAGAAGTCTGGGCACCCAGGAAAGAAGGGGACACACAGATAGGTAGTGTCAGACCAAACAATGAGCTTCAGTGACCCCATAGGTTGTTGAAGACTCATCCCACTTTCTAACCTGCCTCCTTTGTTTGATGTTTTGAGTTTTGGAGTTTGGTATTTTGGAGTTGGAAGATCTGAGAGCCAGACTTGACTCTGTCAACTGTGTAGCCCTGGGCAAAGCCTCTCCGAGGGGACAAAGGTAACACCTTTGTCCTTCTGTGGTACCTTCTGTGATACCTGTGATACCTTCTGACTGAGTGGCTATGAGAAGCCAATGAGACAATACGTGGGAGATGCCTTCAACCACACAAGTTATCAAAAGGATGGGCTAGGAACTACGTGTAGTGCGCCTGGACAAGAAAAACCTCTTACTTTGGCTTGTGTATCCAGAAACCTGGCCGTCTCCACTTTTATTTTTCTTTGTGTAAATTATTCCTTTGTGCTTCATAACAGTGCTGTATGCATTATGTGCCTAATGACATGGTTGTGCAAACAAGGTCATGAGATTTGCTGGTAGACGCATAAAGGAAAGGGTGGCTGAGTCTCCGGTTAGAAGATGAGTTTAGGGGTTTGGATACTCCAGAATCGGAGTATCTTTGTGATACTAGAAGTGCTGATCATCTTCCCATGACTGTTCCCAGCCAGCATGAATCTGGGCAATGGAATAGTTGTTTCTCAGTCTGTTTTTATTCTCACGAGTGTGTAGGCTACAGCGTGGACTTGTCTTTTTCTTATTTAACTCTAGAGCAGCGCACTTACAAGGTTATTTAAGTGGCACCTGTATGACATGTTCCCCTCCAAATATAGTCAACTCCTTATTTTGGGCAGCAAAGTTTATTTTGTATAGTTACTTTATTTCCCTGAAAGACACATTACAAAAACCTATTTATTTCTTCCCATTTATCACCCAGTAGACTTACCCTACAATTTAATCAGAATGCTCTTGGAGAGTAAAATTAATTAAAATATTAGCCTAAATCAAAAATGCATTGGAGGGCCATTTTTATTTTTTATATAAGATCATATATTGCATTCTAAAATCTGGAAGGTTAGCTTTTGTATTAAAAAGTTAAAAATGATACAATTTATTGTCATTATGTTCACCGCTTTCATTAAGAATGCTAAACAAGAGTTGATTGTATTAAACAGGAGCTTTTTATATGCGGCAACCAAAGCCCACTCTGCTTTTCAGCCTAAAATGTATCAATTTTTCACTCAACTATCTGTGTTACTTCCAAATATTAGTGTCTGCTTGTAATTTTGTAGTGAATGAGGGTGTTGTGTTGTTATCAAGTGAAATGAAAATACTTGGATATACAGAAAATCATGGAGCGTCATGTCCTGTGAATTCCACCTCCTTTCCTATCCTTTTCCTAGTTGTAGTGACACGGTTCTTTGAGCGAACACTAAGTAGTTTCCATGATCGTATGATTTGTGAGATCAGTGCTAACTCATGCTACAAACTTCCCCTCTCCATCCTAAAGAGATTTAACTGATTTATAGATCCGCTTCCTAGAAGTCTGCTCTGGTAAAGCCATTAATACTTTTTAGCATCTGAGTGCCAAGACTTGAAATTTGAGGACCTGTTTATGTCTATTACATAAGCTAAGGCTAAACCTGAACAGGCTTAATATCCACACGTGCAAAGTGAGCAAGAGACAAACCTATGATATACCGTGCCATGTTCAGATTCATCTAACTAGCTGCCCAGCTGATGGCTTCTCCAAAAACTTGTGGTAAGCCTCACAATATGACACTTGTGCTATGTGTATCTATTCTGTTCTCTAAATACTTTCAGTATGCAAACAGATAAGTATGTTGTCTTATACGGAAGGATAAAGATGTGATTTTGTAAAATCAAACTGTTTCCATAACTAAAGTATAAGGGCAGATTTACAGTAAAGCTTTTGGAGATTTTGTCTACTGAGTACAATTTAAAAAATAATTGGAATGACACTAAACAAGGCAATGTGGTGATCACTCCAGCAATACCTGAAGCATGAAACAAGTTCCAGGCTCCTTATGAAAAAGAATGCCAAAGAATTTGCAAGATGATCAGAAAATTATACATATGAGTCCTATTCTTGAAAAATATATGATATATTTTGGAATATATCCACAAACAATGAGTCCAATTCTCTTTCCTACAGTCAAAGTGAGAATATCAAATTCAAACCACTCATTTCACAGCTGATGAAACTGAAGTCCAGAATGGGGAAGATATTTGTTCATGGTCACACAGCTGGTCACTATGAGAGCCAGGGTTAGACCCCAAGGCTCCTGAAGCTGAGTCCAGGGCTCTTCTACCACAGTGTTCCTGGATGCAGGGAGCATCAGAGTCTTACAAAGGGCAGGATCCTTTTCAAGAATCCTTGAGGTGACTGTTCAACCCCTGTCTGGCCCTCTCTGGAGACCCCTTACTTAAGAAGTTTAGCAGAGACATTCCTAGTTCTTTTGCATGCCAAGTTTAGCTCATTCTACCCCCTGGGAACTCACAGCACAGGCATGGAGGCCAGGAGATTTTAAGGAAGAACTGCTAAAAAATGTTTACAGATACCCTTTCTTTACCTTGCCTAGTTGGGTGTTCCTAGGAATCTAAAAGGAATGACACTAGGCCCCTGTTCATGAGAACAGCTGCCCTCCCCAGGAAATCAGAGGAGAGAAATAAAGAAGCCACACTTGGCCGGGCGCGGTGGCTCATGCCTGTAATCCCAGCACTTTGGGAGGCTGAGGCGGGCGGATCACGAGGTCAAGGGATCGAGACCATCCTGGCCAAGATGGTGAAACCCCATCTCTACTAAAAATACAAAAATAGCTGGGCGTGGTGGCACATGCCTGTAATCCCAGCTACTCAGGAGGCTGAGGCAGGAGAATTGCTTGAACCTGGGAGGCCGAGGTTGCAGTGAGCCAAGATCACGCCACTGCACTCCAGCCTGGTGACAGAGCTTGACGCCGTCTCAGAAAAAAAAAAAAAGAAGAAGCCATACTTGGTTGAACGTCCAGAGGGGTGGGCAGACCCTGTGTGCTCAGAGTTTAGTCACATCAAGGGCCACCTCCTGCCCCTGCTGTTGAGGACAAGAGAGGCTGGGAGGCTTTTGGGAGGAGGTGAGACTTGAGCTGGACAGAAGAAAAAGGTGCAGAGAAGCAAAAGGATGAGTGTTTCACCTGGCAAGAGAAACATTTTCTTTCTTTCCTTTTTTTTTTTTTTTGAGACAAAGTCTCACTCTGTTGCCCAGACTGGAGTGCAGTAGTGCGATCTCTGCTCACTGCAACCTCTGCCTCTCAGGTTCAAGTGATCATCCTGCCTCAGCCTCCTGAGTAGCTGAGATTACAGGCACCCGCCACCACATCCAACTAATTTTTGTATTTTTAGTAGAAACGGGGTTCCACCATGTTGGCCAGGCTGGTCCTGAACTCCTGACCTCAAGTGATCCACCTGCCTTGGCCTCCCAAAGTGTTGGGATTACAGGCATGAGCCAGCCTGAAATACTTCTTTTATCTGCTTTTGGAGGCTGAAATTGCTCTTCCCTGGAGGGGAGGACCTCTCACACAATGATGGGATTGCTATTCCTGGAAGAGGTAGCTCAGAAACTAGAAAACACACAGAGACATAAGAAGGCAATACCAGAGCCTTATCTGAGAGTGGGTTTTGATGGGAGTGAGGCGGGGTCGGGGGGTGGGCCAAGGACAGAGAGAAACTGGCTGTATGAAACAGGTCTGTGTGATGGGGTGAGGGAGGCATTTCATAATTAGGAAAAAAAAGAATATGAAGGGAAAGGTTATTGGAAACAAATTTGGCTGACTTTAATACTAACAGCAAGGAGAATCTGCCATGTATTGGGCTGAGCTGAGCATGTTACAGGAATTGTCTCAGTCAGTCCTCGTACCATCCTCTGAGTCAGGGGCAAGTATCACTCCCACCTACAGATGAGGAAACAGCCTTAAGTCACAGAAGCTGCTCAAGGTCACACAAGCAGTGAATGGTGCGCTGAAATTTGAAGCCCAGTAGTTCAACTCCGGAGCTCAGGCTTTTAATTACTCTGTGCTGCAGCCTTTACATGAAGTGTTTAGCCCTTCCTTAGGCTTTCTAGTAAACCAAATAAACACCTCTCTCCTTAAATCCAATCATTAAGTGATAAATCATCATCTAGATTAACCAGATTTTCTCAAAAACTGAGAATAACACCACTCCCATCTTTATTTTTCCTTCTCTGAGAAGTTTCATTTACCCGTAACAACTGACCCTAATGCAAAAGTCCTTAACTTTTGAGTGTCTTGGGAGCTTCTGGCATCCAGTGAAGTTCACAGCTTCTTCTCAAAATAATGCTTTCAAATTTATTCAATAAAATACGTAAGAATATGGAAGAAATCAATTCTATTAAAATGCAATTCTCAAATTAGTTTAAGTTTGTGGTATAATTATATAAATATTTATATTTCATTTCTTTATATTAAATCTTTAATGTCTTACATAATAAGATTTAGCATCAGGGCTAAAAACTACCATGATTTTGAAGTAGCAATGAATGTAAACGATATTTTGAGACCTCTCTCCAAACTCTAATGAGATGTAAAATATCTCTTGGCGACAGTCTCAGGGACTGCTAATACCAGTGTGGTTGTTGCCTGCTTCATAATGGCAGGAAACGTAAAGTTCAGTTACAGGTTAGTGAGAATAACAAACATTTTTTTTCCCATCCAAGTTCACAGTCCCCTGAACTGGTTTTGAACACCTGCCCGGGGGGAGGCCAAAACACTGGAGTGAGCATTGGGAGAAATGGAGATGGCAGGAAGGAGCAGGCCCACAAATTTAAATGGAATTAAATCAATAGATCTTTACTGGACACTTTTCTTGTAAAGATGCCTGAGCGGGCATTGTGGTTCACTGACTTTCTATCTCTCTGCCTTCTCAACGGCCCCAGTTCTGATCTGCATGACGCGGATTCATCCAAGAAGCCAGGGAGGGTTTCTCCTGATAAACTGGAGTTCCAGGACTCTTTCACACAAGTATTTAACAGACATTTCTTGTCCTAGGCTCAGATGTTACAAAGGTGAATGACACGATTCCAGCTTATGTCCCTGAATGATTGCTCTTAAGAACAGAGGGTATTTTGGTTGCAGGGAAGCACAAAGAAACATCCTGTAAAAGCAGCATTGCAGATTTACTTACCAAAACTATTGCTTTACCCTCTTACTTATTGCTTTTTGTTCTCACATGAATTATTTTGCTTCCGCTGGCCTCATTTGGATTTTGCTGGCCTTTTCACATGTTCTTGAGTAGAGTGATAGACTTATTTTATTTTTATTTTTTCTCGTAGCTTAAGCAATTAAGGGAGTGAGTTTTCCTTTGAGCAGAGTTTTACGTTTGGACATGTAGAGTCTCTTTAGCTCTGACATGGCCCTTTTTATTCCATTATATTTGATATATGTATTGATTAGTTCATACTTTCCATATTCTCTTTATGTATTTAAGAGTTGAAACATTGTCATTTCTTTATTTTATTATTTCCTTTTGTTTTCCATGATTTTTTTTTCTTCCAGGGTAGACTGCTCATTTTTCTTTCTGTTCCTTTGTGTCTCTCTCTCTCTCATTGTTTGATTTCTTTTCGTTTGTCATAATTCTGCATAGCTTTCCTGTTGTGATTATTTTTATTTTATTCATCTTGGACAGACCCAGCTCTGTTCCCCAGTGTGTTGACCAAATCAGGGTGACTGAATTTCCCTTATTCTACTTCCTCTTTATCTGGTTGCTTCCTCTGTTTATAGCTTCAATTAGAGAGTTGGTGCTCCACATTTCATATTGCTGGGGATGGAAGTGAGAGAACTCTTTGTAGCCATGATTGGTGGGCTGTGTCTTCGTTGTGTTATTTTTTTAAAAGTTCTATTCTGGAATTCAGTTTTGCTGGCACTGCATATCCCATCCTTGGGGGTGATGCCCAGGGTTTTGGATTATTTTTTCAACTCAGAACTACTGAGCCTTCCATTCCATCAGTGATGATCTGCTCTAGATGAGTTATTCTTAGTTTTATCTACTTTTTTTTCCCCGGTCTACATCTCTTTCTACTCTCCCACTCATTTGGTGAGAAAATTTGAAGGCTTCTGGGTAGAGTATTTTACTCTTGCTTGTGTAGATCCCCTCTCTACCTTGCTGTATCACCTAGAGACTGACTTTTGGACTATACCATTGAGCAACGTTTCCCTCTAGTTTCTTTCTGGATTAGATCAATGGCAGGCACCAATGGGACATTAGAGGATAAAGCAGAGTGAGGTGAGGATTTGTTCAGTTGAGTCCCAACTTTCCAGATCATGAGGGCTGGCAGCCCCCACCACTACTGGGCAGCTAACAGCTATAGCTGTTGGTCTCTTTGGGTCCTGGTAGCTGTTCCTCCCCTTTGCCCTCAGGCCTAGGGCTGGTGGGCTCCCTTTTTAATGACCTCAGGGCACTCCCTGTCTCTTGTTGGTTCATCTTAGCTCTAGCCATACCATTGCAAACCTGTCTTTTATTAAAGTCTCCCCTCTATTTCCTAATAGTTCCCTGACTGGTGTAGTGCTGGTCATAGCACTATACATTGCAGTAGAAGAGGGTGATCTGGAGCTCCCCACGCATATCTCTTACGAGTCACTCACCCTAGAAAAGCCAAAATCAAGTTCTTGCCTTAGTTTTCTCTTTCAATTTTGCTAAATTAATACCAGCGGGGGTTTCCCGAACACAGGTGTCACCTCGACCCCAGCCAGTGTCCAGGCTGTTTATACCATCACCAGAAGGAATTCAAGGATGAGTCAGAAAATAGTGAAAGTATGGAGATTTATTACAAAGTGAAAAATACACACTTGAGAAAGGGGAGAGCAGGCATACTCAAGAGTTGTGCACGAGGGATTTGAGGCTGCTACCTTTATGGGTTTCTCTAACCATGGGGTGGAATATTCATGAAAACTCCTGGAAAAAGGTGAAGATTTGTATGAACTGTGGGGCCACCCATTTTTACACCAAATATGGGTGTTCCTGGAACTGTCATGGTGCTGTTGAGTATGTGATTGAGTATGTTAACGAGCATAAAATGAGGTCCTAAGTGAAACCTAGGTCAAATCCAGCACCATGTTGGGTCCAGTCAGTCTTAGCCAGCTTGGTTCACACCCTGTTTTTCAGGGATTTATCAGTCCCTAGATTCTGTGTCTATTTCAACAGTTTCCTTTTGCTAGTCATGTGAAACTGCTGCCTGGAATTTTCTGTTCTCCTGCAACCACTCTGTATTATTCCACTCTCAAAATCATTTTTTCTTTTTAGAAATATTAGCTTTGGGAGGTTATTTTTTCAAACATTTTCTTGTCTTCTTTCCAGTCAGTGAAAAACAAAATGGCAAATTCTGGCAGTTTCTCCCATTTCTGGTATGTCATTATCCATCGTGGTGGGAAGAAACTTTTAATCCATAAGGGAACCTTTAGTTTGTTCCTCTACGATGTCTACCTCCCACAACCAGTGTGCTTCCATCACAGTGAGGGGTATTCGCATGATTTTTTTTCAGCATTTTATCTACTCCCTTTCTTCATGGTGCCACTTTTAAAGGGTGGAGTTGGAACCATTTTCCATCATATGTGTATGAGATTGTGCTCCTTCCTTAATTTGAAAACAGCCTTGGATTTTATCTATCACATCTATTTGTATACCTATATAACTTATTGTTGCTTACTTCATAAGGTTTAATGATATATCTCTCTCTATATATTCCCTAGAAAACCATTGTGTGTATGTTTGTGTGTGTGTGTGCGTGTGTGTGTGTGTGTGTGTGTGTGTGTGTGTGTATAGAGAAGATAACTATGGGAAGATTAATATGTTGGAAGGATTAGTGGCCAGAAAGAATGGGATCAGAGAGACCAATTAAGAGGTAGTAAAAGTACAAAGGAAGACATGAATGGAGTGAAGGTCTTAAAGTGCTACTGGAGAAAAGGAAGGAAGAGTAGGAGGGGATGATGGTGACATTTGGAGGTTGGATGACTGGCAATTCAGGAGCAGGGACTGGCTTAGGAGGCAGATAAGATGTTTATTATTATATATGTTGATTTTGAGGTACTGATAAAATATTTAGATATATCCAGCAAGTGGTTAGAAATATTAATTACAAGTTTAGGAGAAAATTGGAAATTAGAGAGACTTGGCTACCATTCACTTTGAACTATCACAAAGACCAGATCATCAAATTAGACTCACAAATTAGAGCTCTTACTCAGTATCAAACTTCACTAATAATGTCAAGTCTAAAGAAATTAAGAAGTTTGGTAAAGCAGGAATGGTCTGAAGATAATTCATTGTCCCCATAGCTCCTCCTTTCCCACATTCAATATGGTCCTTGACCCAAAACAAATGATGAGGTCTCTATATGCAATTTTCAGTCACCTCACTAGGTGGGGAATATTTAGGTTATGAAACATTTCCTTTTTTCCCCTTTAAACACAGATCATTATAGGGATTTTGTGACTTTTTAAAAAGCAGTCATGAGTCATGAATCCATAGATTCTAGTTTTATTTTACATAAGTAATCCTGAATAGGGATATTTTGCTAAGTGGATTATCTGTACACAGATAAAGACTCTTGTCATATCAAACCACTAATCTATTTCAGGAGATGGAGCGACCTACAGGTTTCCAAGGAGATTTGGCTGAGCTACCTACCTTCTTACCTTAAGAGAATTCCTCTGGTAATGAATAAAAACTGACCACAGACTAGCTGCCTTAACATAATCCTTCCCTTGCATAAACTCAGTAATTGAAATATTTGGAATGAATAAGAAACTGAGAGGACAGAATCTATAGAGAAAATTAAACTAGCCACTTTACAAATAAAAGGAGAAATAGGAACCAGGAATGGGAAGGGAAAGAGAAAATTCAGATTATTCCAATTAAGAAAGTGAATTTAGTGTGACTGGGAAGTTTAGCTTTAATTTACTTTCCAGTATTCTCTTTTTACTTTGTAAAAGAATCAGAATGTCAAAATACCAATGTTACTTTTCAAAAAATTAAAAAATACAATCCTAAAGTTTATATGGAACCAAAAAAGAGCCCAAACAACCAAAGCAATCCTAAGCAAAAATAACAAAGCTGAAGGCATCATATTATCCAACTTCAAATTATACTGTAACACTATCATAACCCAAAAAGCACGATACTGGTATAAAAAAAGACACATAGATCAATGGAACAGAATCCAGAATCCAGAAATAAACCCAGAGAACCCACATATCTACAGCCAACTGATCTTTGACAAAGTCAACAAAGACATACACTGGGGAAATAACACCCTTTTCAACAAAAGGTACTGGCAAATTGGATTGTGATATGCAGAAGAATTAAATTGGACCCTTATCTCTCACCATATACAAAAATCAACCCAAGATGGATTAAAGACTTAAATGTAAGATCTGATACTAGAAAAATTCTAGAAGAAAATCTAGAGAAAACTCTTCTGGACATTGCTCTAGGCAAAAAAATCATGACTAAGACCTCAAAAGCACAGGCCACAAAACTAAAAATAGACAAATGGGACTTAATTAAACTAAATGCCTTCTGCACAGCCAAAGAAATAATCAGCAGAGAGAACAGACAGCCTGCAGGATGAGAGAAAATACTTGCAAACTGTAAATTCAACAGAGGGCTAATATCCAGAATTTACAAAGAACTCAACTCAACAACAACAAAAACAAATAACCCTATTAAAAAGTGGACAAAAGGTATGGATAGATATTTTTCAAAAGAAGACATAAAAATGGCCAACAAGCATATAAAAAAAATGCTCAACATTTCTAATCATTGGGGTATTGCAAATAAAAGCCACAATGAGACGTCATCTTATACCAGTCAGAATGGCTATTATTAAAATGTAAAAAACAAACAGATATTGGTGAGGATGCAGAGAAAAGGAAGCACTTATGTACTGTTACTAGGAATGTAAATTAGTACAACCTCTATGGAAAACAGTATGGAGATTTCTCAAAGAACTACAAATAGAACTATCATTTGCTCTAGCAATCCCACTACTGAATATCTACCCAAAGGAAAAGAAATCACTATTATCGAAGAGATACCTGCACTCATGTTTCTCACAGCACTATTCACAATAGTAAAGATATCGAATCGACCTAAGTATTCATCAACAGATGGTTGGAGAAAGAAAATGTAGTACATAGAACTACATTTTCTTTGTAGTATGTAGGAATGTGCTGCATAAGAATATTGTTCAGCCATAGAAAAGAATGTAATCATGTCTTTTGCAGCAACATGTTTGAAACTAGAAGCCATTAACTTAAGTAAAATAATTCAGAAATAGAGAGCCAAATACTGCATGTTCTTACTTATAAGTGGGAGCTAAATAATGTGTACACATGGACATACAGTGTGGAATAATAGACACTGGAGACTTGGAAAGATGGGAGGTTGGGAGGGAGATGAGGGATAATAAATGACCTAATATGTCCCGTGTGCATTATTTGAGTGATGGTTACACCAAAAGGCCAGATTTCACCACTACACAATATATCCATGTAGCAAAACTGCACTTGTGTCCCTTAAATTTATACCAAAAAAAGAAATCAAAATTTTACTTCAGAATAAAATTGTATTTCCCAGACTCCCTTGCTGCTAAGAATGATCATGTGACTAAGTGCCTATCAGTAAAACCTAAGAGGAAACTTAAGAAAGTAGAGAACTTGCTTCTCTAAAATGAGAAGTACTTTCTTTCCCTTCCAAAATTCTGCTGTTTAAAATGCGATGTAATGGCTGAAGCTCCAGGAGCCATATTTGATAATAAAACTCAGTCTTGCATTGTAGGCATGGTGGTCCAGAGAGCAGAAAAGATAATGGGCCCATGGTAACCTGTGGTGTCCATGCCAACACTGGACTGATTATCTCCCCTTCTCCTAGTGAGATACCAATAAGCTTCCACCTGGTTTAAGTCACTGTCTATGGAATTCTGTTCCTAGTTGCTACCCTAGGAAAAGTACCCTTAACTGGACACCCAGAATAACTCAGTATCAGTTAGCTCTGACTATGTTTTGTCTTCCACATAATCACCATCTTTTCAACAAAGATTGCATTGTCAAACTACATGGATGGGATATCAATATTCTCCAGCATATTAGGACCTTAATAAAAATAGAATCTAAACATTTTCAGTTTACCACACTTGTGAGGACTTTTTTTTTTTAACATGATCTTAAGGTGCATTCTCTTTATCATAGGCAAGTTTTTCTTTTTGAGGATAAGATCTACCTAAATGTTCATTTTGACTATTGCGATATGGGATATAACAATATATTACACTATTAATTCGAGTTAATCCAGTGTCTCTGTGCACTCTATTAAGTACTTTACAAGCATAATTTTATTTAATCCTTATAACCTTGTGACTGGGTGGTACTAGTGTTCCTGACAGTCACTTGTCCAGTAAGTGGTTAGCCTACAGTTCAGAAGCAGGATGTTTTGGTTTCAGAACATGAGGTCACTAGGCTACACTATTTTTTAGCTTCTAGGGTCTCTTTTATTTTTGCACTTAAAGAGATGAAACCAAGGATTGGAAAGAATACCTCTAAATGACACTGAGATGGAACACCTTATATGGTCTTTCCTTTGACCCTTCTATGTCTACTAACGTGCAGAGAGTGTTTGAGGACAAAGGCTCATTGTAATGAGAATTAACTCTAAGTGCACAATGTTTCTGAGGTTTTGCCCTTTGCCATAAAGTAAAAAGGCAACAGGTGGGACAGATAAATCCAATGGAGTTGTTAGCTTCCATGCACTGATAATTAGAAAAGACCCCCAAACTGGCCACCAAGATGGGAGTTCTGAGGCTATGGATAGTAGAGAAGCAGGTTCCTATGATGCTGTTTCAAAACTGAGCTCTCTGAAATGTCAATACCAGAAAGCTAAAATGAATAGATGATTAGGATTAGGCTTGGAGAAACTTGGGGTTAAAACAGTTCTCATGAGGCATTAAAATGTAGTCCTATAGCTCTCTGACCTTTTTATTTAAGAAGTGGGCCAACCAAAGTCTTCCATGAATTTCAAGGAAGAACAGTTTGAACATCAATAAACAGTAAACACACTAATGAGCACATTTTGCTTTTTAACAGCATTATAAAAATATGGGACAAAGAAGGTCATCTTCATCTGGACATACACAGAAATATATAGAATCCTTGAATTAGCACAGGCATTAGTGTCATTATTTTTGGAATCTACAAAGAAAAAATATCTAGAGTCTCAAAATGGCAGTTTGCAAAGGAAAGCATACCTCATTCCAGCTGTTAAGACGTTTAAAATAACTTTTTTTTTTTTGAGATGGAGTCTTGCTCTTGTCACCCAGGCTGGAGTGCAGTGGCATGATCTTGGCTCACTGCAACCTCCACCTCCCAGGTCCAAGCAATTCTCCTGCCTCAGCCTCCTAAGTAGCTGAGATTACAAGTGCCGACCACCACACCCGGCTAGTTTTTGTACTTTTAGTAGAGACAGGGTTTCACCATGTTGGCCAGGCTGCTCTTGAACTCCTGACCTCAGGTGATCCACCCACCTTGGCTTCCCAAAGTGCTGGGATTACAGGCGTGAGCCACCACACCCAATCTAAAAGAACTTTTTGACTGCTAGGAAGAGGTTGGGTCTTCAGATGAAATGTTCTCAGCAGTCAATCAGCGTATCCATGGAGACATATCACCAAACCAAGTAAGTACACCACCCACCTCAGCCTACCCCAGTAGGGTAGTTAGAGTACAGTGATATTGCATTGCTTAAGTCTTACTTGTCTATAATACAGCAGGAAGTTCTGGCATGATCCTCTTTCCAACTATTGCTGAGGCTTCTGAAGGTCTAGGTTTCACACATTCCTTTTTGATCTTTGCCCATCAGTTCAGCCAGTCAGCTCACTCTGGCTGTTGCTGAAGTCTGTGGGCTATGCCCCTCCACGAGGGGGCTCCCACCACCTGCATGGTGTAGGAGCTTGTCTACCTCTTCCAAAATTCCCCAACATAGGAGAGAGGAGAAAAACCTCCCACCTTCAGTTGAGGACCAGGCTTCGTGCATTTCCTTTGATCGGATTTCCCCATCTTTTATTCACTCATAATGGTTTACTATGAGTGAATCTCTTATTCACTCACAGCAGTTTACTATTCTCAAAATCTGAATATGTTCAGTATTTAATGGGTGGGACACCAGTAGCCCATCTCAGATAGACTTGTGCCCATGAAGCCTAATTCCTTCTTTCATCCAGTGTGAGGTGAGGAGTAGTTGGCCCTAATTCATGGTCTCTATAATGTGATCTTCACTGAGTAAATACTTGGGCAGAAATATACACATACATCTACTAAAAATAAACACTTCTTTTCAAGGATTGCTCACAATCCACATTTGGGGTGTGCCTGTGGTCGGGCAGGGGGTCTTTTCTCACTGCAGGGACACAATCTCACTAAAGATATAGCTAATTACATTATGAAAACCACAGTAGTCGTGGTCTCAAGCATCAGCAGTCAGGTAATGAACAATGAGTGAGTATTACATATACATATAAATACACACACACACACACACACACACACACACACACACACACACACAGAGGCTCCAGTTGCCAACCCTACACTGTTATGCTGAAGATACCTGCCAAGTCCTTCCCTGGGAAACAAGGCATTTTTGGGAAGTGAGGTTATTGTTTAGGGTAAGATGAACTTCTTGTATTACCACTGGATTTCTCCTCATTTGTTTCTCTACGTCCCTCTTATAAGTGGGGAATTCATAGGAGCTGACAGTGTAAATGGTCTTCTCAGAAAACCCTCCCTGTGGTTTAAAGAAAACCTATCCTACCTCACATTCTGGCATGGAGCTGAGAGAAACCTGCACAGCTGTGAAAGGTAGATCAGCATTGCTGAGCTTCCTCCAAAGAATTCTCTCTAAACCATCAGCCAAGAATCACTTTCTTGGAGAATTCAGCTCTTTGGGGACTGAGAACTCTTTTCCCTTTGCAGTGCCCCAGTGGAAGCATTTTCTTCACGCAGATAACAAGCCTAGGCATCCTGCTGGCTTGTTTACATACTTAATAGAAATGCTGTTTTGCTCCCCATCTGTGCTTGAGGCTTGGCCAGAAAGGAGTCATCTCTGGGACTAAGAGAAGAAATGTCAGAGCATACTGCTTAGCCCAGATACTATGCTTGCAGTTACCCCCTCCAGGGCTCATGGGTGGAACAAAAATGAAACCAGTTTCTTTTAGTTTATACAACCTTTATTATTTTTCAGATTGAAAATTCAGGAATTTTTTAAAACAGCCAGTGAAGTTGGTATCATTGTTTTCACCCAAAATTATTCATGCTACTATGTACCAGTACCATGTAGGTGTTTGGGAATTCAGCAAAGAACAAGACAAAGTTTCAGCCCTCATGGAACTTACAGTCTAGATCAATCAAACAAACAAACAAACAAAAAACCAAAAAAGAGTATTTCGTAAACATAATTTCTGATAGTGGTAAGTATTGTGAAAAAAAGGAGAGCCGGGTAAAGGGCCAGGAGGTGACAATTGAAGGAATGAGGCAGAAAGGAATTGAAGGTAGTTTAGATTGAGAGGTCAGGAATAGCTTGGCTTCTTGAACACGGAGACTGTTTTACCGGAAAGGGGTCCCGAACCAGACCCGAAGAGAGGGTTCTTGAACTTCACTCAAGAAAGAATTCAGGGTGACTCCCTAGAGCAAAGTGAAAGCAAGTTTATTAAGAAAGTAAAGGAATAAGGAATGGCTACTCCATAGGCAGAGCAGTGGCATGGGCTTCTCGACTGAGTATACTTATAGTTATTTCTTGATTATATGCTAAACGAGGGGTGGTTATTCATGAGGTTTCCAGGAAAAGGGGGTATTTACTGGAACTGAGAATTCCTCTCTTTTTAGACTATAAAGGGGAACTTGCAGACATTGCCGTGGCATTTGTAAACGGTCATGGCGCTGGTGGGACGTCTTTTAGCATGCTAATACATTATAATTAGTGTGTAATGAACTAAGCAGTGAGGATGACCAGAGGTCACTTTCATCACCATCTTGGTTTTGGTAGGTTTTGGCTGGTTTCTTTACTGCATCCTGTTTTACCAGCAGGGTCTTTGTGACCTGTATCTTTGGTTGACCTCCTATTTCATCTTGTGACTAGGAATGCCTAACCTCTTGGGAATGCAGGCCAGTAGGTCTCAGCCTTATTTTACCCAGCCCCTATTCAAGATGGAGTGACTCTGGTTCAAATGCCTCTGACAAGATGAAGAAGCCAGCCCTTCAAATATCTGGGAGAACTTTCCGAGCAGTGAACTTGCAAGTCCAGAGTCCCAAGACGGGAAGCTTGGAGAGATGAGGAACAGTAAGACGCTAGTGTGGCTGGAGTAAGGAGGGCATGAGCGGAGCTGACATTGGAGAAGAGGCCACACAGCAGATCACCCAATCCCTCACAGGTCATGGCAGAGTGTAAATTTTTTTCCTAAATGTGAGTGGAGTTTGATGGAGAGTTTTAAACAAGGAATTGACTTGGCTCTAAATTAGGGTTTAAAATTAAGCACTTGGCCCATTGCCATGAAAATTGCTGGGGAAGGCAGGGGAGTGGGCAAAGTTTGGAAGCTGGGAAACCACCTATGACTGGCTTTAATTTCTGGAAGCCTTCCATTCCATCAAGTTTTTCACTTCAGTTTCTATATTTTTAATTGCTAAGACTCTATTAGTGCTCCAAATATTCAATTTTTATAGCATTCTTTTCTTGTATCTTAGATGCAATTTTTTCTCTTATCTTTCAGGGGATATTATTGTTACTTTGTGAACTACTCTGTTCTTTGAATTGTCTCTATTGCTAACAAGTGTGTTGTATTTTATTAATTATTATCATTTTCTAGGCTTAGTGGTTAAGGACATAGACACGAGACAGATTGCCAGCTTAGAATGACAGCTTCTCAGCTTACAGTGTGACCTTGGGCAAGTTACTTAATGTCTCCATGCCTCAGTTCCTTCACTTTTTCCATGGATGTAATAATAGTATTTACTTAAATGGTGATTGTGAAGATTAAGTGTGTAAATATACATAAAGTACTTAGAATAGTACCTAGCTCACAGTATACGCTTAATAAGGGTTAACCCTTATTTTTTCTATTTGCTTTGGTCTGTCTTTTATATTAGATGCTTTCCTCAAGTTGCCTGGTAATTCTTGACTCTTCCTTCATATTTAATAATGAGGTACTGATAGGCTGTCTTGGAGCTCTGGGCATAAAGAGAAGGCTTGTTCACTATGGACATGATACTAGGGTCTGTAGCTGGGCTAGATCTTTTGGGAACAAGATTTATCTTCAATTCTTTTCTCTTGGGCTGGTTATGATTCAGAGAAGGATCTCCTAGTGTCCTTTTTGGGCTCTCTACATTCAGGTTGTCAACTTTAAACTCAATCCCCTATTTTCTGACGGTACCCCTTCCATCAACTGTGTTTTATGGCCCAAATCTTCAACATCTCTGTTTAATCCTCTTCAAAAAATAGCCTTCTGGTTTTATCTGAATAGGTCAGAGCAGATGTCCAGGTCAGTAATGATGGGAAGAGATCTGGAGTCAAAATTTTTTCCAACAGACTTTCTTTTCATCTCCCTGCTTTCAACCTTGTCTTTACCCTCACTTCCAAAGATGCCAAGTCCTACTAATTCCTGGAACTTCGGAGGGTTCAATGGTTCAAACATGGCTGCTTCTCAGCTTTCCTCACTGATTTTGGGGATTTAGCCTTCTTGGACAACTAAGTTCATTTGCTTTCCAGCTTCTAAATTTCATTATCTTATTTCCATTCCTGCTTTCATTTTCTTTGTTAAAAAAAATCTCTTTGCAGTCATTTTCATGAGGTTTAGGAAACATTAGAGACTCACGGGAGTCTTTAATCTGTCATGTGTAACTGAAGGCTGGAGGTTCAGCCCCTAATTTTAAAGGTTTGAGGTTTGAGGTCCAGAAAGGCCGCACAGCTGCTTGGAAATAACATGGAGTGGAGATTGGGGTCTTGATTTGTTGCCAAAAACTTATCCTGCTACTTCACTCTGCCCCTTAGAAGCCTCAGGAGACCTGATTTGATAACGTTGAGCAGGTTTTCTTCTCAATCTCAATGGCCAAGGGCAAAGAGTCTACTCTGGTCCCCAGCCTCGGTAAAGCCCCAGAGAGCAGGTAAAGTTGTGATTCTTCATGGTCTTTGAGTCCTCACCTATGGAGCCATGGTCTGTACTTGGGGGAGCAACTAGACGTTTTAACTTTCCCTCACAGTGGGCTAATGCCCAAGGGAGGCTCTTCATTCTAATAAGTTCTCATAAAAGGGTAAAATTTTCCTGTATTTTTGAATAACACGATGGATATTTTCTCTCAGGAAAATGCAACTAGGTTATGGGACAACATGCAGAAGATAAAGCAATGTATTGAAATATAGGGAGTGAGTTGGGAGGAAATGGCCTCAATGAGAACCTAACTAGGGCCAGGATCAAATGAAGCCAGTTAAGAGGAGAAGAGGAATGTTAGAGCAGGATGGGCCAGAACAAATTATTTGGAAGGTTTTATCTGCTATAAGCTTTTATAATTTTTGGTTGTGAATATCTTAATTATGAAAGAGAAGACTTTGCAAGAATATGTGTCAGAAGGCTTAACTCTTCATTTTGTTGCAATTTAGAAGAATATATGACTACAAGACTTGGCATCTTATCAGTTTCTCCTGCCAGCCCAAGTACACCTGTGTGTGACCCTGGTCAGAGCCATTCCTGATACATGATGAGTTGTAAGGAACCAAATCCCCAGTGGATCTGGACTTCCATTTCAGCAATTGTCACAGAGCCTCCCTCAAACCCAGGTTACACTCTTGCTACTCAGTCTAGTATTGATGCTCCCACCTAAAAATACCTCAATCGAAACTTTTACGGAACTTTTTTTCTTTTTCAACTTTTATTTTAGATTCAGAAGGTACATACGCAAATTTGTTGCCTGGGTATATTGTGTGATACTGAAATTCGGGATATGAATAATCCCATCACTCACATAGTAAGCATAGTACCCAACAACTGTTGGGTACTAGTTTTTCAACCCTTCTTCCCCCTCTTCCTCACTCTAGTCATCTCCAGTTTCTATTGTTTCCATCTTTATGTCCATAAGCACCCAATGGTTAGCTCCCACTTATCAATAAAAACATGCAGTATTTGGTTTTCTGTTCCTGTGTTAATTCACTTATGATAATGACCTCCAGGTGCATCCATGTTGCTGCAGAGGACATGATTTTGTTCTTTTGTATGACTGCATAGTATTTCATGGTGTATATGTACCATATTTTCTTTATCTAGTCCACCATTGATGGGCGCTTAAGTTAATTCCATATATTTGCTATTGTAAATAGTGTTGCAATGAACATACTAGTGCACATGTCTTTCTGGTTGGATGATTTCTTATCTTCTAACTATATACCCTGTAATGGGATTGCTGGGTCGAATGGTAGTTCTATTTTAAGTTCTTTAAGAAATCTCCAAACTGCTTTCCACAGTGGCTGAACTAATTTACATTTCCAACAACAGTGTATAAGCTTTCCCTTTTCTTTCAGCCTCACCAACATCTATTGTTTTTTGACTTTTTAATAATAGGCATTGTTACTGGTGCAAGATAGTATCTCAATGTGGTTTTGGTTTACATTTCTCTGATGATTAGTGATGACAAGCATGTTTTCATATATTTGTTGGCTGCTTGTATGTCTTCTTTTGAGAAGTGTTTGTTCATGTCTTTTGCCCATTTTTGATGGAGCTGTTTTTGGCTTGTTGAATTTTTTTTAGTTCTTTACAGATTCTGGATATTAGACCTTTGTCAGATGCATACTTTGTGAATGTTTTCTCCTATTATGTAGGTTGTCTGTTTGCTCTGTTGATAGTCTCCTTTGCTGTGCAGAAGCACTTCAGTTTAATTGTCAGTTTTTGTTTTTCTTGCAACTGCTTTTGAGGACTTAGTCATAAATTATTCCCCAAGGCCCATGTCGAGAATGGCATTTCCTAGGTTTTAGGATTCCTTTTTTTTTTTTTTTTTTTTTTTTAAAAAAAAAAACAGGGTCTCACTCTGTCACCCAGGCTGGAGTGCAGTGGCACAATCTTGACTCATTGCAGCCTCAACCTTCCTGGGCTCAGGTGATCCTCCCACCTCAGCCTTCTGAGTAGCTGGGACTACAGTTGCCTGCCACCATGCCTGGCTAATTTTTGTATTTCTTGTAAAGACAGAGATTTGCCATGTTGCCCAGTCCGGTCTTGAACTCTTGGGATCAAAGTATCTAACCACTTAGCCTCTCAAAGTGCTGGGATTACAGGTGTGAGCCACTGTGCCTGGCCTTATTCTAGGATTCTTATAATTTGAGGTGTTATACTAAATCTTTAATCCATCTTGAGTTAATTTTTTTTAATTAATTTATTATTATTATACTTTAAGTTTTAGGGTACATGTGCACAATGTGTAGGTTAGTTACATATGTATACATGTGTCATGCTGGTGTGCTGCACCCACTAACTCGTCATCTAGCATTAGGTATATCTCCCAATGCTATCCCTCCCCACTCCCTCACCCCACAACAGTCCCCAGAGTGTGATGTTCCCCTTCTTGTGTCAATGTGTTCTCATTGTTCAATTCCCACCTATAAGTGAGAATATGTGGTGTCTGGTTTTTTGTTCTTGCGATAGTTTACTGAGAATGATGATTTCCAGTTTCATCCATGTCCCTACAAAGGACATGAACTCATCATTTTTTATGGCTGCATAGTATTCCATGGTGTATATGTGCCACATTTTCTTAATCCAGTCTATCGTTGTTGGACATTCGGGTTGGTTCCAAGTCTTTGCTATTGTGAATAGTGCCGCAATAAACATACGTGTGCATGTGTCTTTATAGCAGCATGATTTATAGTCCTTTGGGTATATACCCAGTAATGGGATGGCTGGGTCAAATGGTATTTCTAGTTCTAGATCCCTGAGGAATTGCCACACTGACTTCCACACTGGCTGAACTAGTTTACAGTCCCAACAGTGTAAAAGTGTTCCTATTTCTCCACATCCTCTCCGGCCCCTGTTGTTTCCTGACTTTTTAATGATTGCTATTCTAACTGGTGTGAGATGGTATCTCATTGTGGTTTTGATTTGCATTTCTCTGATGGCCAGTGATGATGAGCATTTTTTCATGTGTTTTTTGGCTGCATAAATGTCTTCTTTTGAGAAGTGTCAGTTCATGTCCTTTGCCCACTTTTTGATGGGGTTGTTTGTTTGTTTCTTGTAAATTTGTTTGAGTTCATTGTAGATTCTGGATATTAGCCCTTTGTCAGATGAGTAGGTTGCGAAAATTTTCTCCCATTTTGTAGGTTGCCTGTTCACTCTGATGGTAGTTTGTTTTGCTGTGCAGAAGCTCTTTAGTTTAATGAGATCCCATTTGTCAATTTTGGCTTTTGTTGACATTGCTTTTGGTGTTTTAGACATGAAGTCCTTGCCCATGCCTATGTCCTGAATGGTAATGCCTAGGTTTTCTTCCAGGGTTTTTATGGTTTTAGGCCTAACGTTTAAGTCTTTAATCCATCTTGAATTGATTTTTGTATAAGGTGTAAGGAAGGGATCCAGTTTCAGCTTTCTACATATGGCTAGCCAGTTTTCCCAGCACCATTTATTAAATAGGGAATCCTTTCCCCATTGCTTGTTTTTCTCAGGTTTGTCAAAGATCAGATAGTTGTAGATATGTGGCGTTATTTCTGAGGGCTCTGTCCTGTTCCATTGATGTATATCTCTGTTTTGGTACCAGTACCATGCTGTTTTGGTTACTGTAGCCTTGTAGTATAGTTTGAAGTCAGGTAGTGTGATGCCTCCAGCTTTGTTCTTTTGGCTTAGGATTGACTTGGCGATGCGGGCTCTTTTTTGGTTCCATATGAACTTTCAACCCCTGCCTTTTTTTGTTTTCCATTTGCTTGGTAGATCTTCCTCCATCCTTTTATTTGGAGCCTATGTGTGTCTCTGCACGTGAGATGGGTTTCCTGAATACAGCACACTGATGGGTCTTGACTCTTTATCCAATTTGCCAGTCTGTGTCTTTTAATTGGAGCATTTAGTCCATTTACATTTAAAGTTAATATTGTTATGTGTGTATTTGATCCTGTCGTTATGATGTTAGCTGGTTATTTTGCTCATTAGTTCATGCAGTTTCTTCCTACTCTCGATGGTCTTTACATTTTGGCATGATTTTGCAGTGGCTGGTACCAGTTGTTCCTTTCCATGTTTAGCACTTCCTTCAGGAGCTCTTTTAGGGCAGGCCTGGTGGTGACAAAATCTCTCAGCATTTGCTTGTCTGTAAAGTATTTTATTTCTCCTTCACTTATGAAGCTTAGTTTGGCTGGATATGAAATTCTGGGTTGAAAATTCTTTTCTTTAAGAATGTTGAATATTGGCCCCCACTCTCTTCTGGCTTGTAGAGTTTCTGCCGAGAGATCAGCTGTTAGTCTGATGGGTTTCCCTTTGAGGGTAACCCGACCTTTCTCTCTGGCTGCCCTTAACATTTTTTCCTTCATTTCAACTTTGGTGAATCTGACAATTATGTGTCTTGGAGTTGCTCTTCTCGAGGAGTATCTTTGTGGCGTTCTCTGTATTTCCTGAATCTGAATGTTGGCCTGCCTTGCTAGATTGGGGAAGTTCTCCTGGATAATATCCTGCAGAGTGTTTTCCAACTTGGTTCCATTCTCCCCGTCACTTTCAGGTACACCAATCAGACGTAGATTTGGTCTTTTCACATAGTCCCATATGTCTTGGAGGGTTTGCTCATTTCTTTTTATTCTTTTTTCTCTAAACTTCCCTTCTCACTTCATTTCATTCACTTCATCTTCCATCGCTGATACCCTTTCTTCCAGTTGATTGCGTCAGCTCCTGAGGCTTCTGCATTCTTCACATAGTTCTCCAGCCTTGGTTTTCAGCTCCATCAGCTCCTTTAAACACTTCTCTGTATTTGTTATTCTAGTTATACATTCTTCTAAACTTTTTTCAAAGTTTTCAACTTCTTTGCCTTTGGTTTGAATTTTCTCCCGTAGCTCGGAGTAATTTGATCGTCTGAAGCCTTCTTCTCTCAGCTCGTCAAAGTCATTCTCCCTCCAGCTTTGTTCCGTTGCTGGTGAGGAACTGTGTTCCTTTGGAGGAGGAGAGGCGCTCTGCTTTTTAGAGTTTCCAGTTTTTCCTGCTCTGTTTTTTCCCCATCTTTGTGGTTTTATCTACTTTTGGTCTTTGATGATGGTGATGTACAGATGGGTTTTTGGTGTGGATGTCCTTTCTGTTTGTTAGTTTTCCTTCTAACAGACAGGACCCTCAGCTGCAGGTCTGTTGGAGTGCCTGGCTGTGTGAGGTGTCAGTCTGCCCCTGCTGGGCGGTGCCTCCCTGTTAGGCTGCTTGGGGGTCAGGGGTCAGGGACCCACTTGAGGAGGCAGTCTGCCCATTCTCACATCTCCAGCTGCGTGCTGGGAGAACCACTGCTCTCTTCAAAGCTGTCAGACAGGGACATTTAAGTCTGCAGCGGTTACTGCTGTCTTTTTGTTTGTCTGTGCCCTGCCCCCAGAGGCGGAGCCTACAGAGGCAAGCAGGCCTCCTTGAGCTGTGGTGGGCTCCACCCAGTTCGAGCTTCCCGGCTGCTTTGTTTACCTAAGCTAGCCTGGGCAATGGCGGGCGCCCCTCCCCCAGCTTCTCTGCGGCCTTGCAGTTTGATCTCAGACTGCTGTGCTAGCAATCAGCGAGACTCCGCGGGCGTAGGACCCTCCGAGCCAGGTGCGGCAGATAATCTCCTAGTGCGCCGTTTTTTAAGCCCGTCAGAAAAGCGCAGTATTCGGGTGGGAGTGACCTGATTTTCCAGGTGCCGTCTGTCACCACTTTCTTTGACTAGGAAAGGGAACTCCCTGACCCCTTGCGCTTCCCAAGTGAGGCAATGCCTCGCCCTGCTTTGGCTCGCGCACAGTGCGCGCACCCACTGACCTGCGCCCACTGTCTGGCACTCCCTAGTGAGATGAACCCGGTACCTCAGATGGAAATGCAGAAATCACCCATCTTCTGCGTCGCTCACGCTGGTAGCTGTAGACCGGAGCTGTTCCTATTCGGCCATCTTGGCTCCTCCTCAATTTTTGTATATAGTGAAAGGTAAGGGTCCAGTTTCATTCTTCTGCATATGGCTAGCAAGCTATTCCAGTACTATTTATTGAATAGGGGATACTTTCCCCATTGCTTATTTTGGTCAATTTTGTCAAAGATTTGATGGCTATAGGTGTACAGCTTTATTTCTGCATTCTCTATTTTTCTACAGAAATTTTAGGGTTTATAAAGTGAACATATACAAGCTGGAAAACAATGTAGCAATTATTTAATCTAAACTCTTTGTTTTATAGAAAAGAAAGTTTGGCTCTAGGAATTTGCTGAAGATTGCATAACTAATTGGTAGTAGGATTTTAGAAAAATTGTTTTCCCATTCAGTTAGGGTTGCAGTGTAAGTTCAAAGTTGTTACTTCATGCATTCACTTAACAAATACTTATTACAGGCCTACTATGTGGCAAGCAGTGCTCTAAACACTAGAAGTCTGGTGGGTGGGAAAATCAGAAAAAGCTTTGGCTTCTGGAGTTTATATCCTTGTGGGGATAGACAGGGAATAAACAAATGAATATATACTGTAGAAAATGAAGAAAATGAAGACCAACAGCAATTGGGGATGATGGTTATTTTAGATTGATGGCTGTTTTAGATTTAGTTTTCTTGAAAGAGGTGGCATGTGAGCAGACACCTCAATAAGGTAAAGGAAAAAGCTGTTGGCATATCTGGGCAGAAAATTCCAGGTTGAAGAAAAAGTGCAAAGGCCCTGAAATGGGAAAAAGACTGGAGTGTTTAAGGAATAGTGAGAAGGCCGGGGTAGGTGGTGCAGAGTGAATAGAATGGAGGAAAATTAGTGATAGAAACTGGGGAGCCAGAAGCCAAATTACACAAGACCATGTAGTCCGTGGAAGGACTTTGTATTTTATTCTAAGTGTTTGAGAAGACATAGGGGAATTTCGAGTGGAGGAGTAATCAATACGAAGTGCCTTTAACATGTGCATTCTCCCTATCATGTGTAGAATAGACTGTGGTTGCAGGGGTGGGACAAGGAGGCCAGTTAGGAAGCGCTAGTCCTGGTGAGATATAAATGTGTCCTAGGCAAGTGTATTAGTCTGTTCTCATACTGCTAATAAAGATGTACCAAAGACTGGGTAATTTATAAAGGAAGAGGTTTAATGGACTCACAGTTCCACATGGTTGGGGAGGCCTCACAATCATGGTGGAAGATGAAGGAAGAGCAAAGGAATGTCTTACATGGCAGCAAGCAAAGAGAGCATGTACAGGGGAACTCCTCTTTATGAAACCATCAGATCTCCTGAGACTTATTCACTATTTATAAGAACAGCACCTGAAAGACCCGTCCCACCCCCATGATTCAATTACCTCCCACTGGGTCCCTCCCATGACATGTGGGAATTATAGGAACTACAATTCTAGATGAGATTTGGATGGGGACACAGCCAAACCATATCAGTAAGGTAGTCATATTCAGCTTCACTTAAAAATTGATGCCATAAATGTAGTTAGGTTTTAATGGAAAGTTCACATTTTTCTAGCAAATCCACAGTCATTAAGATGTTCTTTCCTGCATGTGTGGTGGGCCAGGGGCAGAACACACATGCACAGGTATGTGCCCATACGTGTTTGACAGCTCAAATGGGACATTGGATCTATTTGGGAGGACTATTTCAATGGGAAAAGTGGATGGATTCAGGCTATATTTTGAATTTGAAACTAATAGGACTTTACCAGTATTAAATATAGGAAGACAGAAGAGTTGGGGTGCTTCCAAGGTTTTTCCTGAAAAACGGGGCAAAGAGTGGTAACATTTCATGTATTGGGAGTGCTGGGGATAACCAGGCTTTGGGAGAGTAGTAAGATATTCAAAAAGAGTAAGTTTAAGTGTTAAGTTAGAATGAAGGAATTGAGAAGGTACTCAGATATACCATTCTGGAAATCTTGAGAAAAACGGGGACTGGAAATCGAGCCATCAATGTCTAGACAATATTTAATGCCATTGGATCACATGAGATTGTCTAGAAGGTATGCATAGAAAGAAGAGATGGCCAATGATTAAGTCCTGGAACACTAGCAAACAGAGGCTGTGTGAAAGAAGAGGATGCATTAAATGTTACCGAGAGGGAAGGAGTTAAGAATTAAACAAATGAGTCCTGTGTACTAACATACACCAGGTTGTTCAGCATACACCAGGTTGTATGCTGGAAGCGGCACATAAACATTAGTTGTTTCATGTATTCATTTACTTAAATACTTATTTAGAGAGAAAAGGTCCTTTCCTTTCCCACATGGAACTTAGTCTTTCATGGTGGAAGGTATGCCACAGCTTAGTAAACAAAAATTTAGAAATCAGAAATTAGTAACACAGAAAACAATAAAAATTAAAATGTGGATGGTCAATGAAACCAGTAAAGTTTGTTCTTTAAAAAGACTTGTAGAAGAGGGAAATCCCTGTCAAAATTGACAAAGGACACAAGAAGAAAAGGCAGGAAAAAAAAATTATGAAAGTACGATATAAGTACAAATAGAGTAGCTCTTTTAAAAATCATAAGACATTATCATGAACAACTTTATGCCAATATATTTAAAAAGCTTAAGTATCCAACAACTACAAAATACACATTGATTTTCCAAGATAGATTATCGGCTGGGTCATAAAACAAGTTTTAATAAATATCAAAGAATTGACATTATACAGAGTATGTTCTCTGACAAATGTGATTGGATAATAAATCAATATCAATTATACAGCTAAAATAATTCTTCAGAGTTTAGAAATTAGCACATTTAAAAATAATCCAATGATTCAAAGAAGAAATTATAAGGAAAAAATATTTTGAACTGGATGATAATAAAACATAATATATCAGTATTTGTGGGACAGTTCTTAGAAAAAATTTATAGTTTTAAATGCTTATACTTAAAGGAAAATGGTTTAAAATTAATGACCTAAGTTTTCACATGAATACGCCAGAAATGAAAGAAAAAGGTAAATCTAAAGGAAGTAGAAGAAAGTAAATAATAAATATAAAAACAAATTTTAAAATAAAAAGAAGGCTGAAAAATGGACACATTTAAAGTTTGTTCCTTGAAAAGATTAATAAATTGATACATCCTCAGCAAGACAGAGAAGAAAAATACAAATAACCAATACCAGGATTGAAACAAGAGATATCAGTGAAGATTCTATATTTATTAAAAAGAGGGGGTAATATGAACAATTTTATGCTAATAAAATTTAAAATTCAGATAAAATGAATGAATTTCTAGCAAGATACAACTTAACAAACTTACACACACAAAAAATGGAAAATCTTAGTAGCTTGCCTTCCTTCCTTCCTTTCTTTTTTTTTTTCTGAGACAGTGACATTCTCTATTGTCCAAGTTGGAGTGCAGTGGCAAGATCATAGCCCACCATAGCCTTCACCTCTTGGGTTCAAGCAAACTTCCCACCTTAGCCTCCTGAGTAGCTGGGACTAAGGTGTGCACCAACACACTTGGCTAATTTTTAAAATTTTTTTGTAGAGATGCAGTCTCACTATGTTGCCCAAGCCAGTCTTGAACTTCTAGGCTCAAGTGATCCTCCTGCCTCAGCCTTCCAAAGTGCTAGGATTACAGGTGTGAACCACTACACCCAGCTGAAAATCTTAATAACTTCATATCTATTTAGAACACTAGGTTTGCAATCAAAACTCATTCGCCCCCTCCCTCATAAAAACAACCACCACCAATAGCAGTAACAAAATCTCTGTCTCAAATAGTTTTATGAGGCTAGAATAACATTGATACCAAAACCTGACAAAGATATTACAATGAAAGGAAATTATAGACTAATATTCTTAATTAATTTAGATGAAAAATTTCTTCATAAGATCTAAGAAAACTGGATACAGTAATATATTCAATTGTATTAAAATATATTTGAATGTATATATGTATTACATGTAATCCAGTAATATATATGTGTGTGTGTGTGCATGTGTATGCATATGTAAAATCACAACAATGACATTTAGCCTGGGATGGCAAGATTGGCAAAACACTTGGAAAACAACCAGCATAATTCACCACATTAACGAATAAATAATTAGTAATTGAAGTAATTGAAGTGAGCATCCTTAACCTGATAAGGAGTGCCTACTAAAAACCTAGATAAAATATAAATGTTTTTCCTTTAAATCTGGATCATGACAAGGCTGCCTGCTCTTACCACTTCCATTCAACATTATGCTACAGTTCTGCTAGTTTAATAAGGCAATAACGATATTTAAAAAGGCATAAAGATTGGAAAAGAAGAAGTAAAAAGGTTTTGCTCTGTTTCCCAGGTTTGAGTGCAGTGATGCGATCATGGCTTACTGCAGCCTCAACCTCCTGTGTTCAAGCAATCTTCCTGTCTCAGTCTCCCAAGTAGCTGGGACTATAGTGCATGCCACCACACCCAGCTAATTTATTAATATTTCTTTTGTAGAGATGGGGGTCTCACTCTACTGACCAGGCTTGTCTTGAACTCCTGGCCTCACATGATCCTCCCACATTGGTCTCCGAAAGTGCTGGGATTACAGGTGTGAGCCACCACATCTGGCTGGAAAATACAATTTTAAAGCAATACTATTTACAATAGTATTAAAACCCATTTGTTACTTAGGAAGGAAAGATGTGCAAGACCTCTGTACTTGAAACTCCAAATCCTGTTGTTATTAAATTAAAGAAGACACTGAGTTAACTTTTTAAGAATTAAGTGGATCATCCAATCAACCATCCAATGTTTGTGGATTGGAAAACTCAGTTTTGTTATGATACTTATTCTTCTCAAATTTATAGATTTAACAAAATTCCAATTAAAATTCCAGCAAGCTCTTTTCTGTAGAAATTGACATGCTGATTCTAAGATGTATATAAAATGTGAAGGATCTAGAAATTTAAAAAGAAGAACAGAGTTGGAGGACACCTACCACTTGATTTCAAAACTTACCATAAAACTATGGTAATCAATATGGTGTGGTATTGGCATAGGACAGACAACTTAATCAAAGGACCAGAAACGAAGGTCCGGAATCAGACCCGCACATATACGGGCAATGAATTTTTGACAAAGGCACCAAAACAATTCAATGTGAAAAAGCAACTTGTGTTTGTTTGTTTGTTTGTTTGTTTGTTTTTCAACAAATGGTCCTGGAACAATTGAATAGCTAAATGGCAAGAAAAGAACCTCAAACCTTCTTTCTATAGATACACCAAAATTAATTTCAGATGGCTCAAAGGTTTAAAAATATAAGCAAGAACTAAAGGGCTTGTAGAAGAAAACATAGGAGAGTATCTTCACAGTCTTAGGGGCAGAAATAGATTTATTGGACAGAACATAAAAACATAATATAAAATAAAATTTTATAGATTAGAATTCATCGAAATGAAAATGTTCAGCTCATATGAAGACACCAGTAAGTAAATAAGTAGGCAAGCCACGAACCAGGAGGAAAAATTTGTAATACGTATATCTAACAAGAACTTTAATCCAGAATAAAGAATTACTAAAAATTAACAATGAAATGCCAACCCAATAAAAAGTAGCAAAAGCCTTGAACAGATATTTCACAAAAGAAAATGTATGAATGGCTAATTAGCACATGAAAAGTTTCTCTCTCATTATACTATAATCTCCACAAGGACAGAGAATATATTTGTTTTGTTGGTATTCTTTTTTTAAATTTTATTTTACTTTAAGTTCTGGGATACATGTGCTGAACCTGCAGGTTTGTTACATATGTATACATGTGCCATTGTGGTTTGCTGCACCTATCAACCCATCATCTAGGTTTTAAGTCCTGCATGCATTAGGTATTTGTCTTAATGCTCTCCCTCCCCTTTCCCCCCATCCCCCAACAGGCCCTTGTGTGTGATGACTTAAAGGTGAGCAGAACTTAGTCTGGTGTCTTAGTTTATTCAGTCTGCTATAACAAAATACCTTAGACTGTGTAGTTCATAAATGAAACTCACAGTTCTGCAGGGTGGGAAGTTCAAGACCAATGCACTGTCAGATTCAGTGTCTGGTGAGGACCTGTGTCTCATAGATAGCACCTTCCATGTGTCCTTATGTGGCAGAAGGGGAAACACGCCTCCTCAAGCCTCTTTTATAAGGGCAGTAATGCCATTCATGAAGGCTGCCCTCATAACCCTATCACCTCTCAACGGCCCCACTTCTTCACGCCATCACCTTGGGCCTTAGGTTTCAACATAAGAATTTTGTTGGGGGCACAAACATTCAGTTCACAGCTCCTGGTATGGGATATGCAAAGGTCCAGGGAAGGAAGCAGGCCCTCCCACAGAGAGGCGTCTGAATGGAAACAGAGCAAGCTAGGGTAGGAGAGAAGCATTCTACTTAGATGGAACTCGACTGGTTAAGAATCTATTAGACAGAACTGGATTTTTACATGCCAAACAAAAGGGCCTATGTGATTATTTCTAGAGTACCCAGAAAGCGAGTAGCACATGCCTGAGATTTCATCCAGAAATGGAGAAAAGAGTAAGTCCAGAAATGTTGGTTTAAATGTCCATGGGAGAAGGAATAAAATTGCTTAATGTTTTCACACTAAAAAAAAGAAAAGAAAAAAAAAAGAAAAGGTTCTCAACATCATTAGTTATTAGAGAAATGAAAAATAAAACCACAGTGAGATGGCAATTTCCACCAACTCGAACGTCTAAAATTTAAAAAATATTGGCAATACTATATTAGCAAGAATGTGGAGAAGACTGCAACTCTCATACATTGCTAGTGGGAACACAAAATGGTACAACCCCTACCACAAGATGCCGACTTCTGTGGTCCTTCTTTATAGTTTTCCATTGAAACAGTCCTCCCAAATAGATCCGATGTCCCACCTGGGCCGTCGAACACGTATGGGCACATACCTGTCCATGTGTGTTCTGCCCCTGGCCCACCACACATGCAGGAAAGAACATCTTAATGACTGTGGATTTGCTAGAAAAATGTGAACTTTCCATTAAAACCTAACCACATTTATGGCATCAATTTTTTTTTTTTCTATAGCAGTGTTTAGTTTAATTTACAAAATGCTCAAGTAGAATACACATGACAATGTTAAGCACTGTATACAGTTAAGTGTCAAATTATGTTTCACTATAGAAGTGTGACGGCTTCACAACACATGATTGATATGATGCTATTAAAGAATCAGAGCAGACATGCTACATGATTTTTATTTTAAACCAGGCAGGCATTTCCTTCTCTATATTCTTTGTTGCAGTCTACTGTATAAAAGTCAGTTGGAAGTTTTTGTGTTTTAGTAATTTTGCTGAATTTACCATTGTCAATTTGAGATTATTCTTTTAAATGTTGTTAAGTCCTTTTCTTCCCATTTACAATTTCAACTCAGTTTACTAAAATTCAAAATAACCAGTGAAAATACATTTTCAAAGATGCTTTAATATATTTTATAGTACATTTATTTGTCATTCTGTATGAAAACTTCCTTTTTTTTTTTTTTGAGACAGAGTCTTGCTGTGTCACCCAGGCTGGAGTGCAGTGGCGCAGTCTCAGCCCACTGCAAGCTTCGCCTCCCGGGTTCACGCCATTCTCCTGCCTCAGCCTCCCGAGTAGCTGGGACCGCAGGCGCCCACCACCACGCCCAGCCAATTTTTTTGTATTATTAGTAGAGACGGGGTTTCACCGTGTTAGCCAGGATGGTCTCGATCTCCTGACCTCGTGATCTGCCCGCCTCGGCCTCCCAAAGTGCTGGGATTACAGGTGTGAGCCACCGCGTTATGGCATCAATTTTAAAGTGAAGCTGAATATGACTACCTTACTGATATGGTTTGGCTGTGTCCCCACCCAAATCTCATCTTGAATTGTAGCTCCCATAATTCCCATGTGTTATGGGAGGGACCCTGTGGGAGATCATTGAATCATAGTGTTGATTAAGTCTCACAAGATCTGATGGTTTTATAAGAGGAAACCCCTTTTGCTTGGCTCTCAATTCTCTCTTGTCTGCTGCCACGTAAGACATGTCTTTTGCCTTCTGCCATGATTGTGAGGCCTTCCCAGGCACATGGAACTGTAAGTCCATTAAACCTCTTTTTCTTTATAAATTCCCCAATCTTGGGTATGTCTTTATCAGCAGCATGAAAATGGACTAATACACTTACCTTTCACCATTTACTCTATTTTCTCTTTTCAAACTAAATAATAATCTCTTAATTTCTGTATCTCCAGAACCTATTATTATAGTTTCTGGACTATGATGAGGTGCAATAACCATGAATTTAGTCACTTTCATGTGGAACATAAATGGCAGGAAATAAATTGTTTGGAAAGTATTACATGTTTTACTATTCATTTACTCAAAAGTATTTTTGAGCTCTTATTTTCTCCTTCTTAATTTAAAAAACCTCAGGCTGTTGAAGGAGAGATCATGTATTCATTTATTTCTTAGCTACTGGGCAGAGCAAAAATCAATAATTAGAAGAAGTGTGTTTTCCATGAAATTTTACACTCAAATCAACATTATAACTGTAGTGAAATTGGCATCACATTCTAAATAAGGGACCGAGCTATTCTTGTAGGAAATATAAACCTGGTATGAAAAGTAAGTGCTTATCAATAACACTTCCAGGAAGCAATTTTTACTCCGGGGCAATTTGCTGTGCATGCTGGGTCACTGCTGAGTTCAATGCTTCAGAACTTTAGATGATGAAAATGCCTTTCTTCCACATTACGTGCACTGCTGAGTTTCAGTTGGAAGGGTCCTTAGAGACCACCTGGTCCAACCCCCTTTTGCTTTTTATTTTCTTTCTTTTTTTTTTTTTTTAGGGGACAGGGTCTCACTCCATTGCCCAAGCTGGAGTGCAATGGCATGAGCACAGCTCACTGCAGCCTTGAACTCCTGGTTCAAGCAATCCCACCACCTCAGCCTCACACACAGCTGGGACTTGTCAATGAAAAGAGTCAAACTCAGTAAAATATTTGAAAAAAACGTATTCTGAGCCAGGTTTGAGTGACCCATAGCCCATGACGCAGCCCTCAGGAGATGCTGAGAATATGTGTCCAAGGTGGTTGGGCCACAACTTGGTTTCACACATTTTAGGGAGACATAAGGCATCAATCCATACATGTAACATATACATTGGTTTGGTTCAGAAAGGCAGGTTAAATGGAAGCTGCGGGCTTTCAGATCATAGGTAGAACCAAAGATTTTCTGATTGGCAATTGATTGAAATAGTTATTATCTAAAGACTTAGAAAGAGTGTTTTGGTTAAGATAAAGGGTTGTGGAGACTAAGGTTTTATTACACAAGCGAAGCCTCTAGGTAGCAGGATTTAGAGAGAATAGATTGCAAATGTTTCCTGTCAGACTCAAAAAGTCTTTTCTATGAGTAATTCCAAAAGGGAGGAGGGTATAATGGAGCATGTCTAGCACCCCCTTCCCATCATGGACTGAACTGGATTTTCAGGTTAACTTTGGAATGCCCTTGGCCAAGAGAAGAGGCCCATTCAGATGGTTGGGGGGCCTTAGAATTTTATTTTTGGTTTACAGACTATAGGTATGCACCACCATGCCTGGATCCCCCTTATTTTTCAATTAAGAAAGCACTCCAGGGTGGTTAACTACTTACGCAAATATTACAGAGTTATTTGAGATTTGTGATAAGAATCTGGTCTTGCAATTCTTGGTTCATTATTCTTTCCTTTACTGCAAGTAGGTAAGAAGATAAATCATGGGTATGGTTTATTGTCAGTGTCCTAGGGTGACAGAGAATCAGTTTTGGGGAAAATAGGTTAATTACAAAGCTTTCCAGAAGACTTGTTCCTCAGAAACTAAATTACATATCTTCTTTTCCTGCTCCCAATCATTGCCTCTCATGCAGGATTAGGCCAAGCAGGTGGGAAGAGAACTGAATACTAGAGGGTCTTAGAGAAAATGAAGTTTAGCCAGTCATTCATAGAAGAGGAACTGAAACTTATTTCACAGAGAGGTTAAGCAACCTTCATTCTCCCTTTAGTGAAAGAGGCAAATATTCTTTAGAAACCCATGTGACAGCTTCGTTCTCTTGCAGCTGATTTTGAATCTTGCAGTTAATCATGATCTCTGGGCCATGGGCCTTATTGTCTTGAGGCTCTCATTTTACTGATTGATAAAGCAGAAAAACAGAGAAGTGGTGTGATGTGGCGAGAAAGTGCTAGCAGGAAATGAGATAGCTATTACCACCCAGGGCTCTCCTGTTTCTCTCTGCAAGACTCCTTTGGAAATCTTGCATTGCCTTCCCCTTTCTGAGTAATTCCGCGGGGCTTCATTTAGATTGTGCTCATTTGCATTAACTCTCATAACGAAGAGGTGTATTACCAACTGAAATGGAAAAAGGCCTGTGGTTACTTTGTGTCTTCTCTGCTGTCTCTGGTCTCTGGGACCAGAACTCATCCTCAGTACCGAGAGCCAAAGAGGAGCTGACCATGGATTAGATGAAATAAGGTACTGTGTACCTGACACCCAGGAAATAGTCAGTGTTTCTTACCTCCTAGTATTGTTGCAAAATGAAGCAGAATACAGTATATCTTTTGATTCAAAGGTGTCATTAGGCCTTATAACTATTAACCAATTAACAGGTTAATATTTTAGCTTGCACTTTTGCTTTAAAATCTGAATATTGCATGTTAATTTAAAATATGGTTTGTTAGGAGTGTGGTAGGAATATAACTTGTTTGAAATTGACATCAATGTCTAAAATGAAAAACCATGCATCCCAAAACATGGTGATTACCAGCGGAAGGTCAGGAAAACATGCTTCTCTTCTGCAGATGGAGGTACAATGAGGTGTTTGACAGGGGCTTATGTTCCCAACACACCTGGCCTGGACTCTGCATGGAGAAAAAGGTTTGTTCACTAGACTGAGATTTCGAAGGGTAGAGTATTTGTAGAGAGAAGCCAGGTCTCCAGTGTTGCTGGGTTTGGGGAAAGCCTGTAATGGATTCAGGTGTCCAGGTGAGAACAGCTTTCTGACAAATGTGCTGCTGAGGGTGATGTTCTCTCAGCACGTGGCCTGTGAGCTCTCAGTGATGCTCCAGCCAGCAGGAGTACACCAATAAGCCTGACTCTCTGCCAATAGCTGGGGCCAGAGGTCTCGTCCTCATTTTTCACTGGTACCTGGCAGGCAAAATTCCTATCCAGGAGGGAATGGTAGCTCTGGACAGTTGTATAAATATGCTATCAAAATTTGAGAGGCAGAAAGCAAATGACAGGAGGCCAGACCCTCCTTGGAGTCATCAGTCCACTCAAAGTCCCTAGACCCCTTGCTCAATAATTTCACTTTAGTCCACATAATTCCAAGAGGACTAACTAAGGTTTTCATTACAGTGGTCTCTTCTGGCAGTAAGGGTCTGCTCAAATAGCTCTAGTGGACAGAGGCCACAGACATCTGTTAGTGCCAACCTCAGAAAATCCCACTATAAGTTTCTGTTATATTTTTATTTTTTCAATGAAGCTCTTTACCTAGACACAAAGGTGATGGAGAAGTGTTTCCTCCCTATCAAAAAATACTTTGAATTTTTCAAAGAAATTTCATTTTCCTTGAACAATACAGACAAAATCAAATAATGCATAAGCACTCATAATCTCTGACCCTCCCTTTGCCCATAAAGAACATTCTGGAAATTCTAGCATTGTTAACTTGGTACTTCCCTTACACTATCCTATCCTTCCTACCTTCCTTCTCTCTCCTCTATTCTACTCTCCTTGGTGGTCATTTTTATTATTATGAGGTCTAGTTTATTGGACAAGAGGAGAAGTGTTAGCTAGAGAATTTATACTGGAAATGAAAGAAAAATTACAATAAATCTAGGAATGAGATGGAGTCCAGAAGAACCCAGTAGGATAGATTTCAGGGAGTATTAACTTAGGAGTTGAGAATGCAAAAGAGAATAGTCTCAAGTCACTTCCATCTACATGGAAGATATTGAGAAGGGATAAACTAGAAGAGAGGACAAGACATTTGACTATGGGTTGAGTAGGTGAATCCTTAAGAAATGGAATATGGCCGGGCATGGTGGCTCATGCCTGTAATCCTAGCACTTTGGGAGGCTGAGATGGGTGGATCATGAGGTCAAGAGATCGAGACCATCCTGGCTAACATGGTGAAACCCCGTCTCTACTAAAAATACAAAAGATTAGCTGGGTATGGTGGTGGGTGCCTGTAGTCCCAGCTACTCGGGAGGCTGAGGAAGAAGAATGGTGTGAACCTGGGAGGCGGAGCTTGCAGTGAGCTGAGATTGCACCACTGCACTCCAGCCTGGGCAACAGTGCAAGACTCCGTCTCAAAAAAAAAAAAAAAAGAGAGATGGAATGTAGTTGAATTATCTTAAATTGTTTTTAATGACTATTAAGTTGTCTGTTTTTCTTTAAGTCAGGAGGCATTATTTAGAGTTTATGCCACAGAGCAGAGGCAATTATAATATTCATGTTCTTCAAAAATAAAAACAGTGAAGCTATCTTTGCACCTATGCCAAAATCCTGCACTAAGAGAGAAGGTGCACTTCTTCCAATAAACAGATGTGTGACCAGTGCCAGTGTGGGCTGACTTCATCTCATCCTTCCAAATCTCTCATCTTAGGGAGCTGGGTGAATTGACTATTGTAGCTGCTCCTTCCTCCTGCAGTAACACTTCCCTTTTTGCTGCTGACAGTGCTTCAGAGGTACAGTCCTTTTCCAAGAACCACCGCCATGCCATTGCCACTGGTACCTCTCCTCACTCAACTCCTCTCCTGGTGGTGCTTTGAAGATGGCTGGAACTCTAGTCTTTACTCAGCTACTAAAGTTGGCTGTCTTCCAGCAGCCTTCCCAACTCCTGCTGAAAGAAGGAAAAAGGTAGAAAGGAACATGTGAGATGGTAGAGAGACGTGCACTGTTCAATGTAACTCCACATCTTCAGCAAATCCTGTTAAACTAAAAAAAAATGATGCTGACTTCTAAGTCCAGGTGAATGCACGACAGAGACAACACATGCAGATTCAGGAGCCATTGGCGGGGAATACCAGGAGAATAACTCCTGGAAATGCACAAAAATCATAAGGAGGGCTTTGGATTTCAAGGCTTTGGAATTGGAAGTTTTGCATCAAGTTTACATGTATCTCCAGGACAGCTGATATTGGATACTCATTTAAAAGAAGACTTTTCAGTACCCAGTTGGAAATAAAGCTTTAGAATCCAAGTATCCCTGAGGGAGATGACTCTGGCAAAAATGCACACTGAGGTATAAAGAACTCATGCCATTCAAAAGCCTTATTCAAAAGTACATGTGGGAGGGCAGCAGGAATCTGAAGTAGAAGAGGAGAAGAGATGCTGGTATGGGAAGGGAGGTGGTGAGAAGGAAGGCATATCTGCAACTGGGCCAATTAAAATGTGCAGCATGTACAGGAGGTGGGAGAATAATCAAATGAATAACAAGTATTAACTTTTCTGTATTGCTAAGTTGTAAACTTAAAGGAGACATTTTAAAAGGATCTTAAATTCTGTTCCTCAATCTCAGTGACATGAGATAATATGCATATTGCTACATCTTTTCTTTTTAATGACCTATAAAAGCAATCAGGTGTGAGAACTTGAAATTTTGTGATCTGTTACAGTATGCGCGTTATGAAGCTCACACTCATTTTCACTTTTAAGTGTCTCTGTTGTTTCTTTAGTTTTCATTTTTAACATTGTACCCATAAAAAATAACATATGTTGTTGTAAAATGCTTTTATTTTCTCTTCAGGTTCATTAAATTACTTCCAAAAAAATGATTTCTTAGTTAAATTGTTTGACCTTTTCTGTTCTTGACATTGGATACATATGGCCCTCCACCATCTCACTGCTCCCGAAGATAAGAACCTATAAATGTCAGTTTGTATGATTAAAATGCAACAATTCCAACTGCACTGTGAATGTTTGAAGCTGCTTTGCATTTTTCTAAGTTCCTCTGGGGGAAAAGCACCTTTGCTAATGAAAAACATATTTTCAATATGGAAATTGCAACTGGAGGCACAGCCTACTGTGAAGAGTTCAGACATATTTGGTTAATTGGTGAACAGATTTGACAGATGGCTATTTGCATTGGGGACAAAGGAGTCTTCTAATTTGTGCTGTGTGTCCCTGTGTGGGATTCAAGCTGTGCACACTGCTGGAGTACAGACATAACTTGATTTTTCTGGTGGGCTGATGGGATGGCCTACTTCACTCCGCTTTGTGAAGTCGTAGCCTGAGGCAAGAGGGAGCCAAGCATGAAGAGTTTGAACCAGTGAAAAGATATATTTCCCAGGGGGATTAGGGATTCAGAGAACATAAAGACTATTCCTTAAATCTTCCCTTAGCTTAGATCCCCACATGTCCATGGGGGAATAAGATTGAAGGGAAAACTGGAAATTCTGTAATACACCAGGATCCAGCAATCCTGCTTTGGGATTCCTCATTCAGCACATAACACAAAATGGAGTGAACCATTCTCAGTCATTCCTCTTCAGAACATTGCACAGATGGGTGCCCTGTGGCTCGCTCACTGTTTGCAGCAGGATAGCCCGGGCAGCAGAGATGGTCAACCCGGATGAGCTGTGCTGGAGCAGAGGCAGGATCTTCTTGGCAATGTGATGGTGACCACAAGTCAGGAAACTGCTGTTGAAATTGCCTTTGCAAACATTGTATCAGTGAGAAAACTATGACAGTGAAATAGATCTGATCTAATCAACCCCCATCTTGCCCTTAACTTCCAAACTTCCCTTGGTCATTCCTGGGCTTGGGCTAACTTTGGGAGAAATTTAGTTTATAGTTCAAATGATAATAGCCCTCCCCAAAACTAAACCACCATAGCAAAACTAATGAAAGACCACCAGGTTAGGAGGATGAGATGAGGCTAAATTCTGCTAAGATATAGGCATAAATGATTACCAGCCATTATTCCATACACAAGATTTGCAGCATCCCTAATTACTCCTGCAGATAACATCATTGTTATAGAACACACTGGCCTTTTGAAATGTCTTTTCAGGGTTTTGTATTTCTGATGACCAGATGGCCCCATCCAAACCAGATACTCTTGACTCAACAGGCCCTGTGGCCCCACCCAGAACCTGACTCAGTGCACAGGGACTGTTTTCCACAATCCTAGGATTGCATCCTCAACCAATCAGCAGCACCCATTTCCCTGCCCACCAAACTATCCTTGAGAAACCATAGCCTCAGAATTTTCAGAGACACTGATTTGAGTAACAAAACTCCAGTCTCCTGTTCAGAAATTAAACTCTTTCTTTTCCGCAATTCCCTCCCCCATCTTGATAACCTGGCTGCATCTGGACAGTGGGCAAGGAGAACCCCACTGGGCAGTTACACTGTGTGCAGTGGAGATTTGAAGGAAGACACAGCTAATGGCAGTGTCTATGGAACTATACAGATACCATGAGAGTGAAACTTCCCTATGTACACAGCCCACGAATACTACCTGCTCTTACCTGCTCACACTGTTACTCCAGAAATACCTAGACTAGAGTAACAGTGTAGGCAGGTAAGAGCCAGGCTATTTGTTTTTTATATACAATTTAACTGAAATTAATATTAGAATAGCTTAAAGCTAAAATATGAAGATACAGGATATTAGAAGTATGAATACATTCAGAATATTGGTTACTGAGTTTTATTTTTAGGTAGCAGGTCACCTTGATTGAGGTCATTAGGGAGTGCAGAATCCAATAACAGTAAAACATCAATGTAAAAGTTTTGCTTCTGTTTAGAATATAGAAAACAGAAAGGGAATGTCACTCTACTAACAGGACAAAGAGCCAGATAATCTATGGAATTCTTGAGTCCATCAAGATCTAAGGTTGTAAAATGATTAGGTGACATGAATTTGAAAGGGTTACAGGCCCCAGTGAGGAGAGATAAGACATACAAATTGGGTTTTAGCATGGCGAGAGCATGGAAGGAAGTGGTAGGAACCTTGAAGGCAAATAAAAAGAAAACTAAAATTTTAAGGAATTCTTAATGGCCAAAGGGTTCCTACCACTTCCTTCCACTTAGCATGAATGAATACATACTCTTTTGTGCCTGGGCTCCCAGAATACTAAACTGTCATGCTAGGAGTCATGCAGCTAGAGGCCACAAGATTCTGAACCTCGCCAATTGCTCCTAAGGATAATATAACTATTGTAAAACCTAACATTGGCGTTCGAGATATTTTTCAGACCCCACATTCTGATGCATTAGCTGGTTCCACCCAGACTGGTTATCTGGCTTAGTCAGTTCTGTGATACCACTTAGGAACCCACTTTGACCAGACAGCCAGAAGAAACCACTTTGACCCCCTACAATTTAATCTTTGACCTGGCTAATCAGCACTCTCCATTCCCTGGTCTCCTAAACACCAAATTATTATTTTAAAAATTCCAGTCTCCAAATTTTTGAGGAGACTGATTTGAGTAATAAAACTCTGGTCTCCCATTCTGCTGGCTCTGCATGAATTAAACTCCTTTGCTATTGCAATTCTCCTGTCTTGATAAGTTGGCTGTATCTGGGCAGTAGGCAAGAAGAACCCATTTTGAGGCTAGAGAAAGAATGGGGGCTAGATTCTGCTAAAACAGGTTATGAGAGGTGGGGGAAGAGACTTGGCTAGCAAAGGTGGCCTTGTTATGTAGATGAAGGCTGTCTCAGAGAGAATAGCTGGTAAACGGAGTCAGACTCTCAATCTCTGCTGGATACAGGGAAAGAAATAGAAAGGGAAGGGGCGTGGCTGCATTAACAGAGATTCTTTACAGATGTAAAACTTCCCCACTTGAGACAGCTTTGCAAGGCCACTTCTGTCAGCCAAGTGGCAGCCATTTCAAAATAAGTCAAAGAAATATATTTTGGGGTAAAATATTTAATTTCCCTCAATATTCATACAAATATAGAGTCAATTCTCATTATTCATGGTAATTATGCTCTATAAAGTCACTCTAAACACTGAATTAGTGAATTAAAGAACCATCGGTCCTAGAGAAAATATAGAGTTAGGTTCCTATGAGTCTTTGGCTATAACATGTTTGTCAACTGATCAATATATAACCTTGTTTTATATATGTTTCTATTTAAAGGCATCTTATTTAATATATATTGTTGATTTTAACATTGAATTCATGGTCAATAGCACTGTAACTCATGCTCAAACAAAGCTTATTTAACATATATTTTCTCCACAAGGCACATTACCATAACCACCCAGTGGGTCCTTGCCTGCTGCCTAGACAGAGCTGATTTATCAATATAGGCGAATTGCAATAAAGAAAGTATTTAATTCACACAGAGTCAGCTGTACGGAAAACTGGAGTTTTATTATTACTCAAACAAGTCTCCCTGAAAACTTGGAAATAGGGGTTTTTAAGAATAATTTGGTGGGTAGGGGGTCAGAAAGGGGAGAGTGCTGATTGGTTGGGTCAGAGATGAAACCATATGGAGTTGAAGCCGTCCTGTTGCACTGAATCAGTTCCTGGGTGGGACCACAAGACCAGATGAACCAGCTTATGGATCTCGGTGCTGCTAAGCTGAACCATAGAGTATGGCTCCGTAAAAATCTCTCAAGCACTGGTCTTAGGTTTAACAATAGTGACGTTATCCCCAGGAGCAATGTGGGGAGATTCAGGATCTTGGAGCCACCTGCTGTATGACTACTAAACCATAATTTCTAATCTTGTGGCTAATTTGTCAGTCCCCACAAAGGCAGTCTGGTCCCCTAGCAAGAAAGGGGTTTGTTTTGGGAAAGGGCTATTATCATCTTTGATTCAAAGTTAAACTATAAACTAAGTTTCTCCTAAATTAGTTCAGCATATGCTCAGGAATGAACAAGGACATCTTGGAGGTTCAAAGCAAGATGGAATCAGATATGTCAGAGCTCTTTCACTGTCAAAATTTTCTGTTATAATTTTTGCCAAGGTGGTTTCATTACTGTGAGAAACACACTCACCCGTCCACACTCAAAGAATGGACCCAGAGGCATGAAGAACAGCGAAAGTGAGACTTTTAATGGCGGTCTTGCAAGATGGGGTGTCTGGTAGGCAGACACACTGGGGGCAGCTACAGCAGGTAATTTATCTCCTAGCACACAAGTCCTTCTCCCAGTTCGTCACTGGTTGAGTACTATGGGGTTACAAACTTCCTGGATGCCGCCTAAGTTTTATGATTCCCCTTATAAGGTTATACCCCAGTCCCCTTCCCCACTTGAGTTTCAACTTCCCAATAATGAACGTTTCTTCCCTTTTATGGGCTGACCGCTCCTCTACATTCTGTTCGCTTATCATGACTTTCTAGGAGCATGAGCCATGCCGTTGGTTACATCCACAGGCTGGCTGCCAGTCCTTAGATTTATCATGCCTTGAAAATGGACCATTCAAAATATTTTCTCACAATTACAGCCTTCTTGTGCTTAGGAATGACAGGTAGCATTTCAGAACTACACTTGGGGATCATTTAAAAAAATGATACCACCAATAAAAATGCAAAAACATAGCATTAAACAGATCGTGGAAAGGACATGAGATCGCGCTGAGAAAAGAAGGCAGAGCATTGCTTTATTTAACCTTAGTGAGACAGCCTATTTTAATGGTGCAGGTGTGCAGAGTTTGCCAAGGCTTGAGGGTAAGGCAAGAGTACCTAGTAAAGGTTATTTAATCTCTTGGCTCTGTATGAATACAAGGTAGTAATTATCTGCCACTCAGAGAGTCAAGATAATCTGTATGCTTTCACAATAAGAAACAAAACCCATCTGCTTCTGGGAATAGGGAGGGAAATAAAACTGCCTACATCCTGGACTTCACTTTATTTGATGTGAGGTGAAGTCATCTGCTGCCAGAGTTGCATCTCCCCCATCCCTATTACTTCCACCTACTTTCCTCTTCCCACATCCCCTGGCTGGCCATCTCATCCCAGGCTTAAGTTGGCTGTTGCTGAAGAGGGTAAAAAAGACTCCTGCTCTTCCACCTTGCCTGGACACTAGGAAAAAAATCTTTCTCCTCCTGGGGAAGGAACAGAAAATTTGCTTGGAGTGACATCATTCACTGATACAAAAACTGAAGTATGCTGCCACTGAAGGAGAGGCAAGAAACTGGTTTGCCCAAAACCTCCCTGCCAATACAAGCCAGAGTTTTGTTGCTATAAGGAGGAGTAGCAGGAAACCTACCTGTGTGTTAGGCCCTGGACTTCGTAGAAGACAAAGGTTATCTGGCACTGGAGGAAGACAGACAAAGAGAAAGCCATATTCTGTGATTCAGGAAGACAGAGACTGCCTAAAACTGAGGCTGAAGCAGAACAGAGAAACAGCCCCTGCTGCCACCATGAGCCTCAACTGAAGAACCAGCAACTACCACTGAGTAAAAGTGAGTACAGAGACCATCTCTGTGACACAAGAGGCCAGGCCTGGCTAAAAACTGAAGGCAGGGTGGCATTATTAACAAAAACCATCTGGAACTCAAGACTGCTTACCACAAGGTAGCAATGATCTACCACTGAAGGAATAGGAAGCCAGTGCAGTGGTACACTAAAACTATAGCACCAAAAAGAAAAAGAAAATCCAAACTAAGCTCAATTATTGGCTAGATCAACTCACTCCTTTACACACACATCTACACACACACACAAACACACTTGGTCTGAAAAAATAACTGTGTCAATTTTCCAACATAAACATTATTTAATTTACTCTCTACCATTCTTTAACATTCATTGTTTGGCATTCAATTAAATATTATAAGACAGAGAAAAAAAAGGAAAAACATATTATCAAGAGATAAAGAGAACAGAACAAGACTCAGAAATGGCCAAGATGTTGAAACTATCAGCCAAAGGATTTAAAATAACTATGATTAATATAATACAGAATATAGTAAAAAAGGTGGTCAGCTTGTATAGGCAGATGAGAAATTTCAGCAGAAAAAAAATAAAACTGTAAAAAAGTGTCAGCTGGGTACAGTGGCTCATGCCTGTAATTCCAGCACTCTGGGAGGATGAGGCAGGAGGATCACTCGAGACTTGGAGTTTAAGAGAAGCCTGAGCGACATGGCAAAACCCCAGTTCTACAAAAATATTTTTTAAAAAATTAGCCAGGCATAGTGGCTGTGCCTATAGTCCCAGCTAATCAGGAAGCTGAGGCAGGAGGATTGATTGAGCCCAGGAGATTGAGGCTGCAGTGAGCTGTGCTCATACTACTGCACTCCAGCCTGGGTGACAGAGCAAGACCCTGTCTCAAAAAAAAGTGTCACATCAAATGTTATAGATTTTAAAATCTGTGATGCTAAAGAAATATACTTCTTTTGGTTAGAATGTCATAGAGAAGCAGGAGAGAAAATAACCAGCAAATTTGAAGATATATCATTAGGAATTACTCAAAATAAGACACAAAGAAAATAAAGCAACAGAAAATAAACAATTAAAGAACTCAAGATTTCTGAACAATATCAAACATCTAACAAAGGCAGTCTGCTAAGCTGAAGAGAAAGACAATATAGCAGAAGAACTATTGGAAGAGATAGTGGTCAAAATTTTTTCAAAATTAATAAAATATAACAAACCACAGATCCAAACAGCTCAAAGAACAACAATACAATGAAAAAAGCCAAACTGTTGAAAACTAAATAGAAAGAGAAAGTCTTGAAGAGAAGATAGAAGGAGGGGCAAACCCATCGCATACAGAAAAACAAATACAAGAATAACAGCCAACTCCTCACTGGGATCGATGCAAGCCAGAAGACAATGGACACTGTCTTAAATAAAAAAAAAAAAAAACAAAAAAACCTGTCTTCCTAGAATTATATACCTAGTGAAAATATATTTCAACAATAAAGGTGAAATGAATATTTTTTAGGTGAACAAATCCTGAGAAAACTCATTGCCAGCACATCAGCACTATGATAGAGGTTAAAAATTTTTTTTTTAGGTAGCAGAATATAATACTAGATGGAAATAAAATTTGGATATACACAGAGGATTGAAGGGTGATAGAAATGGCAAATATGGTAGGAAATCTTAAATGACTTTTATTCTTCTAAATTTCTTGAAAAGATAATGGACTGCTTAAAGCAAAAATTAAACTTTTTGTTGTATTTATAATATATATAAATTAAAATGTATGACAGTGATAGCACAGTGACAGAGCAAGGGAAAATAAGAGTATACTGTTGAAAGGAGTTTATGCTACATGTAAAGTGGCATAATATTACTTGAAGGTAGACAGTGATAAGTTTAAGTACTGTAGTCCTATAACAACTACTAACCAATACATAAATAAATAAAAGAGTTATAGCTAATAATCCAATAAATAAAATAAAATAGATTTATAAAAATAGCAAATTAATTAAAAAGTGCAGGAAAAAAGGAACAAAGACCCTAATAACAGAATTTCAAAATATAATTTTTAAAAACCCAACCTGATAAAACAGAAAACAGACAAAGGCAAATTCAAAATTACAGCTAAAGGTTTTAATACTTTACCCTTAGAAATAAATAAAATGAGTAGAGGAAAAGTAAGTAAGGATATAGAAATCTGAACAAAGCTATCAACCAGTTTTATCTACTTTACAATTATAGAAAAATCCACTTACAACGCTAGAATACATATTCTTTTCAAGTGCACATACATCATTTATCAAGATAGGCAATATTTAAAATAATTTTTAAATGATTCAAATTATATAACGTATACTCCTTGAACATATGCTTCCATTAAAGTTTTAATATCTAGGATTTATAAGGAACTTAAACAATTGAACAAGTAAAAGACAACCCCATTAAAAAATGGGCAGAAGATATAAACAGACATTTCTCCAAAGAAGACAGACAAGCAGCCAATAAACATGACAAAATGCTCAACATCACTAATCATCAAAGAAATGCAAACCAAAACCACAGTGAGATACCATCTCACACAAATCACAATGGCTATTATTTAAAAGTCAAAAAACAACAGATGCTGGTGAGGCTGCAGAGAAAAGGGAACATTTATACACTGTTGGTGGAAATGTAAATTTAGCTCAGCCACTATGGAAAGGATTTTGGAGATTTCTCAAATAACTTAAAACAGAACTATCACTCAACCCAGCAATCCCATTACTGAGTATATATCCAAAAGAAAATAAATTGTTCTACCAAAGAGACACACATACTCTTATGTTCATTGCAGCACTATTCACAATGGCAAAGATATGGAATCTACCTAGCTATCCATCAATAGTGAATTGGATAAAGAAAATGTGGTACATATATACCATAGAATACTGCCCAGCCGTGAAAAAGAATGAAATCATGTCTTCTGTAGCAGTATGGATGCAGCTGGAGGCCATTATCCTAAATGAATTAACACAGGAATAGAAAATCAAATACTGCATGTTTGTACTTACAAGTGGGAGCTAAACATTGAGTATTCATGGACATTAAGATGGCAGCAACAGACCCTGGGGACTACTAGGAGGAGCAGGGAGGCGGTGGGGCAAGGGGTGAAAAGCTAAGTGTTGGATACTATGCTTACTACCTGGATGAAGGGATTATTCATATCCCAAACCTCCGCATCATGCACTATACTCATGTAACAAGTGTGCACATGTATCCACTAAATCTACAAGTTGAAATTATTTTTTAAAAATAGAAATGTGTCAGAAACATCCTCAAATAACTGAAGATGAAACAACACATTTTAATTTATGATCAAAGAAGAAATCAAAAGTGAAATTAGAAAATGTTTTGAATGAAATGAAAATAAAAAGGCAACATATCAAAATTTGCAAGCTAGACTTCAAGTAATGCTTAGAGGGAATCTTATAGCATTAAAATCTTTTTTCAGAAAAAGAATAAAAGGTCTTAAGTCACTTATTTAACTCTCCATTGTAAGAAACCAGAAAAAGAAGAGTAAATGTAATAATAGTAGAAAATAATGAAGAGTAGGAAATGATAACAACGAGAGCAGAAAACAAAAGCACAATAGAGGAAAAATCAACAAAAATGTAATAAAAATTTCATTATCTGAAAAGATCAATGAAATTAAAAAAACTCTAGCTAGAAAAAAATAGAAGAGACTAGGTAAACTAGTAAAGTTCACTTAAGAAGACATAGGTAATCTGATTAGCCCATATATATCTATTAAATAAACTAAATCTGTGGTTAAACACTTTCTCACAAAGCAAACTCCAGTCATAGGTAAGTTTATTGGCAAATTCTATCAAGCATTTAAAGGAAAAATAATACAAGTCTTGTACAAACTTTTCCTGAAAGTATTAGAGAAGCAAATAGTTCCCAAGTTATATGAGGCCAGTATACAGTACAGACTATAACCCTCATGAAGTTAGACACAAAATCTTCAGTAAAATATTAGCAAATCAAATCCAACAATAAATAATAAGGAAACTATATCATAATCAAATGGAGTTTATCTCAAGAGCACAAAGTTGGTTTAGCATTCAAAACTAAATCAATATAACTAACTCTGTCAATGGAATAGAAAAGAAAAATCGCATGATCATCTTGATAGATGCCAAAAAGGCATTTGACAAAACTCAATATTCATTCATGATCAAAGCTGTAAGAAAACCAGGCCAGAAGGAAAGTTTCTCAACTTGATATAACACATCTGCAAAAACAAACAAAAACTATATCTAAATTGTGATGAAAATGTGAATGTTTTTCCCTTATGACTGGGAAGAAGGCAGGGATGTCCAATTTCACCACTTTTTAAAAATATATGTAGAAAGAGACAGAGTCTCACTATTGCTGCCCAGGCTGGTCTCAAACTCCTGGACTCAAGTGATCTGCCTGGCTTAATCTCCCAAAGCGCTGGGATTACAGGTGTGAACCACTGCTGCGCAGTGAATTTCACCACTTGTATTCAACATTGTCCTGGAGGTCTGAGCTAGTGCAATAGTCAAACAAAAGAAATAAAAGGTGTAAAGCTTAGAAAGGGGAAAGCAAAAGGCATTTTTATTCTCGGATGTGATCATCTGTGTAGAAAATCCTAAGGAACCTACAAAATGTTAGCAGAATTAATACATGAGTTACGCAAGGTCTCAGGATACATGGTCAATATATAAAAGTTATAATTGTATATACTAGCAATGAAAAATTGGAAATTGGCTGGGCACAGTGGCTCATGCCTGTAATTCCAGCACTTTGGGAGGCCAAGGCAGGCAGATCCCTTGAGCCCAGGAGCCTGGGCAACATGGTGAAAACCTATCTCTACAAAAAAATACAAAAATTAGCTGGGTGTGGTAGCACATGCCTGTAGTCCTAGCTACTCGGGAGGCTGGGGTGAAAGGATCTCTTGAGCCTGGGATGCAGAAGTTGCAGTGAGCCAAGATGGTACCACTGTAATCCAGCCTGGGCAGCAGAGCCAGACCTTGTTTCAAAAAGGAAAAATATTTAAAAAAAAGAAACAAGGCTGGGCGCGGTGGCTCACACCTATAATCCCACCACTTTGGGAGGCCGAGGCAGATTGATCACGAGGTCAGGAGATTGAGACCATCCTGGCTAACACAGTGAAACCCCGTCTCTATTTAAAAAAATACAAAAAATTAGCTGGGTGTGGTGGGCGTGCGTGTAGTCCCAGCTACTCGGGAGGCTGAGGCAGGAGCATTGCTTGAACCCGGGAGGCGGAGGTTGCAGTGAGCCAAGATCGCACCACTGCACTCCAGCCTGGTGACAGAATGAGACTCCATCTCAAAAAACAAAACAAAACAAAAAAAAGAGAAAGAAACAAAAATTGGAAATTGAAACTCCAAAAAGTACCACTTACGATAGCATACAACATAAAATATTTTAAAATGTGTAAGACCTGTATAAAGAAATCTATAAAACATTGCTAACAGAAATCAAAGAAGTCCTCTATTAAAAGACAGCAAGTCCCTGAGCACTGACCTAGAGCTCTCTCTTAAAGAAAGCCAAATCCAGTTTCAGAGATAAGCCTGCAGATGGAGGCTAAATAGCTGTGATTGATGAATAGAAAGATGATAAATTAGTTAAGGTAGCTACAAGTCAGAGGAAAAAAACTGACTCATGTCTTAGCCTGGTTTCCCTAAAGGGAAGCCTTTGGCAAAGGCTTGTGTCAATATTTCACTAGGGATTCCAGTTCCAGGGAATACGAGTGAAGTTAGTGAGACAGGAAAGGAGAGTCAAAATGAGGGTGCATTACCTGGGTAGCCATTACTTGCAATCAAGCTGACTGATTGCTTGATAACATGAAACTCTCTTTGAAGAAGCCATATACATGACTATTTCTCAGAACTTTCCAATTGAGGTAGAAAGGGAGAATTTGTTAGCTGATTTCTGTCTCCCTCCACTCAAATTTCTGCCCTACAGGGTATTAATTCACCCATCTGTCTGAGTTGCACATGCCTAAATATGAGAGCAGTCACACTGTCTCTCTTGACTTATTGCCAACAGGCAAGCTCTGGGACACCTGAAGAAATCGGTGGTCACGAGGCAAGATGGTTTTGAGTTGTGCCTCCATAGAGTTGTTTTGGCTCCACGCTGAGTTGGCCCACCATCTTTTCACTCTGCTTTCCTCATTCTCATTGTGTCAGATTTTATCTCAGACCAGACCCTTCATGCTTGCAAGAGGCTGCAGCAGTTCCAAGGATTGTATCTAGAAGGTTTCTTTCTGCATTGTCTTCCTTATTGAGGAAATCCTTTCAAAATATTTCCAGAAGGCTTCTAATTGGGTACCCTTGGCCAGAATTGAGTCACATGCCCATCTCTAAATAACAAGTAAGAGAAATGAGATTACTGTAACTGAATTACTAGAACCAGGGTATATTCCCTGAGGCTTGTGGTAGGAGCAGTTTTCCCTGAAATGCATGATAGGTTGTAGAGGGGATGGTAAACTGCATATAATTAGGGTTCTATTAGGAAGGAAGAAAGGAGGATTAAGAGGATAGATAGACAACACAGAGTATCTGCCATAGATTTAAAGGCAAAGATCGAAGATCACATGGATTATGCCTGTATTCTATTTTCAATAGAAAACCAGGAACATTTTTCTTCTTGAAAAATCTTCCTGACTTTAATATAAACCATCCATCTATCCATCCATCCATCCATCCATCCATCCATCCATCCATCCATCCATCCATTTATCCATCCACCTATTTATCCATTTTTTTCCACTTGTATTATTTTTTACACATATTAATTGCCTTGATGCTGTGAATAAGCACAGAATCACCTAGAATCTGATTTATGTGTATCTGTTGTAAGTAGACTTTCATAGACGTTTCATTTTGTTACTAATCTTCTTTCAGATTCTGTGCCTAAGGGATCTGTCACACGAAGTGCAACTAGTTTAGTTGTTAGAAGGCTATTCCTTTTCTCTGTGTGCCAATCAATTTAGTATCAGCATCCCTGCACGATACTGGCCAAGCAAAGTCAGACACTGGCGAAGCTTAGCCTCTTTATCAATCTGAAGGATAGTCCTGAATGCTCATATTAAGTAGGTCGCTTTAGAAGTTACCAAACATCCAAACTTAATGACTTCCTTTTAAAGAAATGACATGTAAAATTTGCTCATTTGATATTCCTTCAATGACCTTGTGGACTTTTCAAACTGAAAAGTTTCAAACTGAAAAGTCCAGGATGCAACTCTGGACCTCCACCCCTCCCCGACAAATGTGTTCCTCTTCCCAGTCTTCATCCTCTCAGTCAATGGCATTGAACACTTATTGCCCACTGTAAGAAAGGGGCAAGCATCTTATTCTCCTTCTTCCTCATCTTTCTCTTTTAGTCCAACAGCAAGACCTATGACTCCTATTTCCAAAAATAGATCTGGAATCTGTCCCTCCGTTCCTATTGTGGCCACTGTGGTCCTCCTCCAGGATCTCTCCCCTGAGCTACTGCAGTAGCTTCCTCGGTGGACTTTTTATACTCCTTCTCTTCTTCCAGTGTATTCCCTTCACAGCAATCAGGGTAATCTTTTGAACATACAAATCAGGTAATGCTACTCTCTGCTTAAATCCCCTCATGGCTATACAATACACTTTAAATAAACTTCAAACTCCTAATTACCTAGGAAGCCCTAAATGATCTGACATTTGCCTATCCCTACAAATCCATCTCAACCTGTATTCCCTCTAGCCAACTGGAGTCTAGCATTGCTGGCCTTCTGTATTAGTCCATTTTCACACTGCTATAAGTGTATGTAATTTATAAAGAAAAGAGGTTTAATTGACTCACAGTTCTGCATGGCTGGGGAGGCCTCAGGAAACTTACAATCATGGTGGAAGGCAAAGGAGAAGCAATCACCTTCTTCACAAGGTGGCAGGAGAGAGAGAAAGAGTGAAGAAAGCCACATGCTTTTAAACCAACAGATCTTGAGAAAACTCACTCACTCTCATGAGAACAGCAAGGGGGAAATCCGGTCCTATGATCCAACAGGCTCCCACCACATCCCTACCCTGACACATGGGGATTACAATTTGACAGGAGATTTGGGTGGGGACACTGAGTCAAACCATATCACCTTCTCTCTTCCTGGAGCACATCAACTGATCTTCCAAGGACTCTGAGAATACCCTTCTCTTTGCCATTTTAACTAAGTCAGCTTCATTCCCACCCTCAGATCCCTCCGTTGGACTCTTCCCCCCAGAGTTTATAAGTGCATGACAGTGAGAGTTCATGCCCATGTTGTCTACCATTATATATCTAGTTCTAATACAATGCCTGAAACCTAGAAGGCATTCAATAATGACCTCAAGGCCTTCATATCTGTGTTTTCTGTTCTGAAGTACCCTTCCTCCACATATTCACACCACTTGCTCCTTCATATCAGTTCCCTGAGCTCCTCTCCCCTGTCACCTCTTCCAAGAGACCTTCCCATCACACTCACCCATAGCTCTCTTTACCTTTAGGTAAGCCTTCATTATGTGAACTATTTTATATATTCCCTTAAGGAACATGAGCTCCATGAAGGCAGTGGCTTTGTTCATTGCTTTATGTCCAACACTGAAAGTAGCACTTAGAACATAGTGATACTTCATAGACATTTGTTGAATGAATGAATGTAGAAAGCCAGGGAATGTAACATTAAAATCCAAAGTGAAATTGCTGTGAAGAAGACTAGAAAATAAGTTTGCATTAATTGCCAATTATTAGCAGCGTGAGAACAGACTAATACAAATGCAAACTCATTTTTCAAAAAACTCCCTGATTTAAAAATTACAGGTATATGTATAAATATATGTGTATGTGTCCATATGTAGACACAGACACATAGTAACAAATTATAACAAACCAGTGTAACAAATCAGTATGGTTTTGTAGTGTGACAGTTGACTGTAAAACAGTATTAATATGCTTTGTAAAGAACGAAGGGTTGCCGGAAGGTATTATATTATGTGTTTATAATATCTTCCTAGATAGAAAAAACTATGTAAATCTTTTGTTCCCTTGTCCTATGTGTGCTTTGACTGACCCATGACTACTTGGGCAAATTTTGGACTGCTTCCTTTGGTAGGAAATAACTGAGACCATACATTTGTAAGGCATCTATCTGGCCAAGGTCATGGACATAGCCTAGAGCCTTGAAATCATTTTTCTTGGGGAGCTCTAACTAGTGTAAATAGTGCTCTGGCCAATGACAACCAACCTTTTAGTCTCTGAATCGACATGAAAAAATCTCTTCTTTTGCCAGGGATGGATTTGATCCATAGACCTCAGGACTATGGGCTCAGTGTGCTCTGTGTGTCATTCAGCACTGTGCCCTGGCTTCCCTGCCATCATGCACAATGAATGGCTGTGAACAGGTTGGGAGTTGTTGGGAAAGGCTAAGACCTGTCTTCCCAGTTGATGTGGACCGGACTTTCCTACCAGCTCACATTTGGCAAGAAGATGGCCCTCGATGTGTACAAAGCTCAGATGCAATTTTGTCACTGGGTGGGTCAGCTGGCTGCTCACCAGCTTCAGAAAGAATGCAGTGGAACTAGGAAAATCTTTAGGGACAAGAAATAAGAAAGCTCAAGATGAGAAAGCAGCAAGATCTTTGGAAATTTGGGTATATTGCTGAAAATCTCTCGGAATTGCTGTTATTGGTTCCTGAAAATCTTTTAGGAGAATAGGAACCATGAAGAAAAGATAACATAATTAATAACATTTTTGTTGTTGTTCGAGGAAACAAAGCTATAGGTCCCATTTAAATAACCAAACATATTGAGTCAGGTTGATCAACCGTTCTCCATTTCTTTCCCTACTAAGCCTGAATAAGTGATATAGGTTTAAACTATGGCAGTCAGAGTTTGCATTAAACCTAACACATAGCTTCGGGACCAGAGTAAACATGCCTCAGTCTTATTTCTTTGTGGGGTGGGCTGGAGAATCTGTGTTTGAATTTGGACTTGCCACGGGGAGGCCCCTCTTCCGTTCTCATCTTTTGAATCACCAGGTTCCTTGAGAAGCCAAGATCTGTCTTCCTAGTTGATGTGGACCGGACTTTCCTACCAGCTCACATTTGGCAGGAAGCTGGCCCTCCATGTGTACAAAGCTCAGGATGGGATCCTGAGGGGACAGGTGGTTTTCTGAAAGACCAGCAGAGGGAGCTAAGAAACAAGAGTTTTTTCCTTTTGTCAACTATTCCCAGTGGTTACCGATGTGGATAAACAGTCTTTTCTCTACCAGGTTATGATCTGGAACATATTAAACCAAGATCCAAACACCCCGTAATTTGGCAAGTGAGTGTGCCTTGTGTATCAGTCACTCTGTGCCTCCCTGAGCCAGCCATGTGGTCTTTGTCTCTGAGTGCTAGGAGGACAAATGCAACACAGGCCAGTCTATGTGGATGTCTGCACTGCTTTATGATCCTCCTGGGGTGGAGGCAAAGAGAGCAGAACCCAATCGCATTTTGGATTATGAGACTGTTTCGCCAATAGATTTCTCCTCAATTCTTTTGTTCTAATAAATTAAAGAATGGCTTTCCTTAAGGTAATAGTGTTAACCCTTCTGAGATGCTTTATAAAAGAGTCTGATGACAATCTCTTCATAAAGGAAGCAGCCAATTACCCAGGGCAGATAGCACGGGGTTGATTTTATGTTAGGTCAGTCAGCAAATGGACCAATCAGGTAATTTACAAATTAAAAAAAAATAGCCATAGAAAGGCAGGAAAAAAATAATAATTCAACCCAGAATTGCAATTGTAAAGAGAAAAAGAAATGCTTTTTAAAAAGTACATAAATTTGAATTCTCGAAGAAATTCATCTATGAACAGAATCCATTAAATCTCCAAACAAATGGACTAATAACAATAATTTTGCACTAATGGAAGACCTCCAGATTATTTCCTGGGCATTAGTGGGGAATGATGACTAGAACCAAATGGAACATAAGTATTATTTGAATCAGTCTTTATTCTTCAGATGTGAATGAAATAATGATTATGGACTGAATTGGGCTAAAAATAACTACAGAGCTTTTATTTATTTACTTACAGAGTCTCCTGCAATGATTCAGACTTGGCTTTACTGGCTTCTTCCATAGATAAGCACCAGCCTAGGAGCTCTCAAAGTTGTTCCAGCTAAAGGACACACTCAGCTTTTGGTCTACAGTGACTTCCAGCCTAAGTGGCTCTGGACACTGCTGGAACCCCCCGCTCCATCTCCCTCCATAAATATGTCTCTGCAGCAGGTGAGTGACAGCTCCTTCTCAGAAGGTCAGAGTCCTCAGTCATCTGGTGATTTCACAAGGCTCAAATATTTGGTCCCTGACATAAACTTGGTGGCTTTTTCTAGTTCTTATATAACTGAGAGTTAGCTAGGGGGCTGCCTGCTGCTTGAGATGGAGGCAAAATTGGCTTCAACTCTCTAATAAATGGGCCTATGGAAAGTGAAAACCAAGATCTCTGCTACATCTCTCTAGTGTGGACTCACCTTATATGGTTCTCAGAGTCTTTTCTGCCTCCTTGGACTTCCACTTCCTCCCTGGTTGTCTAGGTCATCCTATGTCAAACTTGAACTTGGCCTTTTAAGTTTCCACCACAACAAAATCATTCATACAGAATGCAGCCCCCTCCCTCTCAATGGCACCCATTTAACTTGCCTTCTTTTCTGTGCTGAATTTGCCGAGGAAATCCAATGTCTTCTCCTTTTATTTGTAGTGCATTCAGCTGCTTTCTCTTCAGCCTTGGTGCTGACCTTCATGAACATCCATGGTGCTGGTTGTGGTGGATGGGGGAGGAATGGAGGTGAATTTTCCCATAAGTCCTTCTCAAAGTATTTCCAAAGGGGAAGAGTGACTTTGCTAAGATAAATTTTGGTGCAAACCACAGGTTGATATTTTGCCAACCTCATTATGATGATTTTAACTCAATTATTAGTATTTATTTTCATTTTGAGATGGAGTCTTGCTCTGTCACCCAGGCTGGAGTGCAATGGCATGAATTATTAGTATTCTTGAAAGAATAGCTACTCTCACCTCCATTAAGCTCCATTCACAACCTCCATCTTTTTAAAAAATTTTTTTAATATACTTTAAGTTCTGGGATACATATGCAGAACGTGTAGGTTTGTTACATAGGTATACATGTGTCATGGTGATTTGCTGCACCCATCAACCCGTCATCTACATTAGGTATTTCTCCGAATGCTATCCCTCCCCCAGCCACCCACCCCCCGCAGGCCCCAGTGTGTGATGTTCCCCTCCCTGTGTCCATGTGTTCTCATTGTTCAACTCCCATTTATGAGCAAGAACATGAGATGTTTGGTTTTCTGTTACTGTGTTAGTTTGCTTAGAATGATGGTTTCCAGCTTCATCCATGTCTCTGCAAAGGACATGAACTCATCCTTTTTTACGGATGAATAGTATTCCATGATATATATGTGCCACATTTCTTTATCCAGTCTATCATTGTGCATTTGGGTTGGTTCCAAGTCTTTGGTATTGTGAATAGTGCTGCAATAAACATACATTAGCATGTGTCTTTATAGTAGAATGATTTATAATCCTTTGGTTATATACCCAGTAATGGGAATCCTGGGTCAAATGGTATTTCTGGTTCTAGATCCTTGAGGAATTTCCACACTGTCTTCCACAATGGTTGAACTAATTTACACTCCCACCAACAGTGTAAAAGCATTCCTATTTCTCCACATCCTCTCTAGCATCTGTTGTTTCCTGACTTTTTAATAATCACCATTCTAACTGGCGTGAGATGGTATCTCATTGCGGTTTTGATTTGCATTTTTCTAATGGCCAGTGATGATGAGCTTCTTTTCATATGTTCGTTGGCCACATAAATGTCTTCTTTTGATAAGTGTCTGTTCATATCCTTCACCCACTTTTTGACGGGTTTCTTTCTTTGTAAATTTGTTTAAGTTTCTTGTATATTTTGGATATTAGCCCTTTGTCAGATGGATAGATTGCAAAAATTTTCTCCCATTTTGTAGGTTGCCTGTTCATTCTGAAGATAGTTTCTTTTTCTGTACAGAAGCTCTTTAGTTTAATTAGATCCCATCTGTCTATTTTGGCTTTTGTTGCCATTGCTTTTGGTATTTTAGTCATGAAGTCTTTGTCCATGCCTATGTCCTGAATGGTATTGCCTAGGTTTTCTTCTAGGGTTTTTACAGTTTTAGGTCTTATGTTTAAGTTTTTAATCCATCTTGAGTTAACTTTTGTATAAAGTGTAAGGAAGGGGTCCAGTTTCAGGTTTCTGCATATAGCTAGCCAGTTTTCCCAGCACCATTTATTAAATAGGGAATCCTTTCCCTATTGCTCGTTTTTGTCAGGTTTGTCAAAGATCAGATGGTTGTAGATGTGTAGCATTATTCCTGAGGACTCTGTTCTGTTCCATTCGTCTATATATCTGTTTTGGTACCAGTACCATGTTGTTTTGGTTACTGTAGCCTTGTAGTATAGTTTGAAGTCAGGTAGCGTGATGCCTCCAGCTTTGTTCTTTTGGCTTAGGATTGTCTGGGCTATACAGGCTCTTTTTTCATTCCATATGAAATTCAAAGTAGTTTTTTCTAATTCTGTGAAGAAAGGCAATGGTAGCTTGATAGGGATGGCATTGAATCTATAAATTACTTTGGGCAGTATGGTCATTTTCACAATATTGATTCTTCCTATCCATGAGCACAGAATGTTCTTCCATTTGTTTGTGTCCTCTTTTATTTCCTTGAGCAGTGGTTTGTAGTTCTCCTTGAAGAGGTCCTTCCCATCCCTTGTAAGTTGTATTCCTAGGTATTTTATTCTCTGCAGCAATTGTGAATGGGAGTTCACTCATGATTTGGTCCTCCATCTGTTATTGGTGTATAGGAATGCTTGTGATTTTTGCACATTGATTTTATATCCTGAGATTTTGCTGAAGTTGCTTATCAGCTTAAGGAGATTTGGGGCTGAGACGATGGGGTTTTCTAAATATACAATCATGTCATTTGCAAACAGAGACAATTTGACTTCCTCTCTTCCTATTTGATTATTTCTTTCTCTTGCCTGATTGCCCTGGCCAGAACCTCCGATACTATGTTGAATCGGAGTGGTGAGAGAGGACATCCTTGTTTTGTGCTGGTTTTCAAAGGGAATGCTTCTAGCTTTTGCCCATTCAGTATGATATTGGCTGTGGATTTGTCATAAATAGCTCTTATTATTTTGAGATACATTCCATCAATACCTAGTTTATTGAGAGTTTTTAGCATGAAGGGCTGTTGAATTTTATTGAAGGCCTTTTCTGCATCTATTGAGATGATCATGTGGTTTTTGTCATTGGTTCTGTTTAAGTGATGGATCACATTTATTGATTTGTTGATGTTGAACCCAGGAATGAAGCCAACTTGATCATGGTGGATAAGTTTTTTGATGTGCTGCTGGATTCAGTTTGCTACTATTTTATTGAGGATTTTTGCATTGATGTTCATCAGGGATATTGGCCTGAAATTTTCTTTTTTTGTTGTGTCTCTGCCAGGTTTTGGTATCAGGATGATGCTAGCCTCATCAAATGAATTAGGGAGGAGTCCCTCTTTTTGTATTGTTTGAAATAGTTTCAGAAGGAATGGTACCAGCTCCTCTTTGTACCTCTGGTAGAGTTTGGCTGTGAATCCGTCTGGTCCTTGGCTTTTTTTTTGATAGGTAGGCTATTAATTACTGCCTCAATTTCAGAACTTATTGTTCTATTCAGGGATTTGACTTCTTCCTGGTTTAGTCTTGGGAGGGTGTATGTGTCCAGGAATTTATCCATTTCTTCTAGATTTTCTAGTTTATTTGCATAGAGGTGTTTATAGTATTCTCTGATGGTAGTTTGTATTTCTGTGGGATCAGTGGTGATATCCCCTTTTTCATTTTTTATTGCATCTATTTGATTTTTCTCTCTTTTCTTCTTTATTAGTCTGGTTAGTGGTCTATGTATTTTGTTAATCTTTTCAAAAAACCAGCTCCTGGATTCACTGATTTGTTGAAGGGTTTCTCCTGTATCTATCTCTTTCTTCTGCTCTGATCTTAGTTATTTCTTGTCTTCTGCTAGCTTTTGAATGCGTTTGCTCTTGCTTCTCTAGTTCTTTTAATTGTGATGTTTAGGGTGCCAATTTTAGATCTTTCCTGCTTTCTCCTTTGGGCATTTAGTGCTATACATTTCCCTCTAAACACTACTTTATCCGTGTCCCAGAGATTCTGGTATGTTGTGTCTTTGTTCTCTTTGGTTTCAAATACCTTATTTATTTCTGCCTTAATTTCGTTATTTACCCAGTAGTCATTCAGGAGCAGGCACAGCCTTCATCCTGATACACAGAAATGCCTGGTTGGAGAAGGGCAAAAAGTTGAAAATATTCCTTAGTAGAAAAAAAATGTGCACTAAAAAGTATTTTTTATTAAAATACGGAAGGAAAGAAAAATACAATGGGTTCAGATGGGCATATGACAATAATAAAATGTCTCACTTCCCTTCCTCCCCTTCTCTCCCAGCACTCCCCTGAGGTTGCCACTTTTGGACATTTCTGCTTTTAGCTCTTCTGGTGGTTAGAATCATGACTTCCCTGACTGAGAGGCATGACTAGCCCTGAGCATGAGGGTGGGGCTTGTGCGCTGGAAGGCTTAACTTGAACCTTGTGAGCAGGAAGTCAGGCTAGAACCACTCCTAAAGTGCCTGGGGAGGATGGGACTTTTCACTGTTGGTTGCTTCCTCAAATCCAGTGGTTCTCGAACTGGAATCCTCAGCACTGCCTGAAAAGTTGGTAGAAATGCAAATTCTTGGGCCCTACCCCAGACTTATGGAATCAGAACCTTTGGAGGTGGCGCCCAGCAACCCATGTGCTATTTTAACAAATTCTCCAGGCCATTCTGATGCCTGCTCAAGTTTGAGAAGCCCCGTTCTAAGACAGCCAATCAAACAACCAAACACCACCACCAACAACAACAAAGAGACAAAACTCATTTCTTCTTCCAGTGATTGGTTTGGGGTGGGCACGTGACCCTGCTCTGGCTAATGCAGTGCAATGGGAGGCTTGTTTAGGGGCTTCCGGGAGGCGGTCGTGCTCTTGAAAAAGATGCTTGGGAAGAGTAAGAGGCATTGCACCGGGTGCTTTCCCGTGTAGGTGAGAGGCATGGGGCTGCTACTGCCATCTTGTGGACACACTGAGTGGAGGAGGTGAACCGAGGGAAGAACCTGGATGCCTGAGGAATGAATGCCAGAGCCCCAAGAGTAACCATCTGGGAGCCATCCTACTGTGGACTTCTTGTATGATATGTATTATTTTTTAAAGTTAAGAACATGTTGAGTTTGGTTTAGCAGTGAGGCACCCGAACACAGTTCCATTCTGGAACTGTATCTCCTCCCAGACATAGATAAGTGGCTGCCAAGAACAGCTCTCTGGGTAGGCTGGGCCATAAAAGCCACTATTACATGAACAGGTGAGGGCGGTTGGGAGGAGAAATGAATCTACTTCACTCTTTATTCCATAGGTATTTTCAGTCGTTTTCACACCTGCCATTTCTGAGTCCGGGGCCCTTCTGGCGCCCTGCCCTCTTTCATCCTTCTCTGGGCCATGTTCTGAGCTGTTGTTCCCTCTGCTAATGTTACTTCCTGAGTGTAATTCCATCCACTGACAGGCTTCCAGAAGTTAATGAAAATCCTTGGCCTGCCCATCCTTTCCTGTGCCCGCCATTCTTCCTATCTTCCTTACTGCCATCTATTTGGGGAAAGCAGAGAGATAAAGGAGTGTTTGGCTTGCCAACTTGAATGGGAAGGCCCAGATTGTTTCATTGTTTGCTTTTACTGAGACTTGGTTATCATTCTCCCTTTTCAAAAGAAGAAAGAAAGATGAAATAGTGGAGGAGGAGAGCTGCCCAGCAAGATTCCCTCTGGGACATCCATGTAACCCTCTTGGAACATACGCTAATGCTATGGAAATGATTCTTAACTCTTCATTTTGTGGCTTCTTCCAAAATGCAGACCATTCAAGGTAGATGGGGACACTGTGGTGAGTCAACTTGATGGGGAGGGGCTCTCAGAGCTCCTGAGTTTGCCCTAGATTATATCTATCCTTCCCTGAAGCTTGGGTGGACATCTTTCTCTCTAAGAAGATGAAGAACATGGGTCCCTTTGCCTTCATAAGTTTGTGAAACTGAAATTTCAGTTGTCCAGCACAAGCAGATTGAGAATGTATATACATCGTTTTATTCAAACCTTCAACCACATGATGTTATCTTGAGGTAGCACTTACACTGGTGAGAAACCACCGTGGGATCTTAGGGTCATCTCAGATAGGCGTCCTTATTCTACTGTATAAGTTTTCTGAACCAAACTTCCTTCATTGTGACATGGTTTTGCCACAGCTGGTCGTTCTCTTTACTCTTTGATCCTGGTTGAACGATTCATGTAGATTCTATCTCTCTTTAAATGTCAGAATGTGACATTCAATATTTTTCGCAGTATTTGTTTTATGTGTATTCCTTAATGTTTCTGTTTTAGTTAAATACAGTCACACATCATTTAACAATGAAGATATGTTCTGAGAAATAGGTTGTTAGGTGATTTCAGGTGATTTCATTGTGCAAATGTCATAGAATATACTTACACAAAACTAGGTGGTACACACCTAGGCCATATGGTACGGGCTATTGCTCCTAGACTACAAATCTGTATAGCGTGTTACTGTACTGTAGGCAATTGTAACACAGTGGTAAGTATTTGTGCATCTAAACATATCTAAACATAGAAAAGGTACAGTAAAATACAATATTATTATCTTATGAAACCACTACTGTATATGGGATCTGTCATCAACAGAAATGTCTTTATGTGGCACATGACTGAATACATCAAACCTTAGGTTCATTGCTGTGTGAATCAGGGACCTCTATGTTAAAAGGCACAGTATGGGAGAAGCATTGTGATCTGGCCCAGGGTCAGGATGTTGAGGCTTTTACTGGCTCTAGAACTGAGTCAATTCAATCTTTTCTTTTTAAGCTTTAGACACTTCCTCTGCAAAAGACGATAACTTAATCACAGCCTCTGACAGGTTTGTGGAGTTGAGGCTTGACAAGGGTGTTAGGTAAAAACTGCAGTCTTGCATATGTGAAGCCAAAGGTCTGAGCTGTGAGCAAACCTATCATCACCGCTATTGAGTGACAGCAGTCACTCGGCCTTTCACATTCCAACTTAAAAAGCAGATGCATATTCCTATGGCTTTTCTTTGTATAAACACTATCCATAAAGCAATGGCAGAAAAGTTCTGGTTTCTTTAAAGTGGGAGTGAAAACTAAGACATATTTTAAGGTGTTCCAAGTGTAGGGGTTTTTATGAGTCCCCCTTCCACTTACCCACATGTGAATTGACATATTTTTGCCAATATAAATTTATTCTTCCTTTCCAAAGCCATTAACTTAATATTCATAAAAAGAGCTCTGTTTTTTCTTTTGCACTCATATTTCATTGGTTTAAGTAACCCACTTTATCATATAATTAGAATAGTAAGTACGGTTTATATCATCTTGGAATGCATTAGCTGGGCAACAGATAATTCACTTGGTGGGAGTAGAAGTAAATGGTGTACTACCAGCTGTGAACACTCAGCAGCTACTATGCACTCATCAAAGAGTGTTATAAAGGGTTACAGAGAATTGGGAACTTAGTTAAGGGCAGATTTGTTAAAAAAAAAAAAAAGTATCTTCTTTGCCAATCAAATGTGTCCCCTCAAAGTAGACCTCTAGAGCCTGGCTACTCAAAGTCTGATCCAGAGACCAGCAGCATCACATCACATTTTCTTTTTCTGGAGGATCTAAGGGGAGAATCATTTTCTCACCTTTCCCAGCTTCTAGAGGCTTCCAGCATTGCCTGATGGCCCCTTTCTTCCATCTTTCTGAACTTTGTTTTGTACTCACACTTTCTACTTCTACAGTCAAATCTCTTCTTACCTCCTTCTTATAAGGGCACACTTGGATAATCCAGCATGGCATCCCCATCTCAATATCCTTGACTTAATCGCATCTGCAAAGTACTTTTACCATATTGTGAAATAATAAGAAATATATAAGTGTGTGTGTGTGTGTGTGTATGTATAGATAGATAAATAGATAGATACCTAGACAGATAGATAGGTACATAGATACCTAGATAGATACATAGATAGAGATATTTGTCTCTGACCCTGGTTCCTGACATAGAGCTCCTAAACTTTTCTAATTCCCTAAGTGGTACGGGTACTAGCAGCATCATTTGTTCTAACATTTGGTCTTTGAGTCCAGTTCCTGACACAGAGCTCTTAAATTTCTTGGTATTTTCTGGGTGATAAGAGTGTCTTTTATTCAAATGAAACAACTCTTGATGAGGCCTTGGATAGCTTTAGGATAGGGGCTTGTCATCAGAAAGACAAGGCCATGATTAGAAGCTTAGCACTTTTAATTCCCAACCTTCATTCTCTGGGGAGGGCAGAAGAGCTAGAGATTGAGTTAGTAATAGATCAAGCCTACATGATGAAGCCTCCAAGAAAAAAAAATTTCCCTCAAGTATGGGTTTTGGAGAGCTCTGGGGTTGGTAAACACATCCATGTACCAGAAGTGTGGTGCACCCCAGCTCCACAGGAATAGAAGCTCCTGCACTCAGAGCCCTTCCAGACCTCATCCTATATACCTCTTTATGTCCTTTATTATAAAAGAAAATGGCAAACACAATAAGTGTCTCCCTGAGTTTTTTAAACTATTCTAGCAAATTATCAACCCCAAGGAGAGGGTCATGGGAGCCCCAGTTTATGGCCAGTCTGTTAGAAGCACAAGTGAGAACCCTGGACTTTTGACTGGTGTCTGAAGTGGGGGCAGTTTTGAAAGACTGCGCCCTTCGTCTGTGGCACCTGATGCTAACTCCAGGTAGATAGTGTCAGAACCGAATTGAATTGTAGGACACCCAGCTGGTATCAGGGAATTGGTCGACATGGCAAAAAAAAAAAAAAAGAAAAAAAACCCCACAAAACAAACAAACAAATAAGAACAACGCCCACATTTTGGTGACCAGATGCAAAGTGTTGAAAATGTAGAGGAAAAAAATAACTTTTTTTTTTCTATATACATGTAAAGGAACACATTCTCATGTTCTAGGGATTAGGATGTGGATATCCTCGGGGGCTGTTATTCAGCCTACCACAACTTTGCTGTCAGATACCATTTTAAGGTAACTTAATGATTATTAACACTACTGTTTAACAAGTGCCTGCTATGACCCAGGCACTTTACATATACATGAAACCTACTTCTTATAAGAATACCCCACAGTAGATATTATCACCCTATCCATGTAGATGAGAAGTCTGGGGTTCAGAAATCCCAGTAATGACAGAGCAGGGGTTGGTACCCAGACCCCCATGGGTCCCAGCCTCTGACCTTCTCTTGGTACCTGACTCATGCCACCATCATAATCACCTGTTTTATTCCCAAACTCAGAATAAGGTACGCCTATGTCCAGGTTTGTCCAGTGACCTGTCGCGTTCACTGATCTAAAGTCCATGCTTAAAGATTTCCTTTTGAAAAGGAATCTTTAATGTTACATGAAGACCAAATTGATGGTTTCGGTAAAAAGCCAGAGCAACTTCCTGTGCACTATCAGCTGACTGATCAGGGTTCTTTTCTAGAAATCACACACCCAGTCAGGGAAGGTCTCCATCTTCAAAATTACAGGAGTTAGACAGAAATGCTGTCCCTTGGCAGGAAGTGGCTTGAGAGATGCCACTCTAATGGGCTTCCTTGATAAACTGTGCCTTAAGGGTTTAGTGGAGCCATGGGATGAAACTGGGAAAAAACAGGAATTGCAGACATAGAAACATTTCAGTCAAAAAAAAAAAAAAAAAGAAAAGAAAAGAAAAGAAAAAAGAAAAAAAAAAGCTCCTATACTTGCTCTGGAAACTTTACTCTGTACAGAGATTAACTTCTTCTTAATTATGTAGCCATTATGTAGCCATAATCACTTTGTTGTTGGTATCATCCAAAAGGACAAGTTCTGGATGCATAATGGCTGCAGTCTGTTTTTTGCCTTTTCTTCACCTTCCTGATTCCCAAAGTCCTACAGTAAGGTGGGCAAAAATCTATGTAGTTTTAAAATTTGTAGGCTATTTTCTAATAGACTTTCTCTACGCTAGATGTTTTGGGGCATTTGAAGGTGATCCCAGTAGATTCCTCTGCTTGACCAAAATTATCTTTCAAAACTGAAATCGATTTTTATCTGGTGTCAGGATTATAACTCCCCCCTCTCCTACCTACCCCTTACCACAACACAACTTCCTTTCACCTGGGGAGTCTAAGCTGATCAAACTGCATGTGCCATTGTTTGCACACGTACTGGGCCACTGGGCAGGCAAGGAGGGGCTCCTTAAACCACACCAGAGGTTTTTGGTCCAGAACTGGTCACCACCCTCAGCATGTCACCATGCAGTGCTTTGTGGACTGAAATCCATCTGTACTCACAGATGTGGCTGAACGCAGAAACACTCAAAGCACCCCCAGACTCCAAAGCCTTACTGTGGCATAATATCCTCATTGCTTTTTCCCTCCTTATGTCCCTGGAGCTACACATGAAACTTCTTGGGGGCAACTTCAACTAATGCCAACTTGATTAACATTGGAAATAGTTATGTTTCAAATAAAAATGTACACAAGTTTTAATTGCACTGGCTACCTCAAATTTTCTGAACAAAGCTTTTTTGCATAAGAGATAAAGGTTGGTGACGCCTTTTATGAAATTGGTCCAAACTCATCAGAACTAGCAATCAAAAATTAATTCCTTGTTTTATTTTGAATTTTATACTTCATTGTAATGATCGTATTGTATATTTCTGAGCATTAGGTTTGCAACAACTCATGGATAAAGTATGGATTTCTGACCTGACCTGTAAGCAAATTACTCCTCCATTCCACACCTCTTTTCTGTGAAAAGGGATGACTTAATCTCTGCCCTATTTACATACAAAGTCATGATGACAGTCATGAGAAGGAATTGGATTTGAAATGGCAATGAAAGTCAAAGTGTTATCTTTGCCAGTGTGTGGACTCAGTTTACATTAAAGTTACAGGTTCCCACCAGCTCCTCCTCTCCCCAGGAGGTCTGGTGTTCTACGTGTAATCACTCAAGGTGAACCATGACTTTCATATCAGCAGTGAAATCAGCTGCTCTAGTTATTTCCTGTTCTGGCAGCACCCTGCTGAGCATCTCGTGATTTCAGGAGAGTAGAAGCTGGGTGGTGGAGCAGTCCAGGTTTGTCTTAAAAATACAGTTCTCCAGCTGTTGTATTGGATTTCCTCTCACAGAAACCTAAGGTCGACAGAGGATTACAAATTTGCCTTTCCATAACTTGGATCCCTTGCTCTTCTCTAGGTGTCGAGATTATAACTCTCTCCTTTCCTACCTACTCCTTCCCACGACACCACTTCCTCTCACCCAGTGTGTCCAAGCTGATCAAACTGGGTGTGTCATTGTTCGCACACTTGCTGGGCCATGGGGCAGGCAAGGAGCGGCTCCTTAAACCACACCAAAGGTTTGTGGTCCAGAATTGGTCACCACCCTCAGCACCTCAGCATGCAGTGCTTTGTGGACAGACAGCGTCCTTTCTCACTCTTTTGAGTGACCCTCCCCAGCTGGCTCAAGTTGGCCTTGCAGCCTGATAGGCCTTTTAAACAAGGAAAGGAAGGTCTCTCAGCACACTTTAACTTACTAGTTATTCAGCTTATTTTCTTAATAAGCCACAAGCTCTAAGGGCTCTTCAGAACTCCTAATTTCAACACTGGAAATTATTTTCTTCTCTTTATTAAGAATTTGCAGCCAGGCGTGGTGGCTCACATCTGTAATCCCAGCACTTTGGGAGGCCAAGGCAGGTGAATCACTTGAGGTCAGGGGTTCAAGACCAGCCTGGCCAACATGTTAAAACCCTGACTCTACTAAAAATGCAAAAATCAGCCAGGCATGGTGGCACATACCTGTAATCCCAGCTATTCGGGAGGCTGAGGCAGGAGAATCGCTTGAACCAGGGAGGCGGAGGCTGCAGTAAGCAGAGATTGCACCACTGCACTCCAGCTTGGATGACAGAGCGAGACCCTGTCTGAAAAAAAAAAAAAAAGAATTTGCTACATTCCAGACACTATATTGAGTGCTTTTTATATATAAGAAGTAAAGCTTAAAGAGGTTAAGCAACATGCCCAGGGTCACCCAGGCAGTGAGCTGAAGAGGTAGGATTTGAACCCACTCTGGCTCGAGGGCCCATGTCTCACCCTAGCTCAGGCTCCTGAACCTCCCAATTTTTCCCCATCAAGCTGGGCACATGAGCCCTCAAGGACAGCTTTGCAAAGCACCATGCAAAGTGCTTGAGGCAAATACGAGTGTCACTTGGTGCAGACACCCTCAGGCCAAGGTCAACAGCCACATAGGCTCCCCACTCTCCAAACGGGAGAGGTGCGCTAGGTCTGGAGTTCAGCTGGAAACACGTGGGCCTGTGCTCCAGCAGAGGGCTCCCATCACCTCTCTGCTCTCTTTTTTTATGAAGCAAGGGTGACAGCGCCTCTGTTTTGCTTCTTGAACCGGCCATTCCAGTGCTCATTTAGATGCACCGGTAATGGTTCATAGGAGTGTAGAATATCCAGCAAATTCCACGATGCTGGGTGTGGTCATGGGAGGCAGTGGTCATAAATGAAGTTCTTGCTGTGGGATTGTCAGGGAATCCAGCACATGACAAAGGGAGTTATCCATGATCATAGTAGTCTGTGATCATTCCCTTGGAAGAGACAGACAACTTCATGCCTTGAGAATGTTTTCAAGAAAGTGAAGTTCCCTAATCGGGGGCAGGGAGCCTATAAAGTTAGCCTTCTAGTTGTGGGCCATGCCACATCCTGGTGGGATGCAGCCCAGCTCACTCAAACCACATGCCGCTTAGCTGGTAAGCAGTCCATCTCTGTGTCACATAGATTCCCTGTTGGGCTTCCCAGTCCTTGGTGGCTGTTTCATGACTGTGCTGAGTCCTGCAGGCCTCTATGGTCTGTTGTATAATATTATGGCTCCTGCATCCAGAGGCTTCTTGGGCTTCTTCATTCCAAATGCTTTTCTCAGAAGCTGTCTTTTCTGTGCGGCACAGTCCCACACTGCTAGCTGAGAGGATGGGGACTGTGAGCACCTGCTAACTCTTCTATCCCTAGTCCCAGCCTGTGGAAGTGATGGCCCTGGTGTTTTCTCTAGCAGAGTATACCAACGTGGAATGAATGATGCCTGACTAGGCCTGCAGAAGGGGTCAACCAGGCCCTTCAGGGTGGTTTATTTCATTTTGGAAGGAGGAGGAGAGACCCTAATTGTTCAGGTGTAGACACATCTGATACTGGGAAATGGGTGATGTGGGAGTAAATCTCTCTCTCTCTCTCTTTCTCTCTCGGTGGGGCAGGCTCTCACTCGGTTGCCTTGCTGGGGTGCAGTGGCACCATCTCAGCTCACTGCAGCCTGGACCTTCGGGCTCAAGTGATTCTCCCACCTCGGCTACCTGAGTAGCTGGGACTACAGGTGTGCCACCACGCCCAGCTAATTTTTGTCAAATCTCTCTCTTCTTTGAGGTCTGAGTATGACAGGACAATGGCCTCCATTGATGAGCCACTGGGGCCAGAGAGCAGAACCATGCAGCTGAGAAGGACCGTCAGATGAGTGACCTCTGGAGCTCTCTGGACAGCCTGGAAGAGTGGCTTCTTTCTTCCAGGGAGAAAGCCTCAGTCTCTCCTGGACTGGGCCCCAAACTCTCTGCACTTCACACTGGACTGGCCCTGAACTCTCCAGGTGTTAAGGAGCTGACATTTTCCCCCAACTCTCTAAACATCTGGTCTCTAAGCTTAGACTACCTGACACCTAAATCTATAATGTTTATTTATCCTGAGCAAAACCTCTCTCATACTAGCCCCTCTGCAACAGCAGACAGCTGCCTCACTGGGGAAGCTCCACAGTGCATGACCTCTGTGGGATGCTAAGAGGATGGGACTATAGCCACCTGCTGACCCTCAGACCATTACCAATTGTATTTGCTGATGTTCTTCCTGAGCCACTCTGAGTGACAAAAAATATTTAAGGTTGAGGAAAGAAGCCTTTGACATTATTTAACTATGCTCCAATGGACCTCTGCCCTAAACACCAGACTCAGACCCAGCTGCCTACTGGGTGGCAGTAGGATCTCCATTTGGAGATGTTTACTGGGCATCTTTGGCCTAATGCAGGCCTATCTCCAGCCTCTGTCCAGCCTGCTCCTTCCCTGTCTTTCCCATCTCAGCAAACGGGACCTTCTCCTTTCCATTTTCTCAGGCCGTGCTCGACCTTGTCATTTTTCCCTTGACTTCTCTCATTCTGTCACGCCTGTCATCCAACCCGTTGGGAGAGCAGATAAGATTGATCCAGGATATATATGAAGTATTGGCCACTTCTCATCACCTTCTGGCTACCAGCAGAGCCTTTGCTGGTCTATATTGTGTTGCTTTTCTACAATTTAGAAAAACATCACCCCCATGACTGAATGGGTGGCAGAGCCTTTGAGTAGAGAACGATACTCCTTCCTTGGATGGCTGAAGCCCCACAGTTAGACTCTGGGCTGATGCTCAGTGCCCTGACTAGACTCCAGCCCCACCTATCCATGAGGCTGGTGCCTTGCTCCCTGCATCACCTGCACAATCATGCGCAGTGAGCTGAGCAGGCCACGCTGGTGCAGACCTGCTGTCTCACTCACCTAGACCATTGCAGTCAGCTCTAAGGTCTCCGCTTTTACCCTTGCCCTACCACCTTTCAGTCTGTTCTCAATGCGAGGCCACAGCGATCTTTTATTATTTTATTATAATAATAATAATAATTATTGAAACAGAGTCTCTCTCTGACACCCAGGCTGGAGTACAGTGATGTGATTGTGGCTCACTGTAGCCTCAAACTCTTGGGCTCACACATTCCCCCCATCTCAGCCTCCTGAGTAGCGGCGATTACAGGTGTATGCCATCCTACCTGGCCAATTTTTTTCTTTTCTTTTCTTTTAGAGATGGGGCCTCAACTGTGTTGACCAAGCTGTTTAGAATTCCTGGGCTCAAGTCATCCTCCTCAGCCTCCCAAAGTGCTGGGATTACAGGCATGAGCCACCATGCCCAGCCTGATTATTTAAAAGTATACATCAAATCAAGGCACTCCTCTGCTGTAAACCTCACTCTAAGCAAAAGCCAAAGTTCCAGCAAAGTCCTATGAAGCCCCATACAATTCGTCCCCTATTACCTTGTTGACCCATCTCTTGTTATCTTCCCCTTCCTCCTTTTGCTGTGAACACAAGACCTCCTTGGGGTCTCTTGAAGTGCTAGGCCTCCTCTCACCTCTGGCAGAGCTCTTGCACTCACACCTCCATCTGCTGGAAGGTTCTCCCACATAGGTTTACCTGGCTCATTCTCAACCTGGCTTAGGTCTTTACTCAAATGTCACCTATTCTGTGAAATGTCACCTTCGCTGTCCAACTATTTAAAAATGCAATCTCCCTCCCCTCTCCCCTCAATCTGACATTTCTTTCACCCCTTCCCGTAGCACTTTTTCTTTTTCTCCACAGCCCTTACCACCATCTAACACGTTACATTTATTTCACTTATTTATTTTCTTGTCTCTTTCCTCATTAGAACAAGCTCCACAAAAGCAGGCGTTTTCATCTGTCTTCTTGTTGGCTGTGTTCTCAGCACCTAGAGCACTGCCTGATCCCTAATAGGTGAACGGTTCCTTTATATTTGTTGAATGAATGAGTGGCAGGAGGCAGAGTGGGTCTATTATGTGGAAATATATGAGATTGTTCTTGCCAGTCAAAAGCTGTCAAATATTGGCAGCTTCACGTGGTTCAAATTAATGTAACGTAATACAGAACAATGGCCAAAAGGAGGTGTTACGTGAGGGACATTTGCTCCTGATTTGCTCAGTGTGCTCCTTCCTGTTGGAAAACATGAGATTCTTTTATAATCCCCTGGGAACGAATTTCCCATATAAATAGACATTTCCCTTCCTGAGCCCATCATTCACAGAGCAGCCTTCTTCCAGGTAGAGCACCAGCAGTAATAATGCCCGTCTTGGCCTTCAGGCCTCCAGATATAAATTTTTTGGCTATGGGACAATTTTTTTTGGCTATGGGACACTTAGAAAAAATAAAGATCAATAGACTATCAAACTGTAGCCAGACATCAGATCCAATGCCAGGGACCTTGGCAAAGGTGACATCAGTAACGAGAGGAGGTGCCTCCAACTGACTGCTCAGGGCTGGGAGGAACAAGCCTCTGTGGTCTGAGCCCAGGAGCCTGCACCCCATCCACTGGGCTCACACAGAGTGTTCAGAGCCCAGAAATCTCTTCCTCTGCCAGGTCTGCCTCTGCTGAGCTTGCAAAAAGGCATAGTCCTATTGCACAAATCTTTTTTTTTTCTTTTCCTTTCTGTTTTTTTTCCATATACCCAAGGGAATGGGAATAAAACCTTAATTTTGTGCCTTGTAAATACAGCTTTTAAAAAGATATAGACTATTAAAATCCAAATAAAAAAGATCTTTACGTTTGGTGTCTCCAAATGCTATATTCCAGGACGTACATGCTGAGGCATCTGTCAGTCAAGACCACAAGATACAGCCATCCGGCCTATGCACTTAGTATTTGCTAAAAGCGTGGTTACTGGTTGAGTGCGTCTGCAACACGGGGGCCCACGTTCAAATGCCTGCACGAGCCAGGTGGGAAATACAAGCGAGTGAAACTGGCTGACTCACGGCCACAAAGAAATGTGTTTCCTCCCAATCTGCTTGACTTCAGGCCATCTTTTTTTCCCCTCACTTTTGGTTAAGATGTGGGTACAAAAAGTATTATGCTTTTCTTCTTAAATCTATTAGAAGGAAAATATCAATACAAGTGTGACCACAATAGCACCTGGCACAGTCTCCCAGGAATGTAAAGGTTTGTGCCAATTTAGGGCACTTGATCTGCCTCAGAGGGTCTGCCTCTGCGGAGCTTCCATCTGCTGATTAACAGGGCATCACCCTACTTCACAAAGGCCTGTGTTCAGAGAAACCTCCCCCGGCTTTGTGCCATGGCCAGGGACCTCCTGACAAAGGTAGACCCTCACCTTCTGACTCTCCTGGAGTCTGTTCTTCACTCTGACCCAAACTATGTCAAGTTCAGAAAACTGATTTCTGCCTCTCCCTCCATCCATTTATCTGATGCTCATCCGTGAGGCAGCTGGAATAGGATTGCTCCATTCCCCTGCCCAGGCATTGTTTTAAATCCCTGCAGAAAACAACAGCTACAACCATCATGGTAATGAGGGATGACGGTGACAACCACAACCTGGAGAGCTCGATGGAGAAGGAGAGGGAGAGATCTGGTGACAAGTGACTCTCTTCAGCAGATCTAATCACTCCTAGAAAGATGTGACTGCCTTTTCATGCACAGCATCACTTAAAAGTTCTAGAGAACTAGGCAAGGGGTAGGGGAAATGCAGCTGAAGTACATAGAAAAAAGTCTGCTGGAAATTTGAAATGATACTGAGTACAATGTACATCAGAAAGATTAAATGGAAATAAGGCAAAAGTAGGAAAGTTTCAGTCAAAGTTGAAGGCTTGAGTTTTAGCTGGATGTGGTCTTGAGGAAATGCAGGTTCAGTGGGACTACATCATCGGATGTTTCACGAAGCAGGAATTCTGCTTTGGAAAACCAAACCAGCCAATAAGCAAATGAAAAGATGCTTAACATCATTAGTCATCAGGGAAATGCAAATCAAAACCCCAATGAGATAATAACATTTCATCCTAACCATCCACTAGAATGGCTAAAATAAAAAAAGACTGATGATAACAAGTGTTGGGGAATACGTGGAAAAAAATGAAACCCTCATACATTTCTGGTGGAAATGTAAAATGGTGCAGCTACTTTGTAAAACATTTTGGTGGTTCCTCAAAAATTTAAACATAAAGTCACCATATAACCCAGAAATTCCACTGCTATGCCCATACCCAAGAGAGATGATTTTTTAATAAAAAAAAAACTTGCTTATTCAATTGAAAATAATTTTTAATAAAAGCAATGATAATGCCATTTTGTCAGGGGAAGATAATAGTTTATAAAACTTGTGCACAAGGCCAGGCATGGTGGCTCACACCTGTAATTCCAGCACTTTGAGAGGCTGAGGCAGGAGAATCACTTGAGCCCAGAAGTTTGAGACCAGCCTGGGCAACATAGTGAGACTCCAATCTTTATAAGTAATATAAGTAAACATAAGTAAATAAATAAATAAATAAAATTTAAAAAACTTGTGCACAAATGTTCATAGCATCATTTTTCATAATAGCCAAAACCTGGAAACAATCCAAATGTCCATCCACTAAATGAACAGATAAACAAAATTTGATCTATCCACACAATGGAATATTATTTGGCCATGAAAAGAAATAAAGTTCTGATACATGCTGCAATATGAATGAAACTTCAAAACATGCAAAGGGAAAGAAGCCGGTCACAAAAGACCACATATTACAGTATATGACTTCATTATGTGAAATGTCCAGAACAGACACCTTTGTCCATACACAAATCTATAGAGACATAAAGTGGTTGCCTAGTGCTGGGGAAAATGAGGAGGGTCTGCTAATGGGTATGGAGTTTCTTTTGTGGAAGATGAAAGTGTTCTACAGTTGATTGTGGCAATGGTTGCACAACTCTGAATGTACTAGATCACTGAATTGTACACTTTGATGGGTGAATTGCATGGTATGTGAATTATGTATCAATACAGCTCATAAAAAACAAGCAGTCAGGTGAAGAACAAACATGAGAAACTGTCTTCAAATGCAGATAACAGTAACAGAGATGACAAAATGAAAGACAAGGAAGTGACAGAGTGGAGAGCTAACATGCAGATAACTGATGCTCCTGAAGAAGATCCTAGAGCCAGTGGGCTGCAAATCAGAAATAAAGATATAAGAAACTCCCCCTGCACTGATTCCTTGCAAAATCACTCAGACACATCGACACCTAGACACATCCAACCCTTACAAATGCCCAATAAACACATTAAAAAATAACTTTAGTTCCACTATTTAATAAAAAAAGTATTTGCTTATTCAACTGAAAATGATTTATAATAAAAGCAATGATAATGCCAACTGTTAGTGAGGCTCTGAGGGAACTGGGCCCTACATATATTGTTAATGGAAACATAAACCGTAGAACTTTTTCATGTTTGTTCTTCACCTGACTGCTTGTTTTTTTATGAGCTTTATTGATACATAATTCACATACCATGCAATTCACCCATCAAAGTGTACAATTCAGTGATTTAGCAATTTGAGAGCACATAGCAAACCTTAGTATAAGTATATTCTTATTCACTTTCCCAGCATTTCTATCTCTAAGAATTCCCCCTGAGGGGGGAAAAGGACTAGATTTATCCAGATATTTAGCTATAAGAATATTATGAAAATTTATGCATATCTCCAATGCTCAATGACACAGGGATTTGTTAAATTAATTTTGCTCTCATCATATAATTAAAAATCATGAGGCCACTGATGATGTTTTGGAAAAATGCTTAATGACAGATACTTTTTCATGACTTTTTTTTGTTAAAGGAAGATAACGGTTTATAAGACAGCATATGCACCATTTAAAAAATTTACAATACATGCATACATACATATATTACATGTACACATGAGTAGAAGGTGAGGGAGAAGTAGGAAACCAAGAATGGGAAAAGTTCTTATTACACATTAAGTGGTAACAATGATTTTTATTTTCTTTTTGCTTTTAAAACACTTGTATGGTGATTATGCACGGACTTCTGTAATGGTAAAAATAATAACGAAAGATGTTTTAAGAGTTCTCCAGGCTGGACACAGTGGCTTATGTCTGTAATCTCAGCACTTTGGAGGCCAAGGCAGAAGGATCACTTGAACCCAGGAGCTTGAGACCAGCCTGGGCAACATAGTGAGACCCCCATCTCTACAGAACGAGTTTTTAAAAAATTAGCCGGGCATGGTAGTGAAAGCTTGCAGTCCCACCTGCTCCATAGGCCAAGGCGTGAGGATTGCTTAAGCCCAGGAGGTTGAGGCTGCAGTGAGCCATGATTGTGTCACTGCACTCCAGCCTGGTTGACAGAGTGAGACCCTGTCTCAGAAAAAAAAAAAAAAAAAGTTCTCCTCAGGCTAGAGTCCAACCCTTCAGCAAGTGCATCAGACCCTGGCCCCAGCAGCTCCTGCAACTTCAACTAGTGGGTATGGGGCATCTTTGGGGGCCATACATCATTTCTGATACTTCCCTAAATGGGGGCCGTATTTGTGTTTTCACAGCGATCTGCCATTTCATTTGCCTGGAGCGTTCTCCTCTCACTCCCCCACCTGGCTTCCTGACTATTGTCTCATGGGTCGCCTTTCCTGGGATGCCACCCAAGCAGAGGGAACCATTTCCTGCTCCCACTTTACCCTGTGCATGCACTATTTTTGTATCTTGCACGGCAAGTTTACACTTCTCTCTCATGACTCATTGGAGGATTAGGCTGGGTTCTTAATCATCCTTCTTGTTTAATCAGCATCCAACGCAGGCCTGTACAAATGTTTATGGAGTAAACGAGTGAATGAATGAATGAGTCTGTTTGAGCTCTAGGCTCACATGAGCCTTGAGTGCAGAAGATCTGCACTCAAGTGCCCCTTGGGTCCCTAAATCAACATGCCCCAAACTAAGCCCACCGTTTTCTCCTTGTTCCTCATTACCAATCCTCACTGTTTTTGTGCGTGCCCCATCTCTGTGATTGGAACTACACCCTTCCAGTGACGAGCTGGGATCTTGGGTGCCTCTTTTTTCTGCTGTAATAATTCTCCTGGGGCTATCAATTCTGTCACTCACATGACTCCTGTGTTGTTTTCCCTTCTTTCCATGCCCATGCTGCCGACCTCTCTCCCTCACTCTTCCTCTCTCTTAGATATCTGCCACAGCCTCCTCACCCCTATCCTGTTGAAAACTCCCTAGTGACCTCCGTTTTCCCCAGGATACAGTCAGAACTCTTTGTCAAGGTTTACCTGCCCTGTGTGATCCAGCCCTGCTCAGCCCTGACTATCTCTCCAGCTTCGTTTCTCCTCAGCCCCACCCCTTTCATCCTTCTTAGGAGCGACCTGAAGAACTTTCTTCTCTCCGTGCCTCATTCATATTGTTGGTTTTGTCTGGAATCCTTTTTCCAACCCCCTTGCCTCCCTAACTCATTTGTCAAGCCTTACTTTAAAAGACACTTCTTCCAGGAACCCTTCCTTCACTCCCCAAGTCCAGTTAGGCCCCTCGCATATACACCCCCCCTAGCTCCCTACACTTTCCCCAACATAGCTCTCTCACACTGTATTTAATCGTTCACTTAATTGTTCTTCTCCCCCAACAGACTGTAAGAGACAACAGCCGGTGTCAGGGCGGTGAGGTGGGGAAGCAGAAAACACGTCTGCTTGTTCACGAACGTTCTTCCAATGTCCAGCAAAAATTTGGTCCTTAATAAATCCGCTTATCATTCAACAAGCCAACAGATGGAACAATGTTTGCTTGCGCTACTGCAGATGCTAATTCAAACTTTGGGACCAGGCAAGGCATTTGGCTCTTCATTTTATGAAGATCAGAGAGAGGGAGCGCAGTACCCAGTTGACTGACCGAGAGAGAGCTCTGTGGTGGGGGAAGGCTGCTGTGTTGGGCCCTTGTGGGGAGTGTGCTTTCCATCTGATTGCCTTTCCGCATCTGCACAACTAACTTCCCCCATGGGTCACGAGTTTTTCCAAGACTGACAGGAACCTACCCTGAAAAGTAAAGGAAGTTCCCTGCGTGTTTCTTAATGACACCTTCAAAATATTTTCAACATTCCTCAGTTTAAAGGTCCCAGGACTGAAATTTTAGATGGTGTCGAATTCCCCCGTGGAGATGCTGCTGGGCCGGGCCAGACAGCTACCTCTCTCACACCCGCTTAATTAAGTTGGGATACGAAAAAGAGCAGTGGTGTTTGGGTCAGGCAGGCAGTAGTGCAATGTCTCCAAGTAGCTGAGTCAAGTTCAGCGGAATCCAGCTCCCTGGGGAGGCTGGAGGGTAGCTGGGTAGACTGGGTGAGTGTGGTGGATTGGAGTCTTGATCAGCAAACACTCCGGCCCTTCTTCCACCCCTCCGGCCCTTCTCCCTCCCCACTGCTGCTGAGGACTGGGTGTACTTCCGGCCTCACTGACTTTGAGCTTGGCCATGTGACCTGTGTTGGCCAATGGAATGTGAGCAGACAGGGTGTGCGCAGAGGCGTTAAATGCGCTTGCAAGGTTCTTCTCTCTTGTGCTCCTTTCATTCCTGAAGACAGGAGTATACACCAGGTCACCACTGTTCCTTCAGCCTCGTTCTCTGGATATACAGTTTGGATACATTTAGTTTGAGATGGCTACTATAGATCTAAGCAGAGATCCATGTGATTTGGAGTTCAGGGGGTCTGGGCTGGAAATACACATTGGAATCATCTGCAAATATGTGACATTTAAAGCCTTGAGACAGATGAGCTCACCAAGGTGTGAGTGTGGATGGAAAAAGAGTCCAGTCGAGTCTTGGTTTCCTTCAATATTTAGAGGTCAGAGAGATGAGAAGGAATCAGCAAGAAAACAGACACGGAAAAGCCAGAAAGGCAGGCAGACAGCCAGGCCAACCATGGGCCGTGGGAGCCCCATGGACAGAGGGCTCAGAGTTGGAGAGAGCTATCAAATGTGTCCGACACTGCTGATGGGCCCGTGAGATGAAGATGAAGCCCTGACCTGTGAGTTTAGTGACAGGGAAGTCGTAGGTATCCTTGATGAGAATATATTTTGTGGAGTCATAGGGGCAAAAACATCAACCAAGGGATTCGGGAGAGAATAAGAGGAGAGATATTTGCAAGTTAGACAATTCTTACTAAAGCTTGGTTCAGAAATGAAGGAGAGAAATGGGACTCTAGCCCAAGGGGGTGGTGGCATCCAGAGAGATTTTTTATGGGATAAAAAATAGTAAGTTTGAACGCTGACAGGAAGGATCAAAGAGAGAGAAGAAATTGATGATGCAATAGGGATGGGAGAGTGTTAACAGCCAGTTCACCCATTGTACCAAGAATAAGGTCAGGGATACAGCTTGCATGCAGGTAGGTGAGCAGATAGAGTGAGGGAAGCTTGTGGACATTCTCTTTCAGTTACATTGATTTTCTCAATGAAACGGGAACCCAGGTCGTCAGTAAGAGTAAGCAAGTGGCAGGTGAAGAAGAAAGTATGACAGAGTCATCTAGGAGAGTTGGAGAATGAATGGAGCAAGGCGTGCAGCTTAGATGCTGGCTAGCAGTGACTGTTCTGAGCACTTTGTACTGGCTTTTCTACTAAAGCCTCACAACAGCCTATGAAGTAAGCCCTATTATTTGCCCCATCTACAGATAAGAATTGAAGCACAAAGTGGTCAAGAAACTTGTCCATAGTCCCACAGCAGGAAAGCCAGGATTTGACTACCAGTGATCTGTTTCCAGGGCCCAAATGCTTAAGCACTAGGTTAGGCTGACCCAGTTAAACATGAAAGCTTGTCACAGAACTGAACTAAATAGAATAGAATAAAGGTTGAATTAATGTGTGTGGTGCAACCACTCTGTGTCAAGCTCTGCACTAGATTCCTCTGCAAAAACCCTTTGAGTTGTGGTTATTATCAACCCCATTTTACTGATGAGGACATTAAGGTCTGGAAAGATTCAGTTGCTTGTTCAAAAGTTGAAGAGCTAGCAAATGGAAGCCCACACCATGTATACAGCCCACACACCCTGATTCTAAAGCCCACACCCTGTGTACAATGCCAAAGAACCCTTAGGATATGTGAGTGGGTCGACCTAGCTTAAGTTGCTTCATTAAGCCAAATACATCAAAACCCTCCCTACATCAGGCTGAGATCACTTGCAAACTTTATCCTGAGCACCTGGAGAGCTTGCGACATGGTCCTTACAGCAGGAAGAATTTAAAAGAAGATAACTTTGGGGGAATGCTTGTTGTTTTTCTGACCATTTTTGGATGCTTGATCCGTTAGGTGAGGAAGAGGAGAGCTTAGAGTTGAAGTAGATGATGGGAGTTTCGACATTTTCTTCTAATTAAAACTGTAATCTTTTATAACAGAAGCAACCATTCTGGTTTTTCAAGCATTTCCAAAAACCATTTTCTCAAGAAAGAGTGCTCATAATGTATCATCTTCACTGAACAGCCACCCACTTCCTCAAATGCAAGGAAGCAGACAGTTAAAAAAGAAACACACACACACACACACAAAACCAAGAGGCAGCAGTTGTTTATCACGACCTCAACTCAGTAAGGCCTGAGATTCTTTCGAAAAGGAGCTTTGCTTCCCATGACGCAGAGGGAAGTGTCAACTGGGATATTTCTGGTAAAACTGAAAGCAAGAAAAGCAGGGTGCTAGCCCCTGTGGGACTGAGGGTGGAGGCTGGGGGAGTTTGGGTGCCATCCTCCAGTGACAGATGGATGGACCTTTCATCTAAGAGAAAGGAGGAGACACGTTGGCAAATCAGCCTCAAGCCTAAGATTGCTTGTGAAGCAATCATAAGGAGGAACAAAAACAGACACAAAAACAGAGGGAAAGAGTGAAAAGACAAGAAGGGCGCAAACTGTGACAGACTCACCGCTTCACTAACTACTCACTTAAACTGGAAGCAAAATGTCCCTAAAATTGCCAAGGAACTGGGATTTCAACCTGAAAGTGGAGGCTGCGAAAATAGGTATGGTTGGTGTCTTTTCGTTGCCTCTGTGATTCTTACGTATACTCGAGCACCATTTGCATGTTGGTCTGCAGGGAGCATAGTCTACTTAAAAATGGATCTCGCAGCAAATCTGAGTTTGAGGGACCATTTGCATTTAAGTTGGCATGCCAGGTCCAAGTTCTAAAATGCTGGGAGGGGGTTCTCTTTCATTTGGACAAAACAGTGGGATGGCACTCCTTGGTGTGCAGGATCTGGGGTACTTCGGATGATTTAAGGCTACAGACTACACACAAAACTGTGAGTTTTTAGCATATTCCATTTCCTTCCTGTTTGGAAACTCATCCATATTTTGAATGGTTCTGAACAGGAGCACAAAGACTAGAGTCTTTTGAAGTGCTCAATCTGTAAGTAAATTCAATGGGTGTTCTGTTTTGTGAGCCCAGGAGTCAAGGTGTATTAAAAGGTAGTAGCAAAAGGTAGACAACAAAAACAAGACAGGAACATAAAAACGTACTAAAGTATAATAAAGACCTTACTTAATAAAAATATAATTAAAGGAACAGAATGGGAGGGAATTCTTAGATGAGTTGGAAAAGAGATGTATTTTTTATTATTTTAAGGGAGACTGGCATATTTTCTGAGATAGTCTGGCCTTTAATCCATACCCTGTCCTTCTAATGATGATAGTGATACATTAAGTTTAATCTATATATTCGTTATGAAGTTCTTTACATAGATTTCTTCTATTGCTAAATTGGTCACAGTAATTCACATCAGAGCAATCGGGCTGAAAACTATTGCCTACATTTATGTATCTCACCCATACATGAGATAACTTCCTTGATATTAGATATAGATAAGTATTAAGGTGTTTCTAACAGCTTGGAGGAATTTTGCTTGGAAAAAGGTTTAGATTTGAACCTCTAATGGGGTTAAGTGTGCTACTAAAATAAGTGCTCCATTGAAAAGTCACAAGCGGAGCATTAATGATGTAGGTCTGAGAAAGGGTTTGAAAGAAAACAGAGTAATCAGAGAAGCCATTTATCTTGATAACTAGGGGAGATTAGCGTTCCCTAATCAAGCTGTGAATGATTGTATGCTGAGGTCAGTTCAGAGAAAAGGTAATGTTCATACCTCTTACAAAAGCAAGAGATTTTCCTCCTAACTATCATTGATACAAATGTACTTGGCTAATGCTCAATCTATGTCATACAAATTATATGGTTCTGTTCCTTTGAAAGTGTCCTGCTTCTACATAAATAAGGTCATTCTGCCTTCTCTCCACCTATGTTTGAACACAGGTTATTAGGGTCTTACTCTCCTTTGGTTTAAAAAACAAGAAAGTTGAGACAATTAATAGTTAAATGATTTTTTTCACAGATATAGGAAATTACCACACTAGAGCTCAAGACTGCATATACTCAGGTCTGGGATTTGATTGAGTGAATTTCATGATTTTTACCAATGTTTCTTAAAGCATGGTCCCATAGATAACCTATATCAGACTCACATCAAGTGCTGGCTAAAAATGCAGATTTCTGGGCACCATCCTTACAAAATCAGAATCTCTGGAGGAAGGCCCAGGATCCTGCATTTTGACAAGCACCCCCCACTTTCATCCTCACCTGAGGAAGAATTCCTGCTGTAGGTACTGTGGTCTATGTTCACTAGCCCCAGCAGACAGTTTTCACCCATTTAGTATAGGGCACAGTGCTTGTTCTTAACTGGGCACACAATAAATATTTGTTGGCTGAATGAATGCTTCAGCCAACAAAAACAAGCAGATGATGTTATTTAGTATTACTTAATGAAAAAATAATAATAAGGACATAATGAAATACAGAGGAGCCCTTGTCATTATCCATGCTATCTATAAGTTTGTCACCCTGAAGGACTGGACTACAGTAGGATGCATTTATAAGTGTCACATGAACTAGAATTCAGATCATAATCTGAGTCCTCTGATGGGGGAGAGCCCTTGACTCAGTCACAGGACTTCCAGTCCCCTCTCCAGCATCCTGTGTCCAGGTGTAACTGTAGGAACTGGCTTACCAATATATCAAAGAAACTTACCTCTATTGGGAAGACCTGTGGAACTGGGAGTTATGTCAGGAAAGCTGACAATCTGTGGTTTTAACGTTTTCTCAACCTAGATACCATTGACATTTGGGGTTGGATAGTTTTTTGTTGTGGGGCCTGTCCTGTGAATTATAGGATGTTTAGCAGAATCCTTGGCCTCTACCTTCTAGGTGATGGTAACACCCCCCTACCACTACCAGTTGTGACAAATAAAACTGTCTTTACATATAGCCAAGTGTTCCTTGGGGATGGGGGTGAGGGTAATATCTTCTCTAATTGAGAACTCCTGGAGTAGATGATCACCAAAAGGGTGGAATATAAGGTCATTTGGGACTAGAACCCAAATATTAACTCATGATTCACTCTGTAGCTCAATTTTTTGGAGGCTTTTATTGAGATCTGTCCTCAGGGAGCCAGGCCATAGCTTAGGAAGGACACTAGAATGGGCCCTTGGTGAAATAGCAAGACACTGACCCAGAATGTGACCCAGGAAAGGGGCCCTAGCTTTTTTTGATGAGCTATGCTTCCAGTTTCCCCAGAATCTTGTGAGCTGGAGTGAAAGTGAAAGTCTCTGAGAGCGAGGGGAGGGACTCTCCACTGTACTTCCATCTCAGAGCTGAAGAGGGTCTTGCTGGATGGCAGACTCACCTGAGTCCACTACCATGAGTCTGACAGATTTTCATGCAGTGATGAAGAAAAGTCACAGAACTTCCTGAATCTGACCTATTGATCCTGGCAGGAATAGGGGTTGGAAGAAAAAGGAAAATGCAGAACAAACAGTCTTGACTTGAGGTGGAGCCAAGAGCACACACTTCTTCCTGTGATCCTTTATCATTTTCAATTTTAGAATCATGACAGCCTTTCACTGCCTTCACGCAGTTACTCAAATATTTTGCCTTTTTAACTGAATTGTCATCACTGGAGGACAGGTCCAGACTTTCTGGACCTCCAGCCCCAGGTTACAGGGCTTTCTTGAAAGAGTTACATGGCTTCCCAATGACCAGGCCAGTCTACTTGAGCACATTTTGTACCTTATTTGAACACTGAAATGCTGGTTCCCCAGTTTCAGGAGAATCCTGAAACTATATAGCCCATGGTGAACTGATTTGTGTTTGTTTGATGTTCAGCTTTCTGAACATCAGAAAGTGGTGAGTGCTTTCTTTACAATTCATTACCAAACTTACTATATGCTAACCAGACCAGCCTGGGTTATGGACTGAATGTGGTCTGTTTGCTGTGCCCAAAGTATTTGCTTTCCATGAGTAGCCTCCGGTCCCTGATAGATAAAGGTCCCCGATAGATAAAGGTCCCCACACATGCAAGTAGAGTCACTGCTAAAAATACAAAAAATTAGCTGGGCATGGTGGCGGGCACCTGTAATCCCAGCTACTTGGGAGGCTGAGGCAGGATAATTGCTTGAATCCGGGAGGCGGAGGTTGTAGTGAGCCACGATCATGCCACTGCACTCCAGCTTGGGCGACAGAGCAAGACTCTGTCTCAAGAAAAAAAAAAAAAAAAGAATATGAACATGGCCTTCTGTAGACAGTGAACAGCTACACAAGGGAGCTGTTCCTTCCAGGGCCCACTCTATTTTTATGCAGAGGTTACATTGCCATTGGTTATTTAAGTAAAAATGTCTGTCCGTAATGTTGCTGTTGACTTAACATTTAGGCATAAATTAAATTCTCTCCACGAAGTGCATGCTTCCTGTTGCCCAGGCCAACAGCCTTCTGGCCATTTGAGGAAAAAGGACTGATGTCACCTCTGGGCCTTCTGCAGCAGCAGCAGAGTGGGGACCAACCTAAGTGGTGATGGGAAAACAGGACCTGGTTTTATATCCACTCATGCACAAAATTCCCCCTGTACATGCCAGATGAGGTCAGCTTAGATTCTGTACTTTGTCTGAGACTGTGCACTTGGATTGGCAGAGGCTAGCTTGATGGTTCTTATTGCCTATGTGTCTGAAACTAGGCCAGGGTTAAGATGCCCAATGGCCCTGGCGTGGGTATACATCACTATAAGTCACTTCATTAATGGTAGTGCTGCCATCTCCCTGTCTCTCACCTCACAGTTATGAAGCATCTTCATGTAGCATCCAATGGGAGAACTCTGTGGAGACTCCACCAGCTGGAATGTGATCCTTTTGAGTAAGGCCCACTATGGGGGTGTTGGAAAGATGCTGGGACCAATTGAGAGAAGTAAGTTGATGAAAATGGTCCTATCACACACAAGGCAGCTTGAGGAAAGAATCTGGCATGAAGGTGCACCCCAGTCGAGTGGTCTGAACTTGTGTTAAGATACAAGACATGGGAGGGAGTGAAGAGCAGAAGCAAAGTCCCACTGGTGGCCACAGCAATTGAGACCAAATAGTACCGGAAGAGCATGACGGAGAGCCACAGCGAGGCACAGGCAGATTGTGGGGATTCTGTCACAGAGGATGGCATGGAAATTTTGTAGAGTCCCCAGACAGGAACTGAGATACAAAAGTTACAAAGAGAGAAAATAATTGACATTTTTTGTGTTATGCTTTACTCATCATCCTTTTTCTCTTTGAAAGCTTGTTTAAAAACCAAAAGTCACTTTGCAAAGAAAAAAAAAATGATACCCATAGGTCTGGCAGACCTAGAATATAACTTTGTCTTCTTTGAGGGACTGCAGTGCTTCCTCATTTCTAGTAAGACAGGAGTGCAACTTACTGTGTTCTCTTTGTCTTGGCTGCCAGGAAGCTGAGCTAAATATGAAATATGAAGACAGTCCTGTAGGGCATACAGTTCAGTGGGGGCAGAGACAAGGAAACAACTGCAAAGCGGTGAGACAGGTGCTGTGATGATGAGAACAGCTATGGGAGTCCCAGATGGTGCCTAAGAGGAATTCTGGCCCCACCACCCCTGTTCCCATCACTGCCATTCACCTTCTTTAAGATCTAGGTGCAGATGTTCTTGAGGGGGCCCCAGACTCGCTGTCTTTCTCACAGTGATTTTCCTGCACATTGTATCTACTTTTTTGGAGAAACAGAAGGCTTTATACTATGTATAGACCCTCTGCATGAAGGAATTAAATGGAAAGTCTTTATGATCTGGCCCTTCTTACCTGCCCACCTCTCTCTTGCCACCTTCCCTTCTCCTGCTGCACACTGGAGACTTCAGCCACATCCTCCCTTCTGTAGCTTCCAGCTCTTTCTCATCTGCCTGGAGCCCTCTCTCCATCTGGGTCTCCCTTACCACCACCAGTTCCTACCCATGCTTTGGTCACAATGTAAACATCTTGTCCACGGGGAGTCTCTAGGTCTTCTGATCACTGGAGAGAGAGTATAAAAATCCTTTCCCAGGCCATTTAAACAGAGAAGTTTACAGCTCTCAATACTATGGACTTCCTTTTAGATAAGAGCCATGAACATTTCTGAACATGCATATATGAGTCAACCCCACAAGTAACTGATCCTTTGGCTTTTGAACAAAATGAGTTGTTCTTAATACGGTATGTAACACCAGCACTCTAGGCCCTCACTGGGGAGAATAACCTCAGATTGCCCAAAGAAAGGGGCTAAATTGTCCATTGACTCTTCTTGATAAAAATTGTGAAAGAAAGGAGGACGTGTGATATAGGAAAGTGTGCATGAGCTTGGGACTCTGCTTTAAGCAGTAGTGAATCTGGGGCAAGTTGCTTAGCTTCTACAAATGAGAGAGTAACACATATGCTGAGAGGAAGAAAATATTTCATGCGTATGACATATATTAGGTGCTCAGCAAACATCTCTTTCCTTTCTTTATAGGCAGTCTCATTTCCAACCTCAGATCAGACTAGAAGCTGTACTTGGATTACATTATCTTGCTACCCTCGCAGAATAGGGCTCACTGAGTTGTCTTTTAATGTTATATCTTCAGTTTATAGCTTCCCTGCAAGTAATGATTTCATGAAATCTGCTCCTAATTGTACTGGAAAAATGAGAATGAAGAATGGAGAACGCCAGCAACTTCTATGTATAACTCTATGTGAGAAAGTTGCTTGGGAATTCAGTGCTCAGAAAATAACTTTGTCTTCTTTGAGGGACTGCAGTGCTTCCTCCTTTCTAGTAAGACAGGAGTGCAACTTACTGTGTTCTCCTCTTTGTCTTGGCTGCCAGGAAGCAGAGCTAAATTTGAAGCTGAGTCACAACTTCTAACGCCCATTTGATTAGCATACTTTTAGTCTTTGTCTTTGATCAGAGTTTATGTGTTCATTGCAAATAATTTCCATACTTTAAAAAATGTTATTATTTAAAAATATAGATGGGGGAGTCTCACTATGTTGCCCAGGCTGGTCTCGAACTCCTGGGCCCAAGCAGTCCTCCTGCCTCAGTCTCCCAAAGTGCTGGGATTATATGCATGAGCCACCACACTCAGCTTCAGATTTCCTACTTTTTAGTAGTGACTGAGCATTGCAATTTATCTAAGAAAGGTTCAAGGAATATTAAAATGTTGAAAGTTATTTCTTTTAGTTCATAAAGTAAAACGCAATTCCATGACCACTCATATTCTTTACCTAGAGTTACATAAAATTATGCAATCTTCAGTACATTCAGACCAGTCATTTCATTTCATGCACTCATTGAGTCACTCATCATAAAACATGTATTTGCTCACTTGTATGTGAGAGGTACTTAAGCAGCATTGCCCTGCTGTGCCTCTCATGCTGCAAGCACCCCTCACCACCCCTCCACCTTTCTAAAAGTGATGCTCAACTTTGCTACTACCATCTATTCTCCTTAAGCTGTGACTGACTAAGGTGACAGCTGCCGCACTGTCTCCTTTCCACGCCGTACTATCCATCCACCCCCAAAATATGCACACATGGATCTCAGCTCTGGATGGGGCTGCGATACCCCACTGCTGGAATTTTGGCCTATGGTGGCTGAACCATTTGCTTCCTTGTTGGTTTGGAGTTTCAAAGTGAAAGAGGAAGCAGTAAGATATAGAGTTCCTGAGTGTGATGTGAATACTTTTTAATATTTTAAAATAATTTTATAAAGTTGACAAAAAGAATTTTCTGACAAAGTGTAAACTAACCATAATGGAATGAGCCAGCTATCATACAGTGGTTAAAAAGCTGGCTTTGGGGCCAGAATGCCTGAATTTGAATCCCAGTATCATCGATCGGTCACTGTGTGACGTTGGACCTCAGGTTTTCCAACTGTAAAATGAGTGCAATCCTAGTGCTAACTCATGCAGTTATTGTGAGGGTAAGAGAAGATGATCTATGTCAAACTTTAGCATAAGAGCTGGTGTCTAGTAAGTGCTTCATAAACACTAGTAATTATCATTATTGTTATGGACATTAGCTATAATGGAGATCTGATATCAGCTCCTTTGAATCAAGTCATTGGTGAAAACCACAGCCAGCAGTGCCAAGGTTTTGTTTGTCTTGATTAGGTTTAGTTCTTCATTCTTTTCTTTAGACATATGGTCTTTACAACATCTGCAGATATCTCCTTTCCTGCCCAGTGTCTGCTCCTGGCTCACAGCACACATGCTGATCTGCAGTTGACTGGTTATGTTCTGCTTCTTACTCTTTATGCTTCCAAATGCCATGTACTCACTTCCTTCTCAATTTGCATGAATTGTGTCAATTTTGTCTGCATGGCTATTCTTGTTTTCTTCCTTTTTGCTTTGTTTTGTTTGTCTATTTTTGCCAGTTATTTTCCAAATAAGTAAAATGCCTGAGTTGTGACTTTCTAATAAGGATAATGATAGCTTCTGGTAAGTTTCCTGCAGAATTCCTGCTGTAGAAATGTCATTGTCTCTGTGCTATGACAGGAGCAGTTCCTCAAACTTTCCTTGCTTTGGGTAGGCAAAGAGTGACTCTGGGTTGTTTGCTGTGTGGAAGACCCTCCTCCATGACTTAGTGCTTCCTCCTCCAGAGCTGCCCACCATCTCCTACTGTCATGCGTACCTCTGGCCACTGAAGTGAGGTTGGAAGTTGTTAGTGTGGGCTTCAGGGGCTCAGTGTTTAACTGCTTGTGATCACTTACATGTGGGTTACAGCAATGGCAGAGCAGTTTTTCCTATTAGCTCTAAGAGTCCTGTACCTGGCCTACCATTCTCTTTCAGATCATTATTTGTAGATATAATTGTGGGGGAAGAGCAGGACCTTCAAAATGAGGCTCCCGCCTTTCTTGTCCTCAATTCTGCTGTTGCTACCCAAAGATTCTTGTGCATGCATTCTTCCTCTTTGACTGTCATTCTGCATTTGATTCCATGCACCTGGTCATTCAGAAGCCAGAAATCCACTTTATTAGTGAGTGAGGAATCTCCTTATGCAGACATCTCAGAGTAAAAATGATAGCAGATGTAGAGTTGTCACCTCCAGTCCATTCTCAGCCCAGCCCTTGTGCTCTGTCCTGAGACCAATCTGTTTGATCTTGATTTTGGCACTGATCTTCTTCCTGTGAGCGTTCCTCATTCTCTTTCCCAGGTAGAGTGACAGCTGGCCTGATTTGTCTGGGACTCAGGGGGCTCGTGGGACATGGAACTCAGTGTGAAAACCAGGAAAGTAACCCTAGAATCAGGTCGCTAGGCCCAGGGAAACAAAGCTGTAATTGTGTTAGGTGCTTTGTATGTTTCTTGAATTGAATTTCCTGAGAAGCCACACAATTTATGGCAAAAATTGATTTAGGAGAAAATATCTTTAAACCTGGAGTCATTATTCTTTCTTTTTAGTACTCATGGTTAGAAATCCTTCCAAATTCATTTTTCAGCCTCCTTGAAACTGTCATGCTAGCTTCCTCCATCTGTTTTTATGAAATCTTTTAGTCTTGCTCACATTTTCTCCAGAAAGATCGGGAGCCACATCTGTCAGTGTATTGCAAGGTACTTCTTTCTAAAATCACACAAAAATTCCTACCCTTGTGGGTCCTATATCTGGCCCGTAAGTTTGCTATTCTGCTTTCTGGATATATATATATTTTTTCCAACTCTATCTCTCCCTCCCCATTACCAGGGCCACCACCCAGCTTGTCCTGGGAAGGCTTCCTGAATTACCCAGGTACAATTAGTCCCTCTCCCTTCTGCGAGATTGTACCGTTTTGCTCATTTTTCTTCTATTCTGATTGACACATATTTATTGGACACCTACTATGTGCTGGACACTTTACTAGGCTCAGAATTAAGAAGATGAAAAAGATTAAGATTCTGACAGTCTCATTAGAGACACTCTGAGGAAGCAGGGCTCTCCCACTAAAGGGAATTAGACATATGCAGTGTGACTGTGACTGTGACATTTAAAAAGCTGACACAGGGTTTGTTCTGTAACAAAAGCTTTTCTTGCCCCACTTGAGCCATAGCCCCTAGATATCTACAAGGGGCAAGTTTTTACATGTTCATTCAAGTCTATATGCTCCTTCCAAAAAGCCACAAATCAAGCTTCTAATGCCACATTGTTATTCTGATTTAGAGCCAGTAGAGAGTGCCCGCGGACAATGCAGTTGCATTTCCACCAATAAATGTGGTCTATTTTCATTATTTCTCCCCAGAAAACCCTGGATTTAACCAGTTTTCTGGCCAGCACAAAATTATCCCAATCTCATTCTTCTGTGGCCTGAAATGCCCAGCATGGTAATGAAAGTGATTGATAATGTAGTCAACTTTGTGTCTTCACAGATAAAAAATAAGATTCCAGATAAAAATCACTTCCTGAAAGAAAAACAAAAAAGGACACTTGACTTAACTACGAAGACATACCTGAATGTAGTAGGCAGTCTTTGAGAATGAGGCCCCTAAAGGCAGATGAGCCTGGGTTTGATTTCCAGCTCAACCTTTTCTCACTTCTTTGACTTTGGGCAAGTCACTTTAATGTCTCTGTGTCTCAGTTTTCTCATCTGAAAAATGGGGCCGGTAGTTCCACCTCCTTTGCAGAGCTGTTAGGTAATACTTCCTCCAACCAGCTCAGCCACTCATAGTCATAAATAAACCATGTCACCTCCTACAATTGTACCACCTCTGAAATCTCACTTTCAGACTTCCCACTCTGTGCCCACCACATCCTATGTGCCCAGCTCACCCACTCCAGCAATTCTCTGACATTACCTCAGTGAGCCACCATTCCATTGGTCCCACCATTTTTTCACTATCAGTCACCCCATTAGGTCCTCCTTACCATAGATTCATAACTAGCATTAAATCTACTACTGAATATGCACCCTTAAATTCTCTGGCCATTTTTCCTCATCATAACCCCTAACCCTATTTAAACCTAATAATCCACCTTCTTAGTGCCTGTAACTGGACAGCTGAACATCGCTGGAGAAGATCACCCCTGAGCTGCCTGGATTCACTTTGAGTTTGTGACCAGTCATTTGAGGTGGGCACTCAACAGAGCCAGACAAACTTACTACGTCTACTGTCTTAAGAGTCCACTAGTGCTGCTGTAACTAAATAGCTGAGACTGGATAATTTATACAGAACAGACATTTATTTATTACAGTTCTGGAGGCTGGCAAGTCCAAGATCAAGGTGCTTTCAAGATCCATGTCTGGTGAAGGCTCATTCTTTGTAGATGATGCTGACTTGGTGGTCTCACACGGCAGAAAGGGATGGGAGGGCAAAAGGGAGGAGTGCCGTGACCTCACATTATGGAAGAGCAGAAGAGGGTGAACCCACTCCTTCAAGCCCTTTTACGAGGATCTTAATACCATCCATCAGAGCAGAGCTGTCATGACCTAATCACCTCCCAAGGGCCATACCTCTTAATACTGTTGCATTGGAGATGAAGTTTCAACATGAATTTTGGAGGGGGCACCATCATTTAAACTATAGCACATAGCTAGTAAATTCACTTTCATTTTCCCCAAAGCTTTTATGCCTACTTTTTAATTTTCTCCTCAAGGTCTTAACACTTCCTTCTGCCGTCACTCTCACTGATAACATTCATAGAGAAAAATATGTACAACTAAGTGAGAATTACTCAATTTTCCTACCACCAAAAGTTTTCGTCTACCCACATCTTTATCTCCATTGCTGCCCATAGGCCTGGACAACAGGGGCCTCCATTGGAAACATGTATTTTAGAGGGTCCTGCTCTTTTCTTGCTCCATCTGTACTCCTTCCTCCTCACAGGGCAAGGAGTCTGGTCAAGCGGACATGCCCACCTAGACCCTGTGCCCTGCCTGCCTTCTAGACCATCTGAGATTGTGAAATTCCCTACGCAGATGGCCAGGAGCTGCAAGAATGTTTTCTAGGTCCTCCCAGTGGTTTTTCTGCAGACGGTTGATTGCAGAGAGGCCCAGAACAAAGTTCGGATGTCTGGGCTGGGGTGTCCACATTCATGTGTGTAAGGCCCCTGACTGTGAAAAATGGAAATGGAGATGGAGGGAGAAGGGGCATGGGCATGGGTTTAAAGACAGGGACCACCCCCCTCCCCATCCCCACAGGGCCGGGCGCGGTGGCTCACGCTTGTAATCCCAGTACTTTGGGAGGCCGAGGCAGGAGGATCACCTGAGGTTGGGCGTTCGAGACCAGACTGACCAACATGGAGAAACCCCATCTCTACTAAAAATACAAAAAATTAGCTGGGTGTAGTGACGCACGCCTGTAATCCCACCTACTCGGGAGGCTGAGGCAGGAGAATCGCTTGAACCCGGGAGGCAGAGGTTGTGGTGAGCCGAGATTGGGCCACTGTACTCCAGCCCAGGCAACAAGAGCGAAACTCCATCTCAAAAAAAAAAAAAAAAAAAAGACAGGTGTCCCCATGTATCTTCTTGACACAGGCTTTCAAATATAAGTGATAGACTGATTCCTTCTCACTCATCAGTCAGCCCAATTAAGCATCTGTCCTCGTCTTACTCAACTGTCCTGCAGCATTTGACACAATCAGGCATTTTCTCCTTGAAAAAAAATTTTTTAGACTTCCTTGACACTGTGCCCCCTGGCTTTCCCTTACCTCATTAGTTACTCTTCCTGAGTCTGCTTTCATGAAGTCTCCTTCTCTACCAGATCTCTTAACAATGAAGTGTCCCAAGCAGGACTGGCCACATCATTCGTGGAGCCTAGTACAAAATGAAAATGTGGGGTCCCTTGATCAAAAATTATTAAGAATTTCAACATAGTGACAGCAAAGCATTACACCAAGTGCAGGGACCATCTAAGCATGGAGTGCTGTATGAGTGTACAGGTTTTCTGTGAAGCTGGCTCCGGTCCCAGGGCTCAGTCCCCCGTCCTCTTCCGTTTATCCAACCTTAAAACCTTTAAAGCCCTTTCCATGGCTTTAAGTCCTACCTTAACTTTCATACATTAGCTCCAACGTCTCTTCTGGGTTCTGGATGGCCCCACATCTCCACCTGAATATCTCACGGGCTTCCCTCCCCCAGTGTGTCCAACACAGAATTCTGAATCATCCCTCTTCCCACCCCTCCACACCCAGTTCACCTGCCCTTTGCAAAAGGCTCTACTATTCACCGAGTTGCTCAGGCTAAAAACCTAGAGTCATCTTCATTCATGTTTTCCCCTTCCACTCCAGATCTAATCCACCAGAAAAGACTTTTGGATTCACCACCAATTTATGTCCTTAATCTGACTATTTCCGTTATCTCCAATGCTGTAAACACTGCCATTTCTTGCCTAGTCTAGGAAATAGTTAGCTGACTTGGCTTCCTGCCTCCACTCTTGTCCTGGACCATGTATTTTCTGCACAGTGGCCAGACTCGACATCTTTTAAAAGTGGAAATCAAATGTGTCAGTTCCTCATTAAAATTTTCAGTATACTTAGGATTAAATTCAAACTCATGATCTATGCCCGTGGGATCAGGCCCCTTCCCCTCTGTCTCCACCCACCTGTAGTCCTCTGCTCCTCCCACACTGTGTCCCAGCCACACCCTCCTTCTATTAACAGTTTTCTGAACATCCAGTGCTCATAGCCACCATCTCAAGGCCTGTCTGCTGTTCTCCCTGAAATGTGCTTCCCAGATCTTACCATGGCCTTTCCTCCACTCCATCCAGTTTTAGTTCAAATATTATCTCTTCAAAGAGGTCTTTCCTGACCCTAGCATATAATTAGCTGTAATTAGCCCCTGCAAATCCAATCTCTCTTTATCCCATTATCTTACATTTTTTCTTTATACTGTTATTTGTGCCTGAAACGATCTCATTCCTTTGCATGTTTGCACTAGATCATAAGCTTCTGAAGGCAGGGCTTTGCCTGTTTCATGCACTTTTAGATAGTCACTGCCAAGAACAGTTTCTGTCACATTACAGGTATCAAAGAGATTTTTGTGGAATAGCCTGTGGCCTGTTAACTTTTCTGCAGCCCAGTGAAATTAAGTAAGTTAAAATGAGTCCAAAGCATTTTTTTTTCCTGTCCTTATTAGTGATTGAACAACAGTTTGGTCCAGAGAGAGATATTTCTGACTTTCTTATGGAGAGGGAAGTGGGGCTTTTGGTTTCTGAAGCTAATTTGGAACAGCATGTGGGTGACTGAGCATTTAGCTATCCCTGAGGGCGGTCAGGTCTTAAGTCATTAAGGCTTAGACTACTGAACAGAGCTACAAGGGGTATGTCTTGCTCCTATAATCAAAGTCTTCTTGATGATTGAAACTCAAGTGTGGGCAGAGAAATCCTTCAGACTCAGGGGCCCTGGGAAAAGTAGCTCTGCTCAGGAATCCAAACATGAGAATTAAACCTCAGTTTTGTAGTATGGGCAGTTAGGTTTAGTGGGTAACTGTGATTAGAGGCGAGGATGGGCAAGGGAGAGGAAGAAAGAAAGACAGAGAAGCTTAGAGAGAGAGGGAGAGAGATACCAGCATACAGGGGTGAGGGAGAGGCAGATGGAAGGAAGAAGGAGGAAGAACAAGTGGAGGATGGATGTGGGTGGAAGAGAGGACCAATTACATTGGGCCCTATGCTTAGAAGGGTTCCACACTGAATTTGTTATTTTGTTGTGACCATCCTAAAATTCTTAATGATTTTTGAACAAGGGGCTCTACATTTTCATTTTGCACTGGGCTCTGCAAATTATGTAACTGACTGACATTCTGCCACCTTGTATCACAGGAACTAGGTCATCTTTGAGCCATCCCTTGGCCTCATGACCTCCTCCTTCCCCAACTGACTGCACCGTCAGTCCTGTCCACCTCCTACCTAGATCTCACATTCATCCACTTCTCTTACCTCCCTTTCAAGCCTAGATTCCACTGTAAGCCTCTTAACCATTTCCCGTCTTGCAGTTTTCATGGCCTTTAATTTATTCTCTGTGAGCACCCCAGTGCTTGCGAGTGTCGATAGCTTTGTCGATCAGAGCAGTCACCCTGAGGCTAAAGGGAATCATGCAAAGGCAGCCTCAGTGCTTGAGCTGAACATTCTCAACTCCTGCACTAAGTTAGTGGTTACCAAACGTGGCTGTCCTGGGGAGGTTTAAAAAAATTCACCTGCTCAGGTTCCACTCCAGAGACATGGATTTAAGTAACAAGGGCTGTGGTCTAGGTATTCGAACTTTTCTAAGCTCCCAAGTGACTGGATATGCAGCAAAGTTTGTGATCTGTGCCATAAGTGTTGCTAAGACCCAGAGCCACAGCACAATGGCAACACATTCCCAAAATGTTTGCAATTTTGTTACTTTATCATAGTGGTTTTGAGTTTTGCAAAATTTTCTTCTCTAAAAATATACATTAAAACATTATTTAATATTCCAGAGTACAGCTTTGAGTAACCTGGCCCTTTTTTAAATTTTATTTTTTAAAGAGACAGGGTCTTGCTCTGTCGCCCAGTCTGGAGTACAGCTGTGTGATCACAGCTCACTGCAGCCTCAACATCCTGGGCTCAAACAATCCTCCCACCCCAGCCTCCCAAGTAGCTGGGACCACAGGCGTGCACCGCCATGCCCGGCTGATTTTTTTTTTTTTCTTTTTGTAGAGATGAGGTCTTGCTCTATTGCCCAGCTGGTCTTGGACTCCTGGCCCCAAGTGATTCTCCCACCTTGGCCTCCCCAAGTGGTGGGATGACAGACATGAGCCACTGCGCCCAGCCCCATGAAGCCACTTTTTTTTTTTTTTTTTGAGATAGAGTTTTATTCTTGTCACCCAGGCTGGAGTGCAATGACATGATCTTGGCTCACTGCAACCTCTGCCTCCCTAGTTCAAGCGATTCTCCTGCTTCAGCCTCCCAAGTAGCTGGGACTACAGGCACCTGTCACCATGCTCGGCGTATTTGTATTTTTAGTAGAGACTGGGTTTTGCTATGTCGGCCAGGCTGCTCTCAAACTCCTGACCTCAGGTGATCCTCCCGCCTCGGCCTCCCAAAGTGCTGGGATTGCAGGCACGAGCCACCGCACCGGGCCGAGCACTTTTTAATTTTTGGAAAATGTGTACCTCCACTGTGAGAGGCGTCTGTGTGTGTGTGTTGTGGTTTGAGTGCCCTGAATTAGTTAAAGGCATTCCTTCTTCTCTGAGGTTCCCTGCAGACCGGACTGTCTGTGATTCTGCAGATGTCAGGGCTGCACAGAAGAGGGTGGAGGCCGGGCCGGCCCCAGATCCTGCTCACACAGGGAATTAGTGTCAGAAGTGACGTGTTAAGGGGTTACTGAAACCAAAGGTGAAAGCTTTTTGCTTATAATGTGAGTAGTGAGGAGGAGGCACTAATAATAGTTATTAATGCCACTTGTCAACAGACCCCTGGAAAATAGGACAATACATCCTTTCTCTCCCAGCAAGTCCAGCTGACATTTATTTCACCCGCTTTAAGCACGAATTACCTGTGGAGTATCCTAGAAGGACTTGTTTTTGGAATAACATTGCAGACTCCAAAAATTGTCTACCATTTCTGACTCTTTCAATGTCTTTCACTTGTACACAGTGTCTCATTCCATCCTAAGAGGGGTTAAAGGATGCTCATCCTCACGCTGAGCCCAGGGAGGGTGCAGGACTTGCTCACTCACCCAGCCAATGGGGGGTGCTGGCCTAATCCCAGGCAGTATTCTGACTCCCAACCCAAACCTATTGTTGGTCCACTAGAGACTTTGGATAGAAACCAGAGGAGAATAGGAAGGGCCAGGAAAAACTCAGGCATGTAAAACAAGGAACCAATTTTAAGGGTGGAAAGCTAAGGTGGAGATACATAGCATGTATAAATACAACTAAAGAGCCACGGGCATTTGGCACATTTTAGAGGACAGTTAAGACTCTTACTATCCTCCAGTTAGCAGTAGATTTCCTCCTATTCGCACACCTGCCATTGCCATTTTCCCTTTCTGTTCCAAACGACTTCAGAATGGCTTACAATTACACCCAGCTAACATCTGTATCAGGTTTATATTCAGTGTCTTTCCCTTTGTGTCCATGGATTAGCTTCAGTAAGCCCAAAACCCTCTAGAAATTGTGTGAAAAATTATATGCATATAGGCAGATTCTCAAAGGGGCCTGTAATCTCACAAAGGTTAAAACCATTGCTTTATGTTTCCAAGTACAGAAAATCTCCTCATTAAGTAATCCTGTAATAATTAGTCTTCCTGGTCTGGACCAATCCAAGAGCGACAGCTAACCGGGAAAATCCTAGAATGGCCTGCTGAAGGCTGGTCCTGGCCAGCCACAGGCCTGCTTCCTGTTCATTGCGAGGTGTAAACTGACGCTGGGAGTGGCCACTAGATGGCGGCAAACTCAGCCAAGTTTGGCATGGGCTTCCGTTGGCGCTACCAACTGGCAAGCTGTGCAGGTTCCTGGCATCCATTTCATTAGCTTCAAAATAACGCGACCACGAATAGTTGATTGAATTTTAGACCCCACGTAAAATTCTTCTGGACCTCACTTATTGTGTTGGGGCAGGGATTTACTGTTCTTTCAATTCACTTGGTCTTTAAAGCATAGAGGGCAGGCAGCAAAATTACCCTCCACGTCCTGACATCTCTAAGGGAATAAAGCTTGGGACTGCTATAAATAAGGAAAACTTGTTAAAGTTCATGAAATCAGCTATGGAAATTGTGGAACATAAGTCATGGTTCCATTTGTTTTATAGAAGTGTAAAAAATGAAATCTGTTCTTCAAGATAGAAAAAAAAGAGAAATATTATGAATGCCATTTAAAGGAGACACCTGCCATTTCTGTTTCCAAGTTCCCCTGGGGCCCACAACCTTTTATTTGATAGTAGGTCTCCAGAAGAGCAGTGGCATTATTGTTATCTCATAGATAAATGTAATAGGCCTCCTTAGGGCTGTTTTCCCAACTCCACCTTTCTAAGGGCTCCTGACCCAGTCTCCAAGGATGGTCACTGGCTTGAACTTTGGCTTGAACATTCCCCCTTGGACATAGCCAACTAGAGCAGAATGAACAGCTGACTCAAGCTGTGTCTATTTCATTTCTCCTCAGTCTGAGGTTCACAGAGAATGGGCATTTGTAAGTGAGTCCTGGAAATCAGAGGGCACTAAGAGGAAGGCCTTTGAACTCTGTTGAGAACTCAAAACCTGCAAAATGTGCTTGATTTCTACTCTTCCTGAGCCATGATTTCCAACCCCCCAAATTTCCCTAGATTTTGTGAAATAATATACTATGCTTTAAAAATTACACACACATAAATATTATATACATAGTATATATACAAAGAGAGAGAGAGAGAAAGAGAGAGAGATATCAGGGATTCCCAATCTCATCACTATTTTGATCCAGATAATTCTTTATTGTTGGGGGCCATCCTATGCATTGTAGGGTAGTCCCTGGACTTTACCCAGTTGATGACAGCATCAATCCTCCCAGTTATGACAACCAAAAATACCTCTAGACATAGCAAAATGTCCACTTGGGGTGGATGGGGGGGGTGATAAAACCACCCCCCAGTTGAGAACTATTAGCTATCTATCCTTCTATTTATCTGTATCTAGATTAAACCAACTTGATTTGGTACCTGTTTCTTGCAACCAAGATATTAACTGAGACAATGGGAAAATAAAGACGTAGAGAAATTATCTGAAATGCTCATATAGTAACACAGCAAGTTGCTGTATGGCGGAATCAAGACTAGATCCCAGAGCTCCTGAACATTAGTGGGTTTTCTGCTACTTTCCACAAGAGAACTCCTGTGCAGGGTCTTTAACCACACCAACTTGCCCAGCATCTTGCTTTCCTTTGTATTAAAACCCAGTACTACTTGAATTATGGAAGGAAACACTCCTGGCTACATTTTCTTATTTGTTTGGGTCATCAAAATAAATAATGTGGGTGGGGATCATGGTAGGGCTTTCTTCACAGGAAGTTGAAGCAGTGTGGGTTTGTTGCCAGGCGTGGCATCGCATGGCTTTCCTTAGCACCTGTGAAAAGAACAAAGCTAAATGATGGGGTGCTATCTGTCCACTCTGAAATGTTACTCCCGGATCACTGGGGTAGATTTAGCTTGATGTTGCTCTTGAATGTAGTCTTTCCCACGTTCTCATGTTTTTTCAGGTTACTTACCTCAACAAGTCGCTGTAGAATAGTAAATATCACTTAATTTTTTTCATTCAGAACTTCAGAACTTGCATTATCTGTGGAAACATTTGAAGGTCAGGAGGAGGTGAGAATGTCAGCTCTGTGTAACAAATGTGCAATAAATGTGAGCAAATGAAAACAATGTTTTTAAATGGTCATTCGGTAAGATGTATTTTTTTTTTTTTTTTGAGATGGAGTCTCGCTCTGTCACCCAGGCTGGAGAGCAGTGGCCCAATCTCGGCTCACTGTAAGCTCTGCCTCCCAGGTTCACGCCATTCTCCTGCCTCAGCCTCCCAAGCAGCTGGGACTACAGGCGCCCGCCACCATGCCCAGCTAATTTTTTTGTATTTTTAGTAGAGACGGGGTTTCACCATGTTAGCCTGGATGGTCTCGATCTCCTGACCATTTTGAACTGCAATCAGGTGGGTTTTGTTAAATACATACAGCCACGTAACAACCACCACAATCAAGAGTTCCATCACTGTAAAAAAATTTTCTCCTCTCATCTATTTCTAGTCAGCCCCTCTCACCCAGCCCAAACCTTGGACAACCACTCATTTGTTATCTGTTCCTATGCTTTTGCTTTTTTCAAAATGTCATATAAATGAAATGATAATGTGTGTTTTTTGAAGCCTGGTTGCTTTTATTCAGCACAATGCATTTGAGATTCACCCATGTTATGACTTGTATAGATAGTTTTGTCCTTTTTATTGTTGAGTGGTATTCTATTGTATGAATGTATCTATTCATCACTTGAAAGATATTGGGATTGTCTCTAACTTTTAGACATTACGAATAAACTGTTGTAAATATTTGCTTATAAGTTTGTGTGAGCATAACGTTTTATCTCTTTTGGGTAAATATTGAGGAGTGCTACTGCTGGATCATATGATAGGTATATATTTAACTTTATAAGAAGCTACCAAATTGTTTCCCAGAGGGGCTGTATCATTTTATGTTCCTACTGGCCATGTATAGAAATTCTGGCTGTTTCTAATTCTCACTGATCCTTGATATTGTTAGTTTTTTAAAAATTTATGTTAGTTATTCTAATATATTTGTAGTAGTATCTCATCTTGATTTTAATTTACATTTTCCTAATGACTAAGGCTGTTTGGCCTCATTTCATTTGGTAAAGTCTCAGATCAAAATTTTGCTCATTAAAAAATTTTCTTGTTTTCTTATTGTTGAGTTTTGTCCTTTTTCAGATATGTGATCTGCAAATATTTTCTCCTAACATGTGGCTTGCTTTTCACTCTCTTAGTGTTTGCTTTTCATTCTCTTAGTTTTAATTTTGATGAAGTCAAATATCATGTTTTTCTTTTATGGATTGTGCTTTTGGTGTCAAGAGTTGTTTTTGATAACCTCAATCCAGTATATTCTGTAAATATTGAATACATTTCATAAATATTACAGACTCTTTGAGTCTTTTGTTCAACTCCTGCTTGCAATGGTTTGCAAACATTTTCTTTTATTTTTTCTCTCCAGCACTGCCCACATGAACACACCCACACACTTAAGCATTATAAACACAGATTTCCTGTGTTACTCTGAACTCTCAACCCTCCTTTTCCAGGCCTCCTCCCAAAGATCATAAAAGCCACATTTTCCAAAATATCTTTTATCACTCAGAGAAAAGTGCTGGAAGATTGTAATGACCAGTGCTATTTTTATGGCAGAACACTCCAAAATAAAAAAATATATATCATACTGGATTCTCTTTTTCAAAATTATACAAGTTAATTCAAAATGGCATTCTGAAAACTCACCGCCCGCCAATCCATCAATCCCAGGTATAGCATAATACATGCTATGTATTAACTGAATTTAATGTTAAAGTCAATTAATTAGCTACATTTATCTATTTGCATTTTGAAACCTCTTCCCATATATTAAAAGGAACAGAAATTTTTGCATGCTTTTTTCTTGAGTCTGAGTACAACTTCTACCTACCGCTCTTGCGTCTGATTTTAAGTTGGCTTGTTTCACAGTTGATACAATAAGAAAATGCTAAGAAAGAGGAGTGGGGGTAATGGTTGAGTTAAAAAGTTGAAAGAGGAAAAATTTGATTTGTTCTTGAGCACACGGAGCAAATCCCTTTCTTTTGTTTCTACAATTTTACGTTAAGATATTTACTATTTCTTTTCTAAATGTATCCTAAACAAGCTTATTATAAAACATGTTATTTTATGTTTGATGAATCTCTATTTGGTATATGCATTAAATTTAATGAAATTATACCCTTAAAATATAGCTCATAGAGGATTATGTGTACATGGCAGAATCTATCCCGCCACCTAGACAACAATTACTCTTTCCAAGTCTGTCTGATGTATCTATTTTGGGACCCTGGTGTCTAATCAAAATTGGCAACTTCCAGAAGGAGGCTTGGACAGTGAGTTGTACTTAATTTCAGTGAGTTTCAGCTCTTAACACAATAGTGGCTGCACATCCTCTACCCCTAGCCCTGTGGCAGGCTTTCCAGATGTGCATACATTCCAGTAGCAGCTTGTGCTCAACGTGCAGGGGCCGAATGGGAAAAAATGAACCCTGTCCTACAAATAACAGGGATCTATGTTGTGATCACTGATGCCTGCCTCTGAACACAAAGGTACAGACAAAGAAATGGCAACCATGTGTTTGCAACTCTCCCTATTGTTGTAAGCACCTCCCCCTCTGGCTGAAGTGACTTCCAGGGGATTTAAAGAGCTTGTGCCTTTTCCTGTGTCTCCTTCATTTTTCTCCTTTTCCCTTTTTGGGAGCCAGACATTGAAGACTAAGACATTCAAAAGCAACCACATATATGGGGTAAGTTGGAAAGACATTGAACTTGCCCAGGGGAAGGTGCAGCCTCAGAAAAGACCTAAGAAGACTCTTAAGTGTGCAGTTCAGGCTGATCCTTGGCAACCTACAACAATTACAATAAACAAACAAAATCCAGCAAATCCTTGAGGAAGGGAGACAATCTGATTTCCAGAGTTACCATATCATTAGATTCAGATATCCAGTTGTTAGCAAAAAATTATGAGGCATAAAAAGAAACAAAAACGTATGGCCCACTCAAAGGGGAAAACAAAGACCAACAGAAACAGTGCCTGATGAAGACCTGATGGCACATCTACTAGACAAAGACTTTTAAAAAAATCTTAAAGATGCTTAAAAAACTGAAGGAAAATTTGGAGAAAGTCAAGAAAATGGTGTATGCATTAAATGAAAATATCAAAAAAGAGATAGAAAACATAAGAAAGAAACTAAAAAGAAATGCGGGAGCTGAAAAGTACAATAACTGAAATGAAAATTTTAAAAGAGGGATTCAAAGGCAGATTTGAGCAGGCAGAAGAAAGAATCAACAAACTTGTAGATAAGACAGTGAAAATTATCAAGTATGAGAAATACAAAGAAAAAAATATAAGAAAAGTGATCAGAGCCTAAGAGACATCTGGGTTACCATTAAGTGGACCAGCTTACTCATTGTGGGAGTCCTAAAAGGAAAAGAGAGAAGGGTGCAGAGAGAATATTTGAAGAAATAATGATGGAAAACTTCCCAAATTTGATGAAAGACATGAATATAAACATCCAAGAAGTTCAATGACAGCTGATGAACTGAAAGAGACCCACATCGAGATACACTATAATCAAACTATCCAAAGTCAAAGAGAATTTTGAAAACAGTGAGGGAAAACTGATTTGTCTCATACAAGGAATTTTCAATAAGATTATGGGCAAATTTATCGTCAGAAACTTTGAAGGCCAGAAGTAGTGGTCTGATATATTTAAAGTGCTATTTTTTTCAGCTGTCAACTAGAAATTTTATACGCAGAAAAAATATTCTCCAAAAGCAAGGGAGAAATTAAGACATTCTCAGATAAACAGAAGCTGAAGGAGTTTTTTACTTGTCTTTGCAGTAAATGCTAAAGGGAGTCCTTCCTGCAGGTTGATATAAAAGGACACTAAACAATAACTTGATGCCATATGAAGAAAAAAAGATCTCAGCAAAGGTAAATACATCTATGATTTTAAAAGTCAGAATTGCTATAATGATGGTATGTAACTCCACCTTTGTTTTCTGCATGATTTAAGGGGCAATCATTTTAAAAACAATTATTAGTCTGGAAGCTAGCATTATTGTCAGTCTGGTTTGTAATTTCACATTTTGTTTTCTACACAATTGTGGAGACATGAAAAATTATTAGTATATAAAGATGTAATTCTGAGACATCTGCAACTTAAAGGGGTGGGGTGCAGAGCTGTTAAAGGAGCAGAGTATTTGTATGTTATTAAAGTTAAGTTCATATAAATTTAAATTAGAATATCATCACTTTAGGATAGTAAGTGTAATCCCAATTGTAACCAAAAGAAAGTAGCTAAATAATATAGACGTACACAAACACGAAGGAAGAAAGTTAAATCTTTCACTACAAAAAAATCAACTAACACAAAAGAAGATAGTAATGCAGGGAATGGAGGACAAAAAAGCTGTAAGGTATGTAGAAAATAAATAGCAAATTACAGAAGTAAGTTGCTGCTTGCCAGTAATTACATTAAATGTAAATTAGACTAAGCTCACCATTAAAAAGACAAAGATTGGCAGAATGGATAAGAAAACAGCCCACCTATACGCTGTCTACAAGAGACTCACTTTAGACCCAAAGATACAAATAGATTGAAAGTGAAGATAGAGAAGGATATTTCATGTAAATAGTAACCAAAAGAGAATGAGTGACTATACTAATATCAAAGAAAATGAACTTTAAATTTAAAAAATGCTACAAGAAACAAAGAAAAACATTATACATTAATAGATTGCTCAGTACAATGAGAAGATATAACAATAATAAACATTTACACATCAAATAACAGACCATAAAAATATATAAAGCAAGCATTGATAAAATTGAAGGGAGAAATAGGCAGTTCTATAATAATGTTGGAGACTTCAATACTCCACTCCAATAATGAATAGAACAACCAGACAGAAGATAAGTGAAGAAATAGAGGACTTGAACAACACAATAAACCAACTAGATCTAAGAGACATATACAGAACACTCTATCCAACAACAAAATACACATTCTTGTCAAGTGCACATGGATATTTTCTAGGATAGACCATATATTAGGACACAATTTAAGTCTCAATCGATTTTAAAAGGTAGGTATCGTACAAAGTATCTTCTCCAGCCACAATGGGATAAAATTAGAAATTAATAAAAGAAGGAATAGTAGAAAATTCTGAAAATTGTGGAAATTAAACAATACACTATTAAACAAACAATAGATCAAGGAAGAAGTCACAAAGATGGTTAGAAAATACTTAGAGGTGAATGAAAACAAAAACACTACATGTCAAAACTATGGAAAACAGAGAAAGCAGGAGTAAGAGGGAAATTGATGGAAGAAAGATCCCAAATCAACAACTGAACTTTATAATTTAAGAAACTAGAAAAAGAAAGGATAAACTGAACCCAGAGCTAGCAGAAGGAAGGAAATAATAAAGATCAGAACAGAGACAAATGAAATATAGAATATAAAAATAAGAGAGAAAGTTAACAAAACAAAAACTTAGCTCTTCAAAAAGGTCGACAAAATTTACAAGCCTTTTGGTAGATGGATAATGAAAAAAAAAAGAAGATTCAAATTACTAAATTCAGAAATGAAAGTGAGGGTATTACCACCTATTCTACAGAAATAAAAAGAAATATAAAAGTACTATAAGCAATTGTACACCAACAAATTTGATAACCTAGATTCAATGGAAAAATTCTTAGAAACACAAAACCTATCAAGCCTAAACTAAAAGAATAGTTTTAGTTTAGAAAAGAATAAAATCTGAATATGCCTCTAACCAAGGCAATTCAGTCAATAATCAAAAATCTCCTAATGAATTAAAGACCTGATGTCCTCACCAGTGTGTTCTACCAAACGTCTAAAGAAGAACTAATACCAGTCGCTTTGAAACTTCTCAAAAGAATTGAAAAACAAGGGAAACTTCCTAACTCATTCTACATTACCTTGATATTAAAGCCAGACAACAACATATCTAAAGAAGAACTAATACCAGTCTCTTTGAAAATTTTCAAAAGAATTGAAAAAGAAGGGAAACTTCCCAACTCATTCTACATTACCTTGATATTAAAGCCAGACAACATTACAAGAAAACTGCAGACCAATATCCCTTATTACATTGATGCAAAAATCCTCAACAAAATGCTACAACAGAAAAATGACGCAACTGCACAATAAAAGATTATAAATCCAGACCAAATGGGATTTATTCTTGAAATGCAAGGGTGATTCAACGTAGAAGAATCAGTCAATTTCATTAATACATCTCATTAACAGAATGAAGGGGAAAAACATATGATCATCTCAAATGATAGTCATGTATTCGACAAGATTCAACATTCTTTCATGATAAAAACACTCAATAAACCAGGAATAGAAGGAATCTACCTCAATGTAATAAAAGTCATATGTAAATAACCCACAGTGAACATCATACTCAACGTTGAAAGACTCCAAGCTTTTACTCTGAGATCAAGAACAAGGCAAGGATGTCCACTTTTGCAACTTCGATGCAATGTAATACTTGAAGCCCTAGACAGAGGAACTAGGTGAGGGAGAGAAATAAAAAGCATCCACATTAGAAAAGAAAAAGTACACTTATCTCTATTTAGAGATAATATAATCTTATATGCAGAAAATCCTAAGGATTCGACCAAAAAGCTGTTAGAACTAATAAACCCAGCAAAGTAGCAGGATACAAAGTCAAAGCTCAAAAATCAGTTGCACTTCTATACACTAACAGTGATCAATCTGAAAAGAAAATTAAGAGAATAGTTTCATTTACAATACCATCAAAAAGAATAAATTAATTAGGAATTAACTTAACCACCAGAAGGTGAAATACTTGCACTACAAAACTACAAAACTGCAAAACATTTCTGAAAGAAATTAAAGAAGAACAGAATAATGGGAAGACATCCCAGGCTCCCTAGGTTGGAAGACTTAATACTATCCAAACCAACCTACAGATTTAATGCAATTCCTATCAAAATCCCAATGACTTTTTGTAGAAATAGAAAAACTCATCCTAAAGTTCATATGGAAACTCAAGGGATCCTGAATAGCAAAAAAAAAAAAAAAAAATTTTTGAAAAAGAACATTGTTGGATAACTCACATTTCCTATTTGAATCACATAATTCAAAAATTATATGATTAGTTACAAAATTTAGAGTAAACCAAAACAGTGTAGTAATGGCATAAAGACAGAAACAGATGAATGGAATAGAATAGATTGTCTGGAATAGAATAGATGTAGAGGTCACATACACATATATGACCTCACATATATGTGTATGGTCAAATGATTTTCAACAAGGGTGCCACGATAATTTAATGGGGAAAAGATTGTCTTTTCAAAAATGATGCTAGGAAAACTGGATATCCACATGCAAAATAATAAAGTTAGGCCCTTACCTAATACCATATACAAAAATTAACTCAAAATGGACCTATGAACTAAATTTAAGACCCCAAACTGTAAAACTCTTAGAAGAAGACGTGGGGCAAAAACTTCACAACACTGAATTTGGCAATGATTTCTTGGCTTCAACATCAAAGGCACAGGTAACAGAAGAAAAAATAGTCAAATTAGACTTCTGAAAATTTAAAAAATTACGTATCAAAAGATACTACCAACAGAGTAAAAAATCAACAGAATAGGGGAAAATATTTGCAAATCATATATCTAACAAGGGATTAATATCCAGAATGTATAAAAAGCTCCTAAACTCTACAAAAAAAAACCCCACAAACAACTCAGTTCAAAAATGGGCAAAGGACTCAAATAGACATTTCTCCAAAGAAGATATGCAAATGGACAATAAATGAAATGATGCTATCAATATTAGTAATCATTAGGGAAATGCAACACGAACTACAGCGAGATAGCAACTCACACCCATTATGATGGCTGCTATTAAAAAACTGGAAGATAACAAATGTTGGTGAGGATGTGGAGATATTGAAACCCTTTTGCACTGTTGGTGGAAATGTTAAATGTTACAGCTACTATGGAAAACAGTATAGCAGTTCCACAAAAAATTAAAAATAGAATTACTATCTGATCCCACAATTCCGCATCTAAATATATACTCAAAGAATTGAAAACAGAGTCTTGAAGAGATATTTGTACATCACGTTCATAGCAGCATCATTTGTAATAACTAAAACATGGAGGCAACCCAGGTGTCCATTGACAAATGAACTGACAAACAAAATGTGGTATATACATTCAATAGAATGTATTCAGCCTTAAAAAGGAAGGACATTCTGCAATATGCTATAGCACCGATGAATCTTGAGGACATTATGCTAAGTGAAATAAGCTGCTTCAAAAAAGACAAATGCTGTATAATTCCACTTATGTGAGGTGCTTAGAGGAGACAAATTCATAGAGACAGAAAGTAGAATGGTGGTTACCAGGGCTAGGGAAAGAAGGAAAAGGAAGTTAACTCTGTAATGGGTACAGAATTTCAGTTTTTCAAGATGAAAAGAGTTCTGAAAATGGATGGTGATGGTTGTGCAATAATGTGAATGTACTTAATACTACTGAACTGTACAATCAAAAATAAGATAGTAAATTTTATGTGTGTTTTACTGGAATAAAAATAATTGGGAAAAAATAAATCACGCAAGTTATAATTTGAGAAAAATAGCCCAAGTCAAATATTACAACTCATTTTTCATCTTCAAAAGCTCTCGTATGCTATTAGATGTGCTAAGCCAGAGGGATTTGGAATTAGGACCGCATCCTGGGGTCCCGGTGTTAGCCTGTTGAGTCACCCCCTCATGGTTCTCCTTCTTTTACCTCCTGTTTGTGCATCTCTGGTTCCTGCTTCTTCAGCCTTTGCACAAAAGCTTAGTTGGTCCTTCAGTGACTACTGGCTAAAAACAAACAGAAAAAGAAAAAAGAAACAAAAATGGTGTTCTTCTAGTTCTTCCATGAGAACTGTGAAGGAGTGGCCAGCCAAAAAGAAATGTCAAGCAGAGGCTAGTGTGTGGGCCAAGAAAGTCCAGGTCAGACAGAAACACTACAGTTGCTCACAGATACATACAAAATAAGTCCTGACATTTTTGTGAGGACCTTGGGTGATAAAAGGGAAACCCCCTAACACATTTTTCAGGCAGCTGATAATGTTTGACAGCTTTGAAGAGGAAACAGAACTACCAGATGTCAGTGGCTGAATCACAGGGAAAATACTGCATTCTGCAAAGCCTTACTCAAGCATCATGAAGTGTAGCCCAAAGTTGATAGAAATGCTGATAAATAATAAAATTTTATGAAAAAGTAAAATCTCGATACTTTTTCACAAGTCACTAGCTGTAACCAAGACAATGATGTTGGCTTTTTTGTATTTGATCATCTTTCATGAATTTTAGAATGCTTTCTTTATCAAACTCTAAAAAATCTTTAACAAAATTGCAAAGTGTCACAGCAGTGAAAATTTTCATAAACTTCACAGCTCTCAATTATATGACACAGTAGAAGTATCAGAAGTATTCTGCTGTGTCATTTTCTGTTTCTTTGAAGATTCTCTGCTGTACTTCATCATTTTTCCATATACAGTTAAAACACCAAGCAAATATTTGGCCTGAATCCTAAAAATGTTTAATTCTTCCAATTTTCTGTAGTTGCATTTTCAGCAATACAGAGCGTTCCTTCAATTCTTCCCTCCCCTTTTTTCGGTTTGAGATACACTTTAACACCTAAGAATGTGATCTTCTGTTCTTTATAACTAACATTTAATATAAACTAATGTTGAATTTATCAAAAGCAAGTTCATAATCTTTGAAAACATAAGACTTTTTAAATTATTGATGGGCTAAACCATTTACTAGTTTTTTAAATATTGAAGTATTCTTGCATTCCTGGAATATTCCAGACATTTGAGTGACAAAACAGTCAAAAATCTCTAACTCTGCAGAGTTTCTGGCATGTTTCACCACATAAAAAGTGTAGAAAATTATTCTCATTTTTTCTGCAGAAACTGTTCTACTCTTCACTGTTTCCATGGTGGGTTTTTTGTGTGTATGGCAGTTATATATATTATTTAGTTTCTAATCTTTCTTTTAAAAACTTTACTGAGGTATAATTTATATGCCATAAAATTCCTTCATTGTAAGTATACAATTCAATGATTTTTAGTAAATTTATAGGGTTGTGTGATGATTACCATAGTCCAGTTTTAGGACATTTTTATTACCCCAAAAAGTTCTCTCCAGCCGTTTTGCAATCAATCCCTGCTCTCACCCTCAGTCCTGGCAACCACTGTCTCTACAGAATTGCCTTTTCTGGATATTTCTTATGCACAGACTCATATAATTTGTTGTCTTTTGCATTCAGGTTCTTTCACTTAGCTGAATGTTTTTGAGGTTCTTTGTGTGGCATGAATCAGTCCTTTGCTCCTTGGTGTTGCCAAGTAGTATTGCGCTGTTTGGCTTTCCCACATTTTGTTTATCCAGTAACCTGTTTGTGGCTTCTGGATTGTTTTCAGTTTTGACCATCATCTATAATACTGCTAGAAACATTCACATTCAAAAACTGTTATGGACGTGTGCCTTCACATCCCCTGAATAGATTCCCAGGAGTGGAATTGCTGGGTGCTATGGCAAGCTTATGTGTAACTTTTTAAGACGCATCCAGTTAAGGGGTTAAGGGAGGGTAGCTACCCTCTCTGTTGAAGGAAAGTTCATTTTCTTCTTGTTTTTCTTCTTGTGTAGCTCCAGGTTAGGTGGACAGGCACCCTCTGTTCTCACTGGTATCGTGACCTGGTTGAGGAGCCAGCAGGACAGAGCTGTTACTTTTTGTCTGGCCTGACTTTGGGCACCCAGGGTAAACTGGAAATAACATGCCCCAGCCAGACCTCTGTGCGCACTTGGAAGGAGCTCTCAGGTCTCCATCTGTTCCCTGCCTCCATGCTGCTGCTGTTCCTCTCTAGGTGTTGTTAGTGCAGGATTTTCTTGGGCCCTTTCCGCTCCCTCTGGGGCAGGCTGTTCCATATGCATTGAGTTGTGAGACCAACAGCTTTCTTCAGTTTAGCCTTGCCTATCCTACATCTTGCAGAAATCCGTCTTCCCCCCAAATGGCATGCAGATAGAATCCTTCTTTACTTTTACTTTCATTTTAGATCTCCCCTTGTTATTATTGAGCTAGTCCCTTTGTCATTTTAATGGAAATTTGGAAATGGAAGCTCTTGCCATGAGGTCACCTAGAATTCTAGGTGGTCATTCCTTCCTGAGTTCCCTCACAGACCACCCTTGGGCTCCCTCCGGTTTCTGCTGCCCTTTCTCTCTCTCTGCCAGTAAGTGTTGGGGTAAAAGCTGACTTTACAGGAAATACTATCCATACTGGCAGCCTCAGTAAGTCCCTCAGTTCTTCCCATTCATCAGCTGATAAAGTGACAGTGCAGGGATATGGAGGCGGATCTGTCTGGGAGGGAATGTGTACGTAAGTGGTATAACATCTGTGTAGTGTCATTCCGCTGTGCTCTGAGGAGTAACAGGTCTGAAATGCAGACCTTGGAAAATAGACAAGTTGAAGTTTAGAGCAATAGTTGACATGTAAAAAAAAAAAAACCCAACAAGCCTATTGAATTTATTTTTAAGCCTAATAAAATATTTAAAAAGATCATTTATTATATCAACATTCCAAACACAACAGAGAAAATATAATGAACCCCCATGTAGACCCACTACTGAAGTTCAACAGAATATTTCGTCACATTGTTTTATCTATCCCTTTCTTTTTCTTTTATTCCCTTTTATGCTAAGATATTTTAAAACAAATCCCAGACACATTTTCCCCATGCTTAAGTATGCATCCTTAAAAATATGGAAATTTTATTTTCTAGCCACATTGTCCTGATCACGCCTAACAAAACTAATCAATAATTCATTGGTATCATCTATCCTTTATCCATGATCAAATTGTCTCAGTTTTTAATGAAATCTTTTTATCAGGTTGTAGAATAGGAGAAACATATTATGACTCGTTTCCTGGGCCCACCCCACTGCTAGCATTATTCATTGGTCACTTTAACTCTCAGTAGTGTTAAAGTTTAAAATCACTGTTCCCTAAGACCTGTAGAGGCCCCAGAAACTGACTGGAGTGACGTCTGTTAGGCTGTAATGGCTTGTAGCCTCCTCAAGGGCCAGTGCTTGATGGTAGTTGCCAGTACTTGAGCATTGCCCTGGAAGGGTCCTTCCTGTGAATTACTCAGGCCATATAATTCATCCATGCTTATGCAATACAAATATTTCAAGCATCCTAATGCACTTATTTATTTATGAATGCTAGTGACTAGTGAACCAAAACCTCTTACCTAAAATAAATGACTAGCTTTGGCAATGGAGGGGTCAGTACTTCGATTGCTCTTCCTAATGTAACACACCACTAGGGTGTTGGGCAGAGCTTACTGCACTAATTATCCTGCAGTCCTACCTGATGAGAATTGTTCTTCCTTACACTAACGCCTGGGAAAGCAGGTAGCTTGCATATGCAGTTAACCAGCTACATTGTCAAAGAATTTTCTACAGAGAAAATTTGCCCTCTGATTGCCAAATCTCCACTTTGCCTTGTGCTGAGGAAGAGGCAGCTCTGGGGCAGTGTTCTTCCGCAAGCTTCTTGTTATTACACGTGGCTTCCTGTTATGCAGAGACAGGCGGAGAGGGCTGGGTAAGGTGTTGCAACTGATGGAGACACACAGACCCACAAGAGGCAACTGCACTCTAAATTCCTAAGAAACACGAAAGCCACAAAACATGAACACTGGAGGGGTGGCCCTGGAGAGGCACCCTAGGTGAAACAAATTTGCTGGCGTGCAAAAAAACCTTGCAATATTTGTTGCTGGCTCAGGTTTCCAGAGCTGCTGATAAGAAAGAAGTAACAGAAAGCCAGTACTCCTCTCTCTCTCCCCTTCTCTCTCTCTCTCTCTCTTGTTCTCACTCTCTGTCATTCTCTCTCCCTCTCTCTTGTTCTCACTCTCTGTCATTCTCTCTCCCTCTCTCTTTTTCTCTCTCTCACACACACAGATAATTTCTCTCCCTCTGTCTCATATTGCTACCAAGACAGCATTTTTTACCTCTTCCTGCAGAACACATAGTTATTGGTGCCAAGCCCCTTTCCAAAGCAGATTCTTTTCCTTTAGGTTGACATAGTCACTTGTCAAACAATAAAGGGCATTTCTAGAATCCATAGAACATGGGAAAATGAAATCTGCCCAATTCCGGAGTATTGAGGCAGGCATTTAGGGAACAACTTTTAGATATTTCTATGAATTCGGTTATACAAATTTGTCTCAAGGGTGAGTGCCCTGGGAAGACCCGTGTGGTTTAATTTCAGGGTACAGAGAGAAGGCTCCTTTGCTGTCATCAGTCTCACAGTAAAGATGCCTTTTGAAGGGGCAGTGCTTTTCATACTAAAGTTAAAAACGAAACTCAAAAGAATGATGGGTGCTTTTCAATGGGGGGGTGGCGTTTGCTTTGAAGACAGAAAAGGGATACAGAAAGCGAGCCTGAAGTTTCTGAAGTCACATGTCCTAATTTCCTTCTGGGTGGAAACTGAGGGCCATCATCCCGCAGTCTGATAACAGGATAGGTGGGGGGTCTGCATGTATGTATGTGTGAATGTGGCAGGGGCGTTGCGTGTGTGTATGTGTGCGGGGTGTGGGCAGGGACGTATGAATCTGTTTATCATTTTCAGGTGGTAGCAATGCCAGGTCTGCTGTTTCAGAGAGCTCCCCAGTCGGCTCCTTCCTCAGCTGTGGTGTGGGCCTGACTGCCGGCCCACGGTAGCTTAGCTCACTCTCTCTCCCTCCCATGCCTCGGCCACGTGGGACCTTGCTCAGAATCCCTAGGTCTCTCCACATGAGCTTGGGTAGCAGCTGGTAAGACGTGGCAGGATTACCTAATATGTCCGTTTTCTTGTTGGGGTATCAGCACAGCCTCAGTGGTGGGCTTGAGGTTTCAGTACCATTTCTCTGTCACTGTGTTTTCGAGGCCTGCTGAGCCTTGCAGAGCATACACTGGCGGAAATAGCACAAAATTGTTTGTGCACAATCTAGAGGCAAAATGGGTGGGGCTGAGGCAGCTGCTTCACATGATAGGTTAGGAGTAGTGGCTTTGTTCCCAGCTCAGTGAAAGGTGGCATGGTCTCTCCTGTCCACTTCACTCTGGATTCTTTAACCCTGTGAATTACTAGACATGGATTCCATCTCCAATGTGGATGCCTCTCTTCACCACAAGAATACATGCTCCTTTCTGGGCTGTGGCTTAGGTATGGATATTGGGCTTTGAAATCAGATTTCTAGTTGTTAACTGGAGCAGATCATTTCACCTCTGTGAGCTTTGGTTCCTGGTCTGAAAAATGAGGGTGACAGTATGGTACTTACATAAAGAGCATGAGCATTAAATGACACAGCTCTATAAAGTGCTTGCACTGTGGCTGGCTCGTGGTAAGTACTCAATACATAAGTAACTTGATATTCATTATTGTTAGATCAGGGATTATATCTTCCATCGTCCACTCTGCTCAAGTGGATGCAGTGAACATATCCAGAAATCCCGCCAATAGGTAAATTGGCCAATATTTCTCGCAAATACAAAATGCCTGCATGGTGGCTCACATTTCGTTCTAAAACATTTATTTTATTAACTCAGCAAATATTTATCAAGATGCTTCAATTGCCAGATGCTTTTCTAGGAAGTGTGGAGCTTTACTAAAAATCCCAAGGAAAACAGCACCCTTTTCTGTCTTGCATCTCAGTTTATCCCCACAGCCTCAAGTTAGAAATGCTTCCCTCTGTGCTGGTTTCCTCTATGCCATCTTTTCTTTGGTTCCTGAACGTCTATGCAAATAACTTTTCTGGTCTGAGATTTTCACGTCACTCAAATCTTCTGGCTTTCACTTGCACCTCTTTTCTCCCCCTAGTCTCTTTCTTAATTCATAAGCCTTACTTATCAAAAGCAAAACTCTCGGGAAGCTTGAAGCTCTCAGTCCACCCTCACACTTTATCATGTCCAGAACTGGACTCACCTGCCTGTTCAAACTGGCCTTGTTCTCTGATTTCCTTTCTTGCTTCCATGAATGGGTCTCCCAGATCCATCAGGGCTGTGTCTGGCTGATCTCATATCCTCAGGACCCAAAATTGTTCTGGTGCATGTCAAGTCCTCAATCTTGAATGAATGAATGAATGAATGGGGAAGGCTACCTTACCAGAGCCACTCAAACCCCAGACCTCACAAAAATCTTTGTCTCCTGCTCCTCCTTGTTCAGCAGGGGGCTGAGTCCTCTCAGTATTAGCCTCTCATATTGTTTCCTCTTCCATCCTAATCCAGGCTTCTGGCTTTGCACCTGGAATATTGTGCAATGTCCAGCCAATCTCCCTCTATACCATCTCTCTCCCTCTTTTCATCCCTCCCCTCTGTAATATTCTCTTTCTTTTCTCTCATTTAGAATAAAATTGAGTCCATACTATAATAATAATGTTAATAATAATAGCTTTCATTTAATTTCTATGTTTTAAGAAGCAGGCACTGGCTGGGACCTGTCCACTTACCCTTACTAATCCCTATGGATTTATCACCCCATAAGATGCATGTTATTATCACAGCTTTACAGAGGAGGAAACTGGCCCTCAGAGATAGAATACGGCTTACCCAAGGCTGCGTATGTAGAAGCCTGTGCACTTCTGCTACTTTCTCCTTCCTTCTCTCTGTTAGGCACTGTGTTAGGTGCACGATACAAGGATGAGCAAGGCCAAACATCAAGGGAGTACCCCTGTCTTCTTAGAGTGCAAGTGGAGAGGGAAGACAGGAAAAGAAAAAAGTACCAAGCAAGGCGACAAAGGCTACGATACACAGGTGTCTCCACTGACAAGGGTCCAGAGCCAGGGAGCAACTAAGTCTGGCAGGGCCAGGAAGGCTTCTCACAGGAAGTGGGGCCTGAAGGGATTCTTGAAGGATAAGTAAGAGTTTTCCAAGAGGTCAAATTGGATGTAGGTGGGGGTGGGTAGGGAGGACATTCCAGCAGAGAGAATAGCATACTGTCCTGGATAAAGAGCAGGATGGGCATGGAGAAAGAGCAGGAAATGCAGCAGAAAAAGCCGCAAAGGACTCCAACTCCATGGCAGTTTAGACTTCATCGTTTAGGAGGGAGATGCTGGGGGTCATCAGAGGCTTTTAGGCAGGAAGGTAACATGATCAGAATTCTGTTTGAGAAGGCTCACGTCATAAGCAATGCTGTCAGTGCTGAATATAAGGAACAGGCAGCCTTCTGTGTTGATTGGTTGGCTGGGAGAATGTCACTCAAGTACATCAGAGAGACCAGCGGAGGTAAAGCAGGTTTGGGCATGTGTGTCAGTGTTAGCCAGAGGAATGGTAGAGGTGAGAAGGGGAAAGGTGGTAAGTTTGATGAGGTGGTAAGCATGATGAGCTTGACATTCTCATGGAGGTGTGTTAGGAAGCTGGATGGATGGGTCTACAGCTCAGAAAGGAGGGCTGGGGGAAGCCATGCAAATTCTACTCCCTTTTCAAATCCATTTAAACATGGTTCCCAAACTAATGCACAGCTCATATCAACATACTGGGAAAATACCTGAAATTGTTTCCCCAGCTCTGAAAGAACTATTCACACCTCACCCACACATTTACAGCCATCCAAAGTGGAATCTAGACTGAGTCAGAATTGAGAGCAGATTATTTTGAGGGTTCAGCGGCAGAAGATGAAGAAAGGAAGTGATAACGTTTCTCAGCTGACTTCTCTGTTCGTACTTCCTTCTTTAATTTTCCTTTGCCCCATCTTGGGGCAAAAAGCAGCTAACTTCTACAGCAGAAACAACATCCCTAGGCATGTGGCACTTCTTCTATTTCTCTTCTTTCCTTTCCAGTACTCTCTCACACCTGCAGACTAAAATTCAGCACCAACAGTCCAGTCATACAACTATATTTTATCATGGGCCTCCCTTGCTCAGGAATATGAAATAGCTCCCTACTACCTCTCTAATCAAGTTGAATGCCTCACTCTGTCATCTAAAGCATCTTCTTCTCTGGGCCCTCCAGCTTGATTTCTCTATTTGATAAAATGCTGCCTCACTTTTATGGCCCATTTCCACCCCACGCTTTGTAATGATAGCACTCAGGTTCTGGGAAGTGCTGACCAGCAGAACTTTCTGTGATAGTGGAAATGTTCTCTATCTGTTGTCCAGTACTGTAGCCACGAAACACACAGGCTTACTGAGTACTTAAAACATGGCTAGTATGACGGAGGAACTCAATTGTAACTTAATGTAACCTATTTAATTCATTTAAATGTACACAGCCACTTATGGTTAGTGGCTACTGTACTAGACAATGCAGTGCTAGGGGCTTGCTCATCCTCTCTCTACTAGAATAATGTGAGGTTTCTAACCTTATTGAGGCCCTCATTTCTCACTTGCCCCAAGGTGTTCTGTAAACACTGAGCAACTGCCTTCCCACCTTTCCCCGCCCTGGTCTGCCTGCAGCCCCCTCTCCAACCCTCCGCCTGGTTCAGACCTGCTTCCTGAAGGGCTGGGAATGTGCACTCAGGGTACAATGACTGGCTCACAAGTGAAGCTTATCATGGTTATTATTTTCATTATGAGAAACAGCTCCATTAATAGTAACAGATCTCTTTGTTTACTTTATCCGGAACAAGTCCCACCCACAAAGAAGAGAGACTGTTCAAAGAACCTAACAAGGAAAGTTGGTCAAAACCATGACAAACTCAAGGCCCCCAGACTTTCTTCTCTGCTATTTTAATGATCTCATGCTAGGCCTGGCTGGTGAGCAACACTGTGGGCTATGGAGGGAGATGGCTCTGCACTTGGGATGGAAAGTGCCCCTGCTTAATCCCCAGCTCATCTGAGACCCCAGCTGTCTCCCTACCCTCAGGGTTTGGGCCTAATTCCAGCAGTGTGGAACTTTGTACTGAGCTATCCCCACTCTCTAACTTATAACAGGTGGCCCAGTGCTCATAGTTACACAAACTATGGTGGGATGTTAACAGGCACTAAAGAAACACTGGTTGGATGTAGAGTGAGTGGTATCCTTTATGGATATAAAACATGGCCAGGCAGAGCCTTGTTCATATGTAAGCAGACAAGCTGGTTGCCTTTCTGCTACAAGGGCATCAAAGGTCCCCTTGGCCAGGTCTGGGAACATAAGATCCTCGCACTTACTCCTGCCTTTGCCAGGTCATTCTGCAACGCACACGTGCTCCTAGGAGGGTTTTTTGTTTGTTTGTTTTTCTTATAGTTGTTTTTGCCACAACAAAGCATGAAAAATTTCACAGAACTGTGAACAAAATACCAGCAACTAATTTCTTCTATGCTGAGTGAATTCTTTCCAATCTGTAGTATCTTTTTCTCTTCTGCTAACCGCTTCCCACTTCTTCAATGCTGTTGGAGACCTTCAGTTTCCCCTAACCCCCACTGTGGTCCTAATGATGTCTGTGGGCCTCTGGGGGTGGCCCAAGGGGCCTGAGTCCTTCTAGCCACCATGTGGCACTTCCCCTCACTCCTGAGTTGGCTCCATTTGATGGCATCACCTCAGAAGCCAAGTAAAGGTTCCTCATATGCCACTGCTAGAAGGGGGTCCTCCCTATCATGTCTGATGTTGCTACAGTTGGATGGTCACAAAAGCCACACCGGGATAGACTTCACTGAGGCTACTGAAGTGGGGGAGAATGCCTCTGCATCTGCTGGAATGCCTCACTCTTCGATTTTCTCCAAAAGTTTTGTGTGTAAACTATCTTTTTCATTTTTGCCTACTCTCTGCCCTCTTTCTAGGACAGATAAGAGTCCTTGCAAGGTATAGTCTCTGACTTAGAGAGATACAGAACTGTATACAGTCCTTCAAATTCCCTCCTCCCCATTGTATTCTGCCAAAATCTTTCTGTAGTTCTTTGGGGATCATTTCCACAGCCTTAGAGCAAGTGATCAGCCCACACTGGCTGCTTTTTAATTACAGATAGAAGGCCTTGAAGATAGCAAGTAACTGAGGAGCAAGATCTCAGATAAAGTTCTTAACTGGGATGCTAAGACACACTGATATAAAGCAAATCCTTTGTAAGCAAGCTACCAAATTGTCATCAAAATATCAAATTATCTTTTCTACATCTGAGCATAAGCACTCTTGTGATGATGTCTGTCCAATGGGAAGCTGAATCAAATATGTCTTGCAACGTGGGATACAACCTAGTATGACCTCACCAGGTCCCTGGTGGGAGGTAAGAAGTGACTGCCAGATGGAACCAGGTATAAGGGCATATTATGGGAACTCAGACCCCTTGTGAGGGTCAAGGGAGCCCAGTTACAGTGGAGTCCTCTTCAGACAGCAATATTGGACCGAAGGATGAAATGTGGAAATAGGGTGATAACTCCAGATACAATTGGAGATAGCTACAGAAAGACTCTGTAATGCCATATAAAACTCTGGTGTTTGAAAGTATGCCATGATTATAAATAAAGATTGAGAATCACAGGCGTAGAAGGAGATAGAAATAAGAGAATCAGAAAGAATGAAATTCTGTCCTTTGCAGCAACATGGATGGAGCTGGAGGCTATTTATCCTAACTAACTCAGAAACAGAAAATCAAATATCCCATGTTCTTATTTATAAGTGGGAGCTAAACAATAGGTATACGTGGACATAAATATGGGAATAATAGGCACTGAGGACTCCAAAAGTGGGGAAGGCAGGAGGAAGGTGAGGATTGAAAAATTACCTGTTGGTTACAATGTTCAATATTTGGGTGATGGATACACTAGAAACCCAATCCCCACCATTAGGCGATGGACTCATGTAACAAACCAGCACGTATACCCCCTGAATATATTTTTCAAAATCAATGAGGAGATGTTGGCAATTTAATGCATTAAAGATAGGAAAGAAGAAAGAGAGGAAGCTTGATGATGGAATGACATTTTGAAGTGAAGAGGGAAGTTGAAGAAGCTCTCAGTGATGACTCCCATCCTTTTAGTAGGAAGTAAAGTCACCTGTTGATAAAAACAGCAAGAGTAACATATACTTACCTTTGACCAGGGACTGTGCTAAGTGGTTTGCGTATGTTTGTTTAATCTCTACAACAATTCCATAAACAAGGAAGTATTATTATCCTAATTTAGCAAGTGAGGAAGCCGAGGCTCAGAGAAGCATAATTTATCCACCGTCAAAAAGTCAGGAAAGGTAGAACTAGTCTCCAATCAGGTGAAATGAAATGGGTCGGGAGCAGAGTTGATAGCTTAGTTTAGCTGTGTCATGAGTGGTCCAGGGATGGACAAAAGCTGAAAAAGGGGGTTGGAAGATGGAGCCTTCCTCCAGCAACACTTGGCAGAAGGAGAGGGGTGCAGACACTGGGTATTAGCAAGTGTGGAGGGCAGTGCAGGCCAAGGAGACAAGGGCATCATTGAACTGGCTGGGAAATAAGATGGGGCTCAGAAGGAAGTGTTGAATGGGGACCAGGGTGATCGATGGAGCGCTGTGGAGGGAAGGAAAGGAGAGCATGGTCCTGGGTGGGGGTTACCATGGAGACAAGATGTGGAGGTACAGGCTGGACTTACTCGAATGACAGGCAGAACTCCTGTGTGAAAACAAAAGCCAAATATACCATGCTGAGTGCATGCAGGTTCAAGGGGCTCTGGCTTCAAATCCTGCTTCTGAGTTCTATTGGCAGTGACGATCTAACTGTAAAGGTCATAGGAAGGCAGCAGCAGTGAGCGCCTTGTACAGCATAAAGGGCTGGGATACTCTCCGTGGGCAGGGGACAGAATGGCACTGGGCAGGAGAATTCAGAAGGTGCCAACTCCCTGCAGGCTGGCCCTGTGGCCGGGGGCTGGGGTTTGAGTGGGGTCCGCTGGAGGGGGCCTGCGTTCCACAGCGAGGTTGGAGCTAACAGCTTCTGTCTTGCGGCCCCTCCTCTAGCCGGCCGCTGTGGAAGAGTGCCCAGGCAGCTTCCGGCGGCCTCTGCAGCTGCGTGGGACTCACCCCGAGCCTTCAGAGTGAGGCATTATTTTCTCCTCTCTCTTGTCAGATACTGACTCCCACGCAGGAAAAAGGAAGCACCTTTTGTCAGATGCTGTGGCCACTTCCTCTTCAGAAGGCTCCAGCCAACCTTTCGGTTTGCAGAATGACGGGGCCCGCCGCGGTGCCGGACTGCCTGTGCACGGGGCCACCGACTGCAGCCTGGGTTTTATTCTTGGCCTGGCCCTGACCGGGAGCTGGCCCCTCGGCTGCTTCTCTGGCTCGGGGGGGACTTTCTCTGGCTCAGATCCGGACCCCTGAACTGGACCTGGTTGTCGTCCCCCCGCTTCTCAGCCCCCTCTGGGGTTCCTCTCTCCTCTCCGCCCACTCTTTGCTCACTGCCCCATGTCCCTCGGTCAGTCGGCCTGTCTGTTCCTCTCTATAGCTCGGTCAAGGAGTGTGATGACTGGCGAGCAGATGGCTGCCTTCCATCCATCGTCCACCCCCAACCCGCTGGAGAGGCCCATCAAGATGGGCTGGCTGAAGAAGCAGAGGTCCATCGTGAAGAACTGGCAGCAGAGGTACTTTGTGCTGAGGGCGCAGCAGCTCTACTACTACAAGGATGAAGAGGACACGAAGCCCCAGGTACCAGCCAGGCTGTTTGTCCCGTTCATAAGGCACGGAGGAGGCGGGCCTGGAGCCCGCTGGGATTTCACTTAAACTCACAGGGGCCTTCTCAATAGGACCAGACACACCCATTGGAAAGGAAATTGCTTTTCCCTTTACACCATTTTCTAGATACATAAACTGAGTTGCAAAGATGACAGAGTGGTCCTCCAGGAAGCACCAGGACGGGCACTGTGGAGTTTCCTACACATGGCTCTGAGTCAAGACTGGCAACAGGGCGGTGATGGTAGTGACACTCAGTCAAGGGCTCAGAGAGAGTGGATTTGGGTTCAGGAAAACCGATTTTGGGACTCATTGATTTGTTTGTTCAGTAAGTATTTATTGAGCGTTTATTATATGCCACACACTGTTCTAGGTACTTGAAATAAACTATGAGCAAAACAGATAAAAATCTCTTCCATATGCAGCTTAGAATGTGGAGGAAAAGACACATAAACATAACAAATAAGAAAAGTATGTAGTTTGTTAGAGAAAAGATTAGTTCTATGAGGAAAAAATAGGATGAGCTAGCAGATGTCACGAGTTAAGGGAAGATGTAATTTTAAAAAGGATGGTCAAATGACCTCATGAAGAGGGTGACACTGGGGCCGAGACTAAAGAGGAGAGGGAATAAGCTGGGTAGATCTCTGGGGAAAGAGTGTTCCAGGCAGAGAGAACGGCCGGTGCTAAGGCACCAAAGGGAGCATGTCTGGCCTGGCTGCGGAATAGCAAGGAGGGCACTGTGGTGGGAGCAGAACTAGCAGGTAGGAATCAGAGGGGATGAGGTCTGAGAAGCAAGAGGGTAGTCAGGGGTCAGGGGCACAGACTGCTGGGGCACTGCAGGCCACTGTAAGGACCTGAGCATTCACACTGAGGGCCACAGGGAGGCATTGCAGGGCTCTGAGCAGAGAGTGACAGTTTTTGGTTTAAATTGTAAAAAGACAGCTGTGGCTACTGTGCTCAAAAATAGAGCCAGAGGAGACGCAAGTAATCTAGGTAAGGGGTTATGATGTTTAGGGGCTCAGTAGGAGTTGTGGGCTGGAGGAAAATGGTCAGCTTCTGGATATACTTTGAAAGTAGAGCAAACAGGATTTCCTGATGCAGTGGATAAGGCTGTGAGAATGGGCTTTAATCCTAAATCTTGGGCCTAGGTCTCTTCGGCCAACCTCATTGCTTTTTTGGCCATTGTGGTGTGTGAGAATAAAAGAGGATGCTCTGAACAATTACGCCAGGACCCCAGGTGCAAACTGGATGTCTCAGGGCATCCAGCACAGCTGTCACCCACCTAGAACTCATGTGTGTGGAGATGGAAGTATGGGCTTGGCCAGAAGGAGCTTATTTGGGATGACAGACTCTAGAACCTTCTGGAGCCAGAACAAAATCCCGAGAAAGGCAAGGACAAGAAGTGTGTAGATATTGGGGGTGGGTGGGACCAAAATGAAAAGCTCATTTTGGAAGAGGACTGTTTTCTTTAAGGGCAGGCTTGAGGATCCATTGCACATCAGCAGGACTTGGTTAACCAGTTCCTCCACTTAAGGGCTCTGAACTCTGGAGTCTCTGTCACTGCAGAGGCCAGGGAAGGATCGCAGGGACCCCACCACAGATGGGGCTCTTGCCTCATGTTCTGTGCATGGTAACCAGCCTTCCTTCTCTTTATAAACACCCCAGACCTTATTAAAGCCAAGCAATTCCAGGCTAAGATGGCGGTTGATATGTTAAGACGATGGAGGAAGTCCTCCTATCTGCAGAGTGTAAGGGAGACGGCAGTAACGCTTTGGCCACCCCAGATCAATGAAAGGGGCAGCTGAGTGTGTTTCCATGAAGTGTAGAGGGTGAGAGGTAGTTTATATAAAAGGATGTGTTCTTTTCCTGGTTCCACCACTATTTGGCCCTGTAATTATTTCATTTTTCCGGACCCCGCTTTATTCTTTTATAAAATTAGACAATACTACCTGGCCTGCATTTGTCACAGGATCAAATGATATAAAGCAGGTATAAAAAACTGTTTTGTTAAAACATAAACTAATGTCAAAGGGTAAAATAAATATCTGAAGGTTCTTGCTTCTCCTCCTTACTTCTGGGAGGAAGAAACCCAAAGCCTTCTCAGGACTAAATTAGCCTGAGATAATTAGGTAACACTTCTAGGATGACAAGGATAATTTATTTTGAGGAAATCTATTGATATAATACATCGGATCAATAGGTCAAGTAAGCAAAACCACACAACCCTTCAATAGATGGCTGAAAAATGCATTGATAAAATCCAACACTCATTTCAGATATGAAAAATAGAAAAATAAAACCTTTAGGAATACAATAATAATTTCTTAGAAAGAATAGTGTATTTTACCACATGTTGATATGTATCATTTGATTATAAAAGCTTTAAAAATTATTCACAATCCCATTAGTAAGAAATAGCCACCTATATCCCCTCCACTTTCAGCCTTCCCTATACATATGTATTTAGGAACTCATCTATTGTAAATGCAAAATTAGTATAATAAATATTATTTAATGAAAAAATTAACAATATATCATGAATTTTGCCCCAACACTAAATATGATTCTACAATATAATTCTTAGTTATGTCAAAGCAATCTATTATATGAATGTTCCATAATTTATTTAATTAATTTTCCACTGTTAGGAATTTGGGCTGATGTTTATACTATTATCACAAACAATAATTAAGTAGATTCCCCACAGCATTGTTTATATTAGTGATATGACAACAATGCCCAGTGGTAGGGGCTAACTTATATTAGGCTACATTTATATATCTATACAATAAAATACAATTCAGACATTGATGCTCCTAATTAATACTTTTTGAAATGGAAAAATGTCCATAACATTACTGTCTTTAAAAAGCAGTTTACAACAGAAGATGATGTATATACTAATCCCATTCTTGAAAAAAAAAGCATGAATCTGTATTTATAGAAAAAGGCCTAGAAAGACATACACAGAAGTATTAACCGTGGTTATCTCTGAATACTGGGGTTACACATACAATTTCTAATGTCTCTTTAAAAATATTTTTATAATTGAAGTGTAATCATTGTAAATTTAAAAAGAATGCACACAAACATCCTATCCCCCAAGATACCAAAAAGCAGAAACATCACAATAATCTTGGAGCCATCAGGCGTAAGGGCCCTCACATACACTGATGATGTGTGTGTTGGTTGGTACAACCTTTCTAGAAAGTCATCTGGCCAGATTTACTAAACACCAAAAAATTGTCATACCCTTAGACACAGTAATTCTGGGTCTACGAAGTTCCAAAAGAAATAATAAGAATATTCAATGCTATTTATAATGAGAAACATTGGACCTAGCGTCCGGCAAAGGAGAATGTAAATAAATTATGGAGCCGTGTATGATAGACTTTCCTGTATGTGCTTCTGGAGAATCCTGTGGCCCTACACAAGGCAGTCTGTGCATTTTTTCTTTGAGTTCTCAGAAAGATCCTGTCCAGTTTTAACGGTTTAAGGCTGTGTAAGTCCATGAACTAGCTTTATATAAACCATTCTAGAGAGTTGTTTGTCAGGGAAATTGTTTCAAACAGAATCTCAGCTTATCGCCCTCAAGTTTCTGTTACAATGATGGTCTCAGACAATCCTAGTAGTAGGGTAGACCCGTGGTCCCATTGTCTCATCTGCCTGTTTTCTGAGGCATCGCCACAAGTGGTTGTCTACCAGCGGTGTGCTGGTAGATAGTTAACAACTGGCCCTCTGATGGGAGAGCCGATTGAAGGGCAACATTTGCTAATTTCTGTGTGGCAGATACTCCCATCATGACTGATGCAAGCTACCAACATTATACCACTGAACTCAGAGTTGAGAAGAGACATGCAATAGCACCACATTATATAGGATTTCCACCACACAGATAGAATAGATGGAAATAACCACAACAGCAGAAATGATAGCAAAATAATCAGAAAGGTGTACAATTTAAGTATCTTCACCTTTTTAATAGAAAATATTTCATTGTAAGCTTATAGAATTTAAATTTTAGTAATAGCTGTATTTAACTGGCTTAAAACTTAACAGTTAAGTTCTCATGAGCCAATATAAGCATTTTGAAAAATGCTTTAACAAGGAGTTGGGCTAAAATGTAGTTCTAGATGAACTACAAATTGGATTTAAAAGTTATAGCTAGAGAATTCTAGATATTCTGGCACCTCACTGCCACAGCTGTCTCCATTGCTTTACTGCTGAAGGACTTGTGGCCTCCTGCATAAACATTTCTGTCCTTCCATCTTTATACAGAGCCCACCCCAGTCAACTTGCTAAGTACAAGTGGCTCTGGGCAACTTGGGCCCTTCCCTTCCTGGAACAATTCTTCCTTCCCTATCAGTGTCCCCACCCTCACCCCTACTGGTGTCTCTTCCTCTTACCTGCTTTCTTCTTGCCATTTATGAAGTTCAAGCCTCTCATGCTGAGCTTGAGGAAAGGGCCTGCAATTAGTCATTTACACCTTGGTGTGAACATGTTTAACTCTCATTGTTACTTCTCTCAGCAAGTGGGACTTGTAAGTAAAGCCTTATTTGTAATTCTGGAATCACACTGACTGATGCTGGAATCGTAGATTTCTTATTATCTAGCTTTTGTGATCCTGGGTCAGCTAATTAACTTCCTTGAGCTTTACTTCTTCCTTTCTCCAATGGGGAAGAATAACAGTCCTTCCCTCCTAGACTTCTTATGAAGATTAGATGTGCTGATACATTCAGGGCAATTAGCATAGAGTCAGACACCTAGGGAATGCTCAATAAATGGCATGTATATTTTTAGTATTTTATTGTTACTATTTCTGATGAAATGATTTTGGGTGTCAAAAGACAGTTTGGAGAGGTACTTAGGGGAGGCAGACACCTCTGTGTTTGCCCTTTCCTTCTCTCCTTACCAGACAGTGCTCCATCCTGCCTAAAAGCAACAAGGCCTTTTATTCTGGTGCCATAACTCATCCAAAGTAGCTCAGCAGCACAACCTCAGGGTCATTTTTTCTGAAGGCATGGATGTGATTTATTAAAGATGGTGAGGACTGTGTAGGTGGAGGTTATTTTTAAATAATAAAATTAGAGGAATGTAGAGGAATTGCAGAATTCCACTTTCTAGACCGATTTTCTTTTTCTTCTCCTCCTTCCCCTTCCCCCTTCTCCCCTTCCTTGTCTTTCATCCTCATTCTCCTCCTCCATTTGTTCTTTCTCCTCTTCCTTCTCCTGCCCTTTCTGTTCCTTCCCCTCCTCCTCCTCTTCCTTCTTGTCTTGTTCTCTCTCAGTCTTAGGCATTTTTATTTCTAGATCCTCAAGAAACATTTATTCTCTTAGGCTCCTGAGTGGATCTTACTTCTGAGATTTCCTTAAGACTCTTTTGCCTTTATAGTGTTCTCTGCCACCAGTCATCTCCATCGGTACTTTGTTTTGAAATAAAGACACGTGTGTTTACTCAACTCAGAATCAGGCCTGCTACCTTCAACAGCCAGCGAGGTGTAAATTATGAATAACTAGATCCAGTGCGCACTAACGATGTTACTTTGTGCAGTCACTTAGACATTCAAAGTGTCAGTTTCCTCATCTGCAAAGTGGCAGTGATAAATCTTGCTATGCTCTGGATATGGAGTTGTTGTGGGGGTCTAATGAATTATCTCAAGTGGGCCAGGCACGGTGGCTCATGCCTGTAATCCCAGCACTTTGGGAGGCTGAGGTGGGTGGATCATGAAGTCAGGAGATCTAGACCATCCTGGCTAACACTGTGAAACCCCATCTCCACTAAAAAAAATACAAAAAATTAGCCAGACGCAGTGGTGAGCGCCTGTAGTGCCAGATACTCAAGAGGCTGAGACAGGAGAATAACTTGAACCCAGGAGGCAGAGGTTGCAATGAGCTGAGATCACGCCACTGCACTCCAGCCTGGGCAACAGAGCGAGACTCCGTCTCAAAAAGAAACCAAAAGAATTATCCCAAGTGAAATGCACTGTAAGTGATAAAGCACCATGCACACACATGGTGGAAGTGGCTTGTTTTTCTGATAATATATCTGTGTGTAAGAGGTCACAAATCCTACTAAACCCTCAGACCCCTTCATAGATCTGGGCTTGGTGGTGGGACCATTTCCCACCACCTCAGCTTTGATGGTGAAGAGCACTGGCTTTGGACTGACTTCTGAGATGAACTACTATTCTGGCACTTACTAGCTCTATGACTTTGGGTAGATTATAGAAGCTTTCTGATCTCTTTTCTTCACCTATAAAATTTACATAATGATACTTTCCTTAGAGGACTGCTGGAAGGACTACATGAATAATACATTCAAGGTGGTTAGTGAAGGTGCGAGCACCTTCTACTCAATACCCCATCCCCTCCAATGGTCACCTGAGTGGTTCAGTCCTCCCTGAACCCCTCTGGCAGCTTGGCAGGTAGTATGGTCTCCACAGCCTCAGCATTGCCTTCACAAAGACCAAGTGTCTCATTTGGCCATCAAGTTGGGTCCTTGGAAAAGTGGGAAGAGGCAAGTATTGGTGATGACACCCTCTTAGCTCATTCTTATATCAGAACCTTGTCTTTCTCTGGGCACCTGATTTGCTCTGGAATAGCTGCCCTTTGATTTGCCCAAGGCCTGAGTAGCAGAAGGGGCCCCATTAAAACTGGGAGGCTAGCTTCCCATGTCCCTATCCTCCTACTCTCCTCCCCATCCCATCATTATCCTATCTGTTGTCCAACCCAATTTTAGTTTATATTAAATTGCTGCTTATCCTTAAGGCCTGACTTTTCATCTTTCAGGGCTGCATGTATCTACCAGGATGTACAATCAAGGAGATCGCCACAAACCCAGAAGAAGCTGGGAAGTTTGTCTTTGAAATCATTCCAGGTAGGCCACCACAGGTAGGACAGAGGTGCAGTGCAGAAGTAAAATTCCCATTTTACTTCTGGACCCTAGAAGTCAAAGCTATATTCGGAGAGTAATTCAACTAACTAACCAACCAGCCTATTGAGAGCCCACAATGGTTCTTTATACAGTTAATGAAGCTATTGTAGTTTATTAACTAGTATCAAGTGCTTGAATAATGCCCATGAAAGAAGTAGGTGAGCATTTTGTTCAACTCTGTAAGCATTTCATGAGCGTGTGCTAGGAGCCAGTTACTGTACAAGGCTCTGAGCCACTGACATGAAAAGTGCACCTTCTCTACTCACTAAAATGAACTCATTGTAGAAGGAGAGTAGGTCATCAAATTTAACAGTTAAAATATAAATGGAACCACGTGAAATTGCCATTTTGATGGGTCAAAAATTATAAAAATTCAGCAGCCTCAGATGGTTCCACCCATTGCATCTCACCCATTGCACATGATTGGCACATTGGAGGTGCCTCTTTCAAATCAAGAGTTTCCTTCCTTGAATGCATTTGGAACAAGGGGAGTTTGGGTCATGCTCCTGGATCTGCCACACTGAGATGCTTCTACTCTTCTCCCTGTCTCTTGCTCCTCTGCTAGCCCTAGCCCTGCCAGGGGCTCCAGGACTAGAGGCTAATCTGGCTGTGTAGCCTTGCTGCTACTGCTGTACTGACCACAGCGGAGGAGGCCACATGGCCCCTGAGTGCCTCTTTTCTTCACCCCCTCCTTCCCACTCACACAAGGTGACTGTGTGCATAAGAAAGTTGATGGAGAAGGCAGCGTAGCATAGAGGTTAGAAGTGTCCAGTCTGGAGCTAGCCTGCCCTGACCCTGGCACTTACTATTTGTGTAAGAGGTTACTTAATTTCTCCCTGCCTTTTGATTTTTTGTCTATAAAATGGGGACAATAATGATAATAGTAAAGATTTAATAAGGAAATAAATATGAAGCATTTGATACAGTGCATGTCATATCAGTGTTTGATATTTGGGAATAATCTAGAGATAATTATAATGCAGAAAAAAAATCCTAAACTTGGCTATGACTGTTTATAGAATACAAATTTACAAAAATTTTTAAGTTTCTAGATGCTTGCTTGTTTGTTTTTTTTGTTTTTTGTTTTTGTTTTTTTTTTTGAGTTGGGACAGTCTTGCTCTGTTGCCCAAGCTGGAGTGCAGTGGCGTGATCTGGGCTCACTGCAGCCTCTGCCTCCCCAGTTCAAGCAATTCTCCTTGCCTCAGCCTCCTGAGTAGCTGGAACTAGAGGTGTGTGCCGCCATGCCCAGTTAATTTTTGTATTTTTAGTAGAGACAGGGTTTCACATGTTGGCCGGGCTGCTCTCGAACTTCTGACCTCAGGCAATCCACCTGCCTCAGCTTCCTGAAGTGCTGGGATTACAGATGTGAGCCACCATTCCTAGCCTCCCTTGCTTTTTCATCTGAAGGTCTAACTTCCTCTCTTTCTCTTCAGAGGAAAAGCAGGAAAGCCTGCTTTTTCAGTCTCTCCTCACTAGAAATATCTCTCTCCCTTTCCACAAAGGTTATTCTGTTCTTAGGATGCTTCTCCCAGTGCAATTCATGGGACACAACCATCCATGGTAACATGTGTGTCCCAAAGCCTGGGTTTTCAATCTAGAGTAACCCTACTGAGAGATCCAGCTGAAGATTCACTGTGGGCTTTGCACCAAAAATACCTACTCTTCAACATTGCTATACCAGTGCAGGAGGAAGGTTTGTTCTCTCATTATCACTTATGTTTGCAGCAGTCTCCTGGCCTGCTAGAGGAATTCACAAACAGATCCTTTTTCTCTCTCTCTTTCGCTCTCTCTCTCTCTTTCTCTCTCTCTCTCTCACACACACACACACACACCACATCTCATAAGGACAAATAATACTAAAGTAATAATAAGATAGGAAACCATTTTCATAAAGATACCATCATCTTCCAAGGTTCCACCCAACCCTAAAGTGAGATATCCTTCATGTTATAACATAGAGAATTTTTAGTTCCTCTTTTTATCATCCTCTTTTGCAAGATGATTCTCCGGAGCTAATGCTGGTGTAAGAAATGGGCTTCCCAGATAGGATCCTCTCTCTGTGATCACCAGTTTTAGTTGCACAAACGTCACATAGAAACTTTTAATTGTAGGCATGCTAGTTTTTTTTTTAATTGGGGGCAGGCAACAATTTAGGGTAGGCTTCCCTCTCCCTACTGATCTCTCATAGCATAACTATCTATTCTTCTATTCTCCTCCTACCCCAGGGAATCACCAGGAAGGGGTTGTTCCTTCTGTTGCATATGTTATCTCATTTAGTTCTCATACCACTTTATGATCTGTTGTTACTCATTTGTACGACAAATTCATTGAGCACCTCCTATGAGCCAAGTACTATTGCAGGACTGGGAATGTGGCAAAGAACAAAGCAGCCTGCATGCACGTTACGTGGGAAGAGACTAGCAGCAAACCAAATATATGGGCAAATTATGTAGTTTTTCTGATAGGATAGCAATTATGGGGAAAATTAAACCAAAGAGAGAGAAGGTGCTGGCTGAGGTGGTTGATTGATTATTGTGAACAGAGCCGGCAGAGTTTGTGTTATTAAGAAGGTGACCTTTGGGCACAGATCTGAAGGCAATGAGGGAGTCAGCTAAGAGCACAGCTGGAGGAAGAGCATTCCAGGAAGTGGAAATTGCCAGTACAAAGTCTCTGAGCCTATTTCATATGTTCAAGGAAGGTCAAGGAGGCCAGTGTGGTTACAGTGAAGTGATGGCAGGAGACAAGAATAGGACATTTTCTCAGGGGTGGGCACAGATTTCATAGGCACTTGCAGGCAATGTGAGAACTTTAGCTTTTCTGCTAGAAGGATGGGGAGCCACTGGAAAGTTTTGAGCAGAGGTGTGACATGACATAACTCATGTTTTAAAATTCTTTTGAATTGAAAACAAAAGTAAGTAGTGGGGGCAAGGGCAGAACAAGGAGATCAGTGAGGAGGCTTTTGCAAGAATCCAAGTCAGAGATAGCAGTGATGAAGGGGCTGTGAAGTAAGCAGTTTCTGATCACATTTTGAAGGTAGGGAGGGCTTCATTTGCTAATGAATTGGATGTGGGAAAAAGAAATCGATGTTGACTCCAAAAGTTTTGGCCTAAACAATGGAAAAGATGGATTTGCTGAGATTTGTGCATGTAGCAAGCAAGTTTTTTTTCGGGGGTTTGGGGGTAAGGGCATCAGTTTTGGACATATTAAATAATATCTCCATTGTACTGGTAAGGAAACTATTGCTCAAGATAATTTAGCTACTGTAGTGATAGAGGTAAGAACAAGATATTAAGGGATTATAGAATAAGGACTCCCCACTCAACTTGGAGTAGGGGGAAGAAAGGTCCCTAGAAAAGGTAACATTTGAGTTGGGTTTTAAAGAATGGGTAGGAGTTCTTTAGGCAGATTAAGAAAAGAAGAGAGGTCCATTTCCAACAAGAGAAATAGCCCAAAGGGTAACACATGTTGAACAGGCTGTGTTTAAGTCAGATAAATTATGTGCCTGAGGTCAGAGGTGCTGTTCGTGAGCTTTGTATTAATGTCAGGCAATTCCTGTTAATGAAAGTCTGTTCTAGCACCCCAATTATGCCCAAATATTTACTTTTTTTTAGGACAACAGAAACCTTTCAAACCCCCTTTGGTTCTTGTCTCTTGGACCTATCTTAATATCATCAAGCTTCACATTATTTCACCCTTTGGGACAACCTGATTTTCAATCATCCTGTCATCAGGTCATCAGCTCTCCTAACCAGAAGAGTTAGTCCATGGAAGTCCTCTTCATTCAGGAACATCTTGAGAGCTGCGTGTTTCCCAGTGGGGTTGCTCATGACAGAACAAAAAGACCTCCCAGGAATCAGGGTAAACTGAGAAGACATGTTTTAACAACATAGTAGACTGGAGTTGAGGCATGGTGGAGACGGAGCGGGGAAAGACACCAGATAAATTTTGTCCAAGGTCAAATTTAGGAGCAATATGGGCCAGCGGAATCTTTCATGGGAGGAAGGACACCGACAGACTTGCCCTGTGTTTGGCAGCAACTCACTGGATACTGACGAACTGGTGCTTTTGCATCCCTGGGATTCAGTTCTATTATCTATAAAATGGAAATAATACTAACTCCTTATTCTATTTCAAAGGGATATTGCAATTCCTAGAGGGTCTTTTTGTTCTGCCCTGAGTATTTTTAACTTACCATTTTACTTCTGAAAACATCCAGTTCTCAGGATACTCTCAATGCCCAGTGCTTTAATGGTCAGAAAAGCTGATGACCTAATGACAAGATGGAGTCAGAATCAGGTTATCACAAAGGGTGAAAGAAGGTGAGGCTCAGTGATATTAAGATAGGTCCAAGAGACCAGAACCAAAGGGGATTTGAAAGTCTTTTCCTGCCCTGCAGGGAAATACAGGTTTAGGCACAACTACTCAGCTAGAACAAGCTCTCTGAGGGAGATGGCCTGCCATTGTGAGAAGAATGGATTGCTGCTTACGAAGGCACTTTGAAATTTAATATCCCATAATTGAAAGGGATCACTATTGTTTTCTTGTCCCCGCTAAGACCTTTTTATTTTAACCAACTAAAGAAAATACCAACTTTGAGGATTTCCATTTGCAAGCAGGTCCACGGATGAAGTTAGAGTTCAAGTCTCAGATCTGATACTAACTAACTGCATGGTCCAAGACCTGTGTTTGATACTCTCCTTTTCCCTCTCTTGCTTCTTTCTTCCTTTTTCACTTTCCCACATTCTTTCTCTTCGTCTCCTTCTCCCTGCTTTCTGTTCCCTTCAATTTCTCCCACCTTTTTGGTCCATTTGAGAACACCAACCGAGGAAACACTACACCTATCTATAATCTTAGGTTTGAAGTGAAAATGGTAAAGAAAGTTCTAACAAGTTTCATGTATCCATTAACTGAGTATTGAGAACCTACATTTGAAAGGTGTTGTGTGGCCAGGAGAGCAGAAATATGATCACCAAGCACCAATTTTGTGAAAAAAGCACACATCTATTCACTGTCACTCCCACCTGAGGTTGTCATCTCCTACCCTACCCCCACAACTGAGCTCAGGACTAGCTTAGGAAAGTATCCACGGTTGGCGTGATGATCTAAAGTCTTCTAACTTTTATGGGCTGACCCTGTCTCATCTATGCTGAAACTGCACCATGAACTTCCTTTTCCTTTTGGTAGGAAATGACTTCTGTCCTCTTAAATGAAAGCAGCTCTCAGCCCAAGCTATGCCAATTGCAAACCATTGTGTTCAATGATTTGTCTGTTGAGTTAGAGCTTCAGTAAGAGTGCCCGGATATCCAGTTCCACTGAGGATAATTCGACAATGCATTTGTGTTGTTTGGCTGGTAGTGCTTCATTGAACCAAGACATCAATTTAGGTCTGGTTCCCTTCTCTTCCCCTTGCTCTCATGTTCTTATCACTCTAAGACCTTCACAAGTGCTAATTCTTCCTCCAGCCTCATGGGACCAGAATCGCATGGGACAGGACTCCTATGTCCTCATGGCCAGCTCTCAGGCGGAGATGGAGGAGTGGGTTAAATTCCTCAGGAGAGTTGCTGGCACACCCTGTGGAGGTAAGGACCCCTGCAGGCTTTCCTGGGCAGGTGCCTATGACATCTCAGAAAGTAGGAAGTAGCTCCAATGTGATAGCTCCTTGAGCAGTGCTCAAGGGAGACAACCAGAAAGCAGTTCTCTGCATGCCCATGGCCAAGTGCTCTGTCAAATGTGGAGGAAAAGTGGGCTCAGAGCTTCTAGCTTCCCACCCCCTGCGGCACCTGGGTCATCTCAAAGAGCCATCTCCAAATTAACTGGAGGGAAGGCAAGTCTTTTGCAGTGAGTAAATGTGTATGATATCTGGAAGTAGTGCTTTCTCCTCTCTGGGCCAAAGTACTCTCATCTGTAAAATGAATGGGTTGGATAAGCTGACCCCGGGTACCCAGCAGCACTGGCTCATGCAGCACCACGAGTCTGCCTGGTTCTGGGAACTGATGGCAACAGCTATGCTGAAAGCATAAGTTAGACTGCATAAGTCAGCACATGAAAATAAAGCTACTGTCCAAAAGAGGGATGATCAGACTGGGGAAGGTTCAGGAATTGTGTCTGAAGTCTTGCAGGTGTACAGTGAGTTCAGCATTCAACACTTTTCTGGGTTTCACAACTCAAGAATTTGAGCTCTCTGGGAATCCTGGTGATGTTTCCACATTTGAGGAGGGTCCTGACTAAAGAAAACGGATGCAAAAACTATCTGAAATTAACAAACACGTGAATCTAGTAAGTTTCCCTGCCTTTATAAAAATATGAAAAAACCGACAGGTATGAGTTCTCAAGTTAACATTTTCCTTCAACTTTTTAGGAGCACGCCTACTTGTGTCAACTCCAGATAACCTTAAATATATAGTTATGTATTGACTGTGTGGCCTGTTATTTTGGAAATTATTTAGGGAGGCTTTCGTAGTTTGAATATTAAATATTTATTTCATTGGCCTACAGCTTCCTTCAGAAATTTCAAGAATATCACAATAATTTTGTGGAAAGTAAAGAAAAAATATTCCACCAGAGGCATTTTATGTTTATCTTTCATCTACTGTTTACATCTACACACTTTTTTCAGAATGGCTTAAGCATTTTCCCCAAGTTGCTATGGAATCTTTTTCTTTTTTTTTTTTCCGAGACGGAGTCTTGGTCTGTCGCCCAGGATGGAGTGCAGTGGCGTGATCTCGGCTCACTGCAAGCTCCACCTCCCAGGTTCACACCATTCTCCTGTCTCAGCCTCCTGAGTAGCTGGGACTACAGGCGCCTGCCACCATGCCTGGCTAATCTTTTTTTGTATTTTTTTTAGTAGAGACGGGGTTTCACCATGTTGGCCAGGATGGTCTCGATCTCCTGGCCTCGTGATCCACCCGCCTCGGCCTCCCAAAGTGCTGGGATTACAGGCGTGAGCCACCGTGCCCGGCCTGGAATCTTAATTGATACATTTCAGCATTTATTTGGTTACAAATAGAAATTGTATCCAATGATGTTAAACAACCAAGAAAGATTTGCTGGTTAGATACATTAGCTTCTCAAAGCAACCAAGAGCAGGAACTGCCAAGAGGTTTTATAAGAGTCTGGGACCAAGAAAGGGGACATTAGCATTGATTTTATCCTGTCTGTTTCTCTGGGAGCACATGACCTGCAGGTACATAATTAGGCCACATGCTGGAAAATCTTAGCTGTGACCATCCTTATTGCGCTGGATTATGAGATTGTGAGCCACCCTTTTCTGTTTTCTCCAGTCCAGTGCTTTAAGCTATCTGCATAGACAAGGGTAGTGGATGTTGCCTAATCATGCACCTGCTCTCTGAGTCAAAATGGTATCCGTGTACTTTCACTAGGTTCTGTGGCTACTGTGATGCTTGGCTGAGCCTTGCCGTAGTGAACTGCTGTACTCTGTCATGATACACATGGGGATTTCACCCTCACCGCACCCCGAGACCACCACCCTGAGAAGCAAGTCAAGCATGAGTCCTGTAGGCGGTGGAAAGTCCAGCGAAGGGGAAATCAGAGTGCAACAGCACTTATTTATTCAAAGAACAGTGTTGCCTCTGATACAGCATCTCAGATTATTATTATTATTATTATTTTGAGATGGAGTCTCACTCTGTCTCCCAGACTGGAGTGCACTGGCATGATCTCGGCTCACTGCAACCTCCGCTTCCAGGGTTTGAGCGATTCTCCTACCTCAGCCTTCTGAACAGCTGGGATTACAGGCATGTGCCACCACACCCAGCTAATTTTTGTATATTTAGTAAAGACAGGGTTTCACCTTGTTTTGGCCAGGCTGGTCTCGAACTCCTGACCTTAGGTGATCCACCACCTCGGCTTCCCAAAGTGCTGGGATTACAGGCATGAGCCACCGTGCCCAGCCACGTTTAAAGTTACTAACCAAAATCATAGATCCCGGAATGTGAGGGCATTTTTAAGACAGTATAGAGTCTCATTTGAGGCCACTGGACAAATCAGACATTTGTTCTTCCTATTTGTAAGTTAGGGAATGTTGGCCTTAAAGGGACAAATGACGTGTCCCGTGGGCCCAGGAGGTGAGGGGCAGGGCCAGGGCTCTTTTGCCACAGCACATTACCACTTGGAAAGAATCTCTAACGTGGGTTGACTAGATGGGAAAGACATGCCTCCCAAATATTGTGAAGTCACTGAGACATGTGGCTGCCACCTCTTTCTAGCCCTTTGTGAAACTTTCTTTTTCCAACCAGAGCCTGCCCCCTTCCCACCACCTTCACTACTACCACCCCAAAGGAGATGGAATCCTTTCTTGTCAAATTACAGCACTAACCTTGAAACTCATCTCCACACGTTCACCCCTGCCTTCTTACAGTCTGTTTTCGACAGAGCGGCCAGAGTGAGCCTGTTAAACCTGTCTTATCAAGATTCTTCTCAGCTCAACATTCTCTGATAGCTTCCTTTCTCACTCAGAGTAAAAGTCAAGGCTTTATAATGATCTTACAGTGCACAGTCTGCCCACCGCCTCCCCTCCCGCATTTCCCTTCTGACCTTCTCCCGTGCTCATTTCACTCTAGCTTCACCAGCCTCCTCAAACATCCTACCCGTGTTCCTGCCTCCAGGCCCTTGCACTTGCTGTTTCCTTCGCTGGGAATCCTCTTTCCCCAGGTAGCTGCATGGCTTGGTCCCTTACCGTCTTCAGGTCTTTGATCAAACATCACCTTAGTAGGCCTTCCTCTATGATTCTGTTTAACGTTGGACCCCTTCCTTACCCCTCAGTTCTGCCTCGCTTTGCTCCTTGGCACATAACCTCTTCTAACATGCTAAATATTTCACTCATTTGTTTTGTTCCTAGCTAGACTCCCCTCACTGGAATGAAAGCTTCAATCTACTTGGCAGGAATTGTTTTTCTCTTTTTTGTGCAGTACCATATCCTAGAATCTAAACAGTGCTCAATAAAGATTTATTAATCGAATGGGTGAAAGAATCAAGTCATTTTCCCATAGCAGCACTATGTTCAGCTCCCTCAGTAGGCTCTTCTCTGTTAGATGATGATCAGCTTATCTGAGAGATTATTCAGTAAATGGGTTGTGTCCTCTATAATTATAATATCTTCCTCCAAGTATGTCGGTGGTGAGTCTCGGTGGAGCTCTTTATGGTGCAAAGACCTCCCTTGGAGAATCTGATGAAAGCTATAGAGACTCTCCCCAGAAAAATACCTAGACACAAACAATTTTGCTTCTGACAGCAAAACATTTTCAGACACCTGTAGCCCGTCTGTACACCCTAGGGAATGAATCCCAATTTTAAATTTTAGAAGTTACTCTGGTGACAATTGTGCAGAGCCGATGCCTCTTCTGGCTTGCCGTCCCCTTTTGGGCTCCTTTTCTCCCTTGACTGGAGAGATGGCCCACATAGTCTTCACGGCATTCCCAACTTCTTCCTCAGGGCTCCTCCTGCCTGTAGCTGGCTCTGAGTGTTCCTCTCACTTTAGAGGGCAGCACATTGGTGTTTCAGCCTTTTTCTTATCAGTGGGCTAATTTCTTGCCACCCTTCTCTAAGGGCTTGTGACTTCTGACAACTCATTCTCAGCTTACTCCTGCCCATTTCCTCTAAACTACTCCTTCCTTTTAGTAAGGCAGGCATGCCTTCTCTGGATCTCCACACTGAAACCTGGTCCCTGTCCCGTCTCCAGGGAGCAAGCAGTCCAAATTGCAAATCATCACACTCTGTCCAGACCTGCTTTTGTCCTCTTCCTCCAGAGATGAGCCATCTGAAGTTTTGCTCAGGCTATTGCTGAGTGAGGAAACAATGCATTACATTGTTCTCCTTTACCCAACCCAGTTTTAAAGTCCTGAAACAGGTCCTATGTTTTTGAAATTATTATTATTAGTATAAATTTATGGAGTACAGGTGCAAATTTGTTACATGCATAGATTATGTAGTAGTGGCCAGGTCTTTTAGGGTACCCATCATCCAGATAACACATATTGTACCTATTAAGTGATTTCTCATCATACACCGCCTTCCATCCCCTCATCCTTCTGAGTTTCTGTTGTCCATAATTCCATACTCTATGTCTGTGTGTACACGTTACTTAGCTCCCACTTATAAGTCAGAACATGTGATATCTTTCTGTGTCTGCCTTGTTTCACTTAAAAATGGCTTCTAGTTCTATCGATGTTGCTGCAAAAGACATGATTTCATTCTTTGAAATGTCATATTTACTATTCTTTGGCTGAACAGTAAGTATACCATTGTGTATTTATACCATATTTTCTTCATCCGATCATCTGTTGATGGACAGTTAGGTTGATTCCATATCTTTGCCATTGTAATAATCATGTGAGAAACATTCAAGTGCAGGTATCTTTTTGTTATAATGATTTCCTTTCCTTTTGGTGTATACCCAGTAGTGGGATTGCTGGATCAAATGATAGTTTTATTTTTAGTTTTCTGAGAAATCTCCATACTGTTTTCCATAGAGGTTGAGCTAATTTGCATTCCCACCAACAGTGTATGTGTTTTCTTTTCTCTGCATCTTGACCGACATCTGTTATTTTTTTACTTTTTGGTAATTGCCATTCAGAGTGGCGTAAGGTGCGATCTCATTGTGGTTTTTATTTGCATTTCTCTGATGATTATTAATGTTGAGGATTTTTTTCATATGCATGTTTGTCATTTGTATGTCTTCTTTCGCAAATTGTCTGCTCATGTCCTTTACCCACTTTTTAATGGGGTTATTTTGTTTATTGTTGTTGAGTTATTTGAGCTCCTTGTAGATTCTGGATATTAGTCTTTTATCATATGCATAGTTTGCAGCTATTTTCTCCCATTTAGTAGGTTGTCTGTTCACTCTGTTGATTCTTTTGCTGTACAGAAGCTTTTTAGCTTAATTAAGTCCTATTTGTTTATTTTTATTTTTGCGGCCTGTGCTTTTGAGGCCTTAGTCATGAATTCTTTGCCTAGACCAATGTCCAGAAGAGTTTTCCCTTGATTTTATTCTAGCTTTACTCTAGGTTTTACAGTTTCAGATCTTACATTTAAGTTTTTAATCATCTTGATTTTTGTATATGGTGAGAGATAGGGCTCCAGTTTCATTCTTCAGCATTTGGCAATCAGATTTTCCCAGAACCACTTATTGAAAAGGGTGTCTTTTCTCCAGGGTATGTTCTTATAGACTTTGTCAAAGATCAGTTGACTATAAATATGTGGCTTTATTGCTGGGTTCTCTATTCTGTTCCATTGATCTGTGTGTCTGTTTTTATACCAGTGACATGCTGTTTTGGTTACCATAGCCTTGTAGTATAATTTGAAGTCAAGTAATATGATGCCTCCAGCCTTGTTCTTTTTGCTTAGGGTTTCTTTGGCTATTTGAGCCCTTTTTTGGTTAAATATAAATTTTAGGTTTTTTTTCTAGTTCTGTGAAGAAATGACGTTGGTATTTTGATAGAAATTGCATTGAATCTGTAGATTGCTTTGGGTAGTATGATTATTTTAATGATAATGATTTTCCCAATGCATGAGCATGGGATTTTTTTTATTTGTGTCATTTACAATTTCTTTTGTCAGTGATTCTGTAGTTTTCCTTGCAGAGATCTTTCATCTCCTTGGTTAAATATATTCCTAGGTATTTTATTTTCTATAGCTATTGTAAATCAGAATGCCTTCTTGATTTTGTTTTCAGCTAGATCGTTACTGGTGTATAGAAATGCTACTGATTTTTGTATGTTGATTTTATATCCTGAAACTTTACTGAAAGCATTTATCAGATCTAAGAGTTTTTTGGTGGAGTCTTTAGGTTTTTCTAGATATAAGATCACATCATCAGCGAATAGGGATAATTTGACCTCCTCTTTTCCAATTTGGATACCACTTATTCCTTTCTCTTGCCTGATTACTCTGGGTAGGACTTCCAGTACTCTATTGAGTAGGAATGGTGAAAGTTGGCATCCCTGTTTTGTTCCAGTTCTTAGAGGGAATACTTTTGACTTTCTCCCATTCAGTATGATGTTGGCTGTGCATTTGTTGCATATGACCTATATTATTTTGAGGCACGTTCCTCCTATGCCTAGTTTGTTGAGAATTTTTATTATGAACAGATGCTGAATTTTATCATATGCTTTTTCTGTGTCTGTTGAGATGATCATATGGCTTTTGCCTTAATTCTGTTTGTGTGATGTATCACATTTATTGATTTGTGTATATTGAATCATCCTTACATTCCTGATATAAAACTTATTTGATCATGGTGTGTTATCTTTTTGATGTGCTGTTGGATTTGGTTTGTTAGTATTTTGTTGAGGATTTTTGAGTCTATATTCATCAGGGATATTGGTCTGTAGTTTTCTTTTTTGTTGTTGTTATGTCCTTGTCTGGTTTTGGTATCACGGTGATACTGACCCTGCAGAGTGAGTTAGGGAGAATTCTCTCCTTCTCAGTTTTTTGGAACAGTTTCAGGAGGGTTGGTATTAGAACTTCTTTGTATGTTTGGTACAATTCAACTGTAAATCCATCTGGTCCTGGGTTTTTCTTTTTTGGAAGATTTATTGTTACTGATTCAATCTCACTACTCACTGTTGGTCTCTTCAGACTTTCTATTTCTTTCTGCTTCAGTCTTGGGAGGTATATGTTTCTAGGAATTTATCCATTTCCTCTAGGTTTTCTAGTTTGTGGGCATCTAGTTGTTAATAATAATCTCTGATGATCTTTTGTATTTCGATGGTATTAGTTGTAATGTCTCCTTTTTCATTTCTGATTTGTTTGTTTGGATCTCTTTTTTTCTTGGTTAGTCTAGCTAGAAGTCTAACAATTTTGTTTATCTTTTTGAAAAGCCAACTTTTCATTTTGTTGATCCCTTGTATTGTTTCTTTGGTTTCTGTTTCATTTAGTTCTGCTCTGACCTTTGTTATTTCTTTTCTTCTGCTTATTTTGAGTTTGGTCTGTTCTTGCTTTTCTAGTTTCTTGAGGTTTGAAGTTAGGTTGTTAATTTGTACTCTTTCTACTTTTTGATGTAGGCATTTAATGCTATTAACATCCCTCTTTGCACTGCTTTTGCAGTAGCCTACAAGTTTTGGTATGTTTTTGTATTTTCATTTGTTTAAAAAATTTTTAGATTTCTATCTTAATTTCTTCATTGACCCAATGATCATTCGGTAGCATGTTATTTAGTTTCCATGTATTTGTGTAGTTTTTGAAGTTCCTCTTGGTATTGATTTCTAGTTTTATTCCACTGTGGTCTGAGAAGATACTTGATATGATTTCAGTTTTTAAAAATTTTTTGGGACTTGTTTTGTGGCCTGACATATGGCCTGTCTTGGAGACTGTTCCCTGTGTTGTTGAGAAGAATGTGTATTTTGCAATTGTTATATAGAATGTTCTGTAAAAGTCTATTCATCCCATTTGGTATAAAGTCTAATTTAAGACTTTTAAATTTATTTTCTGTCTAGATGATCTGGGTAATGCTGAGAATGGGGTGTTGAGTTCCCACTATTACTGTGTTGCTGTCAATCTCTTTTTTAGTTTTAGGTCAGTAATATTTGTTTCATGAATCTGGATGCTCCGTGTTGAGTGCATATGTATTTAGAATTGTTATATCAGTTCATTTATATAGTTCCAAATGACTCACTTTGTTCATTCCTTTTTATTCTTTTTTCTTTATTTTTGCCTGGCTGGATTATTTCAAAATACTTGTATTCAGGTTCTGAAATTCTGCCTTTTGCTTGGTCTAGTCTGCTGTTGCAGCTTTTGAATGTTTTCTGTAATTCCTCCAATAAATGTATTTTGTTCTAGAATTCCTGTTTGGATTTTTAAAAAGATATCTATCTTCTTGGTAAATTTATCATTCATATCCTGAACTGATTTTCTTATTTCTTTGTATTGATTTTAGATTTCTCTTGCATCTAATTAGGCTTCCTTAAAATCAATATTTTGGATTCTTTATCTGGGATTTTGAGGAGTTTTTTTGGTTAGGAGCTATTGCTAGAGAATTATTGTTTTCCTTTGAGGGTGTCATATTACATTGCTTTTTCGTGCTTCCTGTATTGTTACATTGATTTCTGCACATCTGAAGCAATAGTCACTTCCTCTTATTTTTGAATTTACATTCATTATGGGGTGGGGACATTTTTTCTTGAAGATGTGACTATGATGTTGGTTGGGTAGGGCCATTTGACTTTGCTTCTTAGTGTGTGCAGTGGTGAAGATGCTGTATGATTTCCTTGGTCATAAATAGCCTTAGTGGTATCTATGGATTCCTTAGTGTGTTAGGGTGCAGTTATTGGTTACTTTTTCAGGTTTCAGTGGTAGCAGTGGTGGGCCAAGTGTGTTTCTCCTTGAGACCTCAGGCAGCATATGCTGGCACCTGTACTGGCAGTTCCAGGCAAGTCGATTCTTGGGCCTGTGGGGGGCTTTTTTGGATGCTGATTGTAGTAGTGGTGTACTGGGCAGGTGAGTGGGCTTTTGACCTTTTGGGCAGCGAGGATGGTGGGGGCAGTGGGTATAAAGGTGGTCATGAAATGTTCTTCTAGTTCTCAAGCACAGTGCTTTTGTGTTAGCCGTTGTTTCAAGTTTCAATGGGCTGTGTGGGCCAGCCTCCAGGCTAGTAGATGGTGCTTGCAGGTAACAACGAGCGGTGGGGGTAGCATGGAGATTTATGCCCGACCTCTGTTCCCCAGAAGAGGTATTTGGGTAACCCAGGTGGTAGTTGGGTTGTGGAACACCCAGGAGCCTGGATCCCACACTCTGTCTTGGAGTAGGGGGCAAAGTTGGGCAGAGCTGGACCAAGCAAGCTTGTATTCAGGCCCTCCAATGGCATATGCATGCACCAGCCTTGATTAGGGGGTAGAGGAAGTCCTTAGGCCGCTTGTGAAATGCTTGGTGAGGGGCAACCTTTGCTGTCCTGAAGTCTTAGGATAGGGAGGATAGGGCTGTCCCAGTGGCCACTGCTTTGGCCCACAGGAATGAGACTTGCTTTCGTCTCACACCCCAGTCCCAGCAAAGTTCCCTCCTCCATCCTGGCTATGGCAGCCAACTTGGCCACCCAGTCAGTCCTGGCAGGCTGCACCTAGTCCACAACTCAGTCCTAGGCCATAGGAGATGCCATTCAGCTTAAGGCCAAGCCTCCACAACAACTCTCCTCTTGCTTAGGACCTGGGATGGTGGTGTGCCTGGTTGCAATGCCAGTGGCTGGAGCCCACTCCACACTTGCTTCTCAGAACGGGCCGCAAGGGTTCATCCCCCGCTCAAGCCCCAGTCCTGCAAGCACCACCCAAGTTCTCCCATGCACAGCCTGTAAGAGCTCCGATCCAGAATGTTGTCCCACAGCAGCCAGCCAGGTTTCAAAAAGGGTGTAGGACATTCCCTGGAGCAGTTCCATATCATAGTCTTCTTGCCACTCCCCAGGTTAAGATTCGTGGTGTGGGAGAGTCAAGGTGCTCTCCTACGGCCTGGATTGTATAATTCCCCAGTGGGAAAGTGGACAGCAGAAAGGCACTCACTCACCCTCTCCCATTTGGGGGATTCGCTCCCCTTTCCCAGCTGGCCTCAGCCACACAGCTTTCCTGTTTTCTTTCTTCCTGGATTTCAAAGCTTCCTCTCACTTTTTTGTTGAACTCCCAAGTTCTTTCTTGAACACTGCATTTAAAGTGCAGTTGTCTGCACACTTGCTTGGTTTCTCTAAGCGGATGAGATTACTGGAAATGCTTGTAGTCAGCCATCTTGAAAAAAAAGATCTTGTGTTTTAAGCATCATTGTGTGTTTGCCAACAGGAAGCATACTGTATGTAAATATTGAATTGTTATATACCTTGGATTTCTTTTCTCCTTTCATTCTTTTAAGTTCTCTGCACCCTTATGAGCATGATTTCCTAATCCACAGCACAATTTAGCCTGGAGGGGTGTGCAATCATTGTTATTCCATGTGTTCTGGTCTTTCTCACCAGCTACATTTGATATTAAAATAGATGATATTTACTTATTTCCATGAATTCCCTCATCTCTCCTGCCCTCAGCTCCTAACAACAGACAGATACTTATTTATTCATTTGGTCAACAACTCTTTCTTTAATATGTGCTATGTGCCCAGTTCTATGCTAACACTGGGGCACAACAGTGAGAAAGAGAGAGAAAGAGGAGAGAGAAAAAAAAAAAGCCAAAGTCTTTTCTCTCAAAGAGCTCACAAGCTAGGAGAAGACACAGCAATTACTTTTAAAGAGCCAAGGGAAAACATAGTTACAACTGTGAAAAGAGCCATGTGGGAAAAACACATGACACTATATGAGGAAAAAATATCTTTGTCAAGTAGGTCAAGGAAGGCTTCCTTGAAATAGTGATGATTAAGCTTAACTCTGGAAGGCCAGCAGAAGCTAACTAGACAGAAAAGGGGGAAGCAGAATGGTGTCTTAGTCACAGGGAATAGCATGTGCAAAGGTCCTGTGACAGAAAGAAGAACAGGCTCTGGAGTGAGGGGAGGGTAATAAAAGGGGAGATAGCTTTGTTAAGGATGTTGGTCTTCATCCTAACAGCAATAGGTAGTCATTGGGGATTTCAAGGAAAAAGGTGAAAAAAATCAGATTCTATTTAAAAGATCATTCTACTTGCTGTGTGGAAAATGGATTGGGCTGGAGGTGGCAGATCAGAATGAAAGCAGGAGACCAGATATGAAACTCAAGCCATTGTCCAGGCAGAAAGGACAGATGGTGGGTTGGACACGGGTGGTGGCAGTGGAGATGCAGAAAAGCAAACAGGTTTGCACAATGTTTTGGAGGCAACATTGCCAGGGGGTGGGAGTGAATTTGATATGCAGAGAGAATGTGGAGTCAGATGAGTCCGTGATTCCTGGCCTATTAATGAATGGAGAATAAACACTGGGTTGGCAGCATGAGACAGCCCCGGGGCCCTTCCTGACAACCTTGCCTGTCTCTCTGTAATGCTGAGAGCCTGTTTGCCATCTCCTGGGTATGTCTGATAGGGTTGCTGCACTATTTACTGTATCTGCTCATCAGGAGGACAAAATCATCTCAGTCTACCCAACAAACTGCCTTCAAGATCATTATCTCTGAAGGCCCCCATGGAGCCATGTGCAACTCTGAAAGCATTTCCAGGGAATGGTGGGCTGGCTTCATAAACGCTAAGTGAAATTCTGTGTTTCTGCCAGACACATTGATATATAGAACAATGCTGGTAAGGGTTCCCGCGTGGGATTTTTTTTAACCCACCTGGGAGGTATCCCCTGAACGGCAGTTGACAATTAGCTGCTAAGTAAAAGGAGGCACTTATTTTTATTGCGGTCCTTGACAGCTTTATGTTCACTGTTTAAAAGCTGGAGAGTCCTGTGTGTAAAGGTGAGTGGCGAGGGGAAGTGCTGGGGGAAGAAGGGCCGGGAGGGCTGGGGCAGGTGCAGACAGATCCCATGGTTTCCTTTTTGGAGTCAGAACCTGAGCAGTATTTGCAAGCATGTGCTGATCTGGAAGTGAGAGAAGAGGGTTCTTCCAGTCTGGGGAGGAGGGAAGGCCTGAGGCTGGCTCATCGGAGGCGTGAGTCTTCGGCCCTGCCATGCCTCACATCCCCAGGATGCCGCGGTGGGAACTGGGCTGTGGCTTTCCTGCCCTGGCACTGCTTGTTTGCTGGGATTTCAGGAGGAAAACCCCCAAGCTCCGAAAGAAAGGTATTTCTTTTTTATTTTGTAGTTCACTTCTTCCACTAGAAGACTCGTTTCCCAGAGCCTCTACCCTCTCCTGTCAGGGGTGGGGAGCGCTTCTGGAACTGATACCCTGGGAAGGAGGTATCAGTGCTGAGCGGGCAGGCACAGTGTGTATGGGGGTGGGGAGCTCTCCCTGAGGCCTGGGCTGGGCTAGAGGCAGGGTGGGGAGGGGCTCTTGTCCTGATCTTAGGAGTGTTTCAGTGATGACAAAGGAGGACCAAGGTAGGGAGGGAGGTGACAGTTGCTCTTTCTATTTCCACTTCCCCAAAGCAACCCAGTTTCCTGGAGTTTTCCAGCAAATCTAAGGAAGGGGTTGAGGGTTAAGGGGTGGAGATGGATTGTGGGGAGAGCTAGGGCAGTTACTAGTGTGGTAGTGAGGCCTCACCCTTCTGTGGTTGTTCAGGATGGGGTCCAAAATTTTAGGTCTGAGGACTGGAGACAAGGCGAACATGGTATGAGGGGAGGTGGGGCTGGCATGGGCTGGCATGGTCTGGCATTAGAGGAACTCCCTTGAGACTTTATGATCTCTGAACTTTTATTCCATTAGCTTTAAACTCTAAAGGGAAATAAAGCACTGAATATAGAATCACAGGGTAAATATGACCTCGGAAAAATTCCTGACTCAAATCTCAGTTTTCTCATCTGTAAAATGGAACAATAATATTTACTTTGTAGAGTTCTCATGAGGACTAAATGAGATAGCACATGTGAAAGTATCTGGGGTCAGTTCTCAGCATAAAATTAATGTCATTAATTACATTGGTTAATAGTTATAATTATCATATTACATATATTATAATTACATTATGGTAATTATATTACTTATAATTATTATAATAAATTCATGAAAATTTATACCTATTAAGATGGAAATGCTCTGCTAATGGCCAAAGGGGTGACAATTAGGACCCAGAGGTCAGACACTGGTATAACTCAGGACCAGGTCTTTGGAGTTCCAGGGATGTTTCTGATTCCAAACTCCTCATGTGATCTGAGATTAAGAGTGACAAAACCTGACTTAGCCAAGCTAAAAAAAAACAAAGATGATTTTTCTCTCATGTAAGAAGTGACACTGTTGGTCCTGATGTCTCCAGAGCATCCAGTGGTTGGTTCTTGTTGAGAGAATAGCTTTGACGGATTTCTAGGCTGCAGATGTCAAGTTCAAAGTCTTCATCATATGGGTGATATTTAAAGTGGTGAGACTCTGAGAAAGTGTGCAGATGAGGGAGGGAGGCCCTGGGACCCTCCAACATGTAGAGGACAGCAAGGACAGGAAGAATCCTCAGAGGAGGCTAAAAGCATCTGATGAGACACACGGAGAACCAAGAGGGACTGGTGTGCCAAAAGCCACATGAGAAAGTGTCCCAAGAAGAAGGAGGTGGCTTGCTGTATCACTTGCTGCTGATAGAGTAGTTAAGATGAAGACAGAGAATTTCATCTCAGATTTTAAAATGTAAAGGCCATTGGTCTCCTTGACAAGAATAGGTTTGGGGAAGTACTGAGTAGAGAAAAGGGGCAGAGAATGGGAGGAATGGGAGGCAGCAGGTAGTGACAGCTCTCTGAGGTCCATCACATACCAGGTTCTGAAAACAGATGCTGAGCCAGATGGACTGTCTGCCTTTGAGGGGTCCACAGTCCAGTGGAAGAGAGGGATGTTTAAGTGAATCATCATAAAATTACATGACAGTGATAACATCGAGGAACACACAGGGAGCTCTATGAGTAGAGGAAAGAGTGACCAGTTTTCTCTGAGAAGACATCCAAATTCAGAAGACTGGGTTTCCAGGTGGAGAGTAGGAGGAAGGGCATTCTCTTGAGAATTTTTTAAAAGCAAAAACCATTTTTCATTCTTCCTTTCATACTCTCTAACTATCAAAGAGCCTGGCCCACAGCAAATGCTCAGCCTACATTTGTTGAATGACTTTGTGAATTCTGGTGGAAGGAATTTGCAAGAAACAGAGTTGCAAAAGAAACCATTATAACGATATAGGCAGCAGCAGTGGGAATAGGGAGCTTGTTTAAAGCATATTTGGAATGTACCAACCTAGGCCGGGCGCGGTGGCTCATGCCTGTAATCCAGCACTTTGAGAGGCCAAGGTGGGCAGATCACGAGGTCAGGAGATCGAGACCTTCCTGGCTAACACGGAGAAACCCCGTCTCTACTAAAAATACAAAATATCATCCAGGTGTGGTGGCACGTGCCTGTAGTCCCAGCTACTCGGGAGGCTTAGGCAGGAGAATCTCTTGAACCCGGGAGAAGGAAGTTTCAGTGAGCCAAGATTGCGCCACTGCACCCTAGCCTGGATGACAAAGCAAGACTCCATCTCAAAAAAAAAAAAAAAAAAAAAAGAATGTGCCAACCTATTTGGGGAGAGTGAAGAGTGTTGCGGATAATTCTAATGCTCACAATTTTGCTAATTGGGTTAGTTAAGTGCAGGTACCTTGTATTAATGGCTTTGTATTTTCAGTGCCTAGGAGAGTACCTGGCACTTGATGATGGAATGAAGCTATTGCCTTTGAGGAAGGCTACAGGAGAAGCAGTGATTTAGGGATGGGATGATAGTGAGATTAGAGAAGATACTGGGAGAATTGCCATTAGACATTGAACTTATGGGAATAGAGGAGAAAGAGAGAGAGAGAGAGAGAGAGAGAAAAGATGGAAATAGATATGATATAACTACATATACAATGATAAAATAAAACACTTTTTTTATGAGTATAATACTAAAGAGAGAAAAGCAAATGTTGGTCATTTGCATGAGAGCTGAGGTGGGGGATTATTCTTTCATAAATTATATCTATCAATCCATATGTACACACACATATATCCATATATACACATATATCCATATATACACATATGTGTGTGTATATATATACACACACATATATACACATATATATACACACATATACATACATACATATATATATATATAGAGAGAGAGATCTGGACCAGATATGCAGATTAATAAGTTATAAGTTTATAGGTGATATCTAAATGTGTGGAATCATATGCACTTTCCTAAGGAGAATACTAGAGTGAGAAGAAAAGAAGCCTGAGTTGGAATCCCAGGAAATGATGCACCAAACGAGCAGGTGGAAGATGGAGCACAGTCAAAGACACTTGAAAGGAGTCATCAGTGACATGAGCATAGAACAGGAATGATTGGATTTATTGCAATGTAGGGAGAAAGTATTGAAGAGGAAGGAGAATTAACAACATCAGTCTTCAGAGAAGATCAGTAAGTAGGGTGTGGAATGAACATTAGGAGAGCACTAGAAATCTTAGTGAGCAGATTTAGTGAAGAAGTGCAGGCTAATGAAACCAGATTGTGATGGGTTGAGAGGCTGAGTAGTGAGTGATAAGTGAGGAAGTGGGGCAGACATCTCTCTAGAAGTAGACATTTTTATTACAAGTATATGGTAAAGAGAAGGAAGGCAAATGTTGGTCATTTGCATGAGAACTGAGGTGGGAGATTATTCTTTCATAAATGGCAAAGACTTAGACCCACGTGGGATCTTTCAATTGAAAGAGAAAATTTCAACATACAAAGAGAAACAGTAAGTACTGGAAGAGATGGAAGGAATGGAACCCACAGTTCAAGAAGGCATCATCCTAGATGAAAGGTAGGGCCCTTTTCTTCCTCTGGGAGAAGACAGGAACACAGAGGAGAAAGGATGGGAAAGGCAGGGACTGGAGATGAGGGAGTTCACTCGTAACCCTCCATTTGATAATGGAAGGAAAGAGGAGCCAAGATCACCTGTTGAGACAGAGAAGGGAGGGAATGGGTGGGGAGCTCAACAGGAGTGGCAAAAATTTGGAACCAGTGTCTTGCAGAGATTGGAAGGATAAATTTCCACAATATGGTTGTGCATGGTCTTTTGTAGTTCTCAGTGGCCTGATGAAGACACGCAAAGGGTAGTAGGAAGCAGCAGGGCGGGGATGTTGAAGAAAAAAGTATGGGTCAGATTAATATTGAAAGGGCTGCATTTGAGGCATGAGAGAAATAGAGGATGAAGGCAGGACAAGGCTGATAGACTGGGATGAGGAGAAAAGCTAGAGAACTAGACATATATTAAGGTGCAAGAAGGAGCTTGGCCCCAAATCATCTGCAAGGTGGAGCATCTCCTATAAGACCTCAGAAATGGAGCTTGAATTTGAAAGCTTTGACTTCTCTGTGCACATCCTTACATTGTGTTTGTGCTATCTTTCCCCATCAAGTCCAGTGGACCTCTGGAGCCTGAGTTTCAACTGTTCCAAGAGACATCTGCCTCTCTCATTGAAGGGCCCCTCTCTGGACCTCTCAAAAGAGAATTTTCCTGATGCTATCTGGTCTGTTTTAAGTCGGAATATTTCAATCATGTCCTATCAATTTGGTGAAAAGATCTGTCCAGCTCCTTTTACAGACAAATAGAAACCTAATTCCATATGGTTATTGAAATTTTCTAATTGTTTCTCACCATGTTTTGTGTGACCCCTCAAAGGCAGACAGTCCATCTGTTATGTTATTTTCATAACTTGTTGGCAAACTCATTAAAAGCAGGAACAAGGTCTTCCATGTCCCTTGTCTGTACAACCCATTCCATGGAACCTGGTGCTGGCACATGGCAGGGCACTCAATGCATGCTAGTGGGAAGCTGAATTCATATATCAAGGAGATTCCTATTAGTGTTTAAACTAAAGAAATGCCGAATAACCATTAGTCATGTGAAATACTTGCTTAAAGACAAATTGATTCATTAAATCCTTCAGCAAAATTTGTTGACTGTCTACCTTTTGCCAGGGGTTACACTAGACATTGGGGATGAAAACAGCCTTTCCTCCTATTCTCAGTAGCAGGGAGCTTACAATCATGCAGATGACACAGGTACATACAAATCATGATCACAGAGTGCGGGAAGGATTGGGATATTCAAGAAACAATACGGTGCACAGAGTAGGATGTAGTCCCTCCATCTGGATGTCAGGAAGGCATGGCAGATATGATGATATTTGAGAGGGGCCAAGGAGGAGAAAAAGAATTTTGTCCTCTTTGTCCTCCTGGTGCAGCCAGGGAAGGGGGAGAGCAGACTGGACAGGGAGGAGACTGTTCAAGGACATGGAGACTGCAGAGCATTACGTTTTGGAAACGTCAGTGTGAGTTGCTTCTTGGGGCATGGCAGGACATCAGGCCAGGAAAGCAGGTGGGTGCCAAGCCTTGAGGAATGCCAGCCTTGATTCTCAAACTTTAGCCACAGAAGTATCTAATCACAGTCTCACCGCAATGCAATAAGTGAAACGAACAACAGCCAAGCAGATTTGGTGGTAGTGGGGAATACAGAGGCCACCTATTCAGCTCCTTCTAGATTCCACACTCTCACCTCCCAACACCTGATGTGATGAAAGAGGAGTCCCTGATGAACTGCCAGGGCTTTAAATGTCTATTTGAAAACCATCACTGTGGCAGTTGGGAGAGAAGCAGATGAGTACTGAAAACCAAGAGAAAGGCGCTCAAGCAGAATGATGCTTTAGAAAGGCAAGCAGCAGGAGGGTTTCGAACATGATAGAGAGAAGAGACTGTAGCGGTTACAGGTGAGAGAGGAGGCTGGCCTACGCTGGGTAGTGGGTAGGAGCGGAAAAGAACATGAGGGTCAAGAGCCTGGTACAGCTCTATACAGGTGGAATCCACAGGAACTCGAGGTGGGATGGAGGGGACCAACGTGAGAGAGAGAATCATGGGGAGAGTCAAGTGACTTTGCAAACGGATGTCCTAGGGATTGAAGTGCTGGGTGCAGCAGAGCCCTGATTATGGCAGAGGGAAAGTCACGCAGGACAGGACAGAAGCCACGGCCTGTCTTCTGAACCTCCAGGGTATGGAAGCCTGGTGGGAGAATGGATAGGCAGTGGTTGTCCTGATTTGTAAATTTGTCTTCTCACACTGCCGGTGCGGGGAAACTGTGGAGCAAAGTTTCTCCACGCAGACAGAGCTGGGGTGGAGCTGGCCCACACTTGCTTTGCTGGAGGCAGGGTAATTTGGGAAAATATTTTTGGAAAGCAATTTGCATGCCATCAAGTTATAAAAATGTTCAAACCTCTTGACCCAGTAATTCTACACTTGGGAATTTGTCCTAAGGAAATAGTTCAAAAGAATGAAACGCTTTTGTTCATGCATCCAAATGTTAATTAATTAGAAATTATGCATTGTACTGCATACATTCCAGGATCTCTGCCAGGTGAATGAACGTGTTTGCTGTGGCAATGTTTATAATTAGGACATAGTAAACAACCTAAATTATTTTAAATGCCACAGTGGTTTAGTGAGATGAAACATCTATGTGATAGACTACAGTAGTCCCTCTTTATCCTTGGGGGGATACATTTCAAGACCGCAGTGGATGCCTGAGATCTCAGGTAGTACTGAACCCTATACACATTATGTCTTTTCAGTCTTATAACTGAGACAACTACTAAGTATAACTGAGACAACTACTACGCGACTCCTGGGCAAGTAGTGTATATAACGTGGATACACTGGACAAAGGGATGACTCACATCTTAGGCTGGACCGAGCGGGACCGCGAGAGATTTCATCATGCTACTCAGAATGACATGCAATTTAAAACTTATGAACTGTTTGTTTCTGGAATTTTGCATTTAATATTTTCAGACTGCAGTTGACCGTGGATAAGGGAGGATGCCATACTGTGTTATGCTTTACTACTCTGTGACGCCAGTGGAACTCAAAACGGCCTGCTTGCTGCCGTGGTTAAGGCATATTGTTGGGAGTTCACTGCCTAGGCCTGAATCCCAACTGTGTCATGCTCTGAGCTGCCTGACTTTGGCAAGTGTCTAAGGCTCAGTGTCTTTAACAGTAAGGTGCGTGTGACATTAATACCATCTCATGGGGTTGCTGTCAAGGTTAAAGGACAAAAAGTGTGCAATTCCTAGCAAAAGAATTCAGTAAAAGCCAACCATTATTTTAAATATGTAAGAAATGTGGGTCAATATAAAAAGACTGATAAAGACTGCCTCAAATTTACAGGCCCCTATTTATAGCTTCAGGAAATATTCTGAGTGATTTATCTCCCATATTTTGTCTAGTATCATTGCAATAAAACCTGTGAAGACACAGGTGACACAGAAAGTCAAGAAATAGTTCATCCAAGGAAGCACAGAATGACGGGCAGGTTCTGTTTGCTCTCTCCTCAGCAGTGTTTGGCCAGCGCTTGGATGAGACTGTGGCCTATGAACAGAAATTCGGCCCCCATCTGGTGCCCATCCTGGTGGAGAAATGTGCAGAGTTCATCCTGGAGCACGGCCGGAATGAAGAGGGCATCTTCCGTCTGCCTGGGCAGGACAACCTGGTGAAGCAGCTGAGAGACGCTTTTGATGCTGGGGAGCGGCCCTCCTTTGACAGGTACATTGCCCCACTGCAGTGTCCCACCTCTGCCCTCCCCTCTGCTTGGCTTGGCTGGGAGGGCCTCTCCATTCCAGTTGAGCTATGGGACTTGCATAGAGACTTCTAAGAGCCCTGGCTTACAACAGAAAGAGCCTTTGTTTCGCCCATGATTGGGAATTTGGGAGACGGGAGCACAGTTAGGAGAGTGTGCAGATAGTTTATGTGACAGATGATGTGAACCAGAACTGGAACCCTGCTGGGCAGATTCAGGTGATGTTTAAGGCACAGGAGAAGGTGATGTGCAGAGGAGGGGAGAAAGATGGGACGTTGCCTGAGGCTCACCCTTCAGGACAGATGAGGAACATGGAAGAGCTGAGCTGTACAAACACTCAGTGTAGTGGAGAATGCACCAGATCTATATCCAAGGGCACCAGCGGCTTTCGTTAGCATTCCAGAAGTGGCTAGAACCAGGACTTCTTGTTAGTTTCCTGGATCACAGTACTACGTGATTCTGACTCAGTTCTGAGCCCTTTTGCAGGAGCACATCCTGATATCTTGGCCGCCTGGCATTCCTAAGTGTGGAGGTCTCCCAGCCCTGTTTGGGGCATATCAGGCATAGTGACATTTCCTCCCACCACCCCCTTCCTCCCCACCTTCTCCAGCCACTCAGCTGAGGTTTCCTTCTCTGCCACACTCAGCTAGTAAAATCCCCACCCGATGTTGTGCAATCTCCACCCCAGTTGCCTGCGTGAACTTGTCCTGCTGGCATAAGATTGACTGCTCTTTCCAAATTAGCAGCCCATAAACCAAGGTTTAATAAGATGGGCCTGAACTCTACCCAGTTTCCAAAAATGAAAGTTGCTAAGCTTATTTTGGACAATGGGGTTGGGTTGATTCTGAGAAAATTGTGAAGACCTAAGTGTCATCTTGTGTAGAAGCTCCCTCACCCCTCACTCTAATCACCAACGCCGCCCATTTTTCCTCCAAAGCTTCTCTGAGGTCTATATGTTTCTCTCCATGCTTATGGCCACAGTTGTAGTTTGGACAACCATAGGGGTGTCTTTCTTGCCCTTAATAAGTTAATTTCCCATGGGTGCTATATTTTAGCACCCTAGGAAGCAAGAGATGGGGTTCTTATTGGAACAATAGCCCGTTATTGGCATCAAACACAGGGACCTTTCAGCAGCACCATAAACTGCACCTTGTTATCAGGCACTTGTTCCATTATGCTCACCACCTTTATATTCAGTTTCTTTTTATGTTTTCAGTTAACCTTGGCCTGAAGAAAGATACAGGTGGGTTGTTGCTAGAGCAATGCCATATAGTGTGCCAAAAGGAATAGAGGTGATTGCTGGGATATGCCAAATAACTGCCTTAGGCTCTAGCCTATGCACTATGGAGTTGGCATGGGTGGTGGTGTGGGAATCTTTGATTATTTTGAAATATTTGAGGCTGGAAGAAGGAAAATTACCTTACCTTGCGACATCTCCACCCCTAGAAGTGAGGGGTAGGGTTTTTACACATCCAGAAATAGGAAAGGTCATCGGGGGCTTTTCAGGGGCTTCGCAGGGGCAACTCTTAGGTCCACATAACCCTTGAGAGGACAAGTCTGATTTGGGAGGTATGACTGACTCTTATTTGATTCTTATTATTTAGTTACATTTGGGCATATTTAGGAGAGACCAGGTCTTCTCTCTCCTATTCCACTCATGATTCTGAAAACCCTCTTTTCCCCTTTTTCTGCCCTCTCTCCACCCCCTTTTATACTCCCCTACTTCTCATTCCATGGTGTGTTTTGGTGTTGAGGGCTGTGCCCCGCAATGGGCAGAGCATAGAATGCCGGATGCATAGGGTAGGGAAAGGAGGGGAGGGGCTTACAGGGATCAGGCTGACTTTGGGATCATAGAATTGACAAAACCAATAACTCAAGACAGGTCAACAAAACTGGCAAATTAACTCTGAAGTGAAAGTGACCAGTGTTAGATGATTTCCTGAGAGTGATTCTGGCCTGGGAGTGGGAGAGGAAGAGACCAGCCTTGAGACAGTGTTAACCTGAATTGTGTGTGGGAGTTCTGAAGAGGGGCAGTGTGAAAGGGGGTGGAAAGAGGGCAGGAAAGGGGGAAAGGGAGGGTTTTCAGAGTCAAGAGCAGACCAGGAGTGAGAAGCTATGGTTGTAGCTTTTTCTGCCTCCTATAAAAGGAATTCTAGGAGTCAGTGGGTGGAAGAAGGGGTATTTGGGAGAGCAAGGAGCTCCCTCTTGCTGTCCCCAACTTCACGGCTGTGGGAACTCACCCAGATCCTCTGCATTGGTTATGTGCTGGATTCCACCCCAAGATGCCCCCATTACCTCACTAGAATGAAGGTGAGCAAAGTTGCTGTTTGGTGAGACTAGTGCAGGTCTTTCTGGTCTCCTTAGACACAAAAATGTGAACTTTAAAATCTCCTTGCCAAGTTTCTACCAGGATGGACACTGCCTGGCTACAAAGCTAACACACTTCTCACCCCTATGTGTCTGTGAGAAATGCACTTACAGACATGCCACATTACAAGCATCAATGCCCCCAGGGAAGGGCTGGCAGAACCATCTGAGTCTTGGGTAATCCCTAGTGCATCAGCCGTTGAACCCAGAAGCCACCTGGCTCCTGACTTACTCTTAGCCCTTGATTAAAAAAAAAAAAAAAAAAAGAATCATTTAAGGGTGCTCTATTGGGTTAGAGGAACAGCAAACTCAGAAAAAATAATGCTACAAATTTAGACCATAAAATAGACATCTGAGTTAGCCCTAGTACAATGGGGTGCTCACATTAAAATAAAAATTTATAGAAATAATTGTTTAAGTTCCATGGTGTTAAGTGCTAAAAAGGAAACTCAACACTATGAAAACTTAGAACAGGGGCTTTTCACATGGTCTTGTGTATTTAGGGAGGTCCCCAAGAAAATGACATTTAAGCTGAGACCCAATAAACAAGAATGAGAGTTAGCAAGGCCCAGCAGTGGGCATGGCTTGTCAGGATTATTTTTGGTGAAATGAACTGGGAAGCTTTCTGTAAGTTTCAGTGTTGTAAGATGATTTATATAGCTAATTTTGCTCTTTTATTATAACTTTGAAGTATCCATGGTGTAGCTGTATTTATAATCCCTTTCTCTTTTCTAATGATGGATGCTTTTGCTGTCTAAATTTCTCCTGATTAAACTGTCTAGGTGTCTTTTTTATTGTTGTTGTTTCTCTTCAAAAGTTCAAAAGATCCAATTTCTTTTCTTTTCTTCTCTTTTTTTTTTTTTTTTTTTTTGAGACCAAGGCTAGAGTGCAGTGGTTTCACCCAGGCTAGAGTTCAGTGGTGTGATCTTGGCTCACTGCAACCTCTGCCTCCTGGATTCAAGTTATTCTCCTGCCTCAGCCTCCTGAGTAGCTGGGATTAAAGGCACCTGCCACCACGCCCAGCCAATTTTTGTATTTTTAGTAGAGATGGGGTTTTGTCCTGTTGGCTAGGCTGGTCTCGAACTCCTGACCTCAAGTTCTCCACCCGCCTTGGCCTCCCGAAGTGCTGGGACTACAGACATAAGCCACTGTTCCCAGCCAGGATCCAGTTTCTTGAATTATCCTTTACACTGTTTCTTCCCTTTCAAACTCTGTTTTCTTCACTCATTCCATTGGTGTGTTTTGGTGTTGAGGACTGTGCCCTAGAGTGGGCAGAGTATAGAATGCTGGAGGCATAGGGTAGTGAAAGGAGGGGAGAGGCTTACAAGGATCAGTGTGACTTTAGGATAATAGAATTGAAGGGATTTGGAAGACTGATTGGATGGGGGTGAAGGAGAGGTCCCAATCAAACAGGAGTCCCAGGATGCTGATAGAGACAAATGGGTGGATTGCAGTGTAGGGACTTTAGGAAGATGCAACTTTTGGACTTTGGGAGAATTCTGCTCCTGCAAATTGTCAGCTGACTGTCTTTCTGCCACTTTCTCGGGAACTTCTCATAACATATTTTGACAAAAGTACTTTTTCTAGCCTGGCTTTGCCTTGGGTATTTTTGGGCAGTGACTCAGCAGGGAAGGATTTTCCAGAATCCCCATGTTAAATGAATGGTTCCTACCCCAGATTTCCTGAGGGCAGCCATGGAGCATAGAGTGGGCTCTGTGCCAGCCCGTGTTCTCCTATTGAGGTAGAGTTCACAGGCTGCAAAGGGGAAGCCTTTTCAGAGACAGCTACAACAACTGGCTGTCAAAACCAAAGTAAAATGCACACAAAGCACCAAGACAGAGCTTTACAATCAAGCCCCAGTATTCTTGCTTCTGTTGCCTCACATGCCTCCCTTCTCCTCCTCTTGTCCAGATCCACCCCTCCCTTCCCTCCTAGGACCAGGAGACATGTTCTCCAGCCTATTCTATATTTCTCATCACTGAAATCAAGGAGATTCCAAGGTTATTCTGGACCTCTTGCCACATCACAGCTTTTCACGATGCTACCAGGGCTGCTACCTAAGAATGCCAGGTTTTATCAATATGAAATAAACAAACATTTCTTCAATAATCAGCTTCAGGAATATGGTAGTGAATCTTATTTTCCCTTGTAGTGTTGCAGAATCAATGCAATCGCCTTGTAAGCCAGGGGTCAACAAACTTTTCTTAATGGGCCACATATTAAATATTTAGGCTTTGCAGGCCAGATGGTCTTTATTGCAACTATAATACTCTGCTCAGTACATAAATGAACAAGTGTGGTGGTGTTCTTCTATAATTTTACTTACAGATGCTGACATCTGAATTTCCTGTAATTTTTACATCACGACACACTCTTCTTCTTGTGAGTGTTTTTTCCCCCAGCTATTTAAAAATGTAAAAATAATTCTTAGCTCCCAGGCTGTACAAATAGAGGCAGTGGGACAGATTTGGCTCCTGGCCCGTGGCTTGCCAAGCCCTCCTGTAAATGGAGAAGCTGAACTGAACAGCCGTGCCTCTTTCAGTCAATCAGGCCCACGGGGAGGCGTCCTCTCCTCATGCTCCAGGCTGACACACATGCTGCCTGCCTCATGCCCTAACTCCTCACCGCCTTTCAGAGTTCATCTGAGGTACTCTTTCATCTGACAAGTCACCTATGTGTTCCCATCTCTGCCTTGGGTGTTCTTTTTCCATACTTCCATAGGATCCTGGGTCCTGGGCTTCCCATATCATGGCATTAGCCGCACAGTATTGTAAGGACATTTTAATACTTGAGTCCCCAGAGTTCTGTGGCTCGATGGGGCCAGGGCTCCATCCCTGGATTGGATGGCTACTGATGTCCCTTGGATTGGCTACTGAAATCCCAGTGCTTGACAAGTATCTTGCAGTATCTTGCACCTAATAGGTTTTCTTGATGCTTATTGATTGAGTGAATTATTGAGTAAATACGTGAGTGAACCTCAGAACTATTTTAAGCACTCTGGAAGATTAAAGAGAAGAATGGACCAAGGATATAAAGGAGTTAACACAAGCAATATTAGAGACTAATTAGACAATGCTAATTGTGAGGCACTAAATGACTTGAAGAAAGAAGAAAGCAATAAAGACGAAAATCATTAAGGAACGTTTAGTAAAAATGTAGACCTTGAACTTACCTTTGAGGTAGTTGGGTGGAAGAGACAGAGGAACATTTATTCAAGAATGTTGTTCCAGAAGGGCGAATTAACAAAAATGTTTTGGTCTGATTCTTCTTTATCAGACTACTCCTCTGCAAAATTTCCCTTTGTAATTTATGGTTCTATTCACTGAATCATCAGAATGGAAGAGAGGAACATCCTAAAGTTTTTCTTTCAAAGAGTTTCACAGAGCGTTGCTTATTTTCTTCCAGAGACACAGATGTGCACACTGTGGCTTCCCTGTTAAAGCTCTACCTCCGAGACCTCCCAGAGCCCGTGGTTCCCTGGAGCCAGTACGAAGGGTTCCTGCTCTGTGGGCAGCTCACGAATGCGGATGAGGCAAAGGTTTGCATCTTAGAGTTAGTTGTCCTGCCTTAGAAGAAAGTGATTGGTTTTCTGGACACTAATCCAGTAGGCAACAGTGGGTCAAGGGGCCTGTACTTTTTGGTAAGATAGTCAAATGCAACTTCCTCAGCAACAAAAGGTATATGAACTCAATCATAATGACTGGCAAACCACAGCCTTCATGAGATGCAATAATCCAATAAAGAATTGGACCATAATCAAATACTGCTAGATCACATTAAAAGTAGTGAGAAAAGGAGGATACATCGGAGGACGGTTTCAAGCATGATGGCCTTGCTGAGACTTGCTGGGACACAAGGACAGGCTGGAAGGCAGGTGTGAGGTCACATAGCTCAAGCTCTACAGCAGCTGTGAGTGTCAGGCGTGGTCATCCAAGGAATGCATGTGCCAGGGAGAAGAAGGACAGGGAGGGTTTTTTGATTGTTTTTCTTTTCAGCCACAGCTGCCTGTAGGGTCTGTAACCACCATCTGCAATATGCTTGTGAGAGTGCACAAGTTCACTAACAAGATTTTTGATCCTGTATAAATTTATTTCTAGAGAGGCCTTATAGTCAACAATGACCACACTGTAGTCATGTTATTATAATCAACCAACCAACCAAACAACCAAAGAAACTGATGAAACCCAACCAACAACAATAAACCTTGATGATTTTTAAACAAGATTTTCAAATCCAAGTGATCCATGAAGAAGTTGATGTTTATATCGACTATGTTAAAAGCCCTCTCTGGCAAAATGGTGCACAGAAAAATCTATAATGAGACCTAGATTTAACCTTGATTTTGCCATTAGACAAATTATGCATCTTTTATAAGACTCAGTTTATTTACTTAGACCAATAGAACTTTCTATGGTAATGGAACTTTTATATATCTGCACCGTTCAATATGGTGACCACCAGCCACACATGGCTATTGGGCATCTAAAATGTGGCTAGTGCACCTGGGAAGCCAAATTCCTAATTTTATTTAATTTTGATTTAGTTAAATTTAAGTAGTTACATGTGGCAAGTAACTGCTATATTAGACACCACAAACTTAGATAATTTTCATAGTAATATCAGCCATGCCTAGGATTGTTTTGAGGACCCAGGGATATGATACTGGTGGGTGACTTTAAAATTTTTTTCAATATAAGGGAAGGTTTATTATCTTCCACACTTCAAAATTTATTAGATAGTCTGCTTCATAGAATATATTTATTTAAAACGAATGAAGAAATAGCACCCTAGCCCTGCAAGAAAACACAGCTGTGAGAACTTCCATCCCTGACTAAGGGTGGGGAGAGCATCATGATTTGAATAGATCCTGACATAAGAGAAAAGCTGACTTTATATTTCAAAATTAAGAAAGGAAGAGAACATGATACAGGTTTTGTAGCTCTTTTCCAAACAAAAATTAGATTGCATGGATCTGAGGTACGATATTTTGTGCGTAACTTAAGAATTTTATTGGGGGAGGGAGAAAGGGATATGAAAAGTCTTAACTTATACTGGTATATCTGCTCACCATTGTGAAAGTAATAAAATTTTATGGAATAAGGTTTAAAAGGCAGCTAAAAAGATAAACGTTTCAGATCGCATCTCACCCCTGGGTTCTGGGGAAAGTAAAGGAGGCAGCTAGATGCTGTTCTGACAATAAGATTCCCACCCCTGCACTCACTTTAGACTTGCTTCTCCCAGCTTTCTTAATCTCAGCATCTTTGAGAGTTTCCACATCTGTGGCAATGCATGTCTACACACAGGGACCAAGGTCCTTCTCACTGGTGAAAACATGGCAGAGGTGGCAGCTAGGAGGGGTGAGTCTGTAGCAACCTTTGCAATGAATTTACTCGACTCAACTGAAGAAGGGATCTCAGCATGAAGCTGATGCTACGCTAAGAAGGTCTATATCTACGGAAGCTGCTGCGTGTAGGCTGACAAGGCTGGAGGGTGCGTTTTCTGCAGGAGAGCTGCTCAGGTTTGAGGAGTGCCTGCACACCGGCATGTGAATTGTGTACTCTCTTTTTTTTTTTTTTTTTTTTTTTTTGAGATGGAGTTTGGCTCTTTCGCCCAGGCTGGAGTGCAGTGGCGCGATCTCAGCTCACTGCAATCTCCGCCTTCCGGTTTCAAGCGATTCTTCTGCCTCAGCCTCCCGAGTAGCTGGGGTTACAGCCGTCCGCCACCACGCCCGGCTAGTGAATTGTGTACTCTCACAAGCACCATGTTGCAGATGGTGATTACAGACCCTACAGGCAGCTGTGGTTGAAAAGAACACGGAAAAGCTCGCTGTCCCTCTTCTCTCCAGCACATGCATTCCTAGTAGACCTTGCCTGACATCCACGGCCATCCATTGCAGAGCTTGAACAGTCTGACCTTGCACCGTCCTCCAGCGTGGTCTGCCTGTCTCTGTGTCCCGGCATGTCTCAGATAGGCCACAGTGCTTGAAATCCTTCTCAGAAGAATCCTCCTTTTCTCACCAGTCTTAAAGTGATTCTGAGATATCTTATTGTGGTCTTATTCTTTATTGGATTGTTACCTCTCAAGCATTCATTCAGCAAACAATTAACGTATGAGTTGTTAAACAGTCCTTCCTTAGAGTAGCTCAGGGTCAAGGGTGGGGTGCAGTGGCATAATTACATATAAATAAAAGTATACATAACAAAAACTATGACCCTTTTAAAAAAAATTCTGTGAGAATTGAGTTATTTCCCTTTTTTTTTTTAAACCCACAGAACTACAGGAACAGGAATGACTGCCAAAGTGTTGTTTCTGCACAGATACACCAATTCTGTCCCAGGGTCTCCTTGCTGGCACATGGGCAGGCTCATTTACTGGTAAATGATTTACTTGTGTAAATCTCTTCCCAGGCTCAGCAGGAGTTGATGAAGCAGCTCTCCATCCTTCCTCGTGACAACTATAGTCTCCTGAGCTACATCTGCAGGTGAGAGGCCCCTGGTATCAACTCTGCAGTTTTCAACCCCATCAGAAAGAAGCTCCTAGTTAGAAGAGGAGGGACCACGTCTGTGAACAGAGAGATTCTGGTCTAGCACTTTGGAAGATCAGCTGTATTCACATAGCACTGAAGTAGCTTCCTGTATAATTTCAAGGATTCTGAAAACCTGGTTGAACCAAAAAATGAACGTGCTCCCCCATTTAGGCCTGCCTCAGCACTGCCCAGAGTCCTGGTACATGCAAGAGAACCCAGAATCCTTATAATGTTTCTAGAATGATCTCCCATCTTTGTGATTCTGAGCCGTAGCTTAGCTCCAGGGAGACATTCATTCTGGGCCACCCTGGTTATTTTCCTTCAGCCCTTTCTGGGGACCTGCTGTGCGCCACCCCTGTGGCAACTCTAGCTGTGGATTGACCCAGATCTGGCTCGGCTGGGAACTGGGATCTTCATCCCAGACTGACCTGAATTTTGTCTTTTATTTTTTAAAAATAATTTGTTGTAGTTCCTAGATTATAAAAGTCATGCTTGCTTGACTTGGAAACCAGGAAGATATAGCAAACAGTAAATGAGAAATAAAAAGGACCCACAATCCCTTCACCAGCAACAAGCACTATTAACACTTTGGCATTTTTCCTTCTGGGTGTTTTCTCTCTGTGATAAATCTTTACATACCTTAATGTAAATATAGGGGAATAATATTTTATACTAAATCAAAATTATATAAAGGATTGTGTCCTTTTTTTTGGTTTAATGTTTTATTATGAGCATTTCCCTATGTCATAAAATTGGATTATAAATAACTTCATAATATTTCATAATGTTTCATCATTTGGACACGTCACCAATATTTAATAATTGCTCTGTATTTGAAATTGTGTTGCTTCATTCTATCCATTTTTAAATGGTTCTTTGAGAGAGTATTTAGAAATTCCCTGTTTTTACAGTGAATCTGAGAGCTTTGTGCCTCAAAGGGGTAGAATTTTAACAAAAATTCAGTATTAGTTATGGAGAACCTGCTGAGAATTAGCAATGCTTGTGCTCTAATCAGAGGATGAGAGCAAGGAGGCACCATGGATTCCCCAGGCCTGAGATCTTCTTACCAATAAAGTTTTCCTCTCTGGAGACTTGGGTGGGATGAGTGCTGAGAGCTGGGAGATAAGCCTATCAAGGCAGACATGGGTATGGGCAGATACCCATTTTACCTTTTCTAGTCCAGTCTGAGCTCCTGGAAGTGGATCTTGCCTCCTGCTTATGTGATTCCATTCACCTCCCCATCCCCCACCCCAGCAGCTGGGCAGGACCCTCCTGATTTCTCTTCCTTCCTTGGTCTTGGGTCTTTCAGGATGAGGCTAAATTCTTGTGGGCAGAGCAGGCTGGTCTCATTCCTGAGTCTGGGAGGAAAGCATTGGATCCATCCCTGAGTTCTCATTGGAACCCTGTAGTGCTTCCTCCTGGCTACTTCCTGCTTTCTACCATGGGATTTCTTGGCTGTCTGTAGGTTCCTACATGAAATACAGCTGAACTGTGCTGTTAACAAGATGAGTGTGGACAACCTGGCTACTGTGATTGGTGTGAATCTCATCAGGTCGAAGGTCGAAGACCCTGCCGTGATCATGAGAGGTATGGCTGGTCCCGTAGTGAAAGCAGGTACCCAGGAAATAACAATTACAACATTCCCCCTGATATTTGTGCACTGCTCTGTAGTTTCCCAAGCATTTTAAGCTGGTTATCAATCTCATCTGAATCATGCAATAGCCTTGTGAGGTAGGCAGGGCAGGAATTGTGTCCATTTTTCAGATCACAACAAAGGACAGAGGTCAAGGGTTTGCCCAATGGTCCCACAGTGCAGTAGACTAGTACAATAATAGCTAGCTAGTGTTTGTCAGTCTTTTATTACTTTTAAATACCCTTAGCCAGATTGAGCAAGCAGGTTTCATTTTATTTTATTTTATTTTTATTTAGGTATTTATTGAGTTGGAGCCTCACTCTGTTGCCTAGGCTGGAGTGCAGTGGTGCAAACTTAGCTCACTGTAATCTCTGCCTCCAGGGTTCAAGTGATTCTCCTGCCTCAGCCTCCCAAGTAGCTGGGACTACAGGCATAAACCCCCACACCCAGATAATTTTTGTAATTTTAGTAGAGACAGGGTTTTACCATGTTGGCCAGGCTGGTCTCGAACTCCTGACCTCAAGTGATCTTCCCACCTCGGCCTCCCAAAGTGCTGGGATTACAGGCGTGAGCCGCTGTGCCCAGCCAGCTTTCATTTTACAAGCCAGCCCACAAAAAGGCTGCTTAAAAAGCTGTGCTGTGCAGGCTTCTGAGGCTGTGTCCTGACACAGAGTACTGATATCTGCCATGGGCATGGGGGCAGAAAGCCTGGCACATATTTGCTCTGTGTCTGATAAGAAACCAGATATCATATTGAGGACCACATCAGGAGAGAAAGATATCTTCATTTTCTCTGCTGTTTTATTGCCTACTTTCCTGATCAAAAACTAATCCAGTGGACTATTGGCTCCCTCTGAAACAGCTCCCTCTTTTATTCTACTCCCGTGTCCTTCTGTTCCATCCCTTTCAACATAATCTCCAACTCCAAGCAATTAAAAAGGGTCTTTTGAGAAGCAAAATGAGGCCCTTCTGGGCCCTATAGTTTTAGAACCGAGTTTGGAGACATCCACGGGTGGGGATCCTTGAGGACTGACTACCTGCCTCCTACACTACACAACAGATCTTTTTCTTCTGTCTTTCAGGGACTCCTCAGATCCAAAGAGTGATGACTATGATGATCAGAGACCATGAAGTCCTCTTCCCCAAGTCCAAGGATATACCCCTGTCACCCCCTGCCCAGAAAAATGACCCCAAGAAAGCTCCAGTGGCCCGAAGCTCTGTAGGCTGGGATGCCACTGAAGACCTCCGAATTTCTAGGACAGACAGCTTCAGTAGCATGGTAAGGTGCAGAGAACCTTCCTGCTTCCATTGGGTTCTTCCTTTAGTCCAGGCCATCCCATGTAAGGCCTGCTCTCGGGTGGCAATTTGGGGAGTTTTAGGTGATGCAGTGGCAGTGGGCGCTGCTGCTACAGACTCATCTGAACACACCTTGAAAGCCTGGCCTCTTTCCAAATCTAGTTTCTATTGGCATCTTTGAGGGGGGTGAGTGACAAGTGTGCCAATCACCCAGTGACTGAGCAATGAGGTCCTCACTGAAGCCCACTCTGAAAGAGAGACTCAAATACAGTCCAGAGAAGTTCAGTGGGAAAAATGTATACAACATTGTAAATGTTTTGGTCAGAATTGTTGAAAATTCTGGGTGAACGTCCAGAGAAAACTGGTTTCCTGCTAACCCATGAAACGTGATTCCTTTCTCAGAGTATGTGATGTGTTTGTGTAATATTTCTCATTCCTCGATAAGCCGTCTCAGCCATGTCAGCCCCCACATTTGTGCTGAAGGGTTGAAACTCACGTTCCCAATGTCCAAAAGCTCTGCTGACTCTGAAATGTAGACCTCGTGAGGACAATAATTTACAAAGGTCAAATATTTTTATATATTTATAGGAACAAATATTTTTACAAAGAACATGTGAACTTTATATAGTAGCTTGATCTTTATGTGTGGCCAAAAAATGGATTTCAAATTTCTAGTTGACCAGATGATTCAAGTTACCTACAGTACTGTTAGCCCTGAAGATTGTTTTTAAAAGGCAGGTAGTGGGTAGTGGTTGTAGTTTTTCTTAGGATAGGTCTTTCTGAAGGCAATGCATTCTACTAACACTCTAAAACTAAAATAAAATTTAAAAATGCTCATACTTCATGTAACAAGATCATCCCACAGTCCTTGAGAATAGCTATTATTTTACTCATTTAATAGGTTTCTGCCATTTACTGATTTCTGTGGGCAGGCACTATGCTGGGAAATTTACACTGATCACCTCTAGAGTCCTCATATTACATAACATTGTAGGGCAGAATTTATCATTCGTATTGTGTTATTGAGGAGCAGAAACTCAGAGAGGTTGAGCAGCTGGCCCAATGTAGTAGCACTAGCTTGTTATAGAGGAGGACTCAGATCCAGTCCTCCCTTCAGAACCCAGGTACCTCTAACTCCGGGTGGGGTTTCTGAAGCAAGCAATTGGCTGCAAAGGTTAAAGGGAGGGCTCGAACCTGATTGTCTGATTTTATGTTTAGGTCTCACTTGATCTTAGCCAAAAGGCCGAGAAGTGATTGATTTTGTGTTTAGGTCTCATATTCTCTCTCCTTTTTCTTTATAATTTCATTAAAAAATATATAATATATGCACATGGTTCAAGTAATCAAAAAGATAGAAAAAGGTATACGTTGAGAAGTTCTGCTCCCTCCCGTATCCCCACCCACCCCATCCCTCACTGCCTTAGTTTCTTATTTATCCTTCCAATGTTCCTTTATGAAAATATAAGAAGACATGAGTGTAAATTATTTACCTCCTTTTTTACACAAAATGTAGTATAATTCTCTCTCTCTCTACAGTCACACACATACACATACAGTCACACACAAACTCCCACACAAAACTATGTATCTTGCATTTTTGTACTTAGCAGTATATTCTGGAGACTTTTTCATGTCAATACATAAACAGCTACCTCATATGACCTCATGTTTTCTAGAGGTGTATAGTGTCCCATTCTGTAGATGTACCAGTCCCTATAGATGAACACACTGCCTTCAGTTCTTTTCTTTTTCTTTCTTTTTTTTTTTTTTTTTTTTTTGTGACAGGGTCTCACTTTATTGCTTAAGCTGGAGTGCGGTGGTGCGATCACAGCTTACTGCAGCCTTGACCTCCTGCTGAGGCAATCCTTCGGCCTCGGCCTCCCAAGTAGCTGGGACTACAGGTGCATACTACCATGCTGGGCTAAATTGTTTTGCGTATTTTTTGTAGAGACAAGGTTTCAACATGTTGCCCAGCCTGGCCTTGAACTCCTGAGCTCAAGTGATCCACCCTCCTCAGCCTCCCAAAGTGCTGGGATTACAGGCATCAGCCGCTGCACCCAGCCTTTCAGTTCTTCATACTACAAAAGAAGCTGCAATAAATAACTCTGGGACCTCCTTTTGTACTCAGGCAGATGTATTTCTCAAATGCATTTTCAGAAGTGGGCTTGATGGGTCAGAGGGTAAATAGATTTGATTGTATGATTTTGAGACAAATTATTGGAGTTTGTGTCATTTTACACTTCCAGAAGCAATGCATGAAAGAACTGTTTTCCTACAGTTTCACCAACAGAGTTTGTTGTCAAATTTTGGGGGTTTGCTCATCTGATAAGTGAGAACTGGCATTTCAGTAATTTTAATTTTAATTTGAGTTTCTTGTATTATGAGAGAGGCTGAACATCTTTTCCTATGTACAAGGACTAGTTTCATTTTTTCCTCTGTGAGCTGCCTGATCTTGTCCTTTGCCCATAATTACATTGGTTGTTGATCTCTTTCTTCACAATTTTTATGAACTTTATCTATTAAGGAGAGTAACCAATTGTCTGATATGCATTGCAAATACTTTTTGCTAGTTTTTTTTTTTTTTTTTTTTTTGGTTTGGCATGTGGTGATTTGTTCTTTTGTTTTTATTTTTGTTCTTTTTAATTTTTTAGGTCATGGAAATCAAAAGGTCAAATTTATCAAACTTTTACGGCTTCTGGGTTTTCAGTCATAGTTATAAAGACCACCCATTCTAAGATTACATAAGGATCCTACTTTAGGACTCTTTAACCACAAACAAACACTTGATTTTGGTGAGACTTCATCTCTAGAACATGGTTCCTTTACTGCAATATCCTTTTGGAAAAAAATGCTAATGCAGATAATCAAGTAATGTGATACATTAAGAATTTCATAGGTATGCTACCAGGAAACTTTTGTTTTGGGGTCTCTAATCCATACCTTGGGAGCATGACACACAGAGGTGAAAACCCCATGTGACATCCATGGCCATTTCTTTTCTAGACAAGCGACTCTGATACAACCAGCCCCACCGGACAGCAGCCGAGCGATGCGTTTCCGGAGGACAGCAGCAAAGTACCCAGGGAAAAGCCAGGAGACTGGAAAATGCAATCTCGTAAAAGGACTCAAACACTCCCTAACCGGAAATGTTTCTTGACATCAGCTTTTCAGGGTGCCAACAGCAGCAAAATGGAGATCTTTAAAAATGAATTCTGGTCGCCTTCCTCAGAGGCTAAGGCAGGGGAAGGGCACAGGAGAACGATGTCTCAAGACTTGCGCCAACTTTCTGACTCCCAACGGACTTCCACCTACGATAACGTCCCTTCCCTGCCAGGGTCCCCTGGGGAGGAAGCCAGTGCACTCTCTTCCCAAGCCTGTGACTCCAAGGGAGATACTCTTGCCAGTCCAAACTCTGAAACTGGGCCTGGAAAAAAGAACTCTGGAGAAGAGGAAATTGATTCTTTGCAGAGGATGGTCCAAGAGCTACGAAAGGAAATAGAAACACAGAAGCAAATGTATGAGGAACAGATTAAAAAGTAAGTCAGACAGAGGGGCACTGAGAGGCACTTGGCTTCCATCTTTAGAGACAAGAGGGATTGTTCCCATCCGCCAGAGAAGTCACATCATAAAGCTTCAATTTGGGGAAGACAGTAATCTATAGCAGGCCTAGAAAGAAAAGAGTAAAGGGAACAATGAGATAGCTAAATTGGTGAACACTCTAAACTTTAAACTAGATTTAGGAAATGTAAATATCTAGCTTAAGTAGTTTAATCAATAATTTCCAAACAGTGGTTCAAGAATCAACATGCTTTAATTAATTTAAAGGAAATTAATTTTTTTTATGTTAAGGTCATTCATTGATTCTGCAAATATTCCTCGAGCCCCTCCTCTGTGCCAGGCACATTCCAGTTGTTAGGGTATAGCACTGAACAAAAGAGACAAAAGTCCCTGCACTTACAGAACTTCTAGTGGGGACAGATGGACAATACAAATATATAATAAAATATATGTTATGTCAGCTGATGGCAAGTGCTGTGGAGAAAAATAAAGTGGGTCAGGAGGTTGGAAAGTTCAAGGAATGGGTTCCAATGTAAAATAGGGGGGTCAGGGAAGGCCTCCGTGAGAAGGCAGCAGGTAAGTAAAGGCCTGAAGGAGATGAGGAGCAAGTCAGGTGTGTAGATGGGAGATGACTATGGCCAGTGCCGAGCCATGAGAAAAGAGCAGTCCCCCATGGTCCCACCCAGGAAGAGTGGAAGCTGCCTGGGGCCAGGGAGAGTGATTAGAGGAGATGAGGGTGGAGAAGTACAGGAGGCCAGGACGCAGTAGGGTTTTGTCAGCCACTGCAAAGCCTGAGTAAGAAGCTTCGGGGTGGTTTCAACCTGGTTTATGCTTCATTGGCTCACTGGCTTCCCATTGAGCACCGGCTGCAGGGGGCAAACAGAAGCGGGAGGCCAGTTAGGCAGCTATTGCCTCTGTCACATGCAAATTCCCAAGATCTGTGCACACAATTTGTTCTCTTGGGTAGATAGAGTATTTTCTTGAAATATTTTTCACACTACTGATTGGCTGGCAAATTTGTTTTCAGGAGAGAAAGCCTTGATCCAGCTGTTCCCATATCAGCACTAGTCATGAGGCAGTGAAATGTGAATTCGTGGGCTCTTAGATTTATGGCTACGTCTTAGTCCATGCAGACTCAGGTATCTGAAGGGAAGACTACTTTGAACCCTCATTCATTGTTCCACACAGAGAGCTGCCATCCAGAAGCAAAATGTAGCTTGTTTGTCTAAGAACCTGAAACCAATCATTTGTAGAATTAAAGACTTCTGTGACATCTTGGCAGTGATCAAAGCAGTCCCATAGAAGGCACACACTGCCCTCACATATGAGTATCTTCAACAGGGTAGAAAAAGAACTGGCTGCCACAGATGTGTCAGAGTCCTCTGAATCCATCAGTTGGGGAAGCCTCCCATCCCAGGCTCCTGAGCCCACACAGATTCTACCTTCCACTGGAACCCATGGTCAGGATCTAGCACAGTGCCTCACTTGGAATTTCTTCCAGAACCAGAGGGGTACAGAGAACTTGGAGAAGAAAAGTAGATTTGTAATGAGAGGGTCAGAAGGAATGGCCGGGCGTGGTGGCTCACGCTTGTAATCCCAGCACTTTGGGAGGCCAAGGTGGGTGAATCACGAGGTCAGGAGATCGAGACCATCCTGGCTAACACGGTGAAACCATGTCTCTCCTAAAAATATAAAACATTAGCCAGGCATGATGGTGGGTGCCTGTAGTCCCAGCTACTCAGGAGGCTGAGGCAGGAGAATGGTGTGAACCTGGGAGGCGGAGCTTGCAGTGAGCCGAGATCATGCCACTGCACTCCAGCCTGGGCAACAGAGCGAGACTCCGTCTCAAAAAAAACAAAAGGAAAAAAAAAAGATGGAATGAGATCAATTTAGCTTTAAGAAGAGATAGGTGGGGGTAAGCAAAGTTCTGAAGATGGATTGTTACCCACAGAATAGGCCAAGGCCCTTGAAGATAGAACCCAAGTTTTGGGCTCACATGGGAGCTCAAGTCTCCCTTGTGCAAATGGGCAGGCCATTTGGGGAGAAGGGAGGCACACTCTACAGAATGAAATTCTGAAACAAATTTCCAGTCACACAATCGGCATGTGTACACTCATTCCTAAGGGTTAATTCAGCACAGCCTGGCAGGGGGCCACCTGGCACTACATTAGGATTTGGGCCAGTAACGATTAAAATCCTAGCAATTCAGGAATCCCACAGATTTTTCACCTGGCATGGGATTCAGAAGTGAGGGTGAGACTGCCAGGACCACAGCTCCCCAAAGGGCAGTTCCCTCTGTTTCTCCAAATCTTGGTCCCCAGGAGATCCTTAATAAGAAAGGGTGCTGATCTATGCTCTCCATTGACACAGGATGAGGAGGCACTCATGAGCACAGAGGTGTGAGAAATTTGAAATATGGATGGGGCTTCCAGGACTGATACAAGGTGCTGTGGGAGTGAATATATAGATCTGTTAGAACTGGTCCCTCCTTTCAAAGACTTTGTTATCCGGTTGAAGATACAAAACATTAAACGACATGAGAAAAAACACAATAGATGTCACAAGATGGTGTTAAATGACAAATGAGGGGGCTGGGTGTGGTGGTTCATGCCTGTAATCTCAGCACTTTGGGAGGCCAAGGCAGGCGGATCACGAGGTCAGGAGATCAAGACCATCCTGGCTAACATGGTGAAACCCTGTCTCTACTAAAAATACAAAAAAAAAGAAAAAATTAGCTGGGTATGGTGGCGGGCATCTGCAGTCCCAGCTACTAGGGAGGCTGAGGAAGGAGAATGGTGTGAACCTGGGAGGCGGAGCTTGCAGTGAGCCGAGATCGCGTCACTGCACTCCATCCAGCCTGGGCAACAGAGCGAGACTCCATCCAAAAAAAAATGACAAATGAGGGGCTCAGAAGTACTGTGGGGATTCAGGTTTTCTGGGACATCTTCATGTGGGAAGAGGGACATAGCTGAGAGGTTGGATAAGGGTCTTGTGATTTGAAAGGAAAATGAGCAGCAGGTTGTGAGCAAGGGGGAAGGAAGAGTCTAGAATGAATGCCACATTCTTTCATTCTTTTCTTTCCTTCCTTGTAGCCTTGAGAAGGAAAATTATGACGTTTGGGCTAAAGTGGTGAGGCTCAATGAAGAACTGGAGAAGGAAAAGAAGAAGTCTGCAGCCCTAGAGATCAGCCTCCGCAACATGGAGCGCTCCCGGGAGGATGTTGAGAAGAGGAACAAGGCCTTGGAAGAAGAAGTCAAGGAATTTGTCAAATCCATGAAGGAACCCAAGACCGAGGCTTAAGGGTCCCAGGAGTACTGCAGGGACAGCCCCAGAGAGGCCCAACTCTGGCCCCTTTCTCAGTGCTATCTGATGACGGGGAAACAAAATTATTCTCTGAGAGGGAAAGGACATTTGAGGGAAACATCAAATTTCCCCATAAATAAATGAATGGAGTTTGCAGGAAGGTGAGGGTGAGCAGAGATGTGTGTGGACATCTCTGACCATCCATCGCTGTATTCAAATGGATTGTTTTATTCCATTCTGGTCTCAGGCATGACCACGTCCAGTGAAGACATTTGAGGCAGCACATCTCAGGACCCAGGCAATAGACTGGCCCCAACTCAGGCTGGACTAAGGTGTGATTAATTCTTTGTTTTTTGTGTGGAACAGCTCACCTTGTCAGACAGCCTCAGGGCATCTCTGAGACACAGGGGCAGAAAATGACATTCATCTTTTGAGTCCTCATCCATGGAGTGCTGTGTTTGGGGGGCTGCATCTGCTGAAGCGAGAACCCCATTCTGCCACCCCACCAGGATGCCCATTCTCCAGGACTTCTCCAACTTACTATTAGACTAAACCAGAACAAGCAACAAACTGTATTTATGCAAGCAAAATTGATGAGAAAATTATATTCAAATAAAGCAAAAATTAAAAAAAAAAGGCTATTGCTAATCCATACGGCACCTTTGTGAGAATTAGCAAAAGACACTCCTTCCTTGGGGCAGGTGGCTTGCTGAGCAGGGCATGGGCTGAATTTCAGTCCTGACTTGCCTTTCAGGGACAGGTGTTTCTATACTTGCGGAGCCCCCATTTCTTCTGTATTTCACACAATTGCTGTGGGAATTACATGAGAAGAGGTAATCTAGTCCCTACTTGCTTTTTAATTGTGTATGGAGGGCCTGGGAACAAACGCTTCCTACTATGATAGGATTTGTTGTGGTTTTAGACAGTAATTTTCATGATAATAGTTTCTTTTTTCCTGTTTCACCAAAATGCAAGTGATTTTACCCTTAAAGGGACAACAGGCACTAGATGATAGGTGGGAGAGGGGCTTTCCCAGTGGACAGCTGATTCTTCCCCTTCTATGTCAAGCCAGCTTGGCAGAGGCCCTGGTCAGGCCCCGGACCTCTAGGTAGGTTGGTTGAGTCTTTTTTTGTTGTTATCATTCTAATTGGATGGTCTCCAAGCTCTTTTGACTGGGTAACTCATCAACAGAAAATGTTTGAGCATACACCCCCCAATATATTTATTTATTTATAAATTATATATATGTACTACTATAGTACTCCATAATGTATATTATAAAATTCACAGAACAGTAACTGAATAATGATGAGATAAAAACAAAGATCAATAGATGTTCCCAAGTGTGCTTTCAGCTCCGGAGACCCCTGACCCAGTTGCCCAGGAGGTATTACCTGTACCAAATTTATATCTTTCATCCCACTGCTCCCATAAATGTGCTTGAACTCTTGAAGCCCCGTGGCTTAATCAGTGGTTTGGAATCTATGGTTGCTGCAGTGAGAGTTTAGCCTTCCCAGCACATGGGCCTCCTCTGTCATTCCTTTTTCTCTCTGTCTTCTTCACTCTGGTTAGTCCTCCCTTCCTATGGCCAGGACTTATTACCCACAGAGTGAAAGTACAGACAGTAGCATCAGCATTTCTTGGTCCTGCTACTCAGGCCCTGCTCTACCAACGCCAGCCCCTTTGAGGACCAGATTGATGGAGAAGGAGGGCGACTCCTACGGCATTCCTATCTAGGCCTGCTTGCAGAAGATTGAGGGGAAACTCATCTGGAACATTCGTAAGAAAAGCAATAAAATATTGGGATTCCTGAGTTTTAGGTGTTTTTAAATAACAGGATAGCAAACATGGAAACACTTATTGACCACCTGACTTACGTTGGCGAGTGCCTGCATTTCTGCCAGGCACATATCCTTGTGTTCTCCCACGGATTCCTCACACTGACTCTTTGGGGGCTAAAACAGAGTTGAATATGGAAGTGGCTGCTGTCACAATTTCCAAAGAAAACATTTGTCTGAAGATGCAAAGAGGAGGCTCTCAAGTCTGTTTTGAGGCCCGTGTCATTGGCCCTTACTGGGTCCGGGAGCCAGAGCTCGTGCTGAGTGGAAGTGCCACGTTTGAATCCCAACTACCTCCTGGTCTGGCAGTGTCTCTCATTCTACTTTTTTCCACCAGTATTATGAGACAACAGAGCAGCTGTTGGCCTCAGAAGCACTAGACAGCCTAGCCTGCAAGTGTCAATCCCTCTTCACAATCAAGAGAAGAGTTTGGCTCGCTTAAGTTGCTACTATTTGCTCCTGTGCCACCTTGCATACAAGGAGAAGACAAGAAACAGGGTTTTTTTTTAGGACCCTGGGACCTTATGAGTGCAAGGGTCACACAAACCCCTTCATCCTGCTGAAAAAGGCTGGGAGGAGGGAGCCCCTGAGGGCCAGAAAAGAAGATCTGGAGTCTGATGGCACTGTTTTAATGCCCTCAAAAGGCATGCATGTGATTGCATGACAGGGTAGCTCCAGGTCTCACCTGGACCAAAGGACCAGGTTCTAGAAGGCAATATCTGGAGACTGACCTGTGTCAAGGGGTGCTGTTGGACTCTGCAGCTCCTACCTGTACTTTCAGAGCCCTTCCATGGAAAGGACTCCATCAACTTTGCCTTTTTCCCAGCCACACCCTCACCTTTATGTTAGCCGCTCTCCTCTTTGCTCATGAGCTGAGAACCCAGAAAGGTCATCAATGTGCATTTGAAAACCCCTTGCCCTCTTCCCTCCCAAACTCCTTTTCTGTCACAGCCTCAAGCATGTCCCTTATCAGGGTACTCTTATCTTAAGTTTGGGGCAGATATGATGCTTTTCCAGTAAGTCTGTACACTGGATAGGACAATTTGTACTAGGGTATTGGCTGGGATGATCCCCTTCCAGTGGATTCTGTTCAGAGCCTGCAGTCTGGAGAGACCATGTGTGGCATTCCTAGTGCATAGACAGCTGCAAAGGATGTAAACTATAAACATTTTGTTGTTGTTGTTGTTTTGACCAACTTCCTAAAACTCTGCTCAAAGGCCTGTCCCCTCAGAAAAGCACGAAGCCGGAGATTCCCAGGCTGCCCAAGGCCGCTGAGAGGGGGAGGCCAGAGAACACAGTGGCACAGCAACTGCTGGCTGGATTCCACGGGCTCTGGGCCAGAAGATGCGTGTACACGAACGCCCTGTAAACTTCCACATTCCACCACTTCCTTTCCAGATAGCAGCAGTGGTCAGGTCACGTGCTTGCCGGAGAGCAGAGAAAACACTTGGAGGCTGCTTCTGCAATTAAAATGGGCTGCATTTACAAGAATTACACAAAACCTTTCATCCTGCCAGAGAATGATGGGAGGGAGGCCCTGAGGGTGGAGCTCCAGCTGCCACTCAGAAGCTCAGGGTGGCATCTGGCCAGCAGCAGCAGAGAGGCTGGAGCCAGGGGGCTTGTGGCTCAGATGATGTCCCAGGAGAGAATATCGACACAGCTGTGTAACTGTAGCTTCTATTTCTTCTGATGCTGGAAACTCTCTTAGAATCATAGGATAAAAACTGGAAAACACTCTGATTGTATTTAATTCAACCTGTTTATTTAACGGACAGGGGAACTGAGGCCCAGAAACATAAATTAAATGGCCAGTGCTCACACAGAAATTAGGAAGAGGATTGAAGGAGGTGATTTTGGAGGGCTCCTCTAACCCATGATTCAGTGATTCTTGTGGTTCTTGCTTTCTCTCCAAGGGTTCTTTCCCCCAAACTGCAACCATGGTGTGAACCCCATTGAACATCCGTTGCTGAGTGCTTCCAGAATATAGAGCTCTCCTCAGCTCATGATCACAACCAAGACCCACCTAATATGATGCCAGTTTTTCACCTACTGTGTATTCCCAATACTATTTTAAAACACTGGTTCTCAGTCTTGGTGGCACAAGAGAATTACCTTAGGAACTGTAAACAAAAATTCTGATGCTCAGATCTTACTTCATATCAATTGAATCAGAATCTTTCGGGATGGGGCCTAAGAATTGGTAGTTAAAAGAAAAATTCCCAGTTGATTCCAATATACAATCAGGATGGTTAAATAGTTTTAAAACTGCTAAGTTTGGCTTTAGTCATGACTAATGGTAATATTAATTCTACCTGCTCCCCTTTCCCATCTCCAGTTAACACAGCTACATTCTCTGATTTACAGGCTGATTTTTCATGTGTTTATTCATCTAGGATAAGACATGATTAAGTGATACAGAATGGATTTATGTTATATGCCCATTATGCAGATGGTGAAAAGTGAGCCCAAAATTTTTTTAAAAAATGAGTATAACAGTAGCTTAGTATGAACAAATCCAAGGATTTTGAGAATTCCTAAATATATGGGGACACTGTTTACTTGCTTTAAGGATTGACTCTAAACATAGGCAAAGAAGATAAGCACTTGAGGGCCTGATTTAAAGAGTCCCGAGAATAGCTCTGATGAAAATCATCTCTTTTTCAGACTCATGTTAGATTGAGAAATCCCTACCAGTAGCCTTTGGAATATTAACCACAAACGTGATATTTCTGGGAGACTCCATGAAGCCTCCATTAATCGTTAGTATCATCTTTATATTAGTTATCTGCTTCCCAGCAGAAAGCTGTGTAATGAAGGAACGAGAGCCTGGCCAGATAAGCAGTGCTGTGGGTGGAGGAACAGATCAAGAGTATGGATGTTGGCCAGGCACAGTGGCTCACGCCTGTAATCCCAGCACTTTGGGAGGCCGAGGCGGGCAGATCACGAGGTCAGGAGTTCGACGCCAGTCTGGCCAACATAGTGAAACCCTGTCTCTACCAAAAATACAAAAAATTAGCCGGGTATGGTGGTGTGCGCCTGTAATCCCAGCTACTCTGGAGGCTGAGGCAGGAGAATCACGTGAACCTGAGAGGCGGAGGTTGCAGTGAGCCGAGATCTCGCCATTGCACTCCAACCTGGGTGACAGTGGGAGACTCTATCTCAAAAAAAAAAAAAAAGTATGGATGTTACCTAGGAGTATTGCAGTGTGGGCCCCTGGCTGCCTTAGGTGGGGTGAGGGTGCAAAAATCAGGCCTTAAAAAGGGAAACGGGGACTCATCATCAGGGTGGACGGAGAAATGGTTTGCCCCCACATACACCTGATACCTGCTCAAAGTTGGCACTTGTCCTCCTTCCTTCTCTCTGTTCTCCCTTATTGATGTCCTTTCAGTCCTGCTGAGGCCAGCCCATGCTAAACATCACCCTGGTTCTTGGGTCTTTGTTCAGCATCAGTAGCAATATCATGACAATAACTACCAATAATAAGCAACAAATACCATTTTAATACTTTCTGGTGAGCACTGTATCCATGTCATTTCCTTTAAATCTCAAATCAACTCTTTTCTGATTGCAATCAAACCTGTTTTACTGAGGTCTCAATGTGGCTTAGCTAGGAACTGAAGCGTATATACAGTCTACACAAGGCTACATTATCCTTGCCCTCACATAGGGAGGAAGTACAACATAGAAAATGACCCCTTGGCAGAGATGGACTAAAGCAAAATCTGCAAAGACTTTTTCTTTAAAAGGCTGGCAGGGATTCTGGAAAGAACCACTAACTGCCTTGTCTGACTCAGCATCAAGATGGAAAAATATACAGAGGCTGTTGCCTTCCCCACAGCCTAAGTCAAATCCACCTGCTTGCTCTGAGGCTGTCTGGGAGGCCACACATCACCATGCCCTTTCCTGGAGTCAATTCTTGGTCCCATGTCATTAGCCCCACCCTCGAAAGAACTCTGGGAATGGGGTTGCCTTGGAGTCCCCGGTTCCGTGTGGCTAAAGAGTGAGCCTCTCATATCTCCATGCTGAATTTCCTCACTCATTCACAACCCTCCTTTCCATTTCAAGAAATCTTTCTGTTCCCACAAGCCTGGGAGGGCCTTTGAGTGGGGCATATTGGGTAAGTTTGAAGGAGTACTGCCAGTGAGACCTTCAAAAGACTCTGTGTGAATGGGCTGGTGTTGGTGGGAGGAAACAGGGTCACAGATTCCCCTTCCCTTCCCCCTTGTAAGATGTGTCATCAGTTAAATATAGGCTCTGGCCCTGTGGACGTTTACAGGCTAAGACAGCCCGCCCTGACTGGGGCTCACAGCTTCTGAGAGGAGGACACTGGGATGTCTTCAGCCCATTTCACGTGGGCTGACTGTTTCCAAAACACTCCTGGTGGGTCAGCGAGCAGAGGAAGTGTTACCATGTGATCACTTTAGAAACACCCACCTAATGACGCACTAACACGGATTTGCCCTCTGTTTTTCACATTTGATCATTCCTGACACTTTGGCGAGGAAACAAAACCCTATTTCTCTTAGAAGTCACTCCTTCCCTGGATGTGAAAGAGGGCAGTGGTTTCCCTGTCAGTCCTCTTTTAGGGAAAGATCTGGGTGAGCACATGACCCAGCTCAGCTGGTCTGGGGCTGGACACAGACACAATTGTGAGAACTTGAACTGACTCACCAGGAAGCAGGTGGTTGGGACTAGGTACTGTTGTCTATTTCAGTGCTAGATATTGCCTTTAATGAAAAACTAGCCCCAATCAGAAAAAAGCCAACACCACGCTCTGCAATACTAAGTTGACTCACCTGTTGAAATGCTGTTTATTAAGCAAAACCAGTATCCTCAGAATTCCAGCTTTCACTTTCAAGTTTCTTATGTGGGATTTCATAGTATTGGGCCCAGTGATGTGTACATCAATGGTTTGGCTTGCTGTTTATGCTACTTATTTACTCGAGCAGTCACTCTGGTGTGTTCCCATGGCTTTTCTGAAAGTATTAGAATACAGCTCCCAAAGAATGTGAGTGCTATTGGAGAAATAAAATACATGGAAATCATATGGCATCCAGCAATTGCTATGCCTATCTTGAGATAGCTGATCCCTAGATAAGCTTGGTAGTTGTGTTACCAATGATGTCTTTTCTTAGTACACATAGATTGTACTCAAGGAATAGCAAAATGTTACAACACTGATTCTTCCTCCTATAGTTAATGGCATTTTAAAAGAGTTATGCTTGACTAAAGACATAGTTTTTAAAAATGCAAATATTGAGTGCTTTCAATTCCCTAAGCATGGTGTTTTCTGCTTTACCTGCAATGTATTAATTAATTTTCACAGAAAACTATGAGGCAGCGGCTACTATCATCCCCATTTTACAGATGAGAAAACCGAGACTTAGAAAGGTTAAGTAATCTGCTCAGGCTCACAGTTCATATCCCATTTCTAAGAGACATTTTTTTTTCATTCTAATACTTTTGAAATTCAGTATGTATTTTATAGTTGATTGGTGCATTTAAAATGGAACATCTTACAAATTGATGGCTACTTAGAACTGAGAAAATATAACTGACAGAAGCAAGCATCAAAACCACGTCTACCTGATTCTAGTATTGGATCATCCAACCACAGTGGCTTGAGTGTCAAAGGAAACAACCTGTGTCTAAGTAATGACCATAAAAGTAATAACTAGTCCACATTCACATTGAAGATAATGGTTCATATTCTTCCTATTTGATACTATTTACTCTATTAGAAAAATTGTCTGGTTTGGTCCGTTCAATTAGATTTATCTATTTATTTTTTGTAGAGTATCATCAGTTAAACCTCCTAACCTCTGGGCCACCCCACCCAGTATAAGCCATAAGATATGGCTCATATTCTTCCTACCTATTTGATACTATTTATTCTATTAGAACAATTGACTGGTTTGGTTGGTTCAATTAGATTGATGTATTTATTCTTTGTAGAGTATCATCAGTTAAACCTTTTTTGCTGAGAAAGCTTCAGGCTTTTCATTTCTATAATGAGAGTTGTTTTCAAAACACATTTAAATAGTCAAGAGCCCAGGCATGGGTATGGTCACAAGCAGGAGGGTCTGAAGCTCCCTGAAGTTTGAGTTCACAGCGCCATGGCTCCTGCCGTCCTTCCAAGGAGAGAGCAGTCACGTCAGTTGCCTTTGGTTCTTGTCTGACTGAGGAGAGATGCTCTATACGTGGTTTTGGTAATGACAGCATGTCTCTAACTCGAGATTAAGTTTCTGTCCTCTGAAGATCTCAATGTAATTCATTACAGAAGTGCTTCCCAAAGCTTCTCCTTGGAAGGCTTTTCTTTACACGATATACTCTTTGAACAATGGATGCTATGCTTAAATAAGTTTATAACACCCTCTTCCCCCTCAAAGATTCAGAAGTCAGGGCAACCACATCATATTGGGAGTCTAATTTGTAAGTCGATAAGATAAAAATCCCTTTGGTCAAAATTATCCTTGAAAATCACCAGAAATTGTATATAAGGTCCCCCAATTTATAGCTTTATGTGTACACCCTGGTCACTAAGGTGTGAGTGTAGTTATAAATTACTGTTAATGATGAGACTAAGAATACGGACCACTAGGATTGCTATTTTCTTTCCCTGGCATCCTCATTTAAATTGTTATTTTTATTTTTCATCTAGTGTATAGTTTGATTCATAGAATTTAAATGCATATATTAAATTAAAAGTAGTAATTATTATAGTACTAATAATAGTAATAATCATTGACATTTATTGGGGGCTAGCTATTGCCTGCCAGACTGCTCTAAGTGCTTTATTTGCATGAACTGAGTTAATCTGAACAGAAACTTCAGGGCTGGACACTATATTCCCTTTTTACAACAAAGTCACTTGCTTCTGCTTTTACTCGTGCCTTTGGCGACACAATGACTCTGCAAATTGTCCTGTGCCCAGAGGAAACATTTTTCTGAAAACTTCTGCGCTGGGGCAGATTTAGGGCAAAGTTAACACTTCAAAAATATCTCCAGTAATTGAGTAAATTGCTCATCTGTCAAATTGGCTCTTTGGCAAATTACTCTGCTTGCACATATTAATAGCCAAGCTTAGCCAACTTGAAATATGGAGATTTACTGGAAATCACAGTGAAGTGAAGAGAGAGGCAAGAGCAGAATTGAAATTCCCACCTGGCAGCAAAAGAGAGTTATGCAGAGCCTATCAGGTAAGGCAGAAGCACTTCCTGGACCGCTCAACTGAAGGGCACAGCCAGCAGTGAGGTGGGGTGGCCCAGAGGTTAGAAACCCCACAGAGAGAATCAGAGGGAAGCTGGAGGCAGAGGGAGTGCGCCATTCGGAATTCCAGGGGTTGAGGACCTCTAGGTCCCAGGTACAGTTGTAAGGCTGGGGGCAAAAAGTTGCTCCTGCCAGGCACTGTGGCTCACGCTTGTAATCCCAGCACTTCGGGAGGCCAAGGCAGGCAGATCACTTGAGGGAGTTTGAGACCAGCCTGGTCAACGTGGTGAAACCCTGTCTCTACTAAAAATACAAAAATTAGCTAGGCGTGGTGGCACATGTCTGTAATCCCAACTACTCAGGAGGCTGAGGCAGGAGAATCACTTGAACCTGAGAGGAGAAGGTTGCAGTGAGCCAATATTGTGCCACTGGATAATCTTGGCTGTGGGGTCAGAGTGAGACTCTGTCAAAAAAAAAAAAAAAAAAAAAAAAAGAAGAAGCAAAGCAGCTCCAGGCCAGCTTTCTTCCCTGCCAAGGCACAGTCAGCTTCCTAAACCTGCAAGGCTGCATCAGTCTAGAGTAGGCACTATTTTCAGCTCGCATCAAGGAGCCATAGAGGCAGCTGAATGATTCTCCAACAGATGGTCTCAGTAGAGTAGAAATGACAGTGTAGCACATTGACAATGAGGAAGTTAAGGTGTGCCACAGTTGTTAATGGAACCTAAGTAAAAACTCAGAGACAGAGGAGTTTAAGGGAGTCTTAGCTCCCCAGAGATTTCTAAGAAGCCCACCTAAAAAAATCTCTTGATTAGTAAATGAAACTATTATTATTGTTATTATTACTAATGGTAGATGAGAAGATATTTTTGTAGATAATGAAGTCAATATCAGAAAGATTTAGTAGTGGACAGATTCAGTAGGCTGCAAAATTATAAGGTCAGACTTCCAATTCTAAAATGACTTCCTTAGCCTAGTCCAGGTGGAGGGTGGTGCTGGTTAAGTTTAAACACAGTATTACCTTGTGAGAAGTGTTCCAAGTTTTTAATTGTCTACTTCCAGGTGTACTACACATCTAATAGAACTACCACACTCCTCTCTGCCTTATAAACCTTTGCCTACCAACAATACAAGCTCAGATTCCTTCCCTGAGTGTAGTGGGTACTTACAGAATGGTCGGTCCAGGTTCCTTTAGTAGAACCTGCTACCACGTGCATATCTACATACACCCTTTGTCCTTGTGTTACTGTGGAAGCTGCTTTGTCAACTCAGTCTGTTCCTCAGCCACAGATTTGTTTTCTTTCCTTGGGACCCCAGGACAAATGCCATGATGATACTGTTGCAGGAGCCAGCAGTCAGCTGCTTAAGGTTGTCTCTTCTGTCCACATCTTTGTGCCATTCTTTGGCTAGCAATGTAGGTGCCAGTCAGGGTCATCCTATGAAATATCACATTCCTTGCCTGTAAACTGTGGTAGTGGGGAGGCCTGGCCTACTCACTGCACAAGACCGTCTTTAGGACAAAATAGGCTACTATGGATGAAAGGGCCACATCAGGGGTGTCCAGTCTTTTGGCTTCTCTGGGCCACATTGGAAAAGAAGGATTGTCTTGAGTCACAAATAACATACACTCACACTGATGATAGCTGATGAGAAAAAAAAATCTCATAATGTTTTAGAAAGTTTACAAATTTGCGTTGGGCCACATTCAGAGCTGTCCTGGGCCATACACAGCCCGCGGGCTGCAGGTTAGACAAGCTTGGGCTACATGGTACCAGTGTTAGCGTGAGGATGAGGGTGTATTGCACTTCATAACCCCCAATATAAGGATTCTCCTTAAAGCAGTCTTTCTGCCCTGTTTGCCTGGTGGCACTCCGCTCTCACAGTGAGACTTGCCACTAGGAAGGGTGGAAATTCTTCCCAGCTCCTCTGAGTAGTGGGGCTCGAGGATGAGGGTCCATGCCATAGTGAGAGCCTCTAGGCCTCTGACGCAGACTGAGAAAATGGGCTGTGACGACACAAAGCCACTACGGGAAGTCTCAAGTCCTTGACCCAATGTGCACATTCCGAGCTTCCGGTGCAGCAATGAGCTGACACAAACCGTGGCGGCCTGAAGACCTGGACCTTCCATTTTGCCTTTCAGGACCCGTGTTCACACCAGCACTTAGTTTGGAGGAAGCACCTGGAGGAGATGCAGAGTCCAGATGTGCGCCCTCTGCCGGAAGCCTACTGCACCAGGACGTAGGCCTGGAGTGGCCCTTAACGCATTTGGAAATCAGTCTTCACTAAAAAAACTTCCTCCAAAATGTTCTTTAACAGCCCTTTAAAAGCCATTGTTTCAAAACAGTCCAAGGTGGTGAACAATTAATATTTTCGATTTACATGAAGACTCTGGAGTAGGAATTACCTGAGTTGGAAACTCAGTTCTACTCTATTGGTATCAGGTTGCATTCTGTATCATCATTAAAATTTTCAGAAAAACTCTCAACCTCGGTGCATTAGTTTTCTAGGACTGTCATAATGAAGTATATCACAGATTCTATGGCTTGAGCAATAGAAATTTATTTCCTTGCCATTCTGAGTCTAGAAATCTGAGATCAGGGTGTTAGCAGGATTGGTTTCTTCTGAGGCCTCTCTCCTTGGCTTGCAGAAGAAGCATAGTTGACCTCTCCCTGTGTGTTCACATGGTCAAACCACTGTGTACATCTGAATCCCAATCTCTTCTTGTAAGGGTGCCAGTCATATTGGATTGGAGCCCACTAATGAGATCATGACCACATCTTACCTTAATTACCTCTGAAGGCTCTATGTCTAAATACAGTCACATTCTGAGACATTGGGGGTTAGGACTTCAACATATGAATTTTTGGGTGACACAATTCAGCCCATAACAGTAACCCTTTTAAGACTGTCACTTATTTCTCTAGTGAAAAGGCAGAACTTTCGGAATCTTTTAGAATCTCCCCTGCAGCTGAGTAAACATCTTAGTGTCTTCATAACTAGAAACCACAGGTGGTTGTTTCATTTTGTTTTAAATTTTCTATCACTGAAGATAAGTAAGATCAGAACTCGAAAGTCTTGCTAACCCATCGATGTCATGAGAAAGGCCCAGGATCAGGGTCAGAAAACCTGGTTTTTCTTTGTAATAGTTAATTATGAGATTATTTATTCAGCTATTATTATTATTATTATTATATTATTGAGACGGAGTCTCGCTGTCTCCCAGGCTGGAGTGCAGTGGCGCGATCTCGGCTAACTGCAAGCTCCGCCCCCCGGGTTCACGCCATTCTCCTGCCTCAGCCTCCCGAGTAGCTGGGACCACAGGCGCCCACCACCACGCCCAGCTAATTTTTTTTTTTTTTTTTTGTATTTTTAGTAGAGACGGGGTTTCACCGTGTTGGCCAGGATGGTCGCAATCTCCTGACCTCGTGATCCACCCGCCCCGGCCTCCCAAAGTGCTGGGATTACAGGCCTGAGCCACCGTGCCCGGCCTCAGCTATTATTATTAACAATAATATTTTTATTAGCTGGATGTGATGAGGCAGTATTTAACTTGACCCGGCAACCCTGAATGCCTGATTCTATACTCATCCACCTATTACTACGATGGGTTTGCAGAGATATGCCAGACAAGCACATTCCTTATTACTGTAATGATTTTGCTCCCAACGACAGTTCAGTTCTCCCAGGACCTGGACTGGACCTCGAGGGGTCTAGCACAGGGGCCCATTGCACCTGGGCTCCAGGTGGATCTGCAGCCTACACTGCAGCAGCTGAGGAGTCTCTCCTGCCCCTTCATGCTGGACTCCCCCAGTCTCACCATTCTGACACTAAGGAAGCATCACTGAGGAAAGGAAAAGAAGAGCATGCTTTTCTTAATCCTTGCTGTAGAGCTTTTCTAAGCCACTCACTCCAGACCTTCCCAGTCTTCCTACCCAGCTTTAAACTTCCCTCCTGCTAACTGAGGCTTTGGGGGCCAACAATGAAAGGATGTTCCTAAGTCCTGGAGGCATCCATGGCTCCCTGCAAGTCTGTGGAAAATTTCCAGTGTATGGAGAAAAGCCCCTGCAATGTGGAGACAGCATTTTGGGATACTTCTGGTATACTATAAGCCTGGCTGTTGATCCCATATGTGGAAGGGAAGAAACAAATGAAAAGGCAGAAAATGTTGGTGGCCCACTTCCTGCCACTAGTGGGAGCTCTAGGTTCATGCCACTCCATCAACCCAAGGATGGGGTAGAATACCAGGTGAGGATGGAGCCTGGGACGAGGGGATGAGAGACTGAGGTCAAAACTCTCCCCTGCAATATTATCTTTCCAGAGTCCTGTTACTCCACACAACTAGTTTGGCAAGAGAGGCCTGGGGCCTTTCCCTGCCTCTTGAGCCCCAGTGTGAGTTTGAAAAACAGGGCTCTAGAGATGAAGATGGGGACCCAGGGGACAGAGGCTCAAGAAGCCAGGCAGCCTGCTTCCAGGTTGCAAGCAGCCTGGGACCTGGACAAAAGGCATTCATCCTAAAAGCCCCAGGTGTTGGACTGGGCATGGTGGCTAACACCTGTAATCCCAGCACATTGGGAGACCAAGGCAGGCGGGTCACTTGAGGTCAGGAGTTTGAGACCAGCCCGGCCAACATGGTGAAACCCCATCTCCACTAAAAATACGAAAATTAGCTGGACATGGTGGCATGCACCTGTAATCCCAGCTACTCGGGAGGCTGAGGCAGGAGAATCACTTGAACACGGGAGGTGGAGGTTGTAGTGAGCGGAGATCATCTCATTAACACAAACATTGTTGGCTGGGCACAGTGCCTCATGCCTGTAATCCCAGCACTTTGGGAGGCAGAGGCGGGTGGATCACGAGGTCAGGAGATTGAGAGACCATCCTGGCTAACACGGTGAAACCCCGTCTCTTCTAAAAGTACAAAAAATTAGCTGGGCGTGGTGGCGGGTGCCTGTAGTCCCAGCCACTTGGGAGGCTGAGGCGGGAGAATTGCGTGAACCCAGGAGGCGGAGCTTGCAGTGAGCCGAGATCGCGCCACTGCACCCCATCCAGCCTGGGCGACAGAGTGAGACTCCGTCTCAAAAGAAAAAAAAGAAAAGAAAAAAAAGACAAACATCGTTAGTTTTAATTCCACTATTCTGTACCTACCAGTTTTCTTCTCTGTGCAAGTCATTATTTTAGGAAGGATGGTGTTTACAATCATAGGTTTGCTTCTGCCAAAAGAAACACCTGCTGAGAACCAAATGAAGATAGATTCTTCTCTCAGGCCTAAGAACAAGACCCGTCTAGCAACACCCTGGCTTCACTTCACTGCATTTATCACAGTTTGTGATCATGAATTTATTGGTAAGATTATTTTATTAATGTTGGTCTCATCCACTAACTTGTTAGGCTCATGGAGAACAGACTGTGTCCATCTGCTTCACTGCATTAGGCCACATGCCTAGCAGAATTCTTGGTACGTGAAAATTGACAGTCTGGTGGTTCTCAAACTATGTCCTGGTGGTTCTCCCACACCAGGAGCTGCAGCAAACTCAGAAGGGCACCATGATATTTTACATTTTTTAGGTAAAAGCACAGCGATCCTCAATATCTTGGGGACCCAGAGCAGATGACCAGTTTGAGTTAGTTAGTAACTTCAACATCAGTTCATCCACATTCCTTTCAATTACATCAAGGCTTTTGAAACTGGGCTTCTGGTTGTTGCTGTGATAAAATGCAAGTGTCTCACAAAAATGAATGTGAAACAGGAAAGGAGGGTGGTGGTGTCCAATCTAATTCCAAGGTTTGAGAAACCAGGCAGTACCCAATAAAAGCACATATCCCATTAGTAATTGTGGTTATTTACACATGACAAAAAAGTAGCATTGTTTTTCTTCCTATTTATGTGTATTCTTTTTCAAACAGCTACTAAGTTATTGAGACAGAAATGCTTAGCAAATCGTGTGGGATTTACCTAAGAAATGGCACAGTTAGGTATTTCTTTTAGCCCAGGGGCACTGTGAAATGTTCACTGAGAAACTAAGGGCACCGTGAACTGAGGTTTGAGAGCTTCTGGCCTAGTCAATACTTGTTGATGGATCGATGGATTCAGGATCCCATGCCTTTGATTATGTCCTTGATCACTTTACCCACAAAATATTATAAATCAGAATAAACAAAAAAACACCCTTAGAGAAAAAACATCACTGTATCTTTGTTTTTCCTCACAGAGGAGAGGAGAGCTCTACCACTGTGCTCTCTTTTTGAAGACTTACCATTTACTGTTTGTTGAATACTTACTATTAGTCAGGCCGTAGGCTTGGTTTTTTCCCCGCTTTTCTCCCCACTTCAATAAGATGGTCTAAGCTGGAATTTATTTATTTATTTTTAACACAAGAGTCAAAGGAGGTTTGCTTTAATACTAATAACCATTCTTTTCATGATGATGATACATTTTTATAATCCATCACGATTAGTTATAATTTTAACAAATCATATCTTTATTGCTATTGTGAAAGTTTAAGCTTTAACAACCTGCCAAACATTGTTTAAGCAATTTACTTAGGCTAGTTTATTAAATGAGAGTAAAATCTTAAAGAAGTGGGTGTTATTAGGATGATGACTCTTATTTCATGAAATAAGTAAACAAGCAAATAAATAAAGGTTTGGCAAGGTCACATGACTAGCCCAAAGTCTCACTGCTATTGGTGGGGGAAACAGGTTTTGAATTGACCGTGCTCCATGCTAATAATGCCTGCAAAATATGAGAAGTTACTTGGTTACTAGTAATCACTTGGTTACTAGATAGAAATGACTTGTTACTGATGTGAAAATTAGGGGTAGAGAAGGCTCCTTACATTCTGGTGTGTTTTATGTAGTTCAGTGTGCTACCATTCTGAGTGAGCTGGAAGTTTTAAGAAATGCAAAGGGACAGAGAACCAAACTTCTCTCCTGAAGATTCAGTAGCTCTTTTTATAGAAGTGTACCCATTGCGGGGGAAGGTGGGCCTCTCAGATTTAGGGTACTTATTCTAAGTTGAAATGTAATTGCCCTTGGAGAGTGATATGTGTTGAAGTGGTGGGGTGGCCAGGTGAACAGTGGATCAGGCATTCTCGGTGCCCCTCCCCAATCTGACCGTCTCTTCTACAATCACCTGTACTGAAGGTACACTGAAGGTCAGATATGCCAGGAAATCTAATACAAAGAAAAAGAAGATCATATCTTCTCTATGTCATGGTGACAAACAATACAAGGAGACTTCTAAAAGTTTGTGAAAAAATGACATTAAAAGATAACATGAAAAACATAATCTTTATTTCTCAATATAGGCTCCATCAAGGTCAAGACACTTTTGTAAGCCATGATACCAGCCATTTAGTTAGTCCATCCCTAAAGAACTGAGGGTCCTGGGAACTTAACCATGTCATTGCAGTCTTTTTTACATTATTAACTGAAGAAAAATGGCTACCCTTTAAAGATTTTTTTAAAATTAGAAGATAAAAGGAAGTCAGGAAGAGCCAAATCAAGACAGTAAGATGAATGCCTAATCTCATTGAAACTCTTGCAAAATTGCCATTGTTGTGTGAAAGGAATGAGCAGGAGCATTGTCCTGGTGGAGAAGGACTCTCTGGTTGAAGCTTTCCATGGCATTTTTCTGCTAATGCTTTGACTTTCTCAAAATACTTTCATAATAAGCAGATTTTATTACTCTCTGGCTCTCCAGAAAGCCAACAAGCAAAATGCCTTGAGCATTCCCGAAAACTGTTGCCATGACCGTTGCTCTTGAATGGTCCACTTTTGCTTTGACTGGACCACTTCCACATCTTGGTAGCCATTACTTTGGTTATGCTTCGTCTTCAGGATCATACTGATAAAGCCATGTTTCATCTACTGTTACAATTCGTCAGATAAATGCTTCAGGATTTTGATCCCACTTACTTAGTTTCCATGGAAGTTCTACTCTTGTCTGCAGCTGATCTGGGTGCAATGGTTTTGGTACCCATCAAATGGAACGTTTGATGAGCTTTAATTTTCCAGTCAGAATTATATATGCTGAATCAATTAAGATGTCTATGGTGTTGGTTATTTTGTGTGCTGTTAATCTTCTGTCCTTTTCAGTTAGGGCACAAACAAGTTGAATTTTTTCCTTGCAAATTGATGTGGATGATCTCTGCTGTGGTCTTCATCTTGAATATCATCTTGTTTCTTCTTAAAAAGAGTTATCTATCTATCTGTAAACTGCTGATTTCTTTGGGCATTGTCCTCACAAATGTTTTGTAAAGCATTAATGACTTCACCATTCTTCCACCCAAGCTTCATCATAAATTCAGTATTATTGCTTGCTTCAATTTTATCATAATTCATGTTGCTCTGATACGGGCTCTTTTCAAACTGATGTGTTATCCTTCTTATTGCCTCAAGCTAGATACTGTTCAGACATGTTATAATAAGTTAGTATGAGTTTATTTTGGTGCAGAAAAATTTTTGAAATCCATGTATAGTTTTTTCATAATACACATTTTCCATGAACTTTTTGCAGACTCCCGGTATTTCTCTTTTTTGCATGAATTGTGGAGGAAACAGTATTTTCTGAATTTGTCACCCCACCTGAATAGGTAAGTTGAGTTGATAACAAGTGAGATACCAGAATTCTAGGCTGGAGCTAACATCACACGTATCCAACACTGGCTATAGGGCAGTCCCTTCTGGTCTGGCCCCTGCTCTGTTACTACCTGCAAGGGAATGTTCGAGTGCTACCAGCAGTTTCAAAAGGAATAGTTTTAAAAGAGAATATGTGTTGGCTAAAGCTCATAAAGAACCAACAGTCTCAGAGAAGGATGTAGTCCTTGTCACAAGGAGACACTATCCCACAGGAAAAAAAAATATCTTTTGCATGTTTTCTACCTACACATTTTGTTTTTTGCATTATCATATTAATAATACTTGTCCTCATAAAATAAAAATTTTCAACAACAAAATATAGAGATAATTAGCTTCTGGAAAGATATGCAGTAAAGCAGCCCCAGGTTCAATTTTAGGTAGTAGATTTTACTATTTCGTGCCAGACATATTATTTCTTATAACAAATATTTTTAGAGCACCTAGTGAATGCCAGGCTCCATGATAGATACAAGAAAACAATAGTCATTGCCTTCACACCATGGTTCTTCTAGAATGAGAACCAGATATGAGAAAGCAAATAAATAAAAGACCTGTAGATTGTGATTAATACTACTAAAGAAATAAATAAAGAGCTTTGCTAGAGAATGAGAACAAGAGCCCTAAGAAGAATATTTTGGCAGAGGGAATGGTAGAGGTAACGTTCCTAGTAGGTATTGGGATTAAATTATTTAAAACACAGTTCTTGTAAGTAGATACTTCCGTATCAATAAAACCAGTGCTGTAATAGGGGCATGTACAGGTTACTATTGGAACACAAAAAAGGGCCACTTAGTACCAAATGTAGGGGGAGCTACTTCAAAAGATGGCACTTGAGCAGTACTATGGTGAGCAGGGACTGGTCAAGGAATGATTCTGAGGAGGGAAGAAAATGGTTCAGATCAGAGGAGGCAGCACATGCAAAGTGGTGCCATCAATAATTCAGAAACCCATAATCAATCTGGCTAAATGGAACCAGGTCCCAGAAAAGGTTAGAAAAGATAGGATTGAAATTAAAGTTGGCAAGATTTTATACTAATTGTTCAAAGTTCACAGATAATATTGCTATTAACAATTTTATGTCCTTAGCTCCAGCTCAAACTTTTAAAAATTTGCTGCAGAGCACATTGGTGTAACTCAAGATTTTAAGAACTTGCCTATCCTTTAATAAATACCCTGCAAATTTACCTGGTGCCAGCTGTTTCTCATCTCTTTCTTTGACTCCATTGTCGTCTCTTCATTCCACTCCATAGGGTGGCAGCTGGAAGAGTTATACAATTGGACTAGGAATGCTGAAGTATACAGTGTGACCTAAGAAAGGTTCATCTGTTGTACAGAAGCTATGAGGTATTTATTATTGCATAATAACCTATAGCTCCGGGCCCACATGGGCCATTCTGTGTAACTTCCCTAGTCATTGTATAGTATCAAAGACAGCATGGAGAGATCAGAACTTTTTTTTTTTTAGGAGATGGATTCTTGTATTTTACTTGTGTCTTTTGAAACACTCCCAGCTGGAACTGTCCTTAGCTCCAGCCTTTTATATGCCTCTCTCAATGGAGTGTCAAACTCATTTTCTCCACCCTCACCCCAGATGTTCTGTCAATTTGTGTGTTTAATCTTGGTCTCCCTGCCACTTCTCTTACATAGGTCTAGCTTCTCTTACTTTGTTCTCTCCTTGTTACTCCCCTCTATCTGGTTCTGTCTTCCTTTGCCCATCATCCAACTGTACATTACCAAAGTTTAGTACCTGGAACCTGGCAGGCAGAGACAGAACCCAGAAAGCAGGCCCTGGAATCAGTCTGTGTGTGTTTCATGTGAGACTCCCTCCCCACTGACCAGCCTTAGCAAAATAATTTACCTTCTTCAAGTCTTAGTTTCTTCAACAAAAGGGGGCTAATGATGGTAATGACCTGATTCAGTAAAGAGTGTTTGACTGCAAATAATAGGACACAGAACTAAACATGAGCCAGGCAGTCCAGCTGGACAACTCTCTCTCCTAATGAGAAATCGAGAAATAGGAGGTACAGATGCGGGAGGGCAGCTCCGCAATATCTTAGAGACTCAGGGTCTTCCCTTTCCCAGCTCCCCCTCCACCATCCTTGGTCCTTTGGCTTGTGTCATGCTGGTCATGCTGGTCACCTCATGTTTCTAAGGTGACCCCCACAGCCCCAGGCCATTTGACAACTTTCAAAGTCAAGGAGTGGAGGACAAATGCCTTCCACTTTTTGAGGCACTGTTCTTTCATCTGCAAAAAGAAACATCCCAGAAAACTTCCCCTGACCTCCCATTGCTCAGAACACAGCCACGTGGCCACCTCTTGCTGGACAGGGAGCTGAGGACATGCCTATCTTGCAAAGCAGGGCAGAACACAGTGGTGCATTCAGGTCAATTATGAGCCACACCATGGGTGTGAACTAAATTGGGGTTCTCTTAGCAAAGAAGCATGAGTAAACAGGGATCTGTTTTTACCCACTTCACGATGTTGTCATGAGGATTAAATGAGGTGACATCCTTGGAACACTGCCTGGGACTTCGTAAGAGCTTAGTAAGTGTTAGCTACTATTTTTTATTTTTATCTTAATTATTTTTGATTCTGCCTCATCACCCCTTGCTGTAGCAGCCTGGAGTCTTATGTGCAGCCATTTCACATTCACTCTGAGGTGTGCACACCTGTACTGTAAGCAGCATAGACAAAGGCAGCTCATGTTTATGGGTGAAGCTGCAGTGGTAGCTGAGATCCACGGGAAGGACAGGGGCCGAGAGCAAGGAAAGAGAGTTAGGAGTCTAGAATAATCTTTAACCAAATGGAGCACGGAGACCAGTGGTGACACTTGGAAGTATTGTTAGGCAGTCTGTGGTCTGGACGCTATGAGACTAGAGAGAATCTGCATCAATCTCTTGACTACATGGTTTCCCCCAAAGCAGTCCCAGAACCGGAGTGAAGAAGGCAGGAAGTAGTACAAATCCAGGCTTGGAGCTTTGCCTTGTGGATGAGCTGAAAGGACAAGGAGACTTGAGAACATAAGCCAGAGAGTGGATAGACTGATGGATGGTGGATCCATGACAGTAGACATGGGAGTGAAACTTGGAGGGGCTGATAAATTAGGATAAAAATGAAGAGACTGGTCAAGGGACCGAGTGTCTTTTTAAGTCAAATAACTGGTACAGTCAGTGAGAGTGAAGAGAGAGCCAGAAGAGGAAAAACTTGCAAAATGAGAACTGAATAAATCTATTCCTGTCTGCCTGTACCACACATCACAGGTCTACCCACAGGTTTGACATATGTTTCCACAAAATTGTTCCCAAGTTTCTATTTTTCTGTGAAGAGTTTCAAATCCCCACATATTTCTATTACACTTCCACTGATGTGTTCTATCTCCCAAAGCATCCCCAGCGGTGCCAAGACTCACAGTGCCCACAAGACTTCCCTGCCTCCTCTGAGATCATGCCCAAGGGTGAACATTCAACCAGGGCTGGGACAATCCTAGTGCCTTGACCCACGTCTCCCTTGGTGGCTGCCACAGCCACTGCCACTTTGTCATGGTCACCCAAAGGCAACAGCTATGCTGGCCACTTACTCACAGAAAGGGTAGATTCAATAGGGGTCTTGGGTAGAGAGATGGGTAGTCCTGTGAAGAGGACAGTCTTCTGGTGGTGACTGGCAGACCAAGGTCAGCTACCATCTTCCCAGTATGGGTCTTCATCTCTGACCTTTTTCCCGTCTCCATATTCATATTTCTAACTGCCGGACACATCCACCATGGGAGTGGGCATCTCACACTCAGTATTTTCAAACTAGAAACCTTGTTTTTTCCCTTCAGTCATGCTCCTCTCCTTTGCAATTCTTAGGTAATATGTCACCATTCAACCAGTCACTGCTGCTAGAAAACACAGAATCATCTGGAGTTTTCCATGGCCTCCACTCTGTTCCTGTCACATCTGTTTTCCCACCAAGCTCAGGCAATTCTATTTCTGAAAATATCTCTAACCCATCCTCTCCCAGCCTCAAGCATTTATATTGACTCAGACCAGTATCAACTTCCCTGATGGACTTTCTACCTCCAATAGCTCTGAACAAGGAAACAGGACAACTCTGGTAAACAATGATCCTGGTGGAAGGAGGTGGACAAAAAACCTGAGTGACAGTGAGTGGCCACTGATCAGAAGACTCAGGGACCTGTAGCTGTTTTAGCTCCTGGAAATAAGGCAGTGAGAGATATTGTCTAGTATCTGGTATGAAGTGAGCTGCTGATACTGTGGCAGGCAGAGCACCATTGTTTGCAGACTGCAGCAGGATCCACCAGGTCCCTCCAATTGCTACTATAATTAGCTCAGGAGATTAAATTCTGTTTTGTTAAATGCTATTCATTCATTACCTACCATGTTTCAGGTCCTGGTTGAGACCATAGGGGTATCAGGCAATGCATGAGAACAGCATGTGCCATGCCTCATGAAGGAAACTTACAGTCTAGCTGGGAAGACAGATATTAATCAAGTGTGTTGAGTGTTATGAAGAAGAAAGTCAGGGTCCAGTGGAGCATATACCTGGAAGACTTAACCTAGTCTAGGGGTTCATGGAAGGCTTCCCTGTGGAAGTGATAAGAAAAGATCATGCAAGTAGTTAAAAAAGAATGAATTAACAGCATTTGCAGTGACCTGGACGAGACTGGAGACTATTATTCTAAGTGAAGTAACTCAGGTGTGGAAAACCAAACATCACATATTCTCACTGATATGTGGGAGCTAAGCTATGAGGATGTGAAGGCATAAGAATGATACAATGGACTTTGGAGGTTTCGGGGAGGAATGGTGGGGGGCCGAGGGATAAAAATCTATAAATATGGTGCAGTGTATACTGCTCAAGTGATGGATGCACCAAAATCTCACAAATCACCACTAAAGAACTTACTTATGTAACCAAATGCCGCCTGTATCCCCATAACTTCTGGAAAAATAAAATAAAATAATTAAAAAAAGAAAAGATTATGCAAGTAGGGAATACCCACAATGGGTGGGAAGGGGGGGAATTGCATTCCAGAGAGAGAAACAAAAGATGAAATTTTATTAGTTGTCCAATTTCAAAATACATTGATTCTTGGAAATGAGTGAGAGATTTTCAAATGAGGCATGTGGTCACAGTATAGCTGCTTCTTGGAGACCCTTGGTTTTAGCACCACTATGATTTTCTCAAATATATCTGCTAATGTCTGTAATGGCAGAATATCCCATTGCAAGCTAAAGTCTTCGATGAAATCATCATATTTTATTTTTAACACTCATGTATTCATTCATTCAATAAATATTTATTGATTACCTACTATGCCAGGTACTGTTCGGGGAGCTAGGGAATCAGTGATATGAAAATTATCTTTCATATCAGTGATATGAAAATTATCTTTCATATCAGTGATATGAAATATCTTAGTGTAAAATGGAAGCTGTAAGAACATGCCTCAAATTGTGTTCTGTAACTTTTGTGTGCCTTGTATACATGATCATTCCAGGGGAGCACATGGACCCCAATTTCAAAAACCTTAGAGTAAGTCATGGAAAGTCAAGGTTTGGGAGTTCTCAACCTAGTCCTGCCTGAAAGTGTTTTCTGATCTCAGAAGTTCATTTAGCCTCTCTGGTTTCTGAAAATAAGAGGACTCAGCTAGATGAATTCTGAAGCCATTTCCAGTTCTACACATATATAAATTTGTACACTCACATGGTTGGAAGCGACCCTAAAGCCATCTTGCCAATTACACTAAACCCTTAAATCAGTCATTAGTAGAATCTTAAGGAAAGAGCAGCAAGTGTCAGGAACACTTAGGAAGAAAAATGAGAAACTCCGACCAAGAAGGGCCACTGGAGAGTGTTTATTCAGAGACACACAAACATACGGAAGCTTTGCCATGAGGTCACCTCCACTTATCTCTGCACTGCTGATGGACTATACACATTTGTTGGAATTCTTCTCTCAGAAGCTGTGAGTCAGCCGGAAGCCAAGTCACAAATAGGTCCACAATTAACTCAAGAAGTAGGAGCCCTTGCTTTCTTATCTTCCTACCACCCTCATTTTTCTGGTGATGTGAAAGTGAAAATTCTTTGGAGCTCAGAAGGAGGTTCTGCAAAAGGCAGAATTCACAAATGTAAAGCATTTTTTTTTAGGACAAGACAGAAGACATGACATTCGTGGGAACCACCACATTTACAAGAGGCAGCACTCCTCCAGGATTCACCTCCAAACTTTTTCGAATGCTTCCTGTGGAAAAGTCTTGTCAAGGATGGTCTTATTTTTTTAATCAGGAATTATTTTCTCACTGATCATTGCCAAACTAAAAATCTTGGGAATTTCATTTTAGCCTTTTACTGTGGGACACTCATTGCTAAAGGAGACCATTTCAGACAAACCACATTTAATAATGTGTGTTCCAATCCTCCAAATTTCTGGTGTGCCAGCTCTGTTGGACTCTACTAGGCTTTGGGAAATGTCTTTGCCTTCACTGGGAATGGCATCAGGAGGGCTCCCTGAGAGCTCTTTGCTGACGCCCTGCAGGTTTATAAAATGATGCTTCCCCAGATCATAACCAGTAACTCATGTGTACACAGAAGAGTAAGGTAAAAATCAATCAGCCTCATATTCAGCCTTCTGGGAAAAGAAGTAAAATATGTAGCAGGGAAAGGTGAACCGGGGTTTTCAGTGGAGGGGGCAGGGCTTCCCACCTTCACTTAGGAATGCTATTCATTGACATTTATTGCTTCCTTACACATTGACACACATTGTTCCAAGTACCTTGAATGCATCAACACATTTAATCTTCATAGTAAGTCATAAGGCCAGTGCTTTTGTTCTTTTCAGTAGGCAAATGAGGGAACTCAGACACAGAGACGGGAAGTGACGTTCTAAGGAAATGTAGCCAGGAAGTGGCAAAGCTGGAATTCAAACCCAGGCAGGCTGGGTCCAGCTCAGGCTTTTACCCTCTGAGCTACACAGCCCCTTCAGGAGCAAAAGGAACCAGGGCTGAGGGACCAGCTCATGGCCATCTAGGTTTCCTGAAGCTTGGCGTGCTAGGGAGACCTTAGCTCTTCCTTTCCACACCTCTGGTCAGCTGAACAAGGGAATGTGCAAAGCACTATCAACTAGTAAAGATTTCAAGATTTCTTAATTTGCAACAAGGTGGCCAGGAAAATATGAGGGTTGTTTCCTATGTCTGTTTTATTTTCCCTGCTCCAACCCCCAGCTCTTCTAATTTCTCCATGTGGTCACAAACATTTGTCTAATCCAACATATTTAAGGACATCTGTAATACCTAAGTAGATGTACACACACACACACACACACACACACACACACACACGGCAAAAGAGAAATTCAAAGTGTGTTCAATAGTTTCAAAAGTAGTCATTTACCCTATTTTAATAGAATTGGCTTCAGAATTGAAAAGAAACTTAAAATTCCTTTTGTCCAATAGGTCTCAACTAGAGGCAATAGCTCCCTCCAAAAGATTCTCTCGAGGGCTCTGGGTTTTTACAATGGCTGAGGGTGGAGTATCGTGCTACTCATATTTAGGGAGGCCAGGAATAATACATATAATGTAACGTGAGGGATAGTCTCTCTCAACAGCAACTTTTTCTGCCTCAATTGCTAATGGTACTCCCTTAATAAACACCAACTGAGGTTCAACACTTTTATTTTACAGTTGAGAAAATTAGTCATAGAAAGATAAAGAATCTTTCTTAAGGTCTCTTAGCTAGTTAATAGCACAGCCTGAAGCTGAATCTAGTTTTATACATGTATAGGAAAGAACTGTGTTGTTGTTTTTGTTGTTGTTTTTTCCTAGAGAAGGCTCTGTGGACCAGAGAGTCCATAGAAGTCAAAACTATTTACATAATAACACCAGGACATTATTTGCTTGTATCAATATCATTCTCTCACCAAGCGTACAACAGTTTTCCAGAAGCCACATGATATGTGATAATATTGTTTAATGAAATATGTCAACATGTAGAAGGTCTGATGACAAATATTTTCCAAATAACAAATATATAATGTTATAGAATTATGTGTAGGTAAAAGGTCCATTAAAAGTACAGGACAAATGGCTTTTAATATAACTAAGTACAAAGAGTTTACTAAAAGATTTAAGATTTTCCCTTGCAACTAACATTGAAGAAACTACCATTCATTAAGTTTTAGTGTAGTGTCAAAGAACAATAGGCACAATTATCTGAACAGACGATTAAAATATGTTTTCCTTTTTCAACTATAAATTTGTGTGAAGCCAAGTGTTTTTCACATATTTCAACCAAAACGACATATTGCAATGGATTGAATGCAAAGCAGATAGGGAAATACAGGTGTCTTTTTTTTTTTTTTTTTTTTTTTTTGAGATAGGGTCTCGCTCTGTCGCATAGGCTGGAGTGCAGTGGCATGATCTCAGCTCGCTGCAACATCCGCCTCGCGGGTTCAAGCAATTCTCCTGCCTCAGCCTCCTGAGTAGCTGGGCCTACAAGCATGCCCCACCACGCCCGGCTAATTTTTTGTATTTTTATTAGAGACGAGGTTTCACCATGCTGGCCAGGCTGGTCTCAAACTCCTGATCTCATGATCTGCCCACCTCAGCCTCCCAAAGTGCTGGGATTTCAAGTATGAGCCACGGCGCCTGGCCCCCAGGTGTTTTACATTAAGTCAGACACTGATGAGATTTACAAAATTGTAAAGCAATGCCAATCTTCTCATGAAACTAATTTTGTTTTGAAAAACATTTATTATTCAAACAAATATAAATAACAACTGTTATTTATATTAATGTGCAATGAGTTTGTTAGTTTTAGAATGAATTAATACATATATATTTTAATTTTCAGTTTTAATTCCTAATATGGTAAATATCAATAGATAAAACCCACATGAACACAAGCTCTTTGGAGTCAGTGATTTTTTAAGGTGATAAAGAGCTTCTGAGAATAAAATATTAGGGAATTGCTGCCGTATATCATACCCATTTGACTAAATCTCATTCTCCTGGGTGAGACCAGGGAATCTATTTTTTAAATTACTCTTCAGAAGATTCTGATGCACAAACTAGCTTGAAAACCATTGAAACAGAGTGCATCTTTGTTGAAGAAAGTCCCATTCTAATGTTGGGCTATAGGAACAATGTTAGGATCAAGGGCAGTTCTTTGAGAACTTCAAGGATGCTGTTGGCTATGTGTCAACAGGAAACAGAGATACATTCCCCTAGAATGAGGGAAGAAAGAAGCACCCAACCCAACTCTTAATCAGTCTTAACAAGAAAAGCAGCTGCACATCAAATGGAAGGATGAGCAAAAAGGATCAGTTCCAATTCTGGGCATTATTGGCAGGACTACGGGCTTAGTGGGAAAGGCCATAGTCTCAGTCAAGAGGAATGTGATTCTCCCAGTATTTGTACTAACCTCAAGGCCAGACAGGGTAAAGACGTAGCTTTGGAACCAAATTTGACTCACAAATGTGCATTATTTATACTTCTAAGAATTGTATAAACACTTTCTGTAACCAGGTGGAAAAATTCAAAAACTTTTAAGTTCCGTATTTCCAGTTTATCTTAAAAATTGGAATATCTGGTACACACAGGTCTAAACTCCATTATGGTAACAGTCATCTAGAACTGCATAGCTGTTGCTCCCAACAGCTGAGGCCTGAGCTGTCCAATGGTACCCTGGCGACTTTCCTTTTTTTATGTTACTTGCTTGGCCCTGGGGTTGCCATTCTGCTGTAGGGAGCTCAAAGAGAATCCTGGGATCCTTGGATGGTCTGAGAAGAAGACAGGAACTAGGGCTGTACTGGTGGACAACAAGATGGCCATACAGGATGAGATGGCATAGAAGAGTCTGTAATCTGGCATTGCAACTTCAGGTTGGTTTAATTTGCCTGGAGCACAAGAGTTACAGGCAAACATTCCAATCTTCCTATTCCTGATTTTAAGTTGTCACATCAGTAATAGCACTAGTATTAGCTCTAAAGGGTTCAAATTAGCTGTAGGTGGTTGATTAACTGCATCTTTTTGGTGAATATCAGAGTTACCAGTATTTGCCATTGTGTCTTTTTCTATATCAGTTGTGCACCCATGAAAAGAGCAGTTCTAACAAACCTCATAGTATCTCCCATATGGAAATCTCTCGTTCTGCTGCTGAATTTTCATATTTGGTCTTTGTTTGTCAAGCCAGTTAAGGAAAGTCACTTCCTCAAGTGACAGCTGTGGATCCAAAAACATCTACCAAAGATAAGCAGTTGTCATGGCAAAAAACAACAAACCTAAAGGTGATAGATCATGGGACTCGGTTACTGTACTTGCTGTGTAAATCCGCACTGCCTTCACCCTTTACTTAACTCCACACGCAGCTTTTCAACACCATGCCCTGGGATGTGTCAAAAGCACTTTGCTTCTCACTTTGCAACTCCTCAAGCAAATAACATTCTGCTGCATCATGTGGACCTCTACTTATTAAATAATATTTCTTGGCAGCATTTATTTATTAAAATCTGGCTTTTGTTCAAGTATATTCCTGAAAGCTCAGAAAATGCAGAATATTGTCTAGGAGAATCTGAAATTTTTTCTTTGTTATTTATTTTCTGCCTCATTGAAACAAAAATATTGAGGTAAATCTTAGAAAAAATTTCACTGAAAACATCTTCATGGCAAAAGGTTGAGTCTTAATACTAGAACTTGAGAAACCTAGATCTTGTGGTCAATCCTTTTGCTGACTGATACAATGACCTTAGTTAAGTTGCTTAATTTTTCTGTGATTCCTTTGTTGAAAGTGCAAGCATTCCAAATATAGCTTTAAAATATACTAGTAAACCAAAAGAACTGAAAGTAGTCTTTGGCTCTAGCTTAAATACATCATTTAGCTTGGGTCACCAAATTTTAAAGACCTGTCATGATTTGACTTAAGAAAAATTGTTATCCCATTAAGGAATATTTGCCATGCCTACAAGTATTCTTCAAAACTTGATTTTAGTCAACACACTCATTTCTGGGTGAATCTTAATTTACTTAGCCAAGCTCTGATTGTTGGGATTTAGGGGAGGGAAGGAGGAATGTCTGCCCTTCACTTCAGGTACAGGAAGAGTTGTTCAAATGGTACCCCTGGGATAACTTGATATGTGTTCCTACATTTGGGGGTGGGGGGCAGGGAGGACTCAAGTCTGAGCCCACTCAGAAATCTGAGGTCAAGAGAGAGCCTGGCAGCCTGGTCTGGTGGAGGAGCGAAGAAGAGAAGCTATTGTTGAGCAGGGACTGGCTTGCACCCTTAGGGTTCATCAAGGCAAGGAAGATAGGGATGTTTCCTATAGACCCTGCACAGGCAGTACACAGAAGAGAGAGAATCCATTTGGAGGATTCTCACAATTTATCTGTGAGAGTTTTTAAAGATGTCTGAAGATTCATCAGCACACTTCCCATCAGGAGGTGGAATCTAATTCTCCTCCCCTTGATTATAAGCTGGTCTTGTGACTCAGTCCTACCACACGGGGTGAGGAGAAAGTAACGCTGCATGGCTCTCAGGGTTAGGTAATAAAAGCCAATACAGGTCTCTCTCTCTCTCTCTCTCTCTCTCTCTCTCTCTTTTCTGAACAGAAAGTCTGGTTACCCTGAGGTAGCTGTTTAGAAAGACAGCGTGGAGGGAACAGACAGAGAGATCTAAGAAGCCCCAACCCAGGTGCCTTCAAAATGATGGCATCCCTGTTACCATCAGATGATATGAGATCTCAAGGGAGAATATTCTCCTTAAGCCCATCTGAATCAACCATCAGATTCATGAGCAAAATAAATGATTGTTATTATCGAAAGCACTGTCTGGGTGTGGTTTGTTACACAGTGATAGATAACGACATCATGGCACCATCCGATAAGACTGCCTGGAGGCATAAGGGGACATTAGCACAGAGGAGCCTGGCTGGTCTGCAGGTTCTCTGGGCTTTGCAGGAGTAAGCACCCAGGCCTCAAGTCACAGGAACTGCAGATTGAGAGGTTTTCCAAGAACTCTCCCAAGAGAAAGTAAGGCTTTAAGCTTCTTCCAGGCTCAGATGATGTGAACTTGGTCTAGGATAGTCCAAGGAAGAGACAAAATAGAAAACACTTTCCTTTTCCCTCTACCTTTTCTTATTCCCTTGGCAGTTTCATTAGGCCAGGCCAAAAATGACAGTTATTTTGCCAACAAAACCTTGTAATAATTTTGAAATGGAGAAACCACTTCTAAGTATGAGGCACCTAAGTGAAGAAGCCACAAAGGGAAAGACTGAAAGATTTGACTAAATAAAAATGTAAACTTTTTAAACAACAAAATGTATTATTTTTAAAAAGTTAAAAGATGAGCAACAAACTGGGAAAACTATCCATAGCATATAACAAAGGATTAATTGTGCATAATACATAGAATTCCAACAAATTAGCTAGAAAAATATGAACACTGGGTAAAAGGAAAAGTTTATTTATGAAATGAAGAAAACTGGTCAGGAAATATGTCAAAATATGTTCAAACTCACCAATCATTAAATAATTAAATTTTAATTTTAAGTCAATTTAAATCATTAAAGAAATAAATGTATAACAAGGAATTATTGTACTTAGCATCTGTAACAATTTTCCAGACCGGTTGTAACAGTGTATCACAAACTGGTCTAAACAACAGAAATTTATTCATCTCTCAGTTTCAGAAGCTAGAAGTCCAAGATCAAGGTGTAGGCTTGGTTGGTTCTTTCTGATAGTCGTGAGGGGGAATCTGTTCTATGCCTCGCCCATAGTTTCTGGTGATTTGCTGGCAATCTTTGGTGTTCTTTGACTTGTAGGAGCATCACTGCAATCCTTACCTTCATGTTCAATGGCATTCTCCCTGTGTTCCAACTGTCTCTGTGTCCAAATTTGCCCTTTCTGTAAGGACAACAGTCATATTGGGTTACAGTCTACCCTAAGGATCTCATTTTAACTTGATTACCTCTATGAAGACCCTATTTCCAAATAATGTCACATTCTACGGTATGTGGGGTTAGGGATTCAACATATCTTTCTGGGAGAACACAATTCAATCCATAACAGGGTCCATTGAGAAAAGCAATAGTATTGAATATTGGAAACTGTAGAAATAGTACTCTTATACACAGCTGATGGATTATAATTTGATGTAAAGTTTTGGAGAGTCATTTTTGGTAGTATCTCTCAGAATTATATATTTTAAATGTGCATAGCCTTTTCTCCAGGAATTTCACTTTTAATGAATATAGCAAAATCTAAAATAGGTGAAGTCAACATAAAAAAAGAGAATCTTTGAGGGTAGGGTTTTCAGGACTCGGTGTTGGAAAGACTCCCAGGAAAGGTAGTGAAAATGTCAGTCAGTTCAGTTGAGAATCTTCTGAAGTTCTGGGGAAACATGCCTCTTCCCCAGTGGGGGTCGAGGAGGAAAGAAAAACCTCTCAGGTCCATGTGATGTCTCCTCACTAAGGGTTGGGAGTTTCCAGTTAGTTGACAGACAGATTTCATAAGAGAGGGAGGGGAAAATCCTGAAAAGACATAGCTGGCCAGGACCCTGGCAGAATGTTTGGGGCATGAGATTAGCCAGCAGTGTCAGCCTGATTCCTCCTTGAGCTGTGGGCTGAGCATCTTGGTCTCACACCCAACACCTTCTAGGCTCCCAGCCTTGAGAGAAATGTCTGGGCAATTCTGATGAGGAGCCGAGAGGACTCAGAGACCAAATGAGTGCCCCAGGGTCTCTATAGGGTTATCCAACCTGTGCATATGACTCTGCTCTGTCCTTGTCATCACTCCGTGTCTATCTCTGCAGAATTCTCAGTGAGCTCTTAACCTATGGGACCCATACATTGAGAAAGGGCAGGAAGAGGAAGCACCTGTATTGCAGGGAGAAAACTCTTAAAGATGTAGTAGTGAAGAACAGCTCCAAAGAGGGAAGGAAAGCAAGAGACAGGAAAAAGCCCCAGGGGAGGGATGGAAGTATGGTAGGCAGCCTGGATCCTGAGGTATGAGGCCCACTCAGTGTCGCCTGGCTAAAGCTTGGGGGTTTCCAGTTTGTTGACAGATTTTGTAGGAAAATGGATGTGAAAGTTCACTACTTTTGTGGTTTTAAGTAGAAGGCAGCATGGCAGAGCAGGGAAGGGCTTGATTGCTGGAAGTGAGCTGCTTGGGTTCGCAATCCTACTTCTGCTTCTGCCTGGTTGAATGACCTCTAAGAGTATGCCTTCTTCACTGTGACTCAATTTCTTCACGTATAAACTGGGGATGATGATTTTGGGGTGTTACTACTGTTTTTAGCATTGGCAGACATGGTCAAGGGGATTTCCACTTCAAATCTCAAAGCTATTCTTCAATGATGAACCTTACTAGAATAATTTGTTTAGTGTAAACAAATTAATGCTTTGTGATTAGTCATCTTCTGAATAGCCCTTCTAGGCATGGAAAGGCAAACGACTTCATCTTTCTCTGGATCTTTCCACTCATGTAACCTTCTGAGCAATACCTGACTTAAGCTGCCAGATTTAGCAGATAAAAACATCCAACCAAATTTGAATTTCAGGTAGTCAACCAACATTATTTAGTATAAGTATGTTCTGTACAACATTTGAGACAGACTTATACTAAACAAACTACTCATGGTTTGATCTTAGATTCATATTTAATTGGACATCCTGTATTTCATCTGGCAACCTGATATCTGACCCCAAACTGCACAAAGCAGGTGAGCCTGGACCTGGGGAGCTAGAATGCAGGTGTAATTCCCCGGTGTACACCTCGCTCAGGCATAGTCTGCAACTGTGCTTTTGCAGGATCTCTTTTAAAAGCAAGAACAACAACAACAACAAAGAATAAAACATGCGATATTTGCAGCAAAAGACGTAACAGGAGCTGGTCTCATGTAAATATTACGTTAATTAAAACAGATGGGTCTGGAGCATAAACAAAATAGCTGCAGGGGGCTGGTTTTTGTTCTTGCTGGGTTTCTTAATATAGTAACTCAGTTTCCATCCTGTTAGCACTCTTTCCTTATCAAACATTGAACTGGGGTATAAGGAAGTTTAAATTACCAGTGATTGGAGATCCGTTTTCTAAACACTTGAAACAGATGGCTTATTGCCTGAAAAGCATGTTGAGTTTGGTTATTTCAGGAAAATGTTTTATTGCAGCTCATTTATTAACATCAGGTTTGCCATGTGATGAACAATTTCCCTTCAGCTCTGTTCCTTGCATTGAGTTTGGCTACTGAGCAAAGAAAGGTTTCATTTTTAATGCTGTCTGCCTGCTTCTTGGACATTGCATTGAGCAAAAGCCTAGTTACTCCTGTATAGCTTCTCACAGTTTCAGAAAAAGAGCAATAACCATGCAGAAGATTTTTACAAATGAATGTCATTTGAGAGCATACAATGGATGAAGTTGGACTCTCTACCAGCTGTGGCAGCAGTGGACTTAACAAAAAGATAATGTGCTTTTGGCCAGTTTTTGAGGGGTCTAGGATCCAATTCAGGACCACATACTGCACTTAGTTGTCATGCTTCTTTAGTCTTTTTAAATCTATAACGGTTTCTCAATCTTTCTTTGCCTTTCATTGACTTTTTAAGAGTGCAGAATCTTCTTAAAATAGGTTCATCTGATGTTTCCTCATAATTAGTAAGGTTATGGTACGCATTTTAGGTGAGATACTAATAAGGAGTTAGAACTAAATTTTCTAAAACCATTCCCATGCTGTGCAAGGAAGTGGGCTCAGTGTTCTGTGTGTGAAAACTTTCTAGCAAATCTTGAGTTGACAATGGTACTTCACACCTCCCATCAATCTTAATTTGAACTGAGTGGCCTAAATTTTTTATAAGATTCACAGAATCACATTTAAGAGTAAAAACGTATTGCGTTGTCTATGCATTTCTGGGCTTTCTTCTTGGAATGAGATGAGCTACTTTAGATCTGTGTGAATGGTCTGAGGAAGGTTAAGAGAGGGCAGGAGCTGTTTCTTGTAAACTGACAGTTCAGGAGAGTGAGTTGGAGATAATCACATAATCCATTTAAACCACCCAAGTTAACAAGCTCTCACCTTCTCCAAATAGGCCCCTTATTTACAAATAGTCACTTCTATACAAAAGTGGGTTCTCATTCATGTGACTGGAGTCACATGCAGAGATCTCATGGCATGATTTCCCCATACCACAAAGTTCAGTTCACATCAGGAATACTATTAGAACCTGTAACATATTATAAATGTATAATGTGAGCTTTGAAAATAATTTTTTATCTTACTTTGTAAACAAACTACCCCCCAAATAACTTGCAGCTGTGTGTCTGCCTAGTGCAATTCCAGGCTGTATCAGTAGGAAAGAAATCACAGAACAAGGCGGCTGGTCCAGCATAGCTGTGATCAGGTCAAACCAATTGCAGAGATGGGTTCCAGACCCCACATTGTGACAGACTTTTATAAACGGACTTATTTAAAGAAGAGAATGAATAGGTTGCTAAAGAATTCAAAATCAAATTACACGAGTGGCTTTTCAGGTCTGTTTAGTCCAGTCCTGGGCTCAGCCCCATCTTGGGCTCTCAGCTCCCTTTCCTCCATGGGAGAGCCCTGTCTTACCTTATCAGTGCTCATCCAGGGATGAAGGCTGTGCTTCCCTCCGACACACTTGCCAGATTCAGCCTGCCAGCTGAGACACTGGAGGCGTCCCCTCAAAAAAAGTGATGCAGGATGATTTTCTGATGGAAGAGATTTTATTCTACCTGGGGCTGTCCCTATGCCCTTCAAATTCCACATTCTGCCATAAGAATGAATTTCCTTCGTGAAAAAGCAGCAAGGTCTGTCTGTTGGCCAGGACTGTTACCTCTAAACTGCCTCCTTTGGTATTCAAAGAAGAAATATTTCCCAGCTACTGACAAAAGGGAGCCAATTGTATTTTCTGTGAATGCCTGTGGCATTAATGGGAATTACACAAAGTCATATAAAGTGGGAGAACCATGGAGCTACAAAATCCCACTCCCTACTGAGGTCAGTTACAAGCCAAAAACAACTTATGGTTTCTTCAGACCATTCTTTATTAATATAGCAATTAGTTTTATTCCATCGGGATATGTTATCAAGTAGAAACATGAAAAAGTGGGGAGTGTGCAAAATTAAATACCTTACCTCAAGGAAAAATAAGCTGCAAATAATTATCACCAAAATAATTTTTTTATTTTACTTAAAAAGACTCTGAAGGTACACATTTGGTTCATGAACACAGGGTAAAATATTTATTTCCATCTTCATTTTAGTCTAGTGATAACTATACAAATGTGGACATGGATAATGAACAGGTTTTACCCCAGAACATGACCGTGCATCAGCTGATTCGGTGTGTCTGTGGTGTTCGCTGATTTCCAATGTCCATGAATGCTCAGTAGGCGGGCGCTGGCACATTGGCCGCCCCACCACTATCAAGCCAGGTGCTCACAAAACCAGTGCCCATGTGTGATAAAAACATGCTGATCACAACAAACAGTTATTCCATGATGGGTTTTTAACTTATGACAAATATTTCACATGCAGAAACACCCCTGTGTACTTCTCTTCCATAGTCACATCTACCTTCCATTTAATGTAGGAAATCAACTGTTCCTGTTTGGGGGCAAGAAAATGCACAGAGTCATACCAGCATTTCCTCTTGCACCATATGTGAGCTTGCAGAACTGCAAAGGGTTGAGAATGACCCACAGTGACTCTGAAAAGATCTACAACCTTAAAAAGGGCAACATCCCTTCTGTGTTCTAGGCAAGTTAAAAAGGTTTTGCCAGAACACTGCTAGGCTTCATAATCTGTTGATGAATCAAGTAAGAAGAATACATAAAATTCTCTTATATGAAAATATCTTTTACTTGAAGAATATAAATCATAACAAATACTGAAACATTTAGTAACAGTTCTTAAAAAAAAAAGGTTTTTGTCATTAATTCCCCGGACCAAAATTTACACATCAGGAAAGAATTCGGCACTTTGGGGCTGACTCTTTTGGAAATCACTAAGCTAACATTTTTGACATTTACAAAGTAATTGGTCCAATTACAAATGAATTTGACCAATCACATCTCTGAATTTCTGGGTCAGTGACGGCAACAGGTGAATTCAGAGGGGAAGTACCAGATTTGGGGGATGAAAAGATTCATTTAAATAGCATCTCCGTTTACTGAGTAGCAATCACATTCTCTCACAGCCTGACAATATTTGCTTCTCATGATAAACTGACAACATCACTTTATGAAACTGCATGACAATGTATTGGTTAAATATTTCCTGGAACATCTACACTTCAGTTAAAACTGTACTATTTACAAATCAGAAAATATACTACAAAGCATGCTTGTAGGCACAGCATGCCTGCAAGACACAAATATACAAAATTATGGCAAGCTATGGCAAGATTCCTTAAACCAATAGAATATTCTGATGCAAAAAGAGAGAGATGGAAATACAGGCCATATATTATATGTGAGCCATACTCTGAAGCCCAGAAGACTCTCTATCCAAAAGGGAATCACAGACATAAAAATAAAATATTTGGTATTCTACAATATTTTACAAAAATAAATATATCAATCAATAAATAGTGGGAAGCCTAGAAACTCTTACATGAATATTTTGGCTGTGGGCTGCCCAAGTCCCTCTGCTATAATTCTCCTCAAGAGTTGTTTAGCTATATCAACTTCGGTGATGATAATTCTGCAATAAAAGGGGGAAAAAAACTGGCATGGGACCCAGAAGAAGGTCTATGACCAGAGAAACATTAGTAAGATTCTACCTTTTTAAGGATCTGACAATATTCTGGCTTCCTGTCAATGCAGGAGTTGAAAGTGACACCGGTGTGCTGCCGGGGTTCCGGTGGGAGCTGGGAGAACTCCTCTACGGGCTGTGTCTTTTCACTTTCTGACAAAAAGCCAAAAAAATACAACTAGCAACATTTGAATAACAATATGTTGCTCTCTGCACTCCCTTTCCACAGGGAAGCAGAAAATCATAGAAATGCAGGTTTACATCTGGATGGGCAGAAAGAAACAACTGGGCTATGCAGCCTGATCGCCAACAGCCTATATTTTCATATCTCTTTAACAGAAGAGTGACTATAAGTGCTCGAGACAAGATTTCTCCAGAAGCCCGGAGCCAGCAGCGCACACAGTGGAAAGCAGGGCTGGCACATCCTTAACATTCTAGTATCAGGGTGCTAATGTCAGCGGTGTGCTAATGTCAGTGGGATACTAAATGTCAGCGGTGTGCCAGCACCAGTGCACAGCTCCCAAGAGCTGACTTAGGTTTTAGAAGTTTTGCAAGCCAGTTGACATCACCTTGGCAGCTCAAGATAGACCATGTAGGAGCGTTTGCAGCATTGAAATCCACAAATCAGGGCTTTTTCTCCCCCTGGATTGCTGGTTGTAAGGGTTTTACCAGCACACCACTGTCATATGTATTAGACATAAAGAAAATTTGCTTAATTTTTATCTAACCAGGACTATCCTGGTCAGCTGAGGTTTTACTGTGTATGTATTACAGTGTCCTTTAGAAAGGATAAGAAGTACCTTGGAGTATGTGAGTATACATTGTGTACCATGGAGTATGAAGGATGCACCACGTTCCACTGAGGGTATTAAGCGTGGTTATTCAAAGCCAGCTATACATCACACACACATACACACATCATGTTATATGGAGGCTGTTCCACAAATAGTGATTCTGAGTTGCATGGCTTTCTCAAAGCATCAATCACTGTATACCCACTGACGGTCAAAACACCACTCTTCCATGAGCAATGAATTCCCCAGGATTCACCCAGCAGACAACAGATCTAGCGAGCTGAGGTTCAAATTGGGCCTTCTTCAAAATAGTTTTCCTTGCCTCTATTGTCTAGTGCAGTTTGAGTTTATAACCTTAAGAGATTTGTAAAAGGGGACTGATTGTTTTCCAGGGTAAAAAAAAGAAAAAAGTGTCAGACTTCTTAAGGAAGCATTCCTTAAGATGAGTAGGGGTGAATGGGGGATGACGTACTGGAAACCACATTCCTGGTTCTAACAGGAACCATCCATGTTCCCTGCCTGGAGATGCTGGAACAGTTTGGAAACTGCTCTGCTCTGCTCTGGTTCCTCCTGCACAAAGCCCAGAATATGCTTGCCAGGTAGAGGGAAATGGTTAGGGGTTAAGACTGGAGGCTGCCACCTGCCAGGAAAACCCACCGGACCCTTCCTGTGCAGAACACTTCCTCACCACTTTCAGTCCTGGCCAGTTGCAAAATGGGAAGATGGTAAGATGAGAAGATGGGAAAGTTACTGGGTTTCTACCATGAAACAATCATGATTTCAAAATTCAGGCTTGGCTTTTGAGTCATTTGCTTGTGTGTCTATTCATAAATTCGTTTATTTAAATCCATTCATTTGGACTCTGGTTTTCTTTTTCTTATACTTACTTATTCTGGTTTTCTTTTCTCTTATATCTAAGTATTCTTCATGAACAAAACATTTGATAAAGGATATTATTAAAATAAAATCAAATTAAATATCACGGGAAGATTTAGAAATTAGAACACTAACTCCTTTCACCCTGAGAGCAAAGGCACTTAGGTGTCCCTTTCCAGTTCACAGCATGCATCATGAAGGCCAGGGAAGAGCAGGGACACAGGGATGGGAGGAAGGTGAGAGGCACTAGGGCCAAGAAGAAAGAGGGAAGGAAGAAGATGGAGCAGAGGAAAGCAGGGGTGCTGAGACAAGGGAACAGTGTTAACAGGTGAAGAAAGATATTAACATCCTTTCTTCCAACAGACAGACCCCTTCTGATTTTCCTCCTCTTAGTCTTTGATACTTCTATTTTGTCCAAAAGATTTAATTCTTTAAACAGAACCACTTTTGGTTTTACAGACACATCTGAGGATAGCCTCTGAGGATAACATCAATATCCTCTTCCCTTTCTCCCTTTCTCCCCTTCAAGTACCCTCCCAACCCCTCTACTCTCTGCAGCAGCAATGGCCAGTACTCATGGCCTTGCTTTCCTATTGTCTCAGGAACAGATTTCATGCTGGTTTCTTCTGTTTTCCTGCCTTGACCAGGAGTTGCCCTCTGGAGCACATTGGTCCTCCATGGGTTCATTTTTTCCTGTTGTACCTCTAAGACCTCTTAAGTCCATTTGGTTTCTGTATCAATTAACCCTTCCCTTCAAGCATCCTTTGCCAGGCCCCTCCTCTCTGAGCAACTACAGAAACTCAACTGACAAAAGCTACACTTACATTTCCAGAGTATTTAGGAAGGGTAATACTTCCTAGGATGATTAAAACCCTGATGTCAATTATCTTGACTTAAATCCTACTCAGAGAAGAGGTAACAGAGAACATACCATTGGCCTTTAATATGCATACATTTGAGTGAGTCATGCATGTAGATGAGTATAACCTGCCTGCATAGAACCAAAAGATTTTTGTAAGTTCATGTATGTACAAATATACATACACAAGTGTGTGTCTTTTGACACTGTATTTTGCCTAGGGGTTGTTTTCAAATCAACAGGGAGGTGGCATTGCCAGGAAATGGCAAGTCCAAAGAGAAAACAGATTGAAAGGGACTTAACTGGAGAGGAAAATATGCATTTCCTACAACAAACTGACCTGTCCATTTCCTGAAGGCAGCAAGCCTCTATTACTGTACACCCTTATTAAATAATCTCATTAAATAGGAACACCAAATATACACATTTACAGTTATTAAATAAGCCATAGGACTCTTCTTCTATCTACAGCCACATTCGGAGACGGCCATGCCTTCGTATTTAAACTTGTAGGTGACGACGCCTTTGTCTAAATAGAGGATGGAGATGGGCTCTAGCTTTGTGGGCACACAGCAGGCTTTGGAAGCTTTCTGGGAATTCTTGAGGTGGACCAAGGCCTGGATAATTGCATGCTTTGTGGGTGTGAGATGCTCTGCCAGGGGGTAGTTACAAACACCACGGCATTCATAGGCTTCGTATCCAGGCGGAGCGATGATCCAGGAGTCCCACCCAATCTCCTTGAAGTCGATGTAGAGCGGGGTCCTCTTACAGTAGTTTCCTTTGGCGTTCCTTCTGATTCGGGCAGTGGAGTCATAGATGATGTTTGATCTCATCTGCAACAAAGCCTCTTCCCCAGGTCCACTGGAAAAGCTATCCAGGCCCAAGTTGTCCAGCTCTGGAAGTTGCTCATGGGAAATCATTTCATTCAGTTCCTCCTTCCTCTCCTTGTCACTGCTTTGGTCATCAGAAAACACGATGAGCAAAGGGTTATGCTTATTCTGGGCACTGGTATCTATTTCTAGCCGTCCACTGCTGGCATCCTCAGCTTCATCGTGTTTGCTCTCAATGTGGACCTCCAGCTGGTGGGTGGATGAGCCTGACTTTTGCCAACGTCTGATGGCATCTGTGACATCAAAAGTCTCCCACTCACTGTTGGTTCCATATATCTCCCCAGACACCAAGACCAGCATGTTTCTTTCTCCCTCATTATCCCCTTTGCTCTCCAGCACTTCAAAAATGGTAATTTTCCGGTCTACTCCATCGTATATCATACGATCCCTTTGCACCAGTGTGTATAGCCTAAGTTCAGCCATGATGACCTCTTCATGGTGAGGAATGGACACATTGAAGAGGAGGGGGTATTTTCGGAGCCCATTAAAACTGACCGGCTGGGAAAACAGATCTGAAAAAAGAAATTTGCAAAAATCAGGTTTGCAGTGGGTCTCAGGGAAAAACAGATGCTTATTTATGTAATAAGAAGGCCTTCCCATGCACAAAGCTTAATGCAGAAAGAATGAAGGGAGAAAATCAATGAGAACAAACACAATGTCAGCATTCTGTGACACAGGAAATCCCAAAAGGTCAGTGGTAGAATGCCCAAAAGAGTTCAGCTGCCAAGACTAAAATGGAAAATGGGGGTCTAATGGATGGCATAAAACTCAGCCAACCTTGCTTGAATAGCTCATCAGCCACAGAATTACAGAACTGGGAGGGACCTTGGAGATTGTGTGGGCAAGTCCCCAAATTTCCTAACAAACAAAACGCCACCAAATGGGACATGTGGTGATTGTTCCTTTCTTGAAGCTTTTCGGGGATGAGGACTTCATGGTTTTTTAATATTTGTGTTTGTAGTGGGTGGAGATCCCCGCACAGTTGGCTGGACACTGGTCTTCCTAAAAGACCTCCATTTAGATCAGAGGTTGGTAAACTATAGCCTATGGGCCAATATGGGCCTGCTACCTGCTTTTGGAAATAAAGTTTTATTGGAACACAGCCTCATCCATTGTTTTTGTATTGTCTGTGGCTACTTTTGCACTATAATGGCAGAGTTAAATAGATACAACAAAGAACATATAGCCTGCAAAGCTTAAAATAGTTATTATCTGTCTGGCCCTTTACAGTAGAAACTTGCTGACTTCTGTTCTAGGCAACAAAGCCTGACAAGGCCAATAAGACAGCCATAAACCAAGAGGGTCTCAGCAATTGACTGCTGGTTATATGGTTCTCTATAAAGAGGAATGGGAGAAAATGAATCCTGGGACTAGATTGGTTGCCTTAGTCTTGTACCCCTAGCACCTGGCATGGGGCGTGACATGTATAACTCACTCAATAATGTTTATGAATCAACTCTGTAAAAGTCCTTTAGTCTTAGAAGCATACTTCCAAATACGATCATGTTGACTTCCTATCTGAATATTTCACAGTGAGCCCAAAGCTCCTGCACACTTGCCTCAGGTAATGAGTCTACAAGGAAGCCCTGAAGGCATTTGCCATCAGATTATCAAAGGACTCCATGGCACCGAAGATGCTAAGGACCACCAACTGGGGGTTCTCTGTCATCATTGGCAGCATTTCCCCAAGTTTATACTTAGTTCATGATCTCGGTGAGTCCCTGTTTCAGATTATAATCTTTTAATATTTTTCTTTAATTTGATCTAATTATTTTATACTTATTATCTATTTTAGACTGTTCCTAAGCAACATAATTCATTAAAGGAGAGATTTGAGGTGATATTTATGTGTGTTTGCTAAAAATCCATACTAAGAAAAATATACAATAATTTCACATGATTAATAGCTTTCTTTGGGTACCACCTAAATTAATCTTACACACTGCTAGTGGGAAATGCTGACCTACAGAATAAATTTAAACTCCCTGGCATGGCTCTCAAGACCAGCTATATCTGGGTCTTAACCTCCTGATCAGCCATAGCTTACATACGTCCTCCACAGTGCATGGAACATTGTGATTACTCAATAATATTTGTGAACAATTGAATGGATTTGTAAACCCTTCTGTTTTAACTACATTGATATCTTTACCACCTGTCAAAACACTCTTTTTTTCCCTGCAATTTTCACCTTTTCACATGTTCTTCTGACCCTTGGAAAGCCCTTTCACCTCACCTCCACCTATCCAGCTCTGACATCTCCTATAAAAGCCTCCCTTACTTCTCATCTGAAAGTTCCCTCCTCTCCCCTCTGAAATCATTTGATCACTTTATATCTCCTTTGATCCTTGTCATTTACGTCCTTATATTTCAGCCATCTTTTTATGAATGGATTTTCCCAACTAGATTGCCATCCTCCTGGTTTGAATGGCTCAAAACTCCCTTCTATGTCTCTATCCTACTATGATGGCTTAAACAGAGGTAGTGCTTTAAAAATATTGATTAGTTGATGATTCTAGGCACCAGACTAAATTGATTTATGGGCGTGACATATGACCTTAATCCATCATCAAGCTCTTGGGTTGGGCTTGGGAGTTATTCTTCCACTCTAAGAAGGGAAGAGACTTGACTCCCCATGGACAGGGAACATGGAAGAGTAGGCTGGTTGCTCTACCCAGGAGAAAAGTATAAAATAAGAGCTCACTGTAGTGGGAGGAAGGCATTACAAAGTATACAAGGAAGCTTTTGGTTTTAATGGATATATTCATGATCTTGATTGTGGTGATGGTTTCAATGAATGTTACATATGTCAACACCTTTCAAATTATACACTTTAAATATGTGCGATTATACTTTTATACATCAATATTTTTATATGTCATATTTTTATAAGTCAAATATACCTCAATAAAGCTGTTTTGAAAAAGTAAGTTCACTGTGAAGTTCTGTGCATGTGCAAATGCAGTAAGCAATAGATGGAAGAGTTACATTTCAGGGCAAGAGAACGAATGTTTGTTGACAAATTTCTCATGCCAGGTGCTTTGCAAGCATGATCTTCTCTGGTTCTCACAATGACCCCATAATGCAGGTATTGATTCTCTACTCGTTTTGCACCAGAATAAATCAAGCCTTGATGCAGATAACTGATTTCCCCAAATGACAAGGTGATAAAGGAGCACGCTTTTTTCACCTTGGAGGTGGCACTTTTTTTTCCCAAGATGGGGTAGGTTTGGAGTTTTTTTGGTCTTTCTCTCCTAGGGAGCTGCACTAAGCAGATCCAAAGAGTCAGAAGAGAGGCAATAGTAGCCAACAGGGCATGTCCTGTGCGATTTCTGTCCTCAGGCTGCACATTTCCTGCAGACTGGCAGAGGTGCTGGCGGCTGGGTTGTTTACTAAGAGATGTGTTCCTGCCCTCAATAATCTCCAGTAATAATAAGCACAGTAAACTCCACATCCTGACCTGGATCATCCAGATACTCTATGAGAGAAGTGAGAACGGAAAACGTTTCTAGTTTTCCAGGGGATGCAAACAACATTTTCTCACCCACACCCTGAGCCAGACACTTAGGGCTCAGTGCTGAGAAGTATTAGGGAGGGTTCTTACAGGAGGAAGTTGTTCATTTTCAATTCAGACTCACCTCCAAAAGCAATCTGTAATCTCAACTTGCCATTTCCATGAGAAAGATATTATGAATTATAAATTTTGGCAGCCAACTCAATTTTAAAGGGAGATAATATCTTAGGGACTAAGGAATACCTACTCAACATTTATTCCAGTACCTAGAATATTAAGTAACTCATTAGTAGTCACTAAAGTTTGATCAGCACTTCATAGTAAATGGAGTGCTTTCTTATCTGTAACCTCCTTTGAGTCACTCAACTATGTTATGTAGGTATTATTACTCCCACTTTATAGATGAGGAAATTGAGGCTCTGAGGCATCAGCTAATTATTCACAACCACTAAGCCAACTAGCTCTCAAAATCCCAAATCCTGAGCTATTTCTTCACTATTACCTTTCTTCTTTCAAGAACATCTGGCCAATATTAACGGGAAGCTTCTTTTATACCTGGTTAGTGACTATAAAAGCATAACTGGCAAAAATTAAATTAGTTCCTTTGGACCTTCAGCTTCTACTATAGATATCTAGATATCAGGGGTTTTTTTTCCTACTAGGACCATATTAACCAAAAAACAAACAAACAAACAAACAAACAAAAACATTAACTTGCTAGCTCATTAGATTTAGTTACCAAATTTAAAGACCTAAGAGAAGAAAACACACTTTTCCCACCAATAATTCAAAGCTTGTACGTTGCTCTTTATAAAGACGGAAATGATGAGCTGGATGATTAATGGGCCATCTACACTTCCTGGAAACTGTAAACAGTGCTTTAAGGATGTACATGACACATCAAACAACACAGCCTTAGGAAGAATCTTTAAAATATATTTCCATCCTGTTTGAACATTTCTTAAATAAGGTCACAAAATAAAAACTTATCAAAAGTTTGAACAAAACACAAATCACAATTTGATGTTTTTTGACTGTTTTTACCCTTTTTATTCTAAGTAGAAGTTGAGAAATTTTTTAGTTAATTAAAAGCCCATATGGCAATCAAGGCCTATTTGGAAAATGACAAAGGTACGGCAGTAGACCAACATTAATTCTTTGTATTACTTGGTGTTCAAATTAACATTTTTTAAAAGGACCCAATTATGATGTCAAATTGATAGATGTTTTGTGGCTTTGGATTAAAAGATGTTTGTAAGTATTTTTCGAGGTTCCTGAAATGACTATATAATTGGTATAGAACAAAATGTGCCTTGTTTTTGTGTATCCATATGTATTTAACATCCTTATATAGATGTATTTACCCTTACCTATATCATTCCCATGCATTGTAAATTTACTTATTGTGTCTTGAAAAAAATCCTAGCAAAATTTCATCAGCAAAAACTTACCTTCATTCTTGAAACTCCTAATGATGTTGGCAGAGGGCATGGAGGTCCGATCTGTTGCAAATTTGTTGTAGAGTTCCAACATGTACTCTGGTGGGTCCACCTTGGCTGAATCCTGCGTGGGGATGTCAGAGAGGTTTAGTGTCTTAAGAAACTCATCCTTCATGCTCTGGAGCAGTGTGTTAAAGTCGACACCGTCTTGCTCTGAGAAAACATCACCAAAGAGGGACATATCTTCTTCCAGAGGAGACTGCTCTAGGTTCATGATGGGGCTGCCAGAAACCAAGTAAGCTGCCAGGCAGAAAAGAGCGCACAGTGTCAGGACCAGAGAGCCCATGACTCCGCTCGAGCTCCTAGGCCAAGCCAGGAAGGTTTAGCTTCCCTGGGCTCTAAGTGGCAGTTTTATCTTGTGGAACGTAAATGTCTCCTGTCACTGGAGACAAGTTTGGAAACTCTTCCTCTCTCTCTCCCTCCCCCTACCACTCTTCCTCTCCCCCTAAAAGTCAGGTTGCAGTAATTGGATAACAAAATCCCCTATAGGGGCCTAGCCTTTCTTATCTCCCTAGTGTAAACTTGTGCACCAGAATTTGTTTCTATCTTGCAATCCCTATTTCTTTTAATGAGCATTTTGTAAACATTTCCACATTCTGACACTGGTTGAGAGATAGGACAATTTTCTCTTTGCAAAGGCTCTGCTTCTCTTCCCTTCAATTCACTTCCTTTCAGCAGGAATGCCTAAATTCTGTTTTTATGGGGCTTAGTTTCACACATGCATATAATAGGTATAAGAATCAACATAATGCACATCAATGGTGATACATGTTAATTTGAGAGGTAGGGCTCAGATAAACACTTGTGAAGACAGACCAAATATCCAAACTTTCCAAGTTTAAGTTAATAGCTATAAATGAATTATATAAATTTTTAGAAGTGTACCTTTTTAGAAACAGGAAAGTATAAACTTCATGATTGACAGGCTTTTTCCTACCTATTTGATCTGGCTAAAATAGCATTTGAAAAATAGGGCAAGTGCTTAGTTATACTGGCAACTAGAATTTATTAGATGCTTCCTACAAACAGGCATTGTACTGAGTGCTTTACACCTATCATCAAGTGTGCTCCTGTAATAACCGTATCATTATCTCCATCACATATATGGGTCAGTGAAGTGCCATAGCTTGCCAGAGGCCACAAAGTTGCAAAGTGATGGGGCCACAATTTCAACCAAGGCAGCCTGATTCTTATGAAGAATAAAACAGTCACACTTTTAAACCACTCTTCTACCAGACTAGGGCATGGGCAATAATGCTGAGAGGCCAACACGTCCCCAGATCAGCCTGGAGGCAGGAGGCAGGCAGAAATTTGTAGCTGGATGTGGACCTCAGGTCCTCCATCTGTGCAATGAGTTGTTAATATAACCAACATCTCTGCGAAATTCATCCTTCTGACTCAATCAAAATTGTCATCAAGAGGCTCCAGCAAAAGCTTGGTGTGATGGTTAATACTTACTGTCAACTTGATTGGATTGCAGGATGCAAAGTATTGATCCCGGGTGTGTCTGTGAGGGTGTTGCCAAAGGAGATTAACATTTGAATCAGTGGGCTGGGAAAGGTAGACCCACCCTTAATCTAGCTAGGCACCATCTAATCAGCCGCCAGCACGGTTAGAATATAAAGCAGGCAGAAAAACGTGAAAAGACGAGACTGGCCTAGACTTTCAGCCTATCTTTCTCCCATGCTGGATGCTTCCTGTCCTTGAATATGGGACTCCAAGTTCTTCAGTCGGGGAACTTGGACTGGCTCTCCTCGATCCTTAGCTTGCAGACAGCCTATTGTGGGACCTTGTGATCGTGTGAGTTAATACTTAATAAACTCAGAAATATATCTCCATCCCCTATTAGTTCTGTCCCTCTAGAGAACCCTGACTAATACACTCGGCAAACAACATTACTAGGCACACAAAAAACGCCAAATGCCTTGGTCCTGAAAATAAAAATGGTAGAATCGATTGTGTGTCCAGATTAGGAAAGACAAATCAGGTTCATCACATTTTCCATTCTAACTAGTGACAGTAGCAGCCGGGGTGCAGCCAGAGAGGCCCTGCGGACAAGCCCAGGGGATGTTTTTCCCACTGAGGTGGTAGTTCTGGTATCTTTCTGACGTGCACACCATTACTCACGCGTCCTGGTGCTGTGTTCCAAGGGCTGTGTCAAGATATTTGGTTCACTGGAATCCTTTCTCAGTTTCTAGGTTAAATTTTCCTATATTCATGCTCATCGTTTAGCTACAATGTCTCCACTTAACTTTTTCTCCAGGCTCACTTAGGTTTCTAGTCATCTTTTGATTCTTTTTCCTCCTAAAATGTACAATGTTACAGCCATTTTTTAAATTACCATAGAAAGAACCATATTTTGTTTAGTAGTTGTTAATTGTCTATTTGTTTAATAGTTTTGATTTTGATTCAATGTTCAATTTTGATTCAAACTTTCTATTCCCATAGTAAAACGACAATTGTAGACTGGAGACAGATTATACCCTGAACAGTCCCACAAGTGAGTGAGTGACTCCAAGGGCCAGAAGCCGTCCTTCGGGTGGTTCGTTTTCACATGAGGTTTCTGACAGCATACCAGCAATGCCCTGTATCATGTCCTGCATCCAAACAGGCACCCATTTATCTTCACACACACACAGATGTCAACGCACACTCCAAAACTCTGAATGCAGGCATGTGCGTGTAACTGCCACAGGACAGCAGTGTAAGTGGTGGTACTTACAACCCCTGAGCACACTGGTTTCAAAGGTCACGGGGAGAGACATGCATCCCACATTGCGGAGTTCTAGTTCTTTACATTCTTGAGCATAAAAACATTAACTGAGACTTCACTGGCTTCCCTGTACTTGGTGTTAGAAAAACTACAGGGTCAAATATTTGGATCCATGTTGATATTTGGGGATGATTAAAAGATACAGTAGGAAAATGACTATAGCCATATTTCAGACATTTCAAGATATCAGCGTGTCTTGAGACGCATGCTTGGTGAAGGTTCTTAAACCCATACCTGTGCTGGGTGGACAAGGAAGGAGGTTGGCTTCATGCTTGGAGGAAGGGGACATAAGCTCTCTCCCTCTTCCAGGCCTGGGACACCTCACATCTTAGCTGCAGAGTCTCTTTATCCCCATATTTTTCTCTAGAAGCTTTTTCTGATGACTCTCATCTGACCCTAAAAGGTCCAAATGTCTTTACATTCCTACCCCTATTTTGATCTTTCTGGATGCAATTCATTCTATTCTTTTGCACTTATCTCATTATTTTGTATCCTTCTCATTTGGAATGTGTTACGGTTCATTCAGAGTGGATGGGCAGTTTCGTGAGCCAAAGATGTAAAAGGTATGTTTAGATGTTTTAAAAGAACCCATACATGTGGAAAGCAAAATATTAATTACACATTATGCTTTTCCACCCCACTGCAAAATGCTCCAGAACCTCTGATTTGCAAAGTTCTGGGCCAGTTTTTAAAACTAGTTCCATAACTGTACAAACTTAAAGAATCTAACATTGAACTTCATTGGATTCTCAAAGGGATCTGGGATCCAGACATGGTCAGAGCCACTGGACAGCATCCTGATGAATTCTGCTGTTTCCTGTGAGTAGTGCACAGCCCCTGAATAAATGCAACCAATAAAATTATCCTGAATGAAAAGAGGCCAATGAAGTCAGGAGGTCTTTGAACATGACTCTAGGTTCTTGGAACCCTCTCTACCTTGGATCCCACTTCAGAAGCATTACATTACTCCTGCTACCTTCTCAGGACCAGGTGTGATAATAAAAAAAAAATTTAACAAGCTATACGATGGGTTTTGCCCATTTAACTTATATATGAATTGAATCATGTTATATGTTTTCTTCCAAGACTTACTTTTTTGCACTCAACAGGATTTTTCCAATGCACACTTGTTGATGCCTGTAGCTGAGTTCATTGATTTTCACTGAATTGTTGTCAGCTTTATAAATACATAAAAATTTCTTTGTACGTTATACTGTTGATAGAGACTTTGTTTCTTTTTTTCTCATTATTTACAGTACTACAGTGAATAATCTTACTGTTATTTTCTATTTAAGAGATTCTCGGCCAGGTGCGGTGGGTCACGCCTGTAATCTCAGCACTTTGGGAGACCGAGGTGGACGGATCACGAGGTCAGGAGCTCGAGACCAGCCTGACCAACATGGTGAAACCCCGTCTCTACTAAAATACAAAAATTAGCCAGCCATGGTGGCATGTACCTGTAATCCCAGCTACTCAGGAGGCTGAGACAGGAGAATCACTTGAACCCAGGAGGCAGAGGTTGCAGTAAGCCAAGATCACGCCACTGCACTCCAGCCTGTGCTGGCTAATAACCACCATGTTGGACAGTGCAAGTCTAGACTTTATTTAGTAAGAGTAAATATCAGAATAGAATTGCTGGTTGGTAGTCAGAAAAGACTCCAACAATTTTACATAATGCCAAATTGTTTTCGAAAATGGTTTTCCCAATCCTGTGTCTCCCAGCAAGAGTTCGTGTTGTTCCACATCCTTGCCAATGCTTATGCTGATTGACTTTGGGGACTGTAGTTGAGTCTTGGAGGCTCTCTCTTCTGCTCTTCTCTGCCACTCATTCCTGAGAGATGCAACAGAGCATGTAGATTATCACCTTGAGAAAAGGTATAGTTTGGGCTGGGAAACACTGTTTTAGTATTGTGTTGGCTTCCACACCCTATATTAAATGACAGCCCATGTAAAGCATGGTGTCCAAGAGCAAAAAAATTTATTGAAGGACAGGAAAGGAGACTTGCATGAATGTAACAATATTCCAAGTCAATGGATAAGAAGACAATATAATAAAGATGTTAAAAAATCCCCAAATCAATATATAAATTCAATAAAATGTCAATCACAATCCTAACAGGACTTTTCATAGAACTTGAAAAGATGATTCTAAAAGCTATATGAAGGAGCAAAGGATTAAGATTAAGTAAGGGTACTCTTAGAGAAGAATTAAATAGGAGAATTTTCTTACCAATATTAAAATCTATTAAAAATCAGTAATGATCAAGATAGTGTGGCGTTGGTGTAGGAATAGATCAATAGAATAAAAAAGAAGTTGGAAAAGGACTCACATAAATCCAAAAATTGACATAGAATACCTGACATCACATATCAGTAGGAAAAAGATGATTTCATGAAAAATGCAGGGATCATTTATGAGAAATATCAATTGACTACTTTGTACTTTATGCAAAAATCAAATCCAGATAGACTTGGGACTTCATATGAAAGAACAACTTTGAAACTTTGTCTTGGAGAAATCCTAGGAGAAGTGTTTCTTTTGCCTGACAATAAGTACCTCATATACTATCTCCAACCCTAGCGGTTAATAAGGAAATAAATGATTGTCCTATCCCCATTTCCACAAAAAAAAAAAAAAAAAAAAGGGAGAAAAGGACAGCTCACATTAGAAAAAGTAGGTACACTGATATTATCTATCAAATTCCAAAGTAGCAAAAATAATAATATTATTAGCTTCAGAAAAAACTTCAAGAGTTTCTTGAAATAGTGAGTTCCTCAATTACATTTTTTTTTTTTTTTTGAGACAGGGTCTCAGTCTGTCACCCAGGCTGGAGTGCAGCGGCGCTATCTGAGCTCACTGCAACCTCCACCTCCTGGGTTCAGACAATCCTCCCATCTCAGCCTCCCGAGTAGCTGGGACTACAGTCATGTGCCACCACGCCCTGCTAAGTTTTGTACTTTTTGTTAGAGACGGGGTTTCACCATGTTGGCTAGGCTGGTCTCAAACTCCTGACCTCAAGTGATCCGCCCACCTCAGCTTCCCAAAGGTGGGATTACAGGCGTGAGCCACCACACCCAGCTTCTAATTACATTTTAAATCATGATCATTTTACTTACCCTCCTTTCAGAAACACATTTAAAGCACAGAGTGAGGCAACTTTTACATGTTACAGACAAGATTATGATTATATTATCTGTATTTTAAGTAATATATTCATAGTTCTTAAAGCTAACAAAATCTTTTTTGCATGTGCTTCTTAAGAAGTAAATGCTAAAAATGAAAATGCCCACTGACCTAGGATATCCCAGGAGTGGAATCGACTGTCTGTCAGTGTGCTCTTAGAATCACTAGAGGTGTTTGACAGCTGTGCTAAGCAACAACACAGAGTGCAAAGACAAAGAAGTAAACCCAGCCAGGGCACTCTGCCACCACACTGAGATAAGTCAAGCCCTTTAACACCAGAGGCTGCTAAGGGTTTATTCCACACTCTCAGCAAGATAAGCTGCCATTCACACCTCACAAGACACTCAGATCTGGAAAGCAGCCTAGAGGAAAAAGTAAGAGATGCGAATAAGTGCAATTATTTCAGTGAAGAAATTAACAGATTTCACATTGTTTGATTTCACTCCCATGAACAGCCATCAAAAGCCATGTTCCTTGGAAAGCTGGCTTTTCCAGCATGTTCATGTGGACTAGGACAGAGGAATAACCCCAGGGCCCTACACTGAATTGCACCATGTGTCTGCCTTTCACACTCACTGTCTGAGCATCACTGTGTAAGAAGGTATTTGTTTCTCCATTTTACAGATGACACTGAAGTACAAAGGATTAAATGAGTTGCCTCAATTCTCACTGCTGGGGAAACTTGGGGATCCAAATTCACACTCTTGCCACCGCTCTTTCCTAGTTCTCTAAACAGCCTTTGTTAGACTTATAGTCAGTTGGGTTGGACTCTGAGAAGGTGAATAGGGCATGGCATAATCCTTGGCCATATTACGATTATCACATAATTTGGGTGTATTAATGGGCCTCTCTGTGCTAGCTATTAACAGTGGTTTCCCTGAAAGCTGAACGAACCCTCTAAAGTTTTGAGATTTCCTAGGACAGATCCAATTTCAAGTGTTCTGTCCCGTCTTCCCCAGAAGAATAGGCAAAACACGAGTCCCTTTTCTTTTTTCTTCTTCTTTTTTTTCATTAAGAAAATAAGATTACCTTGTCAGTAGAACTCAGCGTACATACATTTCAAAGAAAAAACACACATCCCCTCTTCAAATGATCACCCCCAGGACAGTGTCTGGAGAGCTGGAAGGTCAAGGCAAACCACACTCATGGTATTGAACTTGGAAAGTAACTACTACATGATGATGAATATACCTGAAAGGAAAAGAAATGTGGTTTTATAAAAAAGATTCATCTCAGCCAAATCAGTCTGCAAATGTCTGCGTCACAGTCAGACTGTAAGCCATGTGGAAGGTTACAGGAGTAACCCCTTCCTCCCCAGTTTCATGACCCACTAAGTCAAACCCTATAACTTAGAATTATCAACTTTCAAATATGAAAGGACTATCAGAGTTCAGCCAGGCTGGCCTTTGACACGCTGCAGGAAGAGGGAAGGAAGGAGGGAGAAATAACTGGGGACCTGTCTTATCAATGGGCAGCCGGTTTTCAGCTGACTTTCACTTGACAAGTTCAGAAAGTTGCATGCCAAAAGGGTTTCTTGGAGAAGATCTTCTGCATCAGAGTGATAGCTTAAGTGTGTCATGACAGCCCTGTTGCTGGGCATCATACATTTCTTTGTGAAATCAGTGTCTACATGTGACCCATCTTCCTTAAATGCCACGCATAGAAGAAAGGGAAAAAAACGTGAAGCCATGGGCCACGTTCAGCTTTAGGTAATGTTGGTAAATCTGTTTGCGGAAACAGCCTTCTGGTTCCTAAAAAGAAAGAGATGGTCACTTTTGCCTTAAAAGGCTAAGTTATACCCCAAGAAAATCTCTTTTTCTTTCTTCCCTTCAATGGGAAAAGGTCAGATTACAAGAGTCATGTCCCATTCTAATTATATGATGTCATAAGACTGCAATTTTGCTTAAGCAAGCCTTACAAAGCATTGTGAATATATGGCTGGAAAATGACAAAGTGAATTTTAGATAAGTGCCTTCAATTAAGCTTGTTCTGGTGCAATTTACATTGTGTGGAAGTCCAGGGAACCAAAGCCGTTTATGTGGTCCTACACATGCCCTCCAAAATTAGTGAATTATCTGTCAGGGCTATGTGTTTAGGACTCATTGGTTAATTATCCCTGGGGATTTTGTGCAGCTGGGATTGATAACAGCACCTAAAAGGGATTCTAGTGAAGGACAATAACAGAATTCTTTAAATAGCCAACCAGACAGTTAAATGGAACTTGGGTAGCTGAATTCTCAGAAAATGTAGGGCTTTTTTTTCCAGAAGATTTTTGCAGTTACCTTGATTCTATTGTACCATTCTTGCCACACAGCAATCATCAGCCTAGCTAAGATAAAACACCCAAGTGAACTTTGTAATAAAGTCAAATGACCAAATCTGTGATAAAAAGAATTCCAAAATCTGCATCCCCAAGCTGTTATTCCAGGCACAAGAATGGTCATTCTCTGTTGCATGGTTGACATACTTCTGAGTTTTATCAGCTTCCCTGAGATAAGGTTAGAATGTCCGTCTTCTCAAATACCATGGACAACTTAAGGGCGGGGGCTGTGTTCCATTCATGTATCCCTGCAAACTAGCTTAAGGCTTGAGACATAGCACATGCTCAATGAATCAATAAACAAAAGTGCACATTTGCGAATGGCACTATGGCATATTCATCTGCTTTCAGTTTTACAAGGTACTCCACAGAGAATTAAGCTTAAATATAACCAAGGGAATCTACATTTAAATACAGGATATTAACCTTCCTAAATGTCACAATCTTCCCCAAAACTGCAGGTGCATTCTCATCCCTAAAGGAACTTGCATCTCTTGCCTCTTGCCATCCATCTTCTGCCCCACTCCACACCCACTCACCGTCCTCCCTTTGAAAATATCAAGGTTCTCTCTCTGGCTATTTCTCTTTGGGACAGTGGGAAATGCTGGCCAGGGCTCGACCCATGGGAATCCTGGTCCTCCAAGTGGCTGATGAAACAAAGACGGTCAGGGCATCCTTCAGCTAAGAAGGCTCATCCCTCCCCCATCCCAATTGTCCTGCCCCAAAGCCCTCAAGAGGAACTTATTTGTACTGTTTCTTTTTTTCTACTGTGCTTACTTTAAAATTGTCTTTCTTATTAAATGGATTGGAGTATTATCCTAGAGAAAAGAAATAAGTAAACAGCTGCTGTCCTTGGGTTCTGCACCTTGAACCTGCTTACAGCCAAAGCAAAAGTCTATTTCCTCATCAGGAGACCACATTAGGTTTGGGGCAAAATCCTCAGAGAAATAAAATGACTTTTTCTGGAGTGTCCCCCTTCTACATAAATGTTGTTCTCTGGAACTTGTGGTGGTGATGTCAGACAGCTCTGAGAGGAGCCAGGAATCTTGAGCCCCAGCCAGGGGCAACTTATCATGGCTAATAATTCATCCTTCACCACCACTAGAACAAATGTTTATTAAGCACCTACCCTGTGTAATGCACAGTGGCACTAGGCTAGCAAGGAAGTGTGTGCAATACTAACCAAAATAACAATAAAAAGCTACCATTTATTCAACTCCTACTCTGTGCCAGGCACTGAGCCCCATTGTTTATGGTCATTATTTCAGCTAATTCTCCCCTAAACCCTATGACATAGGTGCTATCATCATCTCTGTTTTACAAATGAGGGTGCTGGTCAGAGAGCCAGGAAGAGGAAGATCCAAGATTGACAACAGCTCTGTTCAATCCCTAAGCCCAGTCTTTCAGTTAAACACACTCTACTTCCCCAAGAGGGACTAATTTGATAGAGTGAAGACATGGCAGAGAGAATACAGTTGGGGGAAAAGGATAAGGCAGAAGAAGGGGAGCACCTTTGTCTGTAATTGTAGGAGAGAGGAAAAGATAGATGAAGTGGTAGAGGAAGAAGTTGAGAAACATCATTCTTAATATTCTCAATTTCCTCTGTGAATTAAAAGGCAAAGTCATTTGGTTAAAAAAACAAGTGCCCAGCCTGGACAACATAGTGAGACTGTCTCCGCTCCCACACCCCCCCAACACACACAGGCACACACACACACACACACAAATTAGCCAGGAACCTGAGGTCCCAGCTACTTGAGAGGCTGAGGTGGGAGGATTGCTTGGGCACAGGAGGTTGAGGCTGCTGTGAGCCATGACTGCGCCACTGCACTCCAGCCAAGAAGACAGTGAGACCTTGCAACAAAACAAAACAAAGCAAAAAAAAAAAAAAAAAAAAAGAAAGTGCAAGAATGGGGTAGAGGTAAAAATAATAAGGATGATAATTATAGTAATGATAGCAGCAAACGTAAATTGCTATGTGCCTAAAAATGCAATTTTAATTCTCACAATTCAATAAGTCAAACAGTATTTCACACCTAAGGAAACCGAGGCTCAAAGAAATAAAATAATATGCACATTGTAGAACACTTACTAAATAGTAGATCTGGGATTTTAACCCAGGAAGTCTGACTCCAGAGGCCAGCCTGCTAAGGAGAAAGTGAGTAAATGGATTAGAAATGTGTAAAAACATAGCTTTTAATTTATTTTCATTTAAATTATAAAAATTTGAAAAGTGGTGGTCTAAGAGGTGGTTGGAGGAAATTTTTGGCTTAGCATGTTTGAACTGAAAATGGAACAGCTAGGTCAATATGTGAAGGAGATAAACATGCTGAAACTAAATTTCAAGAGAGAAATTAGGTATAGAGTTTTAATAGTAACAATATACCATATATATTTATACTTTATTATTAGCACCAAAATTTTTACTTAGTGATACAATTCAAGACATGTATAAATCCCAATATTTATAAATAGTACTAAAACATATCATTTCCCCTTTAAAATTCAATAAAATATTGCATAAATTTCAAGCAACTCCTTAAGAATCTTAACCAGTCTATACAAGTAGGACTAGAGTCATTTCCATAATTATTGAAGTCAATCCTACTTTGAATTTCAGCAACACTGAAGAAATATTGTAAAGCTCGGTAGCAAAATAAACTGTGCCTGAAGGATCAAAGGGATGATGGCAAGTGCTGTGAGCTGCTCGTCCATAAGCTGAGCTTCCGAATGAAGAAAATAGATGGTCTGTAGCACCGGAAGCGGTCAAGTTCCCAGATGACAAGGTCCTCACAGTGAGTTAAATGGTGAGAAGAGGGGGAGGACAACTGGGAAGGAGGCTACCAAGGACCAGAGAGAGGGGCCTTGGAGAGACAGTGGTTCTTGCAGGGAAAATGTAAAGATTGGCCCCTGCTTTATTTCCTTTGCTACTTGCTACTCTTTTCTTGGTACAGAGCCAACGAGAGATCAATTTCTCTGTAGAAAAGAGTTCTTTTGTCGCTGAATTTTTACTGTAGAAGATGCCAGGCTCCAGTGTCACACACTCAAGAGTTTTTCTAGATTAATGAATGTCTCAGGTTCCTTGGCCAAATGTTTTAACATTATCTCTCCTCTTTTTTAACCGGTACTGCTCAGACTTCTTCCATCTGTTCCTCTCTAGGACCCTCCGTCAACCCTGTCCCATCATCGACCAAGCCCGTAAACTCTCTTACTGTGCACACACAGTCCACTTGTTTCCATATTCCAAGGAAGGTAACTTCATCCACAGGGTTCTCAACAAGCTGTCAATCTTTGGGGGGTCTCCTTTACAGCAACTTCAATACTTATTATCCAGGCAGCAAAGTGGTGTTCCCACTTCAGCTGTGAATGGAATCTGTAGAGAAATCTCTATTCTTTTTATTCTCAGGAAAATTTTTTTAAACTTTGAATATTTATCTTTTCACCTTCATAACCCAAAAATATCATTTAAAATGTACTGCCAGAATCAGACACAATCTAACCTAGGGTTTCTACTCTTCAGAGTGTTACCCTGTGTTCAGAAAACTTGAACATTGCTCTGATTAGGTGGTTTTTCTTAACCCCTCAAAAACTGTATTTTTGTCATCTGTGAAGTGGGGATAACAGTGGTTGGCATAAAAGCCTTAGTTCTAATAATTGTTATTATGAATGTGCACATCTATTCAGCTCCAGGCTTTTAAATTGTTTATTCTCCCTTTTAAATGGCATCTTGTTTTAAAAGTTAGTATCTTCTGTGTCTTTTATCATGTACTAATCTGTAAGTGATTCAGGTGCTCTTGAAAACTGCTTAGAAAAAGTTGTTTAAACAATTAAATGAATACATAGCTAATTCTTATTTAATGAAAGAATTCCATTCATTAGAATATGTCAATTGATTTATGTCGGCTAATGTAGCTATTAGAAAATGCCATACAACTTTTGACTTCTGGGTACTCATTTGTTAGCCAGCTGTTTGGAACTCAGAACACATTTTCTCATTATGTGATTATGTTGGTTGTTGGATTCTCAGGCAAGTTCATAAAAGTATATTTTAACCACAATGAGGTAGAAGCATACAATACCAATGCCACTATGGAATATAACAGCTAGAAACTAACAGAGATTGCTGAGTATCAATTAAGGTTGTATATTTGAAACATGCTGAGTATCCAAGAGTTTATATAGAAATTGTAAACATCATTTAAATATCATTATTAAATATTATAAATAAAGCTTATTATATTTTCTAAAGAAAAAGAATACACTCTAGAAGAGAAGGTCGAATCCTGAACTCCAACTAAATCCCCATTCCTTTTGCACCTGTGTTTGCCAAAGGAAAACAGTATAAAATAAGGTTAACAAAAAACTGCAGCTTGCAAAAGCAGGAGAAATCTGAGATATCCTGCAGCCTGTCCTCTCACGGATATGTGGATGTGAATGAAATGACCATACTCAACAGAGACAAAGTAAAGGAGAAAGAGTATGGGAATTTACAACCTTGATAATATGGGATTATGAATAGTTTATTTGCTATGTCTTCTCTTCCTCCTATTCTTCTTTCCTTTCTCCTTTTCTTTCTCCTTTCTTCCCTTATGTTCTTCCTTCCACCTTCCCTCCCTCCCTTTCTAAATATATGCTTGGAGTGCTTCAGGTTGTTAACTTAAAATATATGTTACATGTTTTATATGTTTAATATATATATGTATATATTATACACACACACACACACATATGGAAAGAAATCTTGGTTAGTACACTACTCTTTGAAGAGTTTATGTTCATGCCATCTGACCCTCACAGTAATTAAAAGAATAGGTGAGGCAGGCGAAAATCATCCTTTATATAAATTGGGAAACCAAAACCCCAAATGGTGAAATGATTCTTCCCAGATAACAACCTTGTCAAATACCCCTTCCAGTTGTCATGAGAATTGGGGCTGAGGTCTCACAATTAAACTAGGTCTAAGGTAAAGCGAATGAGGAAATAGGCAAGGGATTATTTTCAAGTGGAAAACATGCTGGGTAGCATCAGTACATTAAACTTAGTAGGTTTGTTAATGGTTTTAGTAATTTCAGAGACAATGCAGATTTTAATATTCTATAGAATTTTTGCTGACAGTATTTTTAAAATTAAAATCAATAGGCAAAATGAGACACCCAAACACCCAATCTCTCTCATATTAATGACACCTGACTCTTCCCTATACTACTCCACAAATATTTCTTAAGTTCCATATATACCGCCAAATAAGATGATTCCCTCATTTCCCAAATAAAAAATTCAAAAAGAGATAGATTTTGGGGGAATTTTGTATATATGCCTTTTAAGGATGTAGATGGAAGAGTCAAACGTTTACCTATTTTATTTAATAATTTTACTACATATATATTTTTAATGTTATATAAAATAAAATAAAAAACTAGAATTTTTCCACTTTCACATTTTCTTTTAAAATTGCCTTTAAACTCTCCAAGTGAATCTCAAGAGTGTCATCATTTGAGCCATTTTTTCAGTCATTTAGTTTAGCTTCTAGACTTTATCCTCTTGTAATTGTAACATAAGACTTTGTAAGACCTTAAATATAAAATGACTTCTCTTGTCTGCAGTAGAATTTTGGGGGAAATCCTTGCCTTTCTGTGGTAGAACTTTGGGGGAAATCCTTGGGTCTGTATAACAGATGAAGAGCTTTGTGCTCTGTGACTCCAGGACAGAGTATTTCCCCTTGGGTTAAACAGTCCAGTCTCTGACCGTCCCAGGGAATGGGGCTGCCTACATGCAACACTGGGAAAGCTGGAGAACTTCAGGTCAGGATGGAAAGCTGTCAATGAGATGAGGTATCAACCTGCAGATACATATTCGAGACATCGCTTTACAAGGCCAGAAACCAGGCCTTGCTTCAGTATATGGCCATGGTTCCCTTGCTAGCTGCTTTCTGGCAGTGGTGATAAGATTCCACAGAGTATCTGCTTGAAATGTTACACATTTATTCATCATCATCATTTCAGAACCTTTTTTCAGAGCAGTTGACATTTAGACCTCTGAATGAGGATTATTTTGGAATGGGCCATGTATGGGGAAAAATGTGGATGATGATGGCTGTTCCAGAGATGGCAGAAATGAAGATCTCAGATTGGAAACTAATTTTAGTCATGCTGCACATGCTCATCCCCTGTCACGCTCCTCTATATCTCGCCTCTCACCGAATGGTCTGCTCATGCTGCAGGCAGTGCCCGATAGCATTTATGGGCATCTTCATGATGCTCTTCCCAAAATGTTTTGTAAAAACTTAGCATTGCTCTTTGATACCAATGACTTATGAGAACGACTTGTATCATTCCATTGCCCAAAGAGCATCGACAGATGTCAGGATACTGAAATAGCTGCAGAAGCCGCTGCCAGCACACATTTTGCAAGCAAAATTTGCAGGGTGGCAGATTACAATGACAGAACTTTGGGGAGGAGTATTCATCACAAGATGGAATCAAGTGGTTCACACGTTGGCATTTTCCCAGTTGGTGATTGTTAGTAAATTCAGAGGCATCCTACCAGGCAGATTGCCTCTGCCCAAAGACAGCCTGAATCACCGACACAATAGCATTCTGACGGGAGTGTATTAGGGCAGGACCCACTCATATTTCATATACATGTCTTCTCCTGATGTTTCATATTGCTATTCAATTTTCATGAGTTTATATCTTATCTCCTAATTGGTTTATGATTGGAAATCTAGGACTTGTTTGGGCCACCATTGGAAAGACAGGAGCTTAATGTGGAAATGAGATTCTTGTCCAACAGGTTGAAGATTCTTGACAGGAATCAGAGATAACTGACAAAAGGGGTGGAGATGGGGCCTGCTGGGAGATGTTACTGCTTGAGGAAGATTGTTCTGTACCCTTTGGAATACAAGAAAAGATATGGAAAGGATTTCCTTGGGCTTTTATTAGCATTAACCATTCCTTTCTCTGCTTTCTTGCTCATGTATTCTGCTAACACTTATTAAGCATACACTCTGTGCTAGAAACTTGAATAAGGACTTCTTTGTAGCCCTTATTTTCTCTCCAACTCCTTTAATGTTTTATTTAATACAATATTTAAGAGCACAGTATTTTTGCATCACACAAACCTTTTGATGTATCACACAATAAGACCACTTATTGACAATATCAACTCAAACAGATGACTGAATCTTTCTGAGACTCTGTTTTCCAAAAAATGGAGATCAGAATATTTCCTACCTCATGGGATTGTTGTGAGACCAAATCAAATAGTGATTATAACATATTTTAGGTCCAATTGCTGATAAATTGTAAGCAATTGCTATCATTATTTAGTGCAAGTTTTTTTATTGGACTGAAACTTTTGGATGTCAAAAATGGTAGAATATTGATAACTTCACATGGATCAACTTAATATATGCTTTGTTTTCTAGATGGGTTTATGTTGGTTGTCATCATAAATCTTCTTTATAGTGTAAATGAGAAAAGAACCATGGTGTCCAAAGACTGGAACCAAGCCTCCACATTATAAGTTTATGAAAGCCAGGATTATACTTTGTGTAATTGAGCACTAAACTTGAGGCTCTCTACATAGAAGATGGTAAATGAATATTAGAATAATGAATTCATATGTTTGAGATATTTGGACTTTAGGAAATAGGCAACTATTTTTAATCACTTGATTTTCATTGGCCATAAAATTTCATTTCTGATACCTAAGAGCAAGTTGACACAATCACTTTAAAAACATGAATAGTAAATATTTATGAGCTGGCCTGGTTGAGTTTGGGAACTAGATCTGTCATATACAAACCATCTGACTTCAAATCAGTGATTCTTGATGAAAAACAAGGCTGTGAAAATCATAACATGACAATGGTTAAGGGTGAGGGTTTCATTTATATCTCTGCCTCTCTTCAAAAGATGAAAAGATATCTCAGATTAGAAATAAAAGGAGCTAGAAGGTACAAAGCTCTCTTTCCAGTTAGGGATGAGAGCACCATCAGAAGTGAAAGGAAGCTTGGGATCCCCATACTTCAACCCATACACTAAGCAGCATTACTACCAGGTCTGAAAACCACCCTTAATTGTAGATGTGACTCTGCTCCCTGGTTTTGGTCCAGAAAAGATAGTGACGTGATAGTCGTTTTGGTGCATGATCATTGGATGGGCTCTCTGGCAAAGTCTACTGAAAACCAAACTTGATTGCTGTAAATTTGAATGTAAAACATAAATTAGGAGAACGTTTGCAAATCTATAGAGACCAAAAGTAGATTGGAGGTTGCCAGCGGGATGCTGGAGGGGGAGGTGGGACAGGGGTTGATTGCTAAGTGGTATGAGGTTTCTTTTTGTAGTAATGAAAATGTTCTAAAATTGACTATGATGATGGTTGCACAACCCTGGAAATATACTAAAAGTCATCAAATTATACATTTTAATGGTGTGTTGTAGGGTGTGCAAATTATTTCTCAATTAAGATTTTAAAAATAACAGAAGAAAAAATTCATTTTGAAAACCTTTAATCCTTCCATGAATATATATAACTTCTTTAAGCACTTCGATGTGTAATATTCCAGACTTTTTCCTGTGCTTTGGGAGCTGTTTAGTCAACTACTTTTTAAACTTACCGATATAACCCAAATATCTTTTTATGCCAATGTACATTTATGTAATCTTTATTAAACTGTTGTATAACATTCCAGTTATTTGCATATCCCTAGACTTGCTTAGTGAATCTCTTATTGTTAAATATTCAAATTGCTTCTTTTTATTATTAAAATACTCCTTTGTATCTACAAGAAGAAAAATTAGCAGGGAGAATCCCTGAAAAACGGACTGAATTAACTAAAAACACTGTCAGTGGCGCAAGAGTTGACCTTCTCCTTCCATTAAAATAAAGGTTTGCACTGTGTAAATAGTCTGTTTGACACATAAACACCTACTGTGTCCCAGGTTCTGCACTTTGTGCTGGGGATTCTACAAATGACAGAAATTATCTATCCTTAGTTCAGGCCTGAATTATCACTTCATGGGCAATATTCCTAACTCTTTTTAGGTAATAATTCCAGATAATACTGTATCATAAACTAGACAGTGAATTTTCTAAGGTGTATTTTACTGTCATAACCTAAGCACAGAATCCAAGAATATTAGTGCTGACAGATCATTTATTGAAGCCCTGCATCCTTTTGTTGTCAATGAAAAACCTTAGGCCTGAAGATGTTTAATAACTTTTCCCAGGCGACATAGTCAGAATCTAACAGAACTAAGATTTGAACCCAACTCTCGGTGAGTCCACAGCATTTCCACCATACCACACTAGCATCCAACAGCAAATCTCTCTGTAACACCTTCCTTGCATCTGCCCCACTCCAAAACCCCTTCCCAACCAGCTTGTGGTGTGAGCTCAGCGGAAAAAAATTCTCATTTTTCCACTAGTTATAATTAGGAGTTTTAAGAAATCAATTAACACTAAGGAGTGAATGAGAGTAGGTTTAATCCTCCAAGGAACATGTGTGTTTTAAAAGACAGGAAGTCCATAATAATAACTATTTTTGCATATTTGTAGCTCTTTGCCTTTTACAAGCCATTTCATATTGGAGTTGCACGATAGTAGGATATTAACTGTACAGATGGAGACACTAAGTCTCACGGTGAGACTTCTTTTCCCTAGAGAGAACCAGTAAGTGGCAAAGCTGGGATAGACACCCAGATCTTTGGTCATAAATCTGGAGATCTTTCCAATAATAAATTATCCAATTAAATGGATGGGATGCCTGTCAGGGTATTTTTGGTAAGTGTAAATTATCCCTTCCTCCTTCCAGAATAGGAGTCAACCAGTTGGCTCTTCTGCCAATTTGCTGCCCCTGTCACCACCACTGTGAAGCTGAAGAATCTGGGCTCCTGTGACTGCTGTCTTACATGTTCCCTCATTTCCAAGGGGATGGGCTCTTTATAAACTCCATAAATGAATACAAGAGGCGTTGTCCCCTTTTAGCTTATTAAAACCCAGTTTTAGAAAAGGCCAGGTCAAAAGATTAAAGGGAAATAGATATGAAATGTTAGAAAATGGAAGCAAGCCCTTCTAATCCCCTCCACATTCTTCCCCACGACCCTGTCCCCCACTTGCTACCCAGGGAAGGATCACACCCTTTCGATCACAGCAAATCAGCCACCCTGACACGTCCTGAGATCTGCTTCTCCTTCCAGCCTTTCAGCACCCAATATTGGACACACATTCCTTTAGAGCCTGTGGCGGCCGCTGCCTCGTGCGACAAGTGGCCGCGCATTGCAGATGCACACCACAGTCCACCAAGCGTGGTGGAACGGGTTATCTCAGATCAAATTCCTGCGGCAGCCACTTCCTCTCCTTATCTGGGAATCGGGGATTTTTATGAGGGGGGGTGGATGTAAGCCCTTCCAGTGCACCAGCTGTCCTAATAAGCATGACTTCTTGGCAATGCAATCTGAGAGTGAGCTCTAATGTGTGCTAAGGGGGTATGCTTCCAAAGAGGAAGACTTGACAAGCAGAAACCCACTCAGTCATGCATTCGTTCACCCACAAAGGCCTATTCGATGCCCATATTTGCCAGACCTGGACTGGCACATTGGAGACCATGAGTGAGGCCTGATCTTTGCCCTGAAGGAAAGCAAGATGAACTATGTGAAGAATGTACAGAGTGCTGTGGGAATGAGCTATCCAACTCTAAGAAGAGCCAGGGATTACCAGGGTTGACTCGAAAGAGGGCTGACACTCAGCAGGTGAATGATTTGTCCCATGGCCCTCCATGAATGGGTTATGCAGCCAAGATTAGAACCCCGAGCTGATTCCCATACTCCCCACTGTCCGAACTCCCCACTATCCCCACTGTGAGTCTGAAGGATGAGGAACAAATCACAAAGAGAGATTTTCACAGGGTTCTTATTCACAGATTGCTTCTGTCATTTTTTTTCCATCAGTTATTGGGGTACAGGTGGTATTTGGTTACATGAGTAACTTCTTTAGTGGTGATTTGTGAGATTTTGGTGTACCCATCACCTGAGCAGTATACACTGCACCATATTTGTGGTCTTTTATCCCCTACCCCCGTCCCACTCTTTCCCCCACGTCCCCAAAGTCCATTGTGTCATTCTTATGCCTTTGCGTCCTCATAGCTTAGCTCCCACATAACAATGAGATCATCCGATGTTTGGTTTTCCATTCCTGAGTTACTTCACTTAGAATAATAGTCTCCAATCTCATCCAGGTCAGTGCAAATGCTGTTAATTCATTCCTTTTTATGGCTACATAGTATTCCATCATATATATATATATATATATATATATATATATCTCACAGTTTCTTTATCACTCGTTGATTGATGGACATTTGGGTTGGTTCCACAATTTTGCAGTTGTGAATGTGCCGCTATAAACATGCATGTGCCAGTATCTTTTTCTAATAATGACTTCTTTTCCTCTGGGTAGATACCCAGTAGTGGGATTGCTGGATCAAATGGTAGACCTACTTTTAGTTCTTTAAGGAATCTCCACACTGTTTTCCCTAGTGACTGTACTAGTTTACATTTCCACCAGCAGTGTAGAAGTGTTCCCTGTTCACTACATCCATGCCAACATCTATTGTTTTTTTTTATTATTATTATTACGGCCATTCTTGCAGGAGTAAGATAGTATCACATTGTGGTTTTGATTTGCATTCCCTGATCATTAGTGATGTTGAGCATTTTTTATGTTTGTTGGCCATTTGTGTATCTTCTTTTCAGAATAGTCTATTCATGTCCTTAGTCCACTTTTCGATGGGGTTGTTTGTTTATTTCTTACTGTTTGTTTGAGTTCATTGTAGATTCTGGATATTAATCCTTTGTCAGATGTATAGATGAAGATTTTCTCCCACTCTGTGGGTTGTCTATTTACTCTGCTGACTGTTCCTTTTGCTATGCAAAAGCAATTAATTAATTAATTAATTAATTAGGTCCCAGCTTTTTATCTTTGTTTTTATTGTACTTGCTTTTGTGTTCTTGGTCATGAAATCCTTGCCTAAGCCAATGTCTAGAAAGGTTTTTCCAATGCTATCTTCTAGAATTTTTATAGTTTCAGATTTTAGGTTTAAGTCCTTAATCCGTCTTCAGTTGATTTTTGTATAATGTAAGAGATGAGGATCCAGTTTCATTCTCCTACATGTGGCTAGCCAATTATCCTAGCACTATTTGTTGAAAAGGGTGTCCTTTCTCCACTTTACGTTTTTGTTTGCTTTGTCAAGGATCAGTTGGCTATAAGCATTTCGGTTTATTTCTGGGTTCTCTATTATGTTCCATTGATCTATGTGCCTATTTTTATACCAGTACCATGCTGTTTTGGTGACTATGGCCTAATAGTATAATTTGAAATCAGGTAGTGTGATGCCTCCAGATTTGTTCTTTTTGGTTAGTATTGCTTTGGCTATGCAGGCTCTTTTTTGGTTCCGTATGAATTTCAGAATGTTTTTTTCTAATTCTGTGAAGAATTATGGTGGTATTTGGATGGGGATTGTGTTGAATTTGTAGACTGCTTTTGGCAGTATGGTCATTTTCACAATATTGATTCTACCCATCCATGAGCATGGGATGTGTTTCCATTTGTTCGTGTCATCTATGATTTCTTTCAGCAGTGTTTCACAGTTTTCCTCATAGAGGTATTTCAACTCCTTGGTTAGGTATATTCCTAAGTATTTTATTTATTTTTTTGCAGCTATTGTAAAAGGGTTTGATTCTTTGCTTTGTCGCTGTTGGTGTACAGAGGAGCTACTGATTTGCGTACATCTTGTATCTGGAAACTTTGCTGAATTATTTTATCAATTCTAGGAGCTTTCTGGAGGAGTCCTTAGGGTTTCCAAGGTAAATGATCACGTCGTCAGCAAACAGTGACAGTTTAACTTCCTCTTTACGGATTTGGATGCCCTTTGTTTCTTTCTCTTGTCTGACTGCTCTGGCTAAGACTTCCAGTACTAAGTTGAAGAGGAGTGGTAAGAGTGGGCATCCTTGTCTTGTTCCAGTTCTCAGAGGGAATGCTTTCAACTTTTATTCATTCAGTATTATGTTGGCTGTGAGTTTGTCATAGATGTCTTTTATTACCTTAAGATATGTCCCTTGTATGCCAATTTTGCAGAGAGTTTTAATCGTAAAGGGATGCTGGATTTTGCCTAATGCTTTTTCTGCATCTATGGAGATGATCGTGTGGTTTTTGTTTTAATTCTGTTTGTGTGATGTATCACATTTACTGACTTGTGTATATTAAACCATCCCCGCATCTCTTGTATGAAACCCACTTGATCATGGTGGATTATCTTTTTCATATGTTGTTGGATTTGGCTAGCTAGTATGTTGTCAAGGATTTTAGCATCTGTGTTCATCAAGGATATCAGTCTGTAGTTTTCTTTTTTGGTTATGTCCTTTCCTGGTTTTGGTATTAGGGTGATGCTGGCTTCATAGAATGAATTAGGGAGGGTTCCTTCTTTCTCTATCTTGTGGAATAGTTTCAAAAGGATGGGTACCAATTCTTTGAATGTCTGGTAGAATTCTGCTGTGAATCTGGTCCTGGACTTTTTTTGTCAGTAATTTTATTGGTCTGTTCAGGGTATCTAATTCTTCCTGATTTAAGCTAGGAGGGTTGTATTTTTACAGGAATTTATCCATCCCTTCTAGGTTTTCTAGTTTATGTGCATAATGGTGTTCATAGTAGCCTTGAATGATCTTTTGTATTTCAGTGGTATCAGTTGTAATATCCTCTGTCTCGTTTCTTAGTGAGGTTTTTGGATTTTCTCTCTTCTTTTCTTGGTTAATCTTGCTAATGGTCTATCAATTTTATTTATCTTTTCAAAGAACCGGCTTTTTGTTTCATTTATGATTTGTATTTTTTTTGTTTTGTTTCAATTTCATTTAGTGCTGCTCTGATCTTGTTTATTTCCCTTCTTCTGCTGGATTTGGGTTTGGTTTGTCCTTGTTTCTCTAGTTTCTCTAGTTTCTTGAGGTGTGACCTTAGAATGTCAGTTTGTGCTCTTTCAGTCTTTTTGTTATAAGCATTTAGGGCTGTGAACTTTCCTCTTAGCACTGCCTTTGCTGTATCCCAGAGGTTTTGATAGGTTGTGTCACTATTGTCACACAGTTTGAAGAATTTTTTAATTTCCATCTTGATTTTGTTTTTGACCCAATGCTCATTCAGGATCAGGTTACTTAATTTCCATGTATTTGCATGGTTTTGAAGGTTCCTTTTGGAGTTGATTTCCAGTTTTATTCCACTGTGATCTGAGAGCATGCTTGATATAATTTCAATTTTCTTAAATTTATTGAGGCTCATTTTATGGCCTATCATATGGTCTATCTTGGAGAAAGTTCCATGCACTGTTGAATAGAATGTGTATTCTGCAGTTGTTGGATGAAATGTTCTGTATATATCTGTTAAGTCTATTTGCTCCAAGGTATAGTTTGAACCCATTGTTTCTTTGTTGACTTTCTGTCTTTATATCCTGCCTAGTGTTGTCAGTGGAGTATTAAAGTCCCCCAATATTATTGTGTTGCTGTCTGTCTCATTTCTTAGGTCTATTAGTAATTGTTTTATAAATTTGGGAGCTCCAGTGTTAGGTGCATATATGTTTGGGGTTGTGATATTTTCCTGTTGGACTAGTCCCTTTACCATTATATAATGTCCCTCTGTCTTTTTTAACTGCTGATGCTTTAAAGTTTGTTTTGTCTGATATAAGAATAGCTACCCCTGCTCCCTTTTGGTGTCTATTTGCATGAAATGCTTTTCCACCCTTTTACTTTAAGTTTAGGTGAGTTCTTATGTGTTAGGTGAGTCTCCTGAAGGCAGCAGATGGTTGGTTGATGAGTTCTTACCCATTCTGCAGTTCTGTATCTTTTAACTGGAGCATTGAGGCCATTTACATTCAATGTCAGTATTGAATTGTGAGGTACCGTTGCATTCATCATGCTCTTTGTTGCCTGTGTAGTTTGTTTTTTGTTTGTTTGTTTGTTTGTTTTTGAGACAGAGTCTCACTTTGTCACCCAGGCTGGAGTGCAGTGGCACAACCTCAGCTTGCTGCAGTCTCCACCTCCTGGGTTCAAGCAATTCTCCTGCCTCAGCCTCCCAAGTAGCTGGGATTACAGGCACCTGCCACCACAGCCAGCTAATTTTTTTGTATTTTTAGTAGAGACGGAGTTTCACCATGTTGACCAGGCTGGTTTTGAACTCCTGACCTCAAGTGATCTGCCCGCCTTGGCCTCCCAAAGCGCTGGGATTACAACAGGCATGAGCCACCATGCCCGGCCTGGTTTTTTGGGTTTTTTGTTTTTGATCTTTAACTTGTATTTTTGTTGTATAGGTCCTATGTGGTTTATGCTTTAAAGAGGTACTGTTTTGATGTGTTTCCAAGAGTTGTTTCAAGATTTAGAACTCCTTTTAGCAGTTCTTGTAGTGGTGGCTTTGTAATGGCAAATTCTCCCAGCATTTGTTTGTCTGAAAAAAACTGTATTTTTCCTTTATATATGATGCTTAGTTTAACTGAATATCAAATTCTTGGCTGATGATTGTTTTGTTTGAGGAGGCTGAAGACAGGGCCCCAATCCCTTCTAGCTTGCAGGATTTCTGCTAAGAAATCTGCTGTTGATCTGATAGGTTTTCCCTTATTGGTTACCTGGTGCTTCTGTCTCACAGCTCTTAAGATTCTTTCCTTCGTCTTAACTTTGGATAACCTGATGACAATGTGCCTAGGCAAAGATCTTTTTGTGATGAATTTCCCAGGTGTTCTTTGTGCATCTTGTATTTGGATGTCTAGGACTCTATGAGGCCAAGGAAGTTTTCCTCAATTATTCCCCCGAATATGTTTTCCAAGCTTTTAGAATTATCTTCTGCCTTAGGAACACCGATTATTCTTAGGTTTGGCCATTTAACATAATCCTAGACTTCTTGAAGGATTTGTTCATATTTTCTTTTCTTTTTTTTTTTTTTTTTTTTTTTTTTGAGACAAAGTCTCACTCTGTCTCCTAGGCTGCAGTGCAGTGGTGCGATCTTGGCTCACTGCAACCTCCACCTCCTGGGTTCAAGCGATTCTCGTGCTTCGGCCTCCCAAGTAGCTAGTATTACAGGTGCCCAACACCATACCCAGCTAGTTTTTGTATGTTTAGTGGAGATGGGGTTTCACCATGTTGGCCAGTCTGGTCGCAAACTCCTGACCTCAGGTGATCCACCTACCTCGACCTCCCAAAGTGCTTGGATTACAGGCATGAGCCACCATGCCCAGCTGTTCATATTTTCTTATTGTTTTTTCTTTGTCTTTGTTGGATTGGATTAATCTGAAGACCTTGTCTTTGAGCTCTGAATTTCTTTCTTCTACTTGTTCAGTTCTATTGCTGAGACTTTCCAGAGCATTTTGCATTTCTAAAAGTGTGTCCAACGTTTCCTGAACTTTTTGTTTTTTCTTTAAGCTATCTATTTCCTTGAATATTTCTTCCTTCACTTCTTGTATCATTTTTTGGATTTCCTTGCATTGGGCTTTACCTTTCTCTGGTCCCTCCCTGATTAGCTTAATAACTAACCTCCTGAATTCTTTTTCAGGTAAATCAGGGATTTCTTCTTGGTTTGGATCCATTGCTGGTGAACTAGTGTGATTTTTTTGGTGTGTTGAAGAACCTTGTTTTGTCATATTACCAGGGTTGATTTTCTGGTTCCTTCTCATTTGGGTAGTCTCTGTCAGAGGGAAGGTCTAGGGCTGAAGGCTGTTGTTCAGATTCTTCTGTCTCACAGGCTGTTCCCTTGATGTAGTACGATCCCCCTTTTCCTACGGATGTGGCTTCTTGTGAGCCAAACTGCAATGATTGTTGTCTCTTTTCTGGGTCTAGCCACCCAGCGAGTCTACCTGGCTCTGGGTTAGTACTGGGGGTTGTCTTTACAGAGTCCTGTGATGTGAACTGTCTATGGGTCTCTCAGCCTTGGATACCAGCGCCTGTTCCAGTGTAGGTGGTGGGAGCGTGGGGGTGGTGCAATGGACTCCGTGAGGGTTGTTAGCTTTGGTGGTTTAATGCTCTATTTTTGTGCTGGTTGTCCTCCTGTTAAGAGGTGGCGCTTTCCAGAGAGCATCACCTGTATTAGTATGGGGAGGAACCAGTGGTGGGTGGGGCCCTAGAACTCCCAAGACTATATGCTCTTTGTCTTCCTCTACAAGGTGGGTAGGGAAGGACCATCAGGTGGGGGCAGAGCAAGGCATGTCTGAGTTCAGACTGTCCTTGGGTGGGTCTTGCTGCAGCTGCTGTGGGGGTTGGGGGTGAGATTCCCAGTTCACTGGAGTTGTGTACCTAGGAGGACTATGGTTGCCTCTGCTGATTCATGCAGGTTGTCAAGGAAGTGGGGGAAAGCTGGCAATCAAAGGCCTCACCCAGCTCCCATGCAAACCAAAGGGTCGGTCCATTCCCTCTGTGCCCCCACCAAGAGCCCCGGGTCCGTTTCCAGGCAGAGGGCAAGACGAGCTTGAAAACCAGGCTACGTGCCTCGTAGCTGTGAAAGAAAAGGGTTTGTGTCTTCCCCTGCCTGTGGAGACTGCACACCAGATTTGTACCCTCCCACAAGTTCTGGCCAGGAGGCTTCTCACCCCATTCAAATGTTTACAAAGTTCAGCTAGAGATTTCCTTCTATTCTCCCTGTGGAGTTTTTTTTGTTGCTGTTTTTGTTTTTGTTTTTTGTTTTTTGTTTTTTTGATGGAGTCTTGCTCTGTCGCCCAGGCTGGAGTGCAGTGGCGCAATCTTGGCTCACTGCAAGCTCCACCTCCCGGGTTCATGCCATTCTCCTGCCTCAGCCTCCTCAGTAGCTGGGATTACAGGCACCAGCCACCACGCCCGGCTATTTTTTTTTTGTATTTTTTAGTAGAGATGGGGTTTCATCGTGTTAGCCAGGATGGTCCCGATCTCCTGACCTCATGATCCGCCCGCCTCGGCCTCCCAAAGTGCTGGGATTACAGGTGTGAGCCACCGCACCTGGCCCTCCCTGTGGAGTTTAACCTGGCTCTCTGGCCTCCCTCCCATTGGATCCCTGTGGTTCCAGAGAGGAATGGCCTACTAGGGGACCCAGCAAGCTCCCAGGGCCTTTCTGCTGCTTCCTCTACCCCTGTATTTTGCTTGGCTTCCCAAATTGACTCAGCTCCAGGCAAAGTCGGAAACTTCTCTCCCAAAGAGACCTTCAGTTTCTCCAGTGGGGGTGTGTGTTTGGGAGAGAAGAGTCTCCCTTTCCCACTTCCACATTTGGGGCACTCACAGTATTTGGGGGTTCTCCCAGATCCTGCAGGAGCAGTCTGCTTCCTTTGGAGGGTCTGTGAGTCCTCTTGGGATTGATGATTTGCTCTTGCAGTTGATCTGGAGCTAAAATTCACAATGCGAGCCTCCGCATGCTGCTCTGTCTGGAGCTACAATCTAGTCCTGCTTCCTGTCCACCATGATCATCTGAGTTTTAGGTATCCTTTCTGCAGAATCGCTTCTGTCATTTCACAGTCAGGTCATTGCAGCTTGTTGAGACTGTCTTTGAACAAAGATTCTCTACTTCAGAACACCTTTTGGTGCAAAACTTTCAGGATATTAGTTTCAGATTTATTCCCTTTAACTCTAAGCCACTCAAAATAGTCACCACTGTAGACATTCACAAGTGCTATGGTAGAAGAGCTCTCCTCTCCTTTATCTTGCAAAATATCAATAAATGAGCTCCTTCTAGTCTCTTTCTTTCCCTTCCTGAGCAACATAATATTTCCCGAAATCCATTAGGTGGGGCACTGCTAAGTAGATACCCATGCCAGGGAGGATAATGTGAGAGTAGGAATCATTGTTGCCCAGTATATTAGTCCATTCTTGCATTACTATAAAGAAATACCTAAGGCTGGGTAATTTATTAAGAAAAGAGGTTTAATTGACTCACAGTTCTGCAGACTTTACAAGCATGTGCTAGCCTCTGCTCAGCTTCTGGGGAGGCCCCAGGGAGCATAGCAGGAGGTGAAGCAGGAGCAGGCACATCACATGGTCAAGCAGGTGTAATGCAAAGAGAGGTGTCATACTATCACAAGGACATAACCAAGCTATGAAAAATCGGCCCCCATGACCCAAACACCTGCCACCAGGCTCCCCTTCCAGCATTGGTGATTACAATTCATCATGAGATTTAGAGGGGACAACAACCAAACTATATCACCGAAGGCAGGGTGTCAGGATCTAAGCAGGCAAGGAGGGTGTCCGTATGGTAAGGAGAGGGCCATGGCTAGGGTGGGCAAGCAGAGCCTGAGTGTGGTAAGGGAGGGCATCCACACAGGGGAAGGGGCGATGGTGGCCATGGGAAATTGGTGGCATGCAGGATGACTGAGCAAATAAATAAATATATGAAGGATAACAGGAGCCTGGTTTCTCACTGTCAGAGAAAGGAGTTACAAATATGGAAAATGAGAAACTAAAATGAACCCTAGTATTAAATTTAAATTGAATGGGCTGAGCACAGTTGTTCACACCTATAATCCCAGCACTTTGGGAGGGCAAGGCAGGAGGATGACTTGAACCCAGCAGTTTGAGACCAACCTAGGCAACACAGTGAGACCCTATCTCAGTAAATAAAAAAGAAAAAAGAAATAAGTAAATTGAAGATCCTGGTGTAAGCTGAGGTTTTCATTAGATAGATAGACATGAGATGTATATAATAAATTGATAAGTTAAATACATTATGCAGCATATTTCCATCTATGTCTTTCTATTTCTACATATATTGGTGCATATGTATATGCATACACATATTCCCTAGCTCTGTCCACTGAGAAGGCCTAGGGCAGACCTCCTCCAATAGCAATGAGCACATATTGAGCTCAGATCCTGGCTTCTGAATACTATTCTCTTATAAAAGGAATCATTGCTACTTGAAGAAACGGCTGATTGCAGGATCAGGGCAGGAAAATTATAAGATCAACCTGGAATATCTTGTGCCCAGCAGTAGGAAGTACTCAACGCATAACAAGAGCATATCTATAGGACACAGAAGTCAGTGTGAGGCAATCCTCTGGGCAAATCAGGAACAATCTGAGCATCAAAATGAAAAATAATAGTAATGGATTACTACCCACTGAATTGAATAGGATGCCAAGTCCATGCTGATATAAATAAAATAAATGAATAAATTGAACATTTGATGAGAAATGGAATATTTACATAGTTCCCAAGTATCTCTCAACAAAATTCTTAGTAAGTGCAAAGGGAAAAGAGTAGCTACAGTGGAAAAGCTTGGCAGAAGCCACCCTAGTCAAGTGATCCGAGTGGGCAGAAACAGTGTTAGGACAAAACAAAATCATGGGCCACCTGATGGGAGGCAACAAGAAGAACACAGCAACACTTTAGTGCTATTTCTGACAAGGATGAATCCAACCTGAATGACAGCTGGAATCCAACCATAAGGATGCATCAACTAAACTGTAAACTCAGGGACATTCCACTAAATAACTAGCGTGTAATCTAGTGTTAAGATCATTAAAATAAAGGAAAGACTGAGGAAGTGTTCCAAGCTGGAAGGGACTAAAGAAGCATGACAACCAAATAACTCATGATTCTGAACTGGCTCCTTTTTCTATAAAGAACATTAATAGGATAGTTGGCAAAACTTGATCAGGGGCTTACAGATTATATGGCAACAATGTACCAATGTCCGTTTCCTGATTGTGCTGGCTGTTCTGTGGTTATCTAGAAAAATATCCTGGTTTATAGAAAATACAAAAAAGGATTCAGGAGGAAGAGGAGGCAGGGCAAGATGGCTGAATAGAACCATCCAGCAATCATGCCTCCCTTAGGAACATCAAATTGAACGACTGTTTAACAAGAAACATTCAATAGGAACCGAAAAAAAAAAAAAAAGAGATGAGCGATCACAGTACCTGGTTTTAACATAATAACAAGGAACGACACATTGAAGAGTGTAGGAAGGACAGTCTTTCATTGCCTACACCACCCTTGCCCCAACCCCAGGCAGTGCAGTGCAGAGAGAATCTGTATGTTTGGGGGAAGGACAGCAAGGTGATTGTAGGAATTTGCATTGAAACTCCATGTTGCACTGTCATGAAGAAACACAACACTGGGCAGAAGTCCACCAGTGCCCATGGAGGAAGCATTTAGACCAGCACTCGGCCAGAGGGAAATCCTCTGCCCCAGAAGGAGGAAACCGAGTCCTAACTAGCTTCACCACCAACTGACTAAAGTGGCCTGGGGCTCCAAATAAATTTAAGTGACAGTCATGCCAAAAGAACTGAAGTTCTTGGGCAAACCCTGGTGCTTCACTATTCTTGGAGGCTGTGGGTTTGCGGCGCCACCCTGTGCAACACCAGCTGCAGTGACCAGGGAAGTTCCTGCCTCAACCCTCCCCTAACTCCAGGCAGTGGAGGATGGAGAGAGACTCCTCCTGCTTAGGGGAAGGAGAGAGAAGATTACAGAGGACTTTGTTTTGTAACTGAGTACCAGCTCAGCCACAGTAAAGCACTGGTGGAATCCTGAAGCCTCCTACCCCAGGCCTTTGCTCCCAGAGCATTTCTAGGCTTACCTCAGGCCAGAAGGGAATCTGCTGTCCAGGTGGGATGGACTGAGGTCCAACAGGATTCACAACCTGCTGACTAAAATTGCCTTGGATCTTGAATAAACATCAGCAACAGCCAGGCAGTAGCAGGTATGGGCCTTGGATGAGCCTCAGTACTGTGCTGTTCTAGGAGAAAGTGGGCTTCAGGCACAACCCAGAGTGGTGCTAACTATGGTAGCTACAGAAGCGCCTGTGTCAACTTTCCCTAAATTCCAAGCAGTCCAGCATAGAGAGAGACTCCTTCTTGGGGCAAAGAGAGGGAAGAGAGTGATGGACTTTGCCTGGGAACCCAGGGAATTTTCTAACTTCCCCAAGTCCACCAAGGCTGTGTGAGTCTGCAAGAGTTGCAGCATACCTGGGCTTAGGGTGTCCTCTAGTGCTAAACGGGCTGAAATGCTGAAGTGATCACAGGCTTAGGTAAAAACACTCAATCCCCTTTGAATTCTTGGAAAGCCTTCTCACAAAGAATGAATACAAACAAGGCCAGCCTGCAAAGACTGGAATAAACACCTAACTCGTCAATGCTCAGACGTTGACGAATGTCCACAAGCATCAGGAACATCCAGGAAAATGTGACATCATCAAACAATCTGAACAAGGCACCAGTTATCAATCCTGGAGTGACAGATATGTAACCTCTGAGACAGTGAATTCAAAATGGAGGTCTTGATGAAGCTCAATTAGCTTCAAGTTAACAGAGAAAAAGCTCAGAGTTCTATCAGAGAAATTTAACAAGGAGATTGAAATAATTTTTAAAATCAAACAGGAATCCTGGAGCTAAAAAATTCAATTGACCAACTGCAAAGTGCATCAGAGTGTCTCAACAGCAGAACTGATCAAGCAGAAGAAATAATTGGTGAGCTTGAAGACAGGCTATTTGAAAATATGCAGTCAGAGAAGAAAAATGAATTAAAATACATCTACGAGATCTACAAAATAACCTCAAAATGAAATATCAAGATTTGTTGGCCTCAAAGAGGATGTAGGCAGAATGTAAGATGTAAGAGATAAAGGCAGAAAGTTATTCAACGAAATAGTAACAGAGAAGTTTCCAAATAAACATATGGAAAAAAACATTCCGTGCAAATGAAATCCCACCTGCCCACCCCCCCCAAAAAAAGAAAAGAAAATAGCAGGAGTAACTATGGTTATCTCAGATAAAACAGATTTTACGATAACTATGGTAATCTCAGATAAAAGAGATTTTAAGGAAAAACTGTGAAAGAAAGCTATTATATAATGGTAAAGGAATCAATTCAGCAAGAAGATATAACAATTGTAAACATATAGGCACCTGATGCTGGAGCATACAGATATAGAAACCAAATATTATTAGAGCTAAAGAGAGAGATAGACCCCAATACAATAATGGTTGGGGACTTCAACACCCCACTTTCAGCATTGGACAGATCATCTAGACAGAAAATCAACAAAGAAATATTGGACTTAATCTGTACTATAGACCAAATGTTCCTAACAAACATTTATATAACATTTCATTCAACAGCTGCAGAATACACATTCTTCTCCTCAGGACATGGAACAGTCTCAAAAATAGATCATATGTTAAGCCACAATACAAGTCTCAAAATTTTTTTTAAAAATTGGAATCATATCAAGTATCTTTTCTAACCACAAAGAAATAAAACTAGAAATCCATAACAACAGGAATCTTGGAAACTATACTAATATGAAATTAAACAACATGCTCCTGAATGATCAATGGGTCAATGCAGAAATTAAGAAGGACATTTTAAAATTTCTTAAAACAATGAAAGTGGAAATAAAACATCCCCCAATCTATGGGATACAGCAAAAGCAGTACTAAGAAAGAAGTTTATAGTACCTATATCAAAAAAGTAGATAATAAGTACCTATATCAAAAAAGGAGAAAGTTTAAATAAACAACCTAATGATGAACCTCAAGGAACTAGAAAAGCAAGAACAAATCAAACCCAAAGTTAGTAAGAGGAAAGAAATAATAAAGGTCAGAGCAGAAATAAATAAAATTGAGACTAAAAAATCAATACAGAAGATCAATGAAATAAAAAGTTGGTATTTGGAAAAAAATAAACAAAATTGACAAACATTTAGTAAGCAAAGAAAAAAGAGAGAAGATCTAAATAAATAAAATCAGAAATTTAAAAAAAAGGAAACACCAACTGAAACCATAGAAATACAAAGAATCATTAGAGACTATTATGAACAAGTGTACACCAAGGAACTGGAAAATCTAGAAGAAATGCATAAATTCCTAGACACATAAAACCTAACAATATTGAACCATGAAGAAATACAAAGCCTGAAAAAACCAATAACAAGTAATGAGCTAGAAACAGTAATAAAAACTCTCCCATCAAAGAAAAACCCAGGACAGGATGGATTCACAGCTGCATTCTACCAAATATTTAAAGAATTAATAACAAACCTACTCAAACAATTCCTAAAAAACCAAGGAGGACAGAACACTTCCAAATTCAGTCTATAAGGCCAGCATTACCCTGATACCAAAACCACACAAAGACACAACAAAAGAAAAAGAAAACTATATGTCAATATCTCTGATGAACATAGATGTAAAAATCCTCAATAAAATACTCGGAAACCAAATTCAATGTCAATATCTCTGATTAACATTGATGTAAAAATCCTCAATAAAATACTAGGAAATCAAATTCAACAACACAATAAAAAGATGGGGTGCAAAGATCGTTCAACATGTGCAAATCAGTAAACATGATATATTAACAGAATGAAGGACAAAAACGACATGATCATTTTAATAGATATCAAAATGGCATTTAATAAAATTCAGCATCCCTTCATGATAAAAATTATCTCAACAAACTGGGTGTAAAAGTAACATATCTCAACATAATAAAGACCATATACAAGAAACCCACAGCTGGCATCATACTTAATGGGAAAAACTGAAATATTTTTCTCTAAGATATAGACAAGACAAGGATGCCCACTTTTACCACTTTTCTTGAACACAGAATGGAAAGCCCTAGTGAGAGCAATTAAACAAGAAGAGGAAATAAAGGGCATCGAAATTAGGAAGGAAGAATTCAAATTATTCTTGTTTGCACATGATATAATCTTATATTTAGAAAAACCTAAAGACTCAACTAAATAAACCATTAGAACTGATAAATAAATTCAGTAAAGCTGCAGGACACAAAAAAGACAAAAAATCAATAGCATTTCTATATGCCAACAGCAAACAATCTGAAAAAGAAACCAAGAAAGCAATCCTATTAACAATAGCTGCAAAAAAAAAAAAAAAAAAAAAAAAAGAAAAAACCAAACAAACAACAAACCTAGAAATAAACTTAACCAAAGCAGTGGAAGATCTCTACAGTGAAAACTGTAAAACATTGATGAAAGTTATTAAAAAGGACACACAAAAACAGAAAGACAGCCCCCATGTTCATGGATTAGAACAATCAATATTGTTAAAATGTCCATAGTACCCAAAGTGATCGGCAGATTCAATACAATCCCTATCAAAATGCCAATGACATTCGTCATGAAAATAGAAAAAAAAAATCCTAAAATTTGTATGGAACTACAAAAGACCCTGAGTAGACAAAGTAATCCTGAGCAAAAAGAACAAAGTTGGAGGCATCACATTACCTGACTTCAAATTATGCTACAAAGCTACAGTAACAAAACCAGCATGGTACTGGCATAAAAGCAGACACATAGACCAATGGAACAGAACAGAGAACCCAGAAATAATCTACACATTTACATACAAACAAACAAGTTTGTTTTTGATAAAGGCACCAAGAACATGCATTGGGGAAAGGAGAGTCTCTTCTGCAAATAGTATTGGAAAAATTGGATATCAATGCGCAGAAGAATGAAACTAGATTCTCATCTCTTACTATGTATGAAAATCAAACCAAAATGGATTAAATACTTAATGTAAGACCTGAAACTATGAAACTACTAGAAGGAAACATCAGGGAAATACTTCAGGACATTGATCTGGGTAACGATTTTTTGAGTAAGAACTCAAAAGCACAGACAACTAAAGCAAAAAATGGACAAATGGGATCACAACAAGCTAAAAAGTTTCTGCACAGCAAAAGAAACAATCAACAAAGAAGCAGCCTACCGAATGGGAGAAAATATTTGCAAACTATTTAACTGACAAGGGATTAATAACCAGATATATAAGAAACCCAAACAACTCAATAGCAAAAAATAAAATAATCTGATTAAAAACAGGCAAAATATCTGAATAGACATTTCTTAAAAAGAAGACTTACAAATGGCCGAGAGGTATATGAAAAAATGTTTAACATTACTAATCATCAGAAAAATGCAATTCAAAACCACATGAGATATAATCTCACTCCAGTTAAAATGCCTTTTATAAAAAATAAATAAATAAAGATTCTGACAAGGATGCCAAGAAATGGGAATACTCATACACTGTTGGTGGGAATGTGAATTAATACAGTATAAAAACAGTATGGAGCTTCCTCAAGAAACTAAAATGAGAGCTCCCATATGATCCAACAGTCCCACTGTTGGGTATATATTGAAAAGAAACGAAATCAGTATATTGAAGAGATATCTGCACTCCCATGTTTATTGTAGCAGTATTCACAATAGCCAAGGTATGGAATTAATCTAAGGGTGCGTCAGTGGATGACTGGATCAAGAAAATGTAGCACATACACCCAGTGGAATATTATTCCACCATAAAAAAGAATGAAATCCTGTTATTTGTAACAACATGAATGGAACAGGAGGACATCTTAAGTAAAATAAGCCAGACATAGAAAGAAATATCACATGTTCTCACTCATAGTTAGGATCTAAAAAAAAATTGATCTTGTGGAAGTAGGGAGTAGAATGATGGCTACCAGAGGCTGGGAAGGGTAGTGGACAGGTGAAGATAAAAAGGGGTTCAGTAATAGGAACAAAAATGCAGTTAAATAGTAGAAATAAGATCTAGAGTTCAATAGCATATTAGGGAGGGTACAGTTAACAATAATTTATTGTATATTTCAAAATAACTAGAGGAATAGATTTGGAATGTTCCCAGTATAGGGAAATAATAAATTCTTGAGGTAATGGATATCCCAGTTACCCTGATTCAATGGTTACACATTGCATACATGTGTCAAAATATCACATGTTCCTCATAAATATGTACAACTATTATGTATTTATAAAAATTAAAAATATTCAGGAATAATGGCTGTCAAAATGCCAATTTATACTCACAAGGGTAAGGAAAATAAAGCTCTTCTACTTGCAACTTTTGTATAACTTTGTAATTGTGTCAAAACAAAAATAAATTATACATAATTATTATGGAACTGGTGCCCATTTGTTTACAAAATGTACAATATATTCTACTTCATATATTATTTCTTCCAATACATTGTTCCTACCAAATGAGACCATTAGAAAGGAATGTTAATTTTTTTTTTTTTTAAGACAGTGTCTTGCTCTGTCACCCAGGCTGGAGTGCAGTGGTGCAATCTTGGCTCACTGCAACCTCCGCCTCCCAGGTTCAAGTGATTCTCATGCTTCAGCCTCCCGAGTAGCTGCGCCACCATGCCCAGCTAATTTTTGTATTTTTAGTAGAGACAGGACTTCACCATGTTGGCCAGGCTGGTCTCAAATTCCTGGCCTCAAGCAATTAGACCACCTCAGCTTCCCAAAGTTCTGGGATTAGAGGCATGAGCCACTGCCCCCAGCCAGAATGTTACTTTATTTGATCAAAATTGCATTTTTACTTTGAACAATAAAAGCCCCTACTTAGTGATTATTCCAGCACTTATCTTTCTTAACTAAGTAATGAGAAGTGATGACACTAAATTTACCAGCAAGCTGTTTAGTTTCTAAAATTAAATACCCTAACGGAAGCTAACTACCTCTGCTGCTCAGTTTTTGACTTAATTCAGTGAGCAAATTGGAGTAGACTTCCTGGTCAGGTGACATCATTGATATGAGAACAAGTTGGAACTGTTACTGGCCCCCCTGAGAATCTTTTTCTCTATGGCAGTTGATGCTGAAAATCTGTGGGGTGCGTGTGCGTGTGTGTGTGTGTGCAGGGTGGTTGTACAGGAGGAAGGGGTGGTATGGGGGCCCAGCAAGGGCAGGCATTTGCTAATGCATTCTAGCTCTCACCTTCTCAAAAAAAATTTTTTTTATAATTTTTTTTTAAAATTTTTTAAAAATTTTTTATAATTTTTATGAGATCTGAATTCCCAAATGCAAGATACAGAGCAGCTCTCAAACTTTTATAATGAGATTTGAATTCCCAAATGCAAGATACAGAGCAGCTCTCAAACTTAAGTTCTGAGTTTTCTAATCCAATAATATAATTTCATAATACTAACTTTGATAATACAACTGTATAGAATGACTCAGCATCAATTATTGAATCAGAATTTGAGTAAGCTGCAAAATTTATCTAAGTTTCCTCACACTTAAATTAATAACCATAATAATGATAATTCAATGAGATAAGATAAGAGGCTAGCATGGGGTTAGATTCATAGGAAACGGTCAATAAATTGTGACTCATGATTATTTGGTTTGAAAGGAGGCACAGAAACAATAGCTATGTGGCCTTCAATAAACTATATAACCTCTCTGATTCTCTTTTTTAATGCACAACTCATATTTAATATTCTATCCAAGGTCATTCTCCTCTCCTGCTGGAGGCTAACTTGATCACCTTAATAGCTTGGGGTTGAGGGTGCGACAGAATGGTCTATCTCATCATCGCCTTCCCCTCTGTTGTCCTGGGTTAGCTGCTCATAAGGAGGGCAGTGTTAGACATGAGGGAGGCAGGTGACTCAGATGCATGCCTTCAATGAATGGAGCTAGGCAACAAGGTATGGACCAGACACTGAATCAAGCCAGACAGAGTCAAAGGGAGTATTTGAGATGAAAGGTGTCAAGTACGTGTTGTGCAGGGCCTCGGAGTGATTCCTACATTAAGAAAGTAGCTGTGGAAACTTTACCCATCCCAATTCCAGCTCCTGAAGGTGGGGCTGGCAGGGGACTTAGAGAAGCAGCCATGGGTAGATACCATGGGTGGCTGCTGAGGGGAGGCACAGAGCTTTCCCCAGCGGAAGTAGGCTTTGATAAACTCTGGAGTGCTTCTAAGGAGCTGGTAATTTTATCTCTGGAGGTCCAGGACCTCTTCAGTCATACACCTGAGTCCGTTTTGGATCATTGAGGTGGTTTTCTGAGGGATGGTGTGGAGAGTCGGATGGGGTGACCTCTGAGCTTCAGTGCATCACAAGCAGCGGCCTTCTAACCTCAGATCTGAGGTCTTCTTCTTCAAGGCACAATTTATGCAGAGCTGCTTCCTGAAGGGTGGAAATAAACATCCCTCCAGCGACCCCACGCCACCATACTGGTACAGGTGAATCCAGGTTCTGTGTGTTTAAAAGGAAAAGAATTCACAAAAGACAAAAGAGCGTGTACAAGTATGTGGAATGGGTGAAGGAAGCTTCTCCCCTGCTCATCTGTGAGCCTGTGTGTGTGTATATGCAAACCTCTGATCTGTGTGCAGCCACTTCTCCCTCCCCTCCGCAGGTGTCCCTGAGTCACAGCCCTTCCTTCTCAAAGAATTGCCCCAATTTGCCTTATAAGGCAACACTGAGGCTTCTAATTTCTCTTCAAGCTAACGGAAGTAAAATAGCAGGTGCCAAGAGGCGTGGCCCAGGGTCACATTGCCAGAGTGACTCAGCAAGAATCATTTTGGAAAGCAAGCCCCAGTGTGGCTGCTCATTCTTCAGCAGCCTTTCCTTGATAGATACCGGAGGTTTGCCCTGTGCTGCCTGCTGCTCCCTGGAGCTGCCTGGCAATTGTCCCCAACTTGCTTGCCTGCTCTGCCCATGCCCTGGAGTCAACAGACAATAATACCCTGCCCCTTGGAGAACCTTCAGGAGGCTCCTTGTGGGTGTCCCAGTAGGAGCCAGGAGAGGTGTGGTGGGCATGCCCTTGACATCTCATCCATCAACCCACCAAACTATTCCCAGAAGGCCCAGCCTGCTTCGGAAGACCCATCAGCTAGCTCAACCCCAGGCACCTCATTCTGGAAACAATAACCTTGTTTGCCTCCATTTCCCCACCTCTGACTAATGAAAATTATTACCCCAGCGAAGGGGATGGACTGGAGGGGAAAACTGGGGTCCTGGATACCAGTCAGAAGTGAGATGGAGATGATATTGGGAGGAGAGGAAAGATAGATGTGAGATACACCATGAAGGACAATGACAAGGCTTGATGACTAACTACACAGAGATGACAGGCACATGGAGGCTGAGGCCAGGATTCTGAACATGGGGATAATGGTCCTGCACCCATTTTCCAGCCATTGCTTTGGATTTCATTTCCACTTGTTTTTTATTCCTTTTGGATAGCGTAGAAAAGAGTAACCTTGATACAAGAGGACATGGGCTCTGTGTCCTCCTTGTAGAGAAGTCGTCCCACTTCCAAGGGCTTCACTTTGTCATCTATAAAATGGGGAGAGAGGCCAGGTGCGGTGGCTCATGCCTGTAATCCCAACACTTTGGGAGGCCGAGATGGGTGGATCACCTGAGGTCAGGATTTTTGAGACCAGCCTGGCCAACATGGTGAAACCCTGTCTCTATTTAAAAATACAAAAATTAGCCGGGCATGGTTGTGAGCCCCTGTAATCCCAGCTACTTGGGAGGCTGAGTGGGGAGAATTGCTTGAACCCAGAAGGCAGAGGTTGCAGTGAGCTAAGATTTCACCACTGCACTCCAGCCTGGGTGACAGAGCAAGACTCCATCTCAAAAATAAATAAATAAATAAATAAAAATAAATAAAATGGGGAAAGATCGCTCTTCATTTATCCAAAGAAAATAATGAAAATGAAATGTTTGTAAGCTAGGCCAAATAAGTGCAAGATATTATATGTAGAGAATTGCAGCCTCATTCTGTCTAGCAAACTCACTCTTTCCCTTGTACCTCGTACCAGGTCTCAAGAAACACCAAAAAGGGCCTGAGGGTCACCTTCCTTGCTCCTACACCCACCTTGTGGCCACTTTGTGAATGGCATGCTACAGGGATAGTAAGCAGAAACAAAGAGAAAGAAAAGACTTGGCAAAATTACAAATAGAAAATGATTTGTTGGTTATCCCCCAATTTAGTTAATAAGTCAATGCATTGCCAGTCAAAAGACCTTGATAAGATGGTTCTAAAATTCATATGGAAAAATAAATGAGCAAGAATAAACAAGACAAATTTGAAAAATAAGAAAGAGGGAGAGAATAATAATATTGGAAAGCTGCAGTTATAGGCCTGGTGTGGTGGCTCACACCTGTAATCTCAGCACTTTGGGAGGCCAAGGTGGGAGGATTGTTTGACCCCAGGAATTTGAGATCAGGGTGAGCAACATAGTGAGACTGCGTCTCTATTTTTAAGAAGAAAAGAAAAAAGAAAATGATTAATGTGACAGGTGGCATTTTCCAAAGGCAGCCACAGTGATATCTCCAATCCCACTTGCTCTTGCAAAATGACCTTTCTATGTCTCATTAGCATTCAAATGTCAGAGCCAGCATTCAAAGCTAGGCAGTTGATAACATCCCAAATCAAGCCCATGACTACTCACCAGCATTGTTCTGAGTAACCAATGCTTTCAATAACCCTACTAGGTAACACTCCTGGTATACCCACTGGAAAGCAAAGGAGACTCATAGAAGAATTGCAAATTGTACTTGATAGGAAAGGAAGAAATAAAGAACAGAAGACAGGGATTTTATGAAAAAATATTTGATCTCATCAGTAATCAAGGAAATAAAATTGAAACAAAGATGAGATGTGATGTCATAACTACTAAATTACAAAACTGAAAAATAAAAGAAATTGTTGTTACTACAAAATTTATATACTCATATACTATGAGAAGTTAAATTTAATACTTTAGAAAGCAATGTAGCAGTGATGATATACATGTATTCTATTGTTTAAAAAGTTTGACTTAGATTTACTTCTAAGAGTTTATCTTAAGGAAATAATTCAAAACAATACTATTGTTTTCACACAAAGATGTTTTCTGCAAAGTTATGTGTGTAATTAGAAAAAGTAACCTATTTTCTATCAGAATGTGAATGAGTAATAGAAATACATAATAAAAGAAATAAGGACACACTTTCACTTATAGAAACTATGTTAATAGATAAATTTGCATAGGAAAATAACAGGAGAGATTATGCAAAAATAATCATAGCATGTGAGAGCGCTAAAGTCAACTCAATTTTCAAGATGCTTAATAATTTTGCCATTCTGTTTAAAATTTATTTTTAGAAAAACAAAACTGTTTTGATGATGCTCCTCTGCAGGCCAGTCTCTTTCTAAATCACAATTTTTGTCTTAAAGAGTCAGAGCCAGGAAATCTCACCTTGTCATCTGGCACAAAACAGGTTTCTTCCTGCCCTGTTGGGGGATGGTGGCAGCCAGCAATCAACTACCCAGGGCCATCCAGAAGTTCACCAGCACTGCCCCTGTGCCTTCCACGGGGAGGGGTCAGGCCTGGAGTGTCCACACGGTGCCTGCCGTGGGTGTCTGACATTCTTCATCATCGAGGCCTGTCTGCTGGCAGCTGAGGTCCTTGACAGTTGGTTAATCTGCAGTGGAGTTTAAAGCCAAAGTCAGTAGTTGAATTATTCTGTTATCCAGATTGAGGATTAACACCTCTATTGAGTTGATGTGGAAAATGGCTCCGAAATTCCCCTTGACAAGCTCTCTCTTTATCAAAAAACCACTCCAATCTCACCTACTTTGCAATTTGCAGTAAGTGCTGGTATTAAACAAAATTATAAAAGGTAGATTCAGAGTCTGCCCACTCTTCCCAGCACTCAGAGATGAGGAAGCAATAACTCAACCTCACCCCCCCAACCCCCTAGGGTGAATCTGACTAGGTCCTCACAGAACCCAAACCACATTTAACAACCTTCCTCCCCTGGAGAAAACTGGTCCCCATGCTTCCCTCTTACTGGGCTCCAACCCATTCTCCACATGAGAGCTAGAAAGGTTTCTACAAAAACCCTCTGGTGACCTCCCACTGCACAGGTGATAGAAAACACTGCTGCCGCACCCTACAGGGCTCTGCCTAGCCTGGCCCCTGAAGCTTTTCCAGCAGAGTACTTGAACTTGTCCCACCCTCCACCAGGGACATTCTCTTCCCCTTCTGCTAAAGTCACCAATTCATCCTGGTTTGCCTGGCACTTTCCTTTTAGCGTTGAAAGTCCCACATCCTGGGAAACCTCTCATTGCCCAGCAAACTAAAGCAATGGATCAAACTACTTTGTATTCCCCAACCCACACTCCTAAGGTCTTATCCTAAAAGCCACTTGCCAGAGTCCTGGCTCCTCCTACCTCCCCCACACCCACCATATCTAAAGTGGGTCCTGACTGCTATTCTCTCTCATGACACTCTTCTTTTGCTTGAGGCACCTTTTAATTATTTGCTCCTTCATTCACAATTATTGAATTTCTCCTAGGTGCTCTGCATGGTGTTATGGGCTGGGGCTACAGCCGGAAGCCGAGTAGACAAAGTCCCTATCTTCGTGAGCTTACATCCCAGTGAAAGGCAAGAGTATAAGCAAAGGAATCCATAGGTAAACCACATAGTATGTTAGGTTACATTCGGTGTGCGAGAGAAAAACAAAGCAGGGAACAGGGATAGAGATGTCAGGGTTAAGGATGACATTTGCAATTTTCGATAGGGCCACCAGGAGAGGCCTAATTGAGGTTACATTTTTATAAAGACCTAAAAAAAAGTAGAGAACAAGGAAAAGAATTCCTGAGGGGAAATATTCTAGATGGATGGAACAGAACATGCAAAAGTCCCAGGTAAAGAACAGCAAAGAAGCCAGAATGACAGGAGCTGAGGGTGCAGAAGAGAAGTAGCAGGGGGTGAAGGCAGAGGAAGTGGAGGCCTGCCTCTGTGGGTGTGGGACCATGTGGCTCATGTGGCTTTTATGCTGAGTGAGATGGGAAGCTAAGCTGGGTTTAAATCAGGGAGTGACATGATCTGCCTTACTGTTTAAAACGGGCACGCTGGCAAACACCTGTTAAGGGACTTTCAAAATATTCTGGGTAAGAGATGGGGGTGGATTAAACAAGGGTAGAAGCAGTAAAGTTGATGAGAAGTTATTTAATCCTGTATATATTTTGAAGGTAGGGCTGGGGAGATCTCCTGATACCACGGATATGGGTGGTGTATTAGTCTGTTCTCACACTGCTAATAAAGACATACCCGAGACTGGGTAATTTATAAAGGAAAGAGGTTTAACTGACTCACAGTTCCACATGGCTGGGAAGGCCTCACAATCATGGCTGAAGAAGAAGAAGAAAGAGCAAAGGAATGCCTTACGTGGTGGCAGGCAAGAGGGCTTGTGCGGGGGAACTCCCATTTATAAGACCACCAGGCCTCGTGAAACTTATTCACTACCACAAGAAAAGTATGGGGTAAACCACCCCCAGGATTCAATGATCTCCACCTGGCCCCACCCTTATTACCGTTCAAGGTGAGATTTGGGTGGGGACACAGTCAAACCCTATCAGGTGGGAAACAGAGTGGAGATGGTTCCAATATCATAGTGCTTCCATTCCCTGAGATAAGAAAGACTGTGAGGCAGCAGGTTTGTGGGGGGTGGAACAATTGGAGATCACTTTTGAACAGGCTGATTTTTAGATCATTAGACATCAAGGAGAAAGTTAGACATATGAGCCTAGAGCTCAAGAAAGAGACCTGGGCTGGAAATGTAAATTTGGAAGTTGTCAGAGTAGAGATTATATTTAAAACCATGACGCTGAATGCAATCACGAAATGAGCTAAATAGAGACAGAAGAGAGGAAAGGCCCAGGAGCTAAGGTTGAGGACACTCCTTCATTTGGGGTTGGGAAGATGCAAAGCAGAAGGAGTGGTCAGAAGGATAGAGCAAAGCCACACACGTGTGGTGTTCCGGAGGCCCATTGAGGGGTTGGAGGGGACTCAGCTGTGTCAAAGACTGCTCGTTGGTCAAGGAAGAGTGGGGCTGAGAGTGGACCATGCATTTATTATTGCAGAGGTCATTAGATGTATTTAGGGCAGTTTCAGTGGACTGTTTGAGCTTAAGCCTGATTGGAGTAGGTTCAAGGGAAACCAGGAGGAGATAGTATGAACCACTCTTTCAAGGGATTCTGCTGCTAATGGAAGAACAGAAAAGAGGGTAGTACTTAGGGTGGGAAGTGCAGAAAGGAGAGGAATTTTTTTCTGTTTTATTTCTATCATTATTGTCATTTTATTTTGTTTGAATGTGGGAGGCAAAATGCATATATTTTTGCTCACAGGAATGATCTGGAAAAGAAGCAAAAAATAGGCAATGCAGGGAAGAGAAATTGATGGTGATAGAAATGCATGAGCGAGCCAGAAGGAATAAGGTCTGGGATCAAAGCAGAGGTGGAAACTAGGGCTAGGAACTCAGACAGCCAGTCCTAAGAAATAGGAGAGAAGCTAGAGTTTATACACACAGATGCTGGAAGGTGGGTAGACATGGTGGTGGGAGGATATGGAAGTTTTTTCAGATAGCTTCCATATTCTCAATGAAATAAGGAACAAGTTTTATCAATCAGTGACCAATTTGGAAAACATGAAACATTCTCAAGCAGAGAGAATTTTAATGGGAGGAATTGGGTGCAAAAGGCTGGAAGGACTGAAGAAGACAATGGGAGAGAGGGGACCTCTAAGGGGGCCTGTGACTTGCAGGCTGAGCAGGAGCTACCTCCTCTGTAGGTGCTGGAAATGCTGGTGTGGCTGGAACCTGCAGTTGCCTACAGGCAGCTGCCATTGTCAAATCCAGAATAAGAACGATTTCTCCCCTCCTCCTGCTTTCTAATCTGTGTCAGGGTCTCCTTGGCAGATGCTAACTGGAAAGCAGCTGACAACAGTTTGGATAATAGATTTTTGAGACTTGTGCCCCCTGCAATACAAGGAATATGTTGAAAAGTCAGGGATCAAGCTAAATACCACAAGCCACACAAGACTGTCATCTTGTGTGAATGAGGATGGGGGAGAGATATTGGAAGTTTGGGGAGAGATAAAGACTTGCAATAGTTGTCTGGCAGAATAACAGTGTGATTGGACTTGAAAAATACAGTACAATTTCCTGTGAGTTTGAAGGCCACCCTAGGGGTAAGTGAATGTGAATTTAAAGTCAGACCACTCAGCATAGCCACCAAGTAGGCAATGACGTGGTTTAATTAAGAGAGTTAGGCCGAGGCGGACAGATCATGAGGTCAGGAGATCGAGACCATCCTGGCTAACACAGAGAAACCCCGTCTCTACTAAAAATACAAAAAAATTAGCCAGACGTGGTGGCAGGCACCTGTAGTCCCAACTACTCAGGAGGCTGAGGCAGGAGAATGGCGTCAACCCGGGAGGCAGAGCTTGCAGTGAGCCGAGATTGTGCCACTGCACCTCCAGCGTGGGCGACAGAGAGAGACTCCGTCTCAAGAAAAAAAAAAAAAAAAAAAAGAGTTCACTGAAGCAAGAATGGGGCAAGGGAGTGGAGGGTATATTCAAGAGAGTGATTATAACACAGGAAGGTAATTGGCCACAGAATTTAAGCTGCATATGGAAGGAAGTGAAGGCAGGGAGCAGGGGTAGATAACAGACATGTTTATGTACTAAGTTCTTATCTCCTCCACCAACTAAGAATTCCTTGACATGAAAGATCAAATCTATGTAGCTCACCATTGTATTCCTAACACCTAGAATTCACCTAGCTCACAGTAAGAAATCAATAAACATTTGTTGGGTAAATGATCAATTGAATGAATGGATACCATACTCCTTAATAGACTGTCAGCAGTATCAGGTCAGGGACCATGTCTAACGTGTTCATTTCTGTCTCCTCAATACTATTATAGTGTCTGGCATATTGTAGATACTTTGATATATTTGTTAAAATGAAATGAATTGAATCCATTGGAAAGGCAAAAAAGCAAACCCAGCAAACAAAAGAAGATAATATCATAAAAGATATAGGGTAGGCTGTGTAGGACCTGTAGACTCTAGCCAGAAGAAAGAGAGAGCAAATGAAGGCCTGGTGGTGATCAGTATAATCTAGTAAAATGCCAAGTTCAATTTGAGTCTGAGAAGATGCTACACTTCCCAATCTGTCTCAGCTGAAGGAATGGAAAGAAATGTGGCAGCACCAGAACAGGCAGGGGTCATTCTTGGCACAGGCAAAGACTGTTATTGATGCCAGGGCAAAATGAATGAAGCCTGGCTCAAAGTCCAGGCTCAGGGTTTCAAATTAAGAGTTGAAAGGCCAAAAAAAAAAAAACAAAAACCCACCCCAATCCTCTCTCCTACCAACTCCCCCAATCCTAAACTTAGAATACAAGCAAAGCAGGTGTATTGCCAACTGGGCTGTCCTCCAGGAGGGAGAAAGCCAGGCCAGCCACGGGGAGCCCAAATATGCTGACAGGCAAAGAGGACTGGGTGGGAACCACAGCAAGTGCTCACTTATTCAGCCTGGGAGGGTTTAGCCCTGGACAAAATCATGAATTTGGCAATGTTGGTTCACCAACTCTCAGAAACTTGGCTTCTGGATCCCAGACAAGTCTTAAATCTGCTTTCCTTAATGTGAAGTTAAGTCCTCTAATGCTTCCCCATGTCCCTTTCAAAACTGCTTACAGTTGAAATAGATGACAAATCTCTGCTATGATAAACATCTCATCTCCCCTAGTTGACAGAAGGCTCTTTAGGGGAAAAGACTTTTTGTTTTATTCAACTTTGAGAACTCCACAACCCCTAGGACCTATTCTGTAGAAGATGCTCAAGGAATGTTTGTTCAAGAAGTGAGTTAATTAATGAGTTAATGACTGGGACACTTCAATATATTATTTCTCCTATGGACCAAACTTATGTCTTGATAGCATAAATTTGGAATAAGTTTTAAATAACTTATTCCTTCATTAGGAAAATGCAAATCAAAACCACAATGGGGTACCATCTTACCCCCACTGGGATGGATATAATGAAAAAAGTAAGTGTTGATGAGGATGGCTTGATGGGTCCTCAAAAAGCTAAACATAAAATTACCATAGGACCCAGAAATTCCACTCTCCTGGGTGTGTGTATACCCAAAAGAATTGAAAGCAAGAACCCAAACACATACATGTACACACATGTCCATAGCAGCACTATTCACAATAGCCAAAAAGTAGAAGCAACCCAAATGTTCATCAACAGATCGATGGGTAAACAAACTATGACTCATGCATACAAAGCAATAGTGTTCAGCGATAAAATGGAATGAAGTACTGATATTGTCATGTGAATGAACCTTGAAAACACACTATGTTAAGTAAAAAATTCCAGACACAAAAGGATATATATTGTATGATTTCACTTGTATAAAATATACAGAATAGGTAAATCCATGCAGACAGAAAGCAGATTGGTGCATGCCAAAGTCTGAGGGAAGGGAGAATGAAAGTAACTCCTCAATGGTTATCAAGTTTCCTTTCAGGGTGATGAAAATGTTCCAGAGCTAGACAGACATGATGGTTGCACAACTTTTTGGCTGTGCTAAACGCCAATGAATTGTCACTTCAAAATAGTTAATTTCATTTTATATGAATTTAACCTCAATTTTTAAAAAATTACCTCTCTTATGGCATAATAAATTATCCAAAACATGAACACAATTAACATGTATTACATTACACAGTTTGAGAGTCAGGAATCCAGGAAGGCTTAGCTGGGTGGTTCTCACTAGAGTAGCTCATTGGGTTTTAGTCAAGATGTTGCCCAGGGCTGCAGTCCTCTGAAGGCTTGACTGGGGCTGGCAGATCTGCTTCCAAGATGGCTCCTCACATTGCTCTTATCAGAAGGCCTCAGTTTCTTGCTACATAGACCTCTCCATGAGCCTACTTGAGCATCTTAAAACATGGCAACTGGTTCCTCCAGAGTGAATGATCCATGAGTGTACAAGGCAGAAGTCATAATGTCTTTTATGAACTAACCTAGAAAGTTCCATACCTTTATTTCCACAATATCCCATTGGTTGCACAGGTCAACTCTATTCAGAGTGAGTGGGACCTATACAAGGATATGAATTCCTGGAAGCAAGTATCCTTGGACATCATCCGGAAAGCTAGTGATCACTCCCCATTCTCCCTTACATAAGAGATAATAATGAATTAATGCATCATCCACTCAGCCTAAATTTGACCACCAAAAGTGGAGTACAGGAGGCAGCCTTAGGAACACATGATAGAAAGCAAGGCAAACATTGCCTGTGAATATTATCTGTTGGGGGAATGAGTAGATCATGACTGAGTATGTGCAGAAGTTGCTTCATGCACATGCGTTATAATGAGAACCTATATCTTGCAACAATTTCCTGGAAACCCAAAGTTTCTTTGAGACAAGACTCTCCTAAGTAATGGGAGTATTGATCTCTGATAACAAGACATCTAACTCATAATAGCATATTGGGGATGTTGTAAGGGAACTAAGGAAGGGGGTCTTGCCCCCTCTTCCTGTCTCCCAGTTTTCTTTCACGGGTTATTACATGCTAGCACATAGCTTCCTCAACAGTTCCTAGGCATGTCCTACTGCCCAAGCCCAGGGCCACTTCCGTCCCTTCTCTGAAATGGCAGTTTTGCCAAGGTTACAACCGTCAGCGCCCAGAAGGTACTCCAATAAGACAATAGGCGCAGTTGTGTCATCTCATGAGTCAGAGCTTCCAAGATCCTGCCCCAATCAGATTGCTGATAAGCACATTCCTGAAAGTTAGGCAGATCACTGAAATGTTACCAAAGTCTTGACTTGGGCGTAACACTATAACACTATTTGGATGCCTTCATGGAAGCAAGGGGGCCAACGGCTGGCCACTTTTCATTTGGAGAGAGAAAAAAATGATCAGGCTGTTTGGAGTTTTCAATTGAATAAAAAAATTAGAAATAAGAGAATTCAGCTTTGTAAAAGACTATGTCAACTACCTAACAAGATGGGGTGGACTGGGAACCCGAGCTGCCAATTTACCTGGAATGAACTTCAGAAAGAAGTGGGGTAGATCAAGCCATTGAGGTTGGGTGCACATAGAGAAAAAAATAAGTAGCTCAGGATAGATACAAGATGCTGCAAGATAACGTGTGCTAACATACTGTGCCTACTCAGAGGTTCCTGCTTTAGAGAAAATATTAAGGACAAAAGAAAAGGCACAGAAACATCCAGGGAAACTGAGCCAGAAGGAGAAGAGCTAACAGGAGCACAGCGGGATCAGGGCAGTTGGTGTCCTGGAAGGCAGGAGTCCTGGGTTCCTGGATGTATATAAAAATGCAGGAGGTGAAGAAGGTGAGAGGAGAAGATCCGCAGGGTAGAAGAGGGAGGAGGTTGAAAACAGCCATAGAAAACAGATGAATATAATCATAATTGAATATAGAGATGGAAAACAAGTGGCACATGCATGAAGAAGGCCAGGCGTCCTCATGTGTATCTGACTGAATGGAAAGAGCTAATGAAAAACAACCAAACCAAGCAACAATATGAGAAGGAGAGTTTGTATGTGGGCCATAATGATGTGATTGGGTTACTGACTTATATTTTTTATTTGCTTAGAGATTAGGGGAAAAATACAAGTATATGGGCCAGGCACAGTGGCTCACGCCTGTAATCCCAGCACTTTGGGAGGCTGAGGCGGGCGGATCACCTGAGGTCAGGAGTTCAAGACCAGCCTGGCCAACATGGTGAAACCCTGTCTCTGCTAAAAATACAAAATTAGCCAGGCATGGTGGCACAACCCTGTAATCCCAGCTACTCGGGAGGCTGAGGCAGGAGAATCGCTTGAACCCGGGAGGCGGAGGTTGCAGTGAGCCGAGATCACGCCATTGCACTCCAGCCTGGGCAACAGGGTGAGACTCCATCTCAAAAAACAAAACAAAACAATCTACTCTGTGTCAGGTACTATTTTAAATATTAGACACTAGAACTACAGCAGAGAACAAAACAAAGTCTCTAACCTCACAAAGTTGATAATTAAGTGACATAAATATCCAATTTAATGTCCTGATCAGACAACTGTACAAATAGATATAACACAACAAAAAATATAAATAGCCAAAGTAAGGTACAGGCAAGGAACTGTGATGATTCCAACTTCTTTAATAACTTCTTTAATAATTCAATAACTATTGAGTTTGTGGTCTGTGCATGGTGTTTTTGAAGTACTGAGAGCAATAGAGATATGAGTATGATATTATCTGAGCCCTGGGTGACCTATAGCCCCCTAAATGCAACTGCTTGATGTTCCTGTGGCCAATTTTTATTAGGCACTGTAAGGACTGAGCTGTCTGTCTTTCCTCCTTGGGTCATTCCAGTGCCCAGGCTTGCCCATACAGAGCACATGTTCTCAGAAGAAGTGTCTGTTTGGTTCTGGCCTTCTGGAATTTGATCCAGGTAGCTGGGCCACCGCTAGTCAGAGCTTGAGGAAAAAAAAAAAAGATAATGTATGAAAAGGCCTAAATTCATGCTTGACTTATTATATAAAGGCAATATTTTCCTATGTCTCAGGACTTCCAGGGCTAGTCAAAATATTCTTTATGGAAAAACGTGCCCTGAAATGAAAGGTCAGAGGAGAGAAACAAGCCATGTAGCAGGAGCAAAATATCAGGACATCAGGAAAGTCCACCAGGGTGGATGTTTGAAGAAGTGAAATGAGGTCAGCTTGGTGGGTAGACAGAGGGCAGCGCAGGGACAACCACATGATTTTTGGTTTGGATGAAGAGCGGGACCAGATTGCTTTTCAATCAGTCTAATTGTGTAGTTCAGCCTGTCTCTTTTGGTTTCATGAGGTTTGTCTCAATCACTCACACTGTTAGTAAAAACACTTTTAGGGAATTGAGAAGTAGAAACAGTGAGCTCATTGATTTTTATATCAGAACCATTTTGTGAGATCAATGTTTGCAATGTTCACCTTAGTTGCTAAGGTCATGGGCATACCAGCCCACAAAGATTTGCTCATATGCCATGTTTATCTTGGAACCAATGTTTACCTTGGTATCAGGGTAAAGAGAAATACTCAGATGTAGTTAAAGAAAAGCAATAACTGTGATTACATAAACTTGCGTTTTTTCCTCCCTGAATGGTATCCGGATCATAGGAAACTACCCAGAACGCCTTATCATGGCAATAGTTGAAAGGCATAGGACTATATAAAACAGATTTAGAAAATAAATGGGACATAGAAAATTCTTCTATGCATGCTGTTGTGTGGGGTATGAGACACCATGAAACACCTTGTAAGTATATTTTCTAATTTCAAATGTAGGTGATTATGTTCTCAGAGCCAAAATAGCCAGGGAGAAGTTCTTTTTTCCCCATGGACTCTTCAAATTAAACTCAAGGGGAATTTAGAATTTTCAAATATTAATTTGAAAAAACATAGCCTCTCTGTTTTGGAACATCTGAACAAAGAGTCTCTCCCAAAGGAAGTAATAACTAAGTTCTTAAAGGTCCAGAATCCTTGGGGGTTACATAGATATTCATATTTTAGGGTCCTCTCTTCCTAGACTTGTCTTATTTACAAATTTCCAGTGAAGGAAAGTTTCAAATATATTTAATATATACCAACCCTAATAGTTTCATAAAATAGTGTTGCTATTTGCAGCTCATATATTTCCTCTATTAGCCTTACAGCATCATGATGATTATTCATAGAGTAGCTGTTTTCTTTTCTTTTGTATATGTATCTTGCCTTTGTTTGCTTTCGTTGCATGTGGGATATTGCGGGGTGGGGGAGAAGGCGAGTTCCTGAGCCTTCAGTAGACCAGATGAGAATGAGGTATGGAATGTGGGGAAACATTCATTGTGCACTTTCTCACCTTGTCCTGTTTCTGCTCCCACCAATTCTCTCTGACTTACTCTCTGATGCTTAAAATTCCCTCAACAAGCAAGTAGGCCACACTGAGAAGAAATGATTAACTGCAAATATTTCAATAATTAGTCACATTTAATTAGCACAATCTATTTCAAAATAAAGTGCAAATAAGTGGTTCACGGTCTTTTATTCTCAGGCAAAGTGGAGAATCTAGAGGAAAGGAAATCAGGAGGATATCAGTTTCCAGAGAGGGCAGAGAGGGAGTCTCAAATGCTTGGAAAGAGAGAGGAAGGTGCAGAAAAACAAGACTGAGAACCTGAGTTATCATCACTTATTTTACAATTTGGCCTGAGATGGTCCTTCCCCATGTGCGCATCAAGTGGTTGGTCAGGTTGCCTAATATTTAGCCCAGTGATTAGCAATACATGCAGAGTGAAGCAAAAGGTATCCTTGACTGAACTATATAAAGCTTTGTCTCCTGAGTAGCCAGCATATCAACCATACTGCGTGACAGTCTCCTGATACACTGGGTCCCCCATGCCATGAAAGAGGATGGGAGTTAGAGATCATTAAAAGAAGGCTCCAGCCCCAGCAGGGCTTGGGGCTCTGGACTCTGAGCTCACCTGAAGCTAAGGCAAAAATGCCCTGATATTTGTTTTCATTTCAGGTTGCATCTTCCATCCTTGGGGTCTTCGTCCTAACCCCATCCCTGGCCATGATGGTGAGTAAGGATGGAAAGAGTTCAACCTGTCTAGTCCTCCTTTAGCAGAAGCATTTTAAAAGGTGATAATTAAGGGCAACCTCCTCAAATTTCCTGTGGGTACCCGTAAAACCTACAAGGCATGGGCAAAGTAGGAACTCTGAACTTTCAACTTTTCTCACTGTTGCTTGGTTTTCTCCAGAACATCCGTTTCAACCATCCTTTGTATGGATCTTTTGGGACTCAAATTATCCATATTGGTGCCTTCCAAGGTATGGTCAGCATCCGAGACAACAATATTTTCAGTGAATAGGACGGAATCCTGGACTACAAGAATATAAGATGAGAAACACATTCATTACAATGTGAAAGAAAGCCACGTCTGGTCCAAAATGTAGCCTTATGCTTTTCCAGAGAAAGAGGACATTCGCCTTCTCTAGGTTTAGGTCCTTGATGGGCATGCACATCATTAGGTAAGGGAACAGCTTCCCTGCAGTTGCAGTGACTTCTTTTTGAGCCAAAAAATATAGGGGGAATTCCAGCTGGTCTATAGGGATCCTACATCCCCTATGTTCCTGTGAGGTGTTGACTTCACACGGCCACCGAAGGCCTCTGATCTCAGAAGCCCCCATGTCTTGTAACTGGTATGTGCTGTAGAAGTTATTTTGTCTTGACTTCTGATTTTAATGTTAATTTCCAAAGAAGAAGAATGTTGTATTTTCATTTTTAGAAATCTGACTGCAACTTGCCCATCACTTTCAATGGTAAGACCTAGCAGAAAGACACAATATTGAGAAGGCTCCACCTGTGTGCTTGGCCTGGCTGTCTGATAGAAAAGCACTATAACCACAGGGACATCACTCGGCCTCTGTGTGCCTCAGTTTCCTCCTCTGCAAAATAGCATCAATAGCTACCATTCCTACCTGGCAGGACTCTGAAGGGTTAAGTGAAGCAGAAGCCCACACTTCTTATTCTGTCCTGCAAGGCCCTGTCCCATCTGGCCCCACCGTCTTCCATCTGGCCCCACTCCCACCCACATCCATGACATTCCCTCCAGCCACTCCGGACACTTCAGGATGGGCACCTCAGGCACAGGCTTTCTCTCTGCTCCAGTCTGTATCTTCTGTGCTCCCTTCCCTGACCATGTTCCTCGCTAGTCACCTAACCCACTCCTGATTTCCTCAAGGAAATGTCCCCTGAATCCTGCTAGAGGGCACACAGTCTACACAGGCTAGTGATTTTCAACTCTGCTCTATGCCATGGAGACTTTTCTTCAAACAAAAATATTCCACGGTAGTCTATGACGTGGAACAGAAGAAGCCAGAACTACTCTGGCTGGAGGAGGGAGATGCAGGCGAACCTTAGGCACAGTCAGACACAGCTGAAGAACTGCTGCTCTACTCCAGGCTGTGAGAGGCCAGAAGACAGGCCCAGGGACTCATGGAGGGGGATGGTCAGTGGCAGACCTAGGGCTAGAATCTGAGTCTAGAGGGCCTGGCCCAAGGTTCCTGACAACCTTGTACATTCAGAGAGCACTCCATAATTTTCACAGTGCCCTCACAAGCTCTCACAAGCAGTTAATTTCTCTTCTCATCTTCACAGCAACCCTGTGGGAGAGGGGCTATTATTATTTCTGCTTTCAGATGAAAAAACAGAGGATCGTGGAGCCCACTGAGGACCATGATGGTTGCTAAGTGGCAGAACAGGACCTGCAATCAGCCTTATTATTAGATCCAACCCCCTATCCCTCCCATCCCACCTGTCCATTCATTGTGTGCAGAATGCCCTGAGAGATTCCTTTCCTCACCCACATCAGGGGACAGTGCCAAAAGCCCCGGGAGCATCAGGGCTCTGAACGTGTTACCAGTCCTGATGCTGGCCTTTTTTTGGTGCCCAGAGTGGCACTCTGCTGGATGCTGTACATCAGTCAGAAGAGCAGCTGTGCCACACTGATAGAGAGTGGGTGTCCATTAATATTGTGACTGCATGAATGACGTGTTTCTGCTGTGTTGCTTTAAGGCCCTTTTGGTGGCTAAGGTATTTAACAAGATGGCCTGTGTCCTGGCCAGGATGGACAAGGCAGTCTTCCCAAGTTTGGATGACATTAGCAAGGCCCTGGACAAGCAGGTAAGTGAAGCCAGTTCACTGTGGTTTCCTTTTAGTTTGGTGTTTTCCACCTCTGCATCCAACCTCCTAGGACAAGGCTGTGCACACAGAGAGACTTGGGTCACGCTTGTTCTTCATGCCCATGAAATTCCACCATCATACCAAGGACTCCAGGTGCTGTTGATGGCTCATTCAAGTCAAGTCATAATTTAATCAAATAAAAGTTCTATACAGTGATCTCATTTTGATGAATTCCAGAAGGGTTTGAGCTACATGTTAGTGAATATAAATTGTTGAATGTAAATATTAGAGTGAAGTAATAGAATATTCACATTCCCCTACCTTCTTTCTCCTCTACCTAACCCCTAAACATATCCACACATATTCTCTTCAGTTGAAAATAAGCCCAGGACTGCTGAAGCTCTCTTCCCCTCAGCTTCTTAAATGACAAAAGTAGTCCAGTAAGTTAAAAACCAGCGAGTGGTCCTGGGCAAGTCATTGAAATCTGCTGTCATTTGCTTAAGTAGCCTGCACAGCACATTTGGCCGACACTGATATTCATGGCAGGAGTTGCTGACTCTCAGGGGGGAGAAAAAGATACACTTCAGGTCACATAAAAATAAGGTAACTTACCAATTTTTTAAAGAGAAAAGCTGAAAGTATCCCATCTGATTTAACAAGCAAAAACATAATATAATGCAACAAAAAAATTTAAAGCATTCTATATTTTCATTAGAGATGAGAAAGCATCGAAGACCGAATGAATTATTAAGTTTAAAAGGTTGAAAGGAACGGACAGGAAAAGTCACCTGAACGCACAGGCAGATTTTTCTGGAGTAATGTCATCACCTTGTGGCCAGACAGGATATTGCTGTTAGAGACTCCAAGAGCCTGTTTGGGTTCGGAGCTATTCTGGTCAATTTTATCACCCCATGCACTGCCTCCACTTACTCATGGGCCAGGGTCTCAGATCCTTTTTGTCCTGCTTCCTGTGCCACCCCCAAATGCTGTCTCATCATTTTGATGTGCCACCCCTTCCAGGCTTTTAAGTATTACCCGTCTACTCGCGGCCTGACTTACACTGTTTTACCCAGCTGGGTCAAGAACTTAGCACAGTATGGAAAGCCCATTAAGAACATGTGCAGAGATGACCCCACCTACTTTGCCCAGCAGCAAAAAGAAGGTGTGTTAGCAACTTAACTAGAAACCCAAGACCATGGGTGAGTCAAAAGGCACAGTATGAATTTTCGGTCATTGACAAATTCTAATAACAGTTGTTGGGTTTGTTCTATTTATTTGTTACTGGATATAAAAATAATGGGGCCTAGGATGTATTCCCCCTCTGGTTGTGGAGATGATTTCCTGACAGCGGGACTTGCTGAGAATGGCGAGCTGAGTTAACTTAGTCTTTATCAGGAGGCTAAGTTCAGTCATCTCATCAGTGGGATTTGACAGTGGGTAGATATCCTCGCTTGACCCAAAGCCTCATCACCCCCTGCCCAAGCAACACAGAGCCCAGCATCTTATCATTAGAGTCCCATTGCTCTGGGATCCCCATTTTCCTCTTCTGCAAGCTGCCCAGAGGTTGGAAGGCAAAACTCTAATAGTTATAGACCACTCTGGAAAAGGAACATCTCAGTGGCTGGCACTCCTGCTAGGAATGTGGTGGCGGATCAGTAGTAACCACCTTGGAAAACCACTAGACAAGACTTAAAGAGCTGCTTTCTAGTCCAGATAGTCAGTAAGCACTTCCCATTAGGCTGCTGCCAGTCACTTACATCTTAATATAAGTTAACCCAATGAACAGGGGTTATTCATAACAGGAGGATCCAGCAGGAAAACAGGGAGAACCTGAGGGGCTGGGGTTCAGAAGGATGATTAAGGATCACTTAAAGAAATAGAAAAAGGAGAGATGAGGCCAATGATTGCAGGGGCAGGCGGTAGTAGGATCTTTCATTTTAGTCCCAGTCTTTTGCTAGAAGAGCTGTCCTGAGCACTACAACTGTGTTAGTTGCAACTCATAATATAGCCACTCTATTTGGGGGTCTTAAAGTGCTATTTTTTAAAAATAAAAATCCTTCTCTTTCTTTTTAAAGGTACTGCCCTGGCAATTGACTCCAATTCTTGTTTTGAAATCCAACTTCTGTCCTTTATGGGACTCTTCATCTGCGGTGAGACTCCTGGGCTCTGAACCTCCAGGAGGGCTGTCTGGCATGTGGACTCACCTGGCCTGAGGCCAGTGCTAGGACCCAGCCCTCCCTCTGCCTGTGGGAAGCTGCTCCTTTTAGTCTTCTACCTTCTGCCTTTTGTCCCAGTACCCAGCTCTGTAATCTGAAAAAGTGTGTCCACTTTCTCCCTCTGGGTTAGAACAATAGTTTCTTGCCTCACTGGTCTAGCAAATGAGTCCTCCCTGGCTGCCCTGTCCCCTCTCAGCATTCCCGGCTGCATGCAGCCCGGGACCTCCCACTCCGGCATGGTGCAAAGGAGCTGGCACCTCTCCCAGGATGGCTCATTTTTAAGGGCTTCTTTCTGGGGTATCTCTTGAGAAATTTCTTGAGAATTTTAGCCAGAAAAAAAAAAAAGAATCAATCAATCAATCAAAAATAAACACAGACACTAGCCATAGCACAGACTTAGCTGTTGGGTCTGAGGCTATATCTCAGTCTCCTGAAAAATTGGTGCTGAGATTCCAAGGAAGCCTATTCTCCGTGGTGGCCCAGCCTGTAACATGAAAATTTCTGTGAGAGATCCAGGTAAGCTTCCCTTTGGAACTGGCCTAAGCCCTTTAGTGGTAACTCCCAGGCATTTCTCTCCATTGCAAATGAATAAGGACCACGGATTCTCAGCACTCTTTTTATGTATGTATTTATTTATTGTTTATTTTTTGGAGACAGGGTCTTGCTCTGTCACCCAGGCTGGAGTACAGTGGTGCGATCATAGCTCAATGAAGCCTCGGACTCCTGAGTCAAGTGATCCTCCTGTCTCAGCCTCCCAAGTAGCTACAACTATAGGTATGAGTCACCATGCCAGGCTAATAAAAAAATTTTTTTTTTTGGTAGAAACAGGGTCTCACTATGTTGCCCAGGCTTTTTTAATCTGTCTTTTTCTTTCTCTCTTGTTGAAATCGAATAGGCTTTGTATTTTAACTGTCCGTTCCTATAGCTGGGAGGGCCTGAGCCATGCCTACCCAAACCACAGAGCATCCCTGGCTCCTCTCACCTCAGGAACAAGAATAAATGGGGAAGGAGTGTTAGAGACACATGCGCAGATGTCCACAGAAGGTCAGGCTGGAGTTTGGAGGACTATAAAATAAAGTAGGACTGGGTGGGGTGTTGCATAGTGCGTGTGCATGGAGCAGGAGGGTTCTGGGGGATGACAGAGCTGCTAGGAGCCAGTTCTGCCAAGAAGATAGAGCAGTGGTTGACTGCCTATAGCCAGGAATGAAAGCCGACTGCACCAGAAAAGCCCAAGATGAACCTCTACCAAGGTGTACACAGGATGTGGTTGGGCAGGCCAGAGGCTCTGAGCCTCTGGAATTGGTCACATATGATTTGTTGAGGGCAAGGCAAGTACAGATACGTACACAGCCACACTATGTGTAAATATCAGATGCAATATACCAAGGCTTGGTCAACCCGAGGCCCTGAGAGCACCATGAGGCAGCGTCTGGCCCCCAAGACTAAGCCCAGTGAATCCCCAGAGTCAAATCACCATGGTTGTCAGTGCATCCTGTATGTGCCTTATCCCTGACACCCAGCCTCCACCTTCAACCTGAGCTCTGGGGACCAGTCCCTATCTTGTCGTATGTGCCTAAGTCCCTGTTACAGTTGCTAGATCCCCACTCCTGAACCTTCTGTGATGGTGGGGGCCTGCTGCCTACTGACCACTCTGATGCCAGTCTCCCTCTTCTGGACTTCTGAGCTTCAGCTGCTCCTGAATTTCCCATCATCTCTGGACTTCATCCAATTATTATAACATCCTTGTTATTTCCAGGAGACTTCAAGACCCCCCACCATGCTTGTCTCCATCTATTACATCCTTGCAGATACTCGCTTTCCAGCTGGGACTGGTTTCCTTCCAGAAATGCCAGGTTCAAGGCCTGCTGCCCTCCCGATGTGCATCATCACACTTGGCTGTCATTGGCTGGGCTGTGATAGCTCCCTCCTGAGAAAGAGCCAGCACACCCCTCTAGACCTTAGAGGACTTGTCAAGGTAAATTTGGGTCCTTATAAAGAATCTTCCATGCATGCACCAGGATTTGGGTCCTTTGGGAGTTGGGGTGGTGATGGCAAAAATAGCATTCAAGATGTTACCATCCTACTGATGGCCATTGTTAACATTTATTCTCAGAATACATCTACTTCAGCACTCAGTGAAATTTACCATATTTGAATCTCAAATCAGTGTCCCTGACCCAAATGTATTCCATGTTTATTAAGGCCCTAGCCTTCTGTTTAAAAGAGGATCATATGAACACTAATAACAGATTGTATGTTCCACCTGGGATTACAGAACTTAAGCTTTGGACCTCTTCAAGGAGAACTACAAACCACTGCTCAACGAAATAAAAGAGGACACAAACAAATGGAAGAACATTCCATGCTCATGGATAGGAAGACTCAAGATCGTGAAAATGGCCATACTGCCCAAGGTAATTTACAGATTCAATGCCATCCCCATCAAGCTACTAATGACTTTCTTCACAGAATTGGAAAAAACTACTTGAAAGTTCATATGGAACCAAAAAAGAGCCCACGTAGCCAAGACAATCCTAAGCAAAACGAACATACCTGAAGGCATCATGCTACCTGACTTCAAACTATACTACAAGGCTATAGTAACCATAACAACATGGTACTGATGCCAAAACAGATATACAGACCAATGGAACAGAACAGAGGCCTCAGAAATAACACCACACATCTACAACCATCTGATCTTTGACAAACCTGACAAAAACAAGAAATGGGGAAAGGATTCCCTATTTAATAAATGGTGCTGGGAAAACTGGCTAGCCATATATAGAAAACTGAAACTGGATCCCTTCCTTACACCTTATAAAAAAAATAATTCAAGATGAATTAAAGACTTGAATGTTAGACCTAAAACCATAAAAACCCTAGAAGAAAACCTAGGCAATACCATTCAGGACATAGGCATGGGAAAGGACTTCATGACTAAAACACAAAAAGCAATGGCAACAAAAGCCAAAATAGACAAACAGGATCTAATGAAACTAAAGAGCTTCTGCACAGCAAAAGAAACTACCATCAGAGTGAACAGGCAACCTACAGAATGGGAGAAAATTTCTGCAATCTACCCATCTGACAAAGGGCTAATATCCAGAATCTACAAAGAACTTAAACAAATTTACAAGAAAAAAACAACCCCATCAAATAGTGGGCGAAGGATATGAACAGACACTTCTCAAAAGAAGACATTTATGCAGCCAACAGACACATGAAAAAATGCTCATCATCACTGGTCATCAGAGAAATGCAAATCAAAACCTCAATGAGATACCATCTCACACCAGTTAGAATGGCGATCATTAAAAAGTCAGGAAACAACAGATGCTGGAGAGGGTGTGGAGAAATAGGAACACTTTTACACTGTTGGTGGGAGTGTAAATTAGTTTAACCATTGTGGAAGACAGTGTGGTAATTCCTCAAGGATCTAGAACTAGAAATACCATTTGACTCAGAGATCCTATTACTGGGTACGTACCCAAAGGATTATAAGTCATGCTACTATAAAGACACATGCAGACGTATATTTATTGCGGCACTATTCACAATAGCAAAGACTTGGAACCAACCCAAATATCCATCAATGATAGACTGGATTAAGAAAATGTGGCACATATACACCATGGAATACTATGCAGGCATAAAAAAGGATGAGTTCATGTCCTTTGCAGGGACATGGATGAAGCTGGAAACCATAATTCTCAGCAAACTGTCACAAAGACAGAAAACCAAACACCACATGTTCTCACTCATAGGTGGGAATTGAACAATGAGAACACTTGGACACAGGGAAGGGAACATCACACACTGGGGCCTATCCGGGGGTGGGGGGCTGGGGGAGGGATAGCATTAGCAGAAATACCTAATGTAAATGACGAGTTGATGGGTGCAGCAAACCAACATGGCACATGGATACCTATGTAACAAACCTGCACGTTGTGCACATGTACCCTAGAACTTAAAGTATAATAAAAATAAATAAATAAATAAATGAGAACTTAAGCTTCTTGCTGAGTCCATTGAAATAATTTTTGAGTCTCCCTGGGAGTGCCTAAAAGTAGCTAAGAATGAGCCCAGTGATCTTCCAAGCAGGGAGATCATCTCTCTTTTCTTCCTCCCTTGGGGCAGCCCCTGTCTTTGACATAGGCTGACATAGTCAATGCTGCCTCTTACAGCTGAGAGAAGGGGCCAGGGAACCCACAGCACCCAGAGTCCTCAGCTGAGCTGTCTCCACCTGCTGCCCCTCTGTGGAGTGCTGCCTTTTGGGCAGACACTGCCATCTCTGCCACTGATCTGGGGAGCCTGAGGGGGCTTAAGGGGCATTAGCCCTCTGGACCCAGTGCAGAAATAAGAAAAATGAGTCTCTCCTCACCTTTTGGCATCTCAATCATTCATGTATGCCCTGTGTATTAGTTTGTTTTCACACTGCTATAAAGAACTGCCCAAGACTGGGTAATTTATAAAGAAAAGAGATTTAATTGACTCACAGTTCTAAGAAAAGAGATTTAATTGACTCACAGTTCTGCATGGCTGGGGAGGTCTCAGGAAATTTACAATCATGGCAGAAGGGGAAGCAGGCATGTCTTACATGGTGGCAGGTGAAAGAGAGAGTGTGTGAAGGAGGAACTGTCAGACATGTATGAAACCACCATATCTCGTGAGAACTAACTCGCTATCACGAGAACAGCATGGGAGAAACTGCCCCTGTAATCCAGTCAGCTCCCAACAGGTCCCTCCCTCAACACATGGGGTTTATGGGGATTACAATTCCAAATGAGATTTGGGTGGGGACACAGAGCTTAACCATATCACCCTGCAATGTGTACCCTAGTTTCTTAGAGAAACTAGTGAAAAAAAAGGGGGGGCTTTTCTCATCTGTGGCTACTGTTGTTTTTATACTCAGTCCCCACCCACCACCCTGAGACCTGGAATATGAGTTCACTAGGGACTGCACCGGCGACAAATTTGAGCCTGAAACATCACAATGTCATTAAACTGCTCCTCCCTCTCCAGAGTTTGTTACTGGATTAGGACTGTGTCCCAGCCCCCTCTTTCCTGAGCAGATCTACCCTGAAAGAATCTTTGGGCACTTGGAGGATTACCAAGAAGTCTTTAAGTAATGTCTAAATCCCAGCTGGGACTCAAAACTCTCTCGCAATAAATAAAACTCTCCTGCAAGAATTCCATCCTTGCTCAAGAGTCCTTTCCCAGTGAGAGGAGATCTAAAACAGAGGTCAAATTTCCTGGTCTCCTTGTTTCGAGAAAGGCACTCCATTGACAGACTTCCCTTTAGGGGGAACATCTTAATTTCCTTACCAGTCCTTTCCACCCCCGATGGTGCCACTTCTAATTCTCCCTGCCACTCCTGCTTCTCTGCAGTCTAGGGAAGAGCCAGCTGTGTCCAAACTCAGGACCGTGGGTATGGGTGAGCTGGCTCGCCAGCCACAGGAGGCAGCTGCCCAGTGTTCATTTTCTGGCTACCTGCTCACTCTGTGCTCTCAGTTTCCTTTCCAAGAGATCAGGAGCAGTGCCCCTTATCCTGCCTGGAATGTGCTGCTTCTCCTTGTCCTGCTGTCTGCTTGGGGCGGAGAGACCCACCCCATAACATAACCCATATGTCAGTAGTTATTTGTGTGGAGCCCCTCCATTGGACTGAGTTAGTTTGGGCGATGCTTTACACAGAGGCAGTACCCCAGCCGTCCACAGCAGGCAGAGCTGTAGCTGTCCATGGACTTACATCCTCCCCATCCCTGAAGGAAGACCACAGCACTGGGTCCTCTGGCCTGGCTCCAGGCACCAGGCAGCTGGAACCCGGGCCTTTCAGTGCTGATGGGCTCTAGCCATGGCCAACTTGTATGTATCTTGAGACTGCTGAAGACTGGATGGGCCTCCTTTTTATTTTGTGTTTTAAATTTTAAAAATATATGAACATTTTTATTGAGTTATACAATGAAGTGCAGATTTTAAGTGCACAGCTCAATGAATGTTTACATATATTCATCCAATGTAGCCATCAACCAGAGGAAGAGAGAAGACTTCCAATGCCCCAGAAGGCTTTTTCATGCCACTCCCAGGCAATAGCCAACCTCGCCCTTGGCCCCAACGGAGTGGAAAGGGATAGTAATGGAATTATCCTTTAATTTATCCTTAGCATAATGGAATATGCTGAGGAGTTCTCAGCAAAAATCAAACACACTCTGGCAAGTCTCTTGAGATGGGAGTCAACTGCAGATGGTAAGGGGCTGGTGAGTAGCCCCAGGATTCTCCCTATTGTGATTAGTTTGGGTCAAACAGGAGAAAAGAGAAGCTAACAAAGGTCATGAATAAGAGGACAGGATGATTGTCCATTGACCAGGCATTGCTTACCTAAGGCCATGTATGGGTGTAGCAACAGTAACTTTTTAGAGGAAGATTGAGGGGTGAGCTGCATCATTAGAGGCAGTGAGGGGTGAATTCTTGGGGTGTCCCTTTTTGAGGTCATATGCTACTGCATGAGCTGGAAGGGCCATGCAGCAGCCAGGGAATCCTTCCCTAGTGGTTAAAAGCATGCTGAGGAAATGGGCTTACCACCTTAAAATGGGATACACCTAGATCCTAAACGCCAAGAAGCACTCGATTCCATTCCTGAATGTGTGCTGAGCCCTGTGCATCAGAGTTGCTGCAACATCGGACATTTCCCCAAGAGCCAAGGGAGAATTAGGGACAGTGTCTGGACTGATAAGAAGGAATGGCAGGCCAAAGAGAGCTGGGCAGTGAGCTTCAAGTGACATTTGCTTGAAGTTATCCTAGGAGTAGCCCTCAGTATTGGGTTTCTGCAGCGTGAGTAAAGGAAGGTGGTGAGCCTGGAATTTGCAAAAGGGTTTTAGGGGTGAAAGAAGTGGAGACAGCAGCGCTGGGTGGGCCCAGGTCTGGAGGCATGTGTACTCACTGGAGTTATCCAGCCTTTTTCAGGTGTATCTGTAAGAAATGCTTTCAACGGTGAAAAAAGAGAACTCAGTCACAGTGGCCTAAACAGGTAGATACTGATCCAGGAAGGAAGTCCCAGCTGGAGCAGCTCTGGAATAATGCAGTCAGGCATTCTAGCTCTTTCTTTCTTTCCCGAATCTTCCTTATCTAGGATTGTTGCCTCATGGTCCTAAAATGGCCAATCATCTCCTGACATCAGCCTCATATCCTCATTGAGGGAAGGATGATAGGAACACACAAAGGGCAGAGTCACATGCCAGCTGAGTCTGTTACTCCTTATTAGGAAAGAAAAATCTTTCCTGAAAGCCCCACTTAGCAGATTTCTACTTATAACTCATTGGCAGGAACCGAGATCATATGGCCACCCACAGGCCAATCATAGACTGAGGAAAATGATACTGCTTTATTGTCTTAAAAGAAACCAAGACTGATTTAGCCCAGGGCTTTCTCAGCCTTGGCACTGTAAACATTTGAAGCCAGAACATTCTTTGTTGTAGGGCGGTGCCCTGGGCATTGTAGGATATTTAGCAGCATCTCCGGTGTCTACCCATTAGATGCCAATAACGTACCCTCCAGCTGTAACAATCAAAAATATCTCCAAACACCACTAGACGTCTCCAGGGGAGGGGAGAAAAATCACACCCCAGTTGAAAACTACTGATTCAGACTAATCATGATTAATCCCCTGGAACTAAAGGAATATATTTTCTAAAATTAAGGGCTTTTTTTTTGTTGCTACTTAAATTGGAGCTGTGGGGTTGGGTAATCAATGGACTGGTTTTGCCACAGAGTATTAGACAACTCTTACCAGCAATAGATGAATAAGCATTTCTTTTAAAGGTCATATCCTCGTTAGTTTCTGCCTGTTTGGGGTAACTTTATTGTCTTCAAATGGCTACTATTTATATTTTTTTCCAGGTTTACAATTGTTATGGAAGGCATGTTAGTCTGATATAAGCTACTTCATCATTATTAGAAGCTAGAAGTCTCAATATTTTATTAATTCACCAATTTATATTTATTATGTTTGAGTTAACAAATGCTTGAATTCATTCATTGAGTCAGTTATCCAAACAGACATTTGTATAATAAAGTATTTGTCTGGGTCCATGTATTCTAATCCTGGGAGCTCTGAATGAACAAATCCTATTTAATTCTATCTCAGATGAGCAAACGAGTTTGCGTGACATGTGACATGTCATTTACTGTAAGAAACACAATTGTATGGGAAATAACAAAAATAAGAACCTCATCTACATGCCTCACCCAGCTTCCTGCAAAAGCTCCATTGGCACACTCATATCCTGGGCCCAGTTGCTCCTTCAGGCCAGCTTTTTTTTAAAAAAAAAAAAAAAACACAAACATCAGTATATTTTATGTGCATACATATGAAAAGGAAGACAGAGGGACCAATGAAGACTCAGAGCAGGCAGTACGCACACACACTGGTCATGTGTCCTTTTCAAGAGCTGCCCATTTGGGAGACAGTCTCACCCACCTCAAAGGTCCTTTTGCAGAGCCAGGGCCTGCAGCTCCTCCAGGTCTGGGGTGGCCTCAAGGTGGAAGGTACTCTCCCTGCTGCAGCTCCTCTAAGGGCTGGGCCTCTTACTTGTCTTCACTGAGGATGATGCCTACACACTCCAGAGCTTCATAAATGCAGGTTCTCATGAACTGATCCACTCAGTGGATGCCTTCCCAGGAGATCCATGCGGAGTGAGGGACCAGGACTAAAGGGTTTCGTGGGCACTCCCTAGGTATTACTGCTGTGAATAAGCATAGACCATTGTGACTCACTGGCATCGAAGAGGGCATAGGGCACATGGGACGGGATGCCTAGCAGATGTCAGAAGCGGTTCAACCATGCAGGGCAGCACATTGTTGTCTGTAACTTAGAGATGCTGCTGTGTCCAGTGGAGAGAGACCCAGGACAGCAGAGGTTCATGAACAGCCAGCAGACACTCCCCACCAGCACCCCTACTGTTTGGCAGGGCTGTGATTACTCCAAACTTTGAATCCCTGGGCACTAAGGGATTGGGGATCTAATACCCTGCAAAGCAAGTTGAAGTCTGGGCTATCACTAGTGAGATCTGAACCAGTATATCCCGTGGTCAGACAGGCAGCATTGCATTTGCTGTCTCCCTTTGCTGAAGGATTGATGCCCTATGACGGGAAATGGGAGCAACAGGACACCTAGATGAAGCAGCAAACACAATGCTGGATGTTGCCAAGCACACAGGTGTACCCCAGAACCTCCTGCACTTGGGAGCTTACAGGACCCAGAGAGAAAATGGTGCCAGGGAATGCCCACAAGTCCACATCTGAAGCAGCGAGACCCGCTGGGCCATCCGAGGGCTAGCTCTGGCTGAGAATTAAGGAAGTATCAATAAGCTGGTCACTGGACTCAGTTGTGGAATGGGAGTGTGAAGGTGGGTGGTGTGGTCTAGGGGCCCACATGGAAGACCTGGAGGGGTACTGGGATCCAGGAGACTGAGACAACATGGAGCTGGGGAGAGAACCAAGGAAACAACCCAGAGAGAACAGTGAAGCCAGACAGTATTCTCCTTCTGGAATCTTCTCCAACTGTAGATGAGAAGCAGTCTACCTCCCCCCGCCCCACCCCACTGAAAGCCTGGTTCCCTGTAACCCTCAAAGCCCTGGAATTGGTACCATAATAAAACCAAAAGGAGAGCTGGCCCTGCAGAAAGTATTAATAGTTCATCCCTGGATTTGAGGAGCCTGCCCAGGCAGGAAACAGGCTGGGAAATTCCCTTCATTCTGCCCAGGAGATGGCTAATTGCAGAAAAATCCTGCCAAAGGCAGAGTCTGCAAGCCTTTCTCCAGAACTGGGACACCACTGCTTCCCTTCCCACCACAGCCTGCCCCAGCCTGCACCCCGGGTGGTGCTATCTACAAGGTGCAGGTAGGGAAGCCAGCAGGGAAGAAATTAGCCTTCTCCTTTTTAAAAATCATTTTAAAAGTGGCAATATCTGCTGTGGAGTGTGGTAGTACCACTTTTTAAGTGATTCATAAAAAGGGAAATGCTAATTTGTACTTGAGTCCTAGTGTGGTCAAGAAGGGACCATGTACCATGGGATGGGCCACTTTCTAAAAGTCCCTACCCCTCGGGGAATGAGGAACAGAGCTGAAGTAGGCTAGAGTAAGGATTTTACCTGTCCACTGCCAGCAAAGGACCTGTCACAGGAGAAAGGGGGTTGGGGAAACCAAGATGACAATGCCTATAAGTGTGGCATGGTTAATACTGTGTAAGGAGTAAGCTCAAAGCATCAGCCTCACTGGGAGGGGTGTGGAGAGAGGGGAAGCCCTGAGGAGGTTTTGCTACAGGGCTGGGAGTATGGCCAAACCAGAACTAATCCCCTCCCACAAACCATTCTCCAAAGAGCCTTCCACAGCTGAAAGGTCCTCCTCTCTCTTTCTCCCCCGTTCTCCATGGGTTTCCAATGCTGGATACCTGCTCCTCCATCCCGCAGAAAGCTAGATTGCTCGGCTGGCTTGAAAATAAACTAGTCAGGGCACAGATGACCTAGAACTCTGCCTTTTCCCTATCAAACTAACTTGCCTCTAGGTCCCCATTGTGGATCCACAAGGCCATTCCAGCCTGACTGTGCATTGGAGGATACCATCAGTTCTCAGCTGGGCCACTATGAGGAGAGAGCACTGCCAGAACCCACTAGACTCTGGGCAGGGAGGCATAACTCAGCTCAAGCCAGCTTTTGTAGTCTGACCAACTCTTCCAGCATCCTGGGTGCTTTGTGGTATTCGGTCCAGGTTTGCTCCTTCTCCCTGATGGCCCAGAGAGGGTCTCTGGCTTGAGCATCCAGTAAGTTAACGGAGTCGATGTCTACTTTTTTCAGTCTTTAAGAGGGGGCTAATTATGGAAAAAATATAACCAAAGCCCCAGCTGCATTGTAGCTTCCATTTAGACACATTCCTTTTAGGGTGTGCCTGTTATCCTCCACTGGCTGCTCCTAACACGTATTCAGCATGACAACAGCAAAGAGGAGAGTTAGAGAGCAAATGCTAAAAATAGGAGCAATGCTATAAAAATTAATGAGGATAACACATCTCTAAGCAGTAGATTCCAAAGGAGTTTACCAGTCATAACACCCCTTCCTGCACCCCAACTTCCTATCCCTAATGCTGGCCACAGGATTGTGCCCCACATGAGCCAATTAGGATCATATACTTTTAAAATTAAAAGTAATTTGAAATTAGAACTAAAAGGAGTCCTTTTCTCTCTGATGATCAAGGTGGGAAGATGAGGACCAATAGCGGTTGACTATAGTGTAGTTCACAGTGGTATTGACTCTATCCTCATGGAGAAACCCAGTGTAAGATACTGAGGTTGAATGTAGAGAGGAAAGTTGAGACATGGAAAGAGAGTGTGTGGTCACCTTCAAGCATCTAGTTCCACTGCTCAAGACCAGAGTATCTCTTTTCTTCCATGGTTAGTTATATGAGACAGTAAATTCCCCCTTGGCCTCAGCAAATTTGATTTGGTTTGCATCACTTGCAAACACCAAAGCCCCAGCTCAGACACTCTACCATTCATTTGGCACTTTATTGTGCATTCATTACTGTTGTTATCAAGTGTTTTCATACTAATGCTTATTTCCCCAACAAGAAAATAACTTTGGCAGCTATGGTAGCTTTGCCTTGGGCCTCTTCCCCCAGCATACCTGTTCCAGTGCTGAGTACATTGATGACTGTTAAGAAGTAGATGTACAGTTTTAGAAATAAAAGTAGTAAATGGCACATAGAAATTATTTTTTAAATGTTATTAAACTCCTTTTACGAAACAATCAGAGGAACCCCAAAACTTTCCTGGCCAGTTTTCAACTGTATTTGAGTTTCCAAAGTGACAATTGATAAGGAGAATTGGAAAAACCTATTTGTTGTTGCATTTAAAAAAAAAAATCAGTGTTTATTTTATGTGCAGGGAGTATACATGCGGGTTTCTTACATGGGAATATTGTGTGATGTTGATGTTAAGTATACACATCCCATCACCCAGGTACTGAGCATAGTACCAGATAGGTAATTTTACAACCTGAATCTTCCTCTCTCCCTCCTTCCTCTAATAGTCTGCAGTGTCTATTGTTCCCATGTTTATGTCCACGTGTACTCAATGTTTAGCTCCCCCTTATAAGTGAGAACACATAGTATCTGGTTTTCTCTTCCTGCATTAATTTGCTTAGGATTATGGCCTCCAACTTCATCCATGCTGCTGCAAAAGACATGATTTCATTCCTTTTCATGGCTGTGTAGTATTCCGTAGTATATATGTACCACATTTTCTTTATCCAATCTACCATTGATGGGCAGCTGGGTTGATTTTTGTCTTTATTATTGTATATAATGCAGCAACGAACATATGAGTGCATGTGTCTTTTTGGTAGAATGATTTATTTTCCATTGAGTATATACTCAGTAATGAAATTGCTGGGTCAAATGGTATCTGTGTTTTAAGTTCTTTGAGAAATCTCCAGACTGATTTCCAGGGGCTGAACTAATTTACATTCCCACCAACAGTGTATAAGTGTTCCTCTTTCTCCACAGCCTTACCAACACCTGTGGATTTTTTAACTTTTTGATAATAGCCATTCTGACTGGTGTGAGATGGTATCTCTTAGTGATTTTATTGGTATTTCTCTGATTATTAGTGATGCTAATTTTTCATATGTTTGTTGGCCACTTTTAAGAAGTATCAGTTAATCTCTTTTGCCTATTTTTTAAAGTGTTATTTGTTTGTCACTTGTTGATTTGTTTAAGGTCTCTATAGATTCTGGACGGATACTTTGCCTTCGTCAGATCCGTAGTTTGAGAATATCTTCTCTTATTCTGTAGGTTGTCTGTTTACTGTGTTAATAGTTTCATTTGCTGCACAGGAACTCTTTAATTAGATCCCACTTCTTTACCAAGGCTAATGTTGCCAAGGTTAATGTTGTATTTCCTAGGTTATCTTCTAGGATTTTTATAGTTTGAGGTCTTTGAGGTCTTTGATCCATTTTGAGTTAATTTTTGTATACGGTGAGAGGTAGGTTCCAGCTTCAATCTTCTGCATATGCCTAGCCAGTTATCCCAGCACCATTTATTGAATAGGGAATCCTTACCCCATTGCTTGTTTTTGTCAGCCTTGTTGGAGATCAGATGGTTGTAGGTGTGTGGCTTAATTTCTGAGTTCTGTAACCTGTTCCATTAGTCTATGTGTCTGTTTTTGTACCAGTACCCTGCCGTTTTGGTTACTGTAGCTTTGTAGTGTAGTTTGAAGTCTGGTAGTGTGATGTCTTCAGCTTTGTTTTTTGTTTGTTCATTTGTTTTGTTTTGTTTGCTTAGGATTGCTTTGGCTGTTTGGGCTCTTTTTTGTTCCATATGAATTTTAGAATAGTTTTTTTCTAATTCTGTGAAGAATGACATTGGCAGTTTTAAAAGAATAGCATTGAATCTGTATATTGCTTTGGGCAGTATGGCCATTTTAACAATATTAATTTTTCCAATCCATGGTCATGGATTTTTTTCCATTTGTTTGTGTCACCTGTGATTTCTTTAAGCTTTGTAAAGATCTTTCACCTCATTAGTGAAAGCTGTATTCCTAGATATATCATTTTCTTTGTGGCTATTTAAGTGAGTTTGTGTTCTTGATTTTACTCTCAGCCTGGACACTGTTGGTATATAGAAATGCTACTACTTTTTGTACATTGATTTTGTATCCTGAAACTTTACTAAAATGATTCATCAGTTTTAGGAGTCTTTTGACAGAGTCTTTAGGGTTTTCTTGGTATACAAATATATCATCAGCAAAGAGAGATAGTTCGACTTCTTTTCCTATTTGGATGCTTTTTATTTCTTTCTCTTGCCTAATTTCTCTGACTAGTACTTACAGTACTACCTTGAATAGGAGTGGTGAGAGTAGGTATCCTTGCCTTCTTCCTGTTCTTAAGAGGAATGGCTAAAGCTTTTGCCCATTCAGTATGATGTTGGATGTGGATTTGTCATAGATGTTTCTTATTATTTTGAGGTATGTTCGTTTGATAGATGTTGAATTTTTATTGATAGCTTTTTCTGCCTCTATTGAGATGACTATGTAGGTTTTGCTTTCAATTCTGTTTATGTGGCGAATCATATTTATTGATTTGCCTATGTTGAACCAGGCTTGCATTCCTGGAATGATGCCTACTTGATCATGATATATTAACTTTTTGATATGCTGCTGGATTTGGTTTGTTAATATTTTGTTGAGAATTTTCACATCTATTCAATCTTGGGAGATTTTTTGCTTTCAGGAATTTATCCATTTCCTCTATATTTTCTAATTTGTGTACGTTCATAGCAGTCTCTGAGGACAAGTATTTCTGTGGATCAATTGTAACATCACCTTTGTCATTTCTGATTGTGTTTATTTGGATCTTTCTTTTTTGTTCATCTAGCTAGGTGGGTCTATCAATTTTATTTATTCTTTCAAAGAAACAACTATTGGTTTCATTTGATCTTTTGTATGGATTTTGCATCTCAATTTCATTCCATTCTTCTCTAACTTTAGTGACTTCTTTTATTCTGCTAGCTTTGGGGTTGGTTTGTTCTTTTCTGTCTAGTTCTTTTAGATGCAAAGTTAGACTGCTAATTTGAGATCTTCCTAACTTCTTGATTAAGGCATTTAGTGCTATAAACTTTCCTCTTAACACTGCTTTAGCTGTACCCCAGAGATTTTGGTAAGGTATGTCTCTATTTTTAGTAATTTCAAATAATTTTTTATTTCTTCCTGAATTTTGATGTTCACACAAGAGTTATTCAGGAGTAAGTTGTTTAATTTTCATGTATTTATGTATGAGATCTTCTTGATATTGATTTATTTTTAATTACATTGTGGTCTGATATTAAGGTTCGTATGATTTCAATTTTTTTTAATTTATTGAGACTTGCTTTCTTACCTAGCATGTGATTGATCTTGGAATGTGTTCCATGTGCAGATAAGAAGAATGTATATTCTGTCTTTGTTGGGTGAAGTTTTCTGTGGATATCTATTAGGTCCAATTGGTCAAGTAACAAGTTTAAGTCCAGAGTTCTTTTATTAGTTTTCTGTCTCAATGATCTGTAAGTAGGATGTGAAAGTCTCCCACTATTATTGTGTGGCTGTCTAAGTCTTCTTGTAGATCGAGAAGTACTTGTTTTATAAATCTGGGTGCTCCAATGTTGGGTGTGTATATATTTAGAATAGTTAAAACTTCTTGTTGGATTGTACCCTTTGTCATTATGTCCTTTTTTCCAATAAGCCTTCTGTGGTCCAGGAAATACCCTTCTTTGTCTTTCTTAATTATTAAGGGTTTAAAGTCTGTTTTGTCTGATATAAAACTAGTGACTCCTGCTCTTTTTTGTTTTCTGATTTTGCATGATAAATCTTTCTCCAAGTCTTTGAGTCTGTGGGTGTCATTACACATAACATAGAGCTCTTGAAAATAGTGGATGATTGGATCTTGTCTTTTTATCAAGCTTGACACTCTATGTCTTTTAAGTGGGGCATTTAGCCCCTTTACACTCGGGGTTAGTATTGATGTGTGAGATGTTGATCCTGTCATTGTGTTGTTATGTAGACTTACTGTGTAATTGCCTATAGTGTCGTTGGGCTGTGTGCTTAAGTGAGTGTTTGTGGTAGCAGGTGTTATTCTTTTGAGTCCATATTCAGCACTCCCTTAGGACCTCTTGTTAGGCTGGTCTAGTTGAATTCCTTCAGCATTTGCTTGTCTGAGAAGGTTTTTATTTCTCCTTCACTTAGGAAGCTTAGTTTGGCAGTGTATGAGACTCTTGGTTGGAATTTTTTTTCTTTAAGGATGACAAAAATAGACCCCTCTCCCTCCATCTCTTCTGGCTTGTCAGGTTTCTGCTGAGAGGTCCACTGCCAGCCTAATGAGAGTCCTTCTGCATGTGACTTGACCCTTCTCCCTAGCTGTCTTTAAGATTTTTTTCTTTTGCATTGACCATGGTGAATCTGATGACTATGTGCCTTGGGGATGGTCATCTTGTATATTATCTGGCCAAGGTCTTCTGTATTTCTTGAATTTACATGTCAACCTCTCTAGAGAGATTAGGGAAATTTTTGTGGGCTATGTCCCCAAATATATTTTCCAAGTTGCTTATTCTCTCTCCTTCTCTCTCAGGGATGGCAATGAGTCATAGATTTTGTCTCTTTACATAATCTCATATTTCTGGGAGATTGTGTTCATTTCTTAAAACTCTTTTTTCTTTATTTTTGTCTAAGTTGATTCAAAGAACCAGGGGTCAAGCTCTGAGATTCTTTCCTCAGCTTGGCCTATTCTGCTATTAATACTTCTGATTGTATTATGAAATTCTTTTTTGAACTCAATAAGCTCAGTTTGGGTCTTTTGTAAAATTGCTATTTTATCTTTCAGCTCTTAAACCATTTCACTGGATTGCTTGGTTTCCTTGGATTGCATTTCAACTTTCTCCTGGATATCTATAAGCTTCATTGCCATTCAGATTCTGAATTCCATGCTCATCATTTCAGATTGGTTAAGAACAATTGCTGTGGAGCTAGTGGGCTCATTTGGAGGTAAGGGGACGCTCTGGTTTTTTAAATTGCTACAGTTCTTGCACTGATTCTTTCTCATCTGGGAGGGTTGGCGTTCCTTTAACTCTGGTGTAAACTGAATATAGTCAGTTGGCTTCATTTCTGGAAGTTTTCAGAGGGCAAAGGCTCTAAACAGTCTGTTGAATTCCAGTCCTCGGCCTGGCAGGCAGGAAAATTAGCAGTTTTTCGTGTTGTAGTTTGGGATGAAATCCAGTAGATGGCGCGTGAGAGCAATGGGAGATAGCTAGACTAATATTCTGCCACCCGGCTCCTTTGTGTATCCGGGCCTTTGAAGCCGTGCTCTGTGGTGCAAGGGGGAGAGGGGTGACCCCTCACCAGGTCTCCTCCTCGGTCTTGAGGGGAGGGACCCCTGATCACTGGCACTGTGGCCGTGACTTTCTGTTGTTGTTAGGTGTTCCAGGTCGTTGGGCTCCTTCAGGCAGAGGTCCAGCAGGGAGACAGGCCCCACACTTACTGGACCAGCTCTGTGGAGGGAGGCACGCCTAGGTTCCACACCAGCCCAGGAACCTGTGCGACTCACCCCTCTCTGAGAGTTTTCTGAGAGTATGGGCTCCTCTTCTGCTGAAGCACTGGGCCCAGTTCCGCACTCCGGAGCCACAGCCCTGGGACGTCCGGATCTGCTCACAGCTCCCTCCCCTGGACCCTTGGGGTTGGGATCTGTGTGCACTGGGGGATTCAAACAGCTCCCACGCTGCCGGAATGCACTCAAGTGGAGCAAAGCACCCATGCTGAGCAGCTGAGGCTGCACTGTGTACACACTCCTGTGGGGTGGCCAGGCAGGAATCCTGGGAGGGACTGGCAGGCAGGTGGGCCTGCGGGACAGATGTGCCCTAATCCCACGGGGAAGCACTTCTTCTCCCATTCTGGTGGTTATATGGGGCCAGAGCCTCTCAGAGGGAGACAGAGAGCCCTGGGGGATGAGTGCTCCCGCGGAGCTGTCTCACAGACAAAGCTTCCAGCTCCGTGCCTGCTGGAGCCCTTTCTCCATCTAATCTCTAGTGAGAGTCTCATGTCAGCTCAAACGCGGAGGCCGGGGGTCCTCTGCAGCTAGGATCCCAGAGGTCTACGGCAAGAGAATAAATTGTTATTAAAGTAATTCCTCTTTGCTCTGAATTTGCATTCAGCCGAACGTTCACGTGTGACCCAGCTTCACGATCTGAGATTTGTACACAATGTGCAATTTATTTGAAATATTGGAAGTTGCTTTTCTGCTATGTATTGACTTGGCATTTCTAGTCTTTCACTCCTGTTATGATCTTCAGTATGGTGCATCTTTTCCTGGACGTTAGGTGCTCCTTCCTCTCTCCCTTTCTCCCTTCTCACTCCAGGGCAACACATATTATTATAAAGTTTATTCAGGTTGAGTCTACTGCTTTGGTGAGTTAAAGGACATTTTAACTCATATGAATGGCCCTAAAAGCCTTCACCTGAGCATTCAACTTGTTTGATAAGCATACGCTATGTCCCTCCCCTGGCCAGGTCAAGGCCACCACCGTGTGAGCCTCTTCTCTACCCAGGTTGCTCCCATATATTTGGATGGTTAGATGGGAAGCTGGTCCAGAGGGCAGACGAAGAAATGGAAATTCGACCCCAGCTGACTAGTCCACATGTGACCCAGTGGTATTATCTGGGAATTTTCACACATTATGCACCTTATTTAAAATTCTGGCAATTTTTTTTCTTCTATATAGTGACAAAGACATTGCTTGGATTCCCTTTGCTGCTTACAAAAAACAACAAACACCAAAAAATCTATAAATACAGCATTTATATTTTCTGACTGAATCTCAAAATTAGTTGGGGCATTGGGAAAGAATTTAATTTGACTTTTGAGTGTAAACCAAGGATGTATTTCTTTGAAAAGATAAAACAAGAGGGCTAATCATCCTAAACATGAATGTCTGCACAGATTGAAATTCCCAAGATGCCCAGGAGCCCAGCCTTTGCACAGCCTCCAGCACCGACATTATCTGGAAAAGGGAAAATTTTTCAGAGAAAGAGCATTAAAAAATATATTATTGGAATTATTAGAATAATAATACATTAGCTTAAATAAAACTGACAACTTTTGGAAGTGCTGGTTGGCTCAATCCCAGTGATATTATGCCATTCTGTGTCAATGGCATACCTATGTGCCTTTATTTACTTTATGAATGAGTACTTAAAATTTTTTTCTGGGCAGTAGATATATAATAAACATAAACTCTTCTTTATCTACCTTCCAGTACTCTGAGAAATTTCCTTTGTTGTGTTCATCATCAGTTGGCCCGACCTCTTTCACTCTGGTTGCTCTGCCACATTTAGAAACTTTGTATAAAAATGACAGTAATATCTGCAGTGGCATATGTTACCCAGATGAATCAGGGTTTTTACTCCCTGTCTGTAAGTCCGCTTGGCCTCCTCTTTCCTATACCAATTCTATTCTAGATCCTGAGAGCATTTCTTAGTGACTTCCTTCTTATTATCTTCAAAATATGCTATTCTAAGGGCCCAGATGACTTTTTGCTACTTGAAATTCTTACATATGAAAGTATACAAGAATCGAGTAGTTTTTCATTGGCATCCAGAAATCCTTTACTCCATCCTCTCTTTTCACTTGTCAGCTTCTTCACTAGACTATGTGTTCCCTGGAGACGTTTAATTCATTTCTGTATTCCTAAAATTTAGCACAATTTACACACATGGCATGTAATTAATTCCCAAAGCAAACTGAACTGAGTACTGTTCCCATTTATTTGCATTTCACTTGGCACCCAACAGAGCACCTGGCACATAGTAGCTTTCAGAAAATATTTGGTGAGTGAATGACTTATTGGTACTCACGTGTGTTTTCAACCACTTCCCCCTTATACAAAGGGATATGTTTGCAGAGTTTCTCAATGGGTGACCCAAGCAGGAACCAATCCACGTCTTTGATCAGAGACTCCAGAGGGTTGTACTTGACCCAGGTGTATTTGCTGGAGAACATGTTGTCCAGAGCCTAGATCGGTATAACAGAAAAGAACAACATAAAATAAATTGACAAAAATTGGTGTACCTTATTCTAAATTGTGACAATTTTTCTCTTTCAGATTATTAAATAGAAAGAACTTAGGGATCTCAAGACATCATCTCTTTTTGAACACTCTATCTGTGAAGTAGCCTCATTAGTAATTACCAGTGTTATTTTACCTCTGGTGGCAATGAAGCCCAAAGAAAGTAAGTCCCATGTCAAAGGTAGCACCTATAAGAAGTTGTGGAGGGAGACTTAAACCTTGGGTCTCTAGCCGCAGTGCACTGTTTGTATATGTTCACTCAACTGTATTATTTCTTTGCATCTTTGGGTCATTGAATATTAGAACTTCTCTTATTATTGTTCCAGTCACCATTTCTCATAGCCCTGCTCTGAGAAGAGAAGCTGATCAGTCCTTGCTATAATGTCACTGGAATTTATTATAAATTCTTGTATTTAGGACTATATGGTGGAAATCAAGCTAAGATTTGCTCCTGCTCTTAAAAAATAATAAAATAAAAGTAAAAACACTTTAATAACTTTAATAAGTTGAGTATCACATTTATGGTAAGGCATGATAGTATGATCTTCTCCCTCACACTCTTCATTTCTCCATAAATACCAGTATTGCCTGGCTTAAGAACAGAGAATACTCAAGAGTGCCCCAGAATTACCTGTTTCTCATAGATGTACCATTGGAGATTGTTCAGAGGAGGGATGTTCTGATGGTCCATCTTCAGGATAAAGCAGGCTCTTCGGGAGAGCACCCTGGATGCAATGTAGCCCTGAGGCAGCAAGAGTACAGTTACTGTTCCTCCCTAGTTCCCTGAATCTGAACTTGGTGAAGATGATGCCTGAACCTCGGAAGAAAGACTTGAACATGCACAGTGAATATATGGTGGGATTGCTCTCCAATCTGCAATCAACTTTATCCACTTGACTTATTTTACATAACATTTTCATTTTTTCACTTGTCATTTCTACCCCTTTGAAATTGTGCAAACCCATGACTATATTCTGCTTTTCATGTCATGGAACCAGGGTCTGCAGTTTGAGGTTTGAAAGATTGAGAAGAAGCACTACTCTGTCTCTTTCCATTATTTTATTATTATTATTACCATTATTATTATTTTTTTGAGACAGACTCTCACTCTGTTGCCCAGGCTGGAGTGCAGTGGTGCAACCTCAGCTCACTGAAGCCTCCACCTCCCTGGTTCAAGCAACTCTCTTGCCTCAGCTTCCAGAGTAGCTGGGACTACAGGTGTGCACCACCATGAACAGCTAATTTTTTATGTTTAGTAGAGATGGAGTTTCACCATATTAGCCAGGCTGGTCTCAAACTCCTGATCTCAAGTGATCCACCCACCTTGAGCTCCCAAAGTGCTGAGATTAGAGGTGTAAGCTACTGCATCTGGCTTCTTTCCATTAATTTTATTCTGCTTCCTCCCCAGTTTGGGGTAAATAGAATATTTTTTAGAACTGTGCTGTCCTGGCCAGGTGCAGTGGCTCACACCTGTAATCCCAGCACTTTGGGAGGCCGAGAAGGGCAGATCACAAGGTCAGGAGATCGAGACCATCCTGGCTAACATGGTGAAACCCCGTCTCTACTAAAAATACAAAAAATTTAGCCGGGCGTGGTGGCGGGCACCTGTAGTCCCAGCTACTCGGGAGGCTGAGGCAGGAGAATGGCATGAACCCGGGAGGTGGAGCTTGCAGTGAGCCAAGATCACACCACTGGACTCCAGCCTGGGTGACAGAGCGAGACTCCGTCAAAAAAAAAAAACAAAAAAAAAAAACTGTGCTGTCCAATATGATAGTTATTAGCTATATGCCACTATCTAAATTTAAATTCAAATTAGGTAAAATTTAAAATGCACTTCTGTTACAAATTTTGAGTACTCAATAACCACAGGCGGCTGGGGGCTTCCCTATTGGAAATTCAAATCTAGAACACTTCCACCGCTGCAGAAAGTTCTGTTAGACAGTGCTGCTTTAGGAGCTCTCATAAGCATACCCATACCCACACTCATGCACGCTCACACACGTCTCATCTATCCTCCCCTCATTTGCCATCTTTTCTTCCTCTCCAGTTTTCCCCATCCCTTCTCCATCTCAAACCCAAGCTGGCTGGAGAGGGATGGGTTGCAATAAGGTGGGATTGAAAGAGCAATGGAGGGTGAAGACCCTGGGGCCAGATGGGACCTAAGGCCACTGAGTCTTCACCTGGAGTGAAAATTGTCTCTACAGAGTTCCAAATAATGATATACCCTAGAAAGCTGTATCTAATAGAAATCTTTCTGGTTCTTATTTTTCAATTCTCACAAATTGTCAGTTCCTAAAATTCAAAAAATAGACAGAGGCTGAGCCTGGTGATAATGGAAGAAGCTTAAAGCAAATCCTCACTTCTCCATTTTTTTTTAAAGACAGTTTTGGGATTTCCATGACAGTTGCTTAAAAACAATTTCAGTGCCACTTCCTTTTAAACCACATTTTCTAATGACTCTATACTTTCAAATGTGTGATTGAACTGCCAACACCAATGGGAAAGAGGAACGTGAAGACATTTCTAGAAGAAAAGGGACAGAAAATCATGTTCAAAAGTCTAGTGAGATGAGCAGGAACCTACTTATATCCATAGTGCATAGCTTGGAACCTAGGTAGAAGCAGGTTCATAATTCGTTGGTGGAAGAAATGGAAAACAAATGAATAAATAACTGATGAAGGATATGTTTTCTGAGCAGGTTTCTGTGACTTATTGTTAATGCCAGTATCTAACACTTGAAAATAGTTTAGTGCTTTTAGTTAGCAGATTTTCTTTCTTACAGAAAAAGTATGATTTTTTGCCTACCCTATGTACATAATTAAATGTGTATAGTTGCTCTGGATTTCTGCTATGTTGTGATTGCTTTGTGATTGTTCTTTTTATTATTTTATATTTTTTAATTATTTATTTATTTATTTTTTTGAGACAGGATCTCGTTTTGTCACCCAGGCTGGAGTGCAGTGGTGCAGTCTCAGCTCACTGCAGCCTTGACTTCCTGGGCTCCAGCAATCCTCCCACCTCAGCCTCCCAAGTAGGTGGGACCACAGGCCCGCACCACCACACCCAGCTAATTTTTGTATTTTTGGTAGAGATGGGATTCTGCCATGTTGCCCAGGCCAGTCTCCAACTCCTGGGCTCAAGAGATCCTCCCGCCTCAGACTCCCAAAGTGCTGGGATTACAGGCATGAGCCACTGTGCCTGACCAATTGTTCTTTTTCTGCATGATGTTCTGTGTTAGAAGCCCTATTCATTCATTTGTTCACTCAACAAATGAGTTTGAGTGTCTGCATGCCGGGCTTTGCTTTGGACTTTGGTTACTCTTCTTTGCACTTTCTGAGCCTGTAGTGGGATAATAGCATTACTCTTCCAATTTCTACCTGAAAAGGTCAAGCAAATGCATATGTTTCCTGTCATATGTTTTTCTTCAAAATGGTTTTGTTTTTTTAACCAATTGCTTGATTATTTAAAGAGAAAAGTGAAAGTGAGGAATTCTTAAAGAATTGCAAGGTTAAGTCTAAGAATTCAAGTATATATGCCCCATATATATATAGATCCCTCTGCTCTTTAGCAAACTAGTCCTGATGAATATGAAAATTCATTTGCTGCTTACATGTTTATAGTCAAAAATTGTGGTAGAAGAGCATGATCCTGCATGGATGTTAATGATGGCGGTATTTTTTTCATTATCAATTGTCACTGTCTCCTGAACATTGCCACCATTGTTGCTTGGGCTGATGATGTTAAAAACCTAGATTGAAAAGAAAGACAAAATGTTTTTCCATAAATCTTATATATTTGAAAGGCAACTCTTCCAACAAAATAAAGCAGCTGCCTGCTATGAACAAGGGATTAAAAACTAAAACTGTCCACTGGGGTCCCAATCCAAAAACTTATGATGCCATAAGAAGGCAAAGCTTTTCCTTAGAGTTTACTATATTATATATGGGAGAAGCAGTGATATCACAAGAGAAATGAGACTGACCACATTTTAAAGCAATGGCTTACATTTGCAAAGGTATTGTGGTTGGAGAGGAATAGCCAAGCTCATTATTTCCATTATTGGTTATTTCTGAGATTCCATCCCAAATAAGGCATATGGCCTCTCTACTGTCTTCAGGCTCTCTTGTACCTTCCCTTTCCTCTCCCAACATCTCTAAGAGATAAAGTCCATAAGGAACCAACTCACCTCGTATCCATGAGATTGTATCCCAAAGATGGTCAGCACCACCAGAAATGCCACCTGAAAAACAGACCCACCACATCCATTCTTTATAGGGTAGTCATTGAGTGTGGGACAGGAGGAAACACTGGACAGGAAAGGCACAGATATCTCAGAAAATGTACACCTAGAGACACTGAGTGGCCACAGATGGTCAGCACTCCCTTTCCACGCACACATTGATTGGCTCACACATTGGCTCATTTAACAGGCATTTGTTGAGTTCATTCTATTTGCCAGACACAGGGTGCTACAATTGCCACCTAATTCCCAACTCTTTCTAGCATTATAACCATGTAGATAGTAGGAGAAACCCGGGGCAGATGAGCAGTGAAGGATTCATTTCACTATGGAAATACTCTGGTATGATTCACACTAGCTTTGGATAACAGTGGTCAAATTGTGTCCTCTAAAAAAATAATTAATTAATTAATTAATTTTAAAAAACTTTAATCCCTTAAGACTGAGAGGGTAATACAGATTTAAAATGAATCATGGGTGATAAAGACCTGACAGGTTCCTAAGGGAAACTATGAAAATAGAATGCTTGGGAGCACAATTAACTTTTGAGGCTGACATCAAGTAAAACCCCCATATTCTCCTATGCCTTAGTGATACTATCACACAAGTGCTGGGCCCACAGGTCGTGAGCTGACATTGAAGCAGTTCTGATATTTTGCTGTAGTTCTGTAAGAGTCTGTTCCAACATGCTAACCCAGGTTTTGTACCCTCTCTTCTGAACATCAGTGAACTGTACTATCGCTGAAAACTACATCAGTACATAGTTGACTGCACTGTCATTTGAAAACTGCTGATGAAAGGAGTCTTGGGGAAGGGGGATATTTTTAAGAACTGTCAGTGGGACTTTCCTACTTCCCTTTCCATCCCACCCTTAATATTTCTCTTCTGGGGACTGGGAGTAGAGCATCTAACAAAGACCTGTGTGCTGATATTCAGCCTTCCATAGGGATACATCTTCTCTTACCACAGACCAGCTCCAGCAACATATGATACTCCCGTATATTCTAGTTAATGAGTCTAAAATAGTGGTTTGAACAAGTAGTCGAAGGACTAAACCACTTTAATGGTATGATTAGAGAGAGCTTGGGGAGTGTCCTCTGCCCCAAAATGATCTCCCTTCCAACACTGTGGTTAATACACCATGGTTATATAATACTTTTGTGCTTCAGGGTTAGGTCTCAATTTGGAAAATCAAGACAGCCCTGAGAGAGGGAGCTCTTTAAGCTGATAGTCTTTAACACTTTAGAAAGAGGTACTTAACATTTTGCTTTCTCCCTTAGCAGCTGAATGAGAATAAAGGACAGAGACTAGGGGAGCGAATTCCATTCTAGGTCAGAACATAGCCCACTGTCCATGGGGCACTGCAATGTGGAACTACGGAGGCTGGGATCAGATGGAGGGGTGGAGTGGCCATAGAAGGAACGTTTTGTCCTAAGGGAGAATTTAGTCATAATGAGAGGACATTGAAGACACTCTGGCTGCTTAAATTTGCCATGATTGCGCCTGCAAGTGGGGATTCAGATGGATAAATTACATTCTAAATCCCACATTTACGGGCTTGGGAAAATCACATTCCTCTGCCTCTCAGTCTCCTTATCTGTAAAACGGGGAGAATACTACTCAACTCATAGGGTTGTTGCAATGAATAGATGAAATTATTCATGTGATATGCTTAGTCTAAGGCTTAGTATGCATTTGAGAAATGAGAGGTACTATTATTACTATTACTGATATTATTTTTAAACTACAGCTTCTCTCTTAGATAGCAAATGTAGTTGTTTTAAATAGCCCAAATTCCCTATGAAGCTCATAATAAAGGATTATTATTAAACATCCTCCAAATCAAAATTATCTAGAGATTTCTTTGTATTTTTGAATTTTCTTTTAAGTAAACATCTCAAAACAGGAAAAGGACAAAAAAAGTCAGACTTATTCAACACTATTTCTGCCAAAGATGTCATTAATTCAATCACAGAAGCTTAGAAGCATGCACAGTATCTGTCTAAGACTCCCAAAATCCATGGCATATTAGATATGAGCATTGTCTGCAAGCAGTCACCACAAGAGTATCAAGAAGCAGAAACAAATACTCACAAGTATTTTCATTTTGCCTGGGAGAGGAAGGTGCTGGAGTAAGTAAAGCTGCCCTGTGCAGCTTCTATCCTTTATATGGGCTTGAAGATGTGGATATCTCTTTTTCAAATGATCACTTTGGAAAAGACCATGTCTATATCTCTGACACACCCTAGCAAACTCCTTTATCAGAATTGAGATCCAACCACATACCTGATATCAATGAAGTTCATTAGTCAGTAATGAAAATTCACCACTTGGTCACTCTGTAAATATTCCCTGCTATTTGTACTATGCTGCACTTGACATTTTAATTTCCACCCTTTAAAAATATTGCATGATGCTTGTTCTATGCATACATTTTATAGCTCTACAAGGACAAACTTCTAACATCTCCTCCTAAAGGAAGAGTGCTTCCTTAAGGCCTGAGTTGGGCCCCAACTCAATGTCTTTTCACCACTGTTCTGCTGGCTGAATTCTTCCACAGAGGGAACGGATATGAGACGGGGTGCCAAGACAGTGGCTGGGGAGGCCTGCTTGGAGAACAAACAGCCTAGGACTTTCTTCGTTCTTCCCTTTAGATTTGGTGTCAATTTCCAGAAATTAATGAGGAACAAGACTCAGAAAGCATTCTCCCCAATTACCAAGTTTAACCAAATTTTTACATTAAGCTTCGCCCAAAACTGCACAAAACTGTAAGTTAGAGACCTCTAGTTATCTTGCAGAGTATTAAGAAATTCTTAGATTGAAAAAAAAAAAAAAGAGAGAGAAAGAGAATAAAGTTTAATTTGTGTAATTTTTTTAACATGACAATTAGAAATGGCTAGTTAGTGTCAGGGTATAATCATGAACTCAGGAAGGGAAATTTAAAAACAAAACAAACAACAACAACAACAAAAACAATAAACTGCGGCTGGGCGCAGTGGCTCATGCCTGTAACCCCGGCAATTTGGGAGGCCAAGGCGGGCAGATCACCTGAGGTCAGAAGTTTGAGACCAGCCTGGACAACATGGTGAAACCCCGTCTCTACTATGGTGAAACCCCGTCTCTACTAAAAGTACAAAAAAATTAGCCAGGCGTGATGGTGCTCGCCTGTAGTCCCAGCTACTCAGGAGGCTGAGGCAGGAGAATTGCTTGAACCCGGGAGGCAGAGGTTGCAGTGAGCCAAGATCATGCCACTGCACTCCAGCCTGGGTGATAGAGCAAGATTCCATCTCAAAACAAAACAAAACAAAAAACCCCAGTAAATTGCAAAATTGTAAAATATTGAGAATCACCACAGTAAACAAAGAGATAACATAAATAATGGCCTTGTTCTATAGCTGAAACAACTTTCTAACTTTAGCAGCTTTAAACAAAAATGGGGTTCTCAAAAAGTAGACATCTGGGCAAGTTAAGGGTTACCTAGTTCACTGGAATCTCCCTACCCTGGCTGTTCAGTGGGGGTGGATGTAAAACACGCAGCTTTATTAAATCTTTCTCAGATAGTAGCTGCAGAAAGGATTACAGTTTTCTAAGGCACCTGCAAATTTTCTCTCATATCTGGCTTCAGAGACTCAAAAAAGCAAACCAGCAATGCCCATAGACATTAGGGCTAATGAAAGTATCACATGCTATCCTCTACCATGTCCCCCTCCCGTCCTCAGGAGTTCTGGTTCTATAGTCTAATAATGATTGTTGCTAGTGTTTGTAGAGCACTCAATATGTTTCAACACTTTCCAAACACTTCGGATATATTGATTCATCTGATTCTCATATCAACTCTAGAAGTTACCTTCTAACCTGTTCCATTTTACAGGTAGGAAAACCAAGGTGCAGGGAAGTTAAGTAACTCTTTGAGATCACACAGCTTCGAAAGGCAGTGTTTGGGATCTGAGCCCAATTTAACTCCAGAGTCCACACTCTTAATTCTGAAAATGATACAGCCTCTCCTTGCCTTGCTGAGACAGGAGCATTAGCAAGGAGGCTTCTGCTTCCAGAATGCTCCCTAACTGAAAGATAGACTTGGAAACTGTCAGGCCCACCCACAACTCAGGAGTGAAAACTAAAATGAGAAGTGGTGCTTGTAAACGTTGTTATGAATGAAATTCCTGTCTTCACTCCCAGCTCCCCGCCGAGGGAGTGAAATTGCTGACCTGGAAGGGCCTGGTGCTGACGGTGCCCACCTTTGGATACCCTGACGTAGTAGGTCTAAAACTTCCGTGGGTTATTCAGATTGAACGCTGTTTCAAGTCTCATCTAAACCTCTTACAAGGAAGCTAAGAGCCAAACAGGTTAAGGAATTTGCCTAGGATCGTATATAGTTAGTATATAGTTTCTGGCAAAAATAACTCTCCCTCAGGCCTTCCGACATTAAGTCCAATATTCTTTAGTTGGTAAATCACCAAAACGTTTAAAATAACACTTCAATGAATGAAGGTATTAATGTTCATTTATCCACTCTTTTTAAAAAAATTATTATCATACTTTAAGTTCTGGGATACATGTGCAGAACGTGTAGGTTTGTTACATAGGTATACACGTGCCATGATTGTTTGTTGCACCCATCAACCCGTCATCTACATTAGGTATTTCTCCTAATGCTATCCCTCCTCTAGCCCCTCACTCCCCAACAGGTGCTGGTGTGTGATGTTCCCCTCCCTGTGTCCATGTGTTCTCACTGTTCAGCTCCCAATTATGAGTGAGAACATGCGGTGTTTGGTTTTCTGTTCTTGTGTTAGTTTGCTGAGAATGATGGTTTCCAGCTTCATCCATGTCCCTGCAAAGGACATGAACTCATCCTTTTTTATGGCTGCATAGTATTCCATCATATATATGTACCACATTTTCTCTATCCAGGCTTTCACAATAGCAAAGACTCAGAACCAACCCAAATGCCCATTTATTCACTCTTCTATATGGTCCATTGCTTTGCTGATACAATCGGTGCTGACACAGATGTTTTCGTACCTGTTCAAAATCGTCCTGTAGTGTACGGCTTGCTTGGGTCACAGGAGTGTGCAGAGTCAACTATTTGCTAGTTCATATCCTTTCCCCTTTTTCTAATTCTTGTCCATTTTTTATTGCTATGTAGGAGTTCTTTTCATATTCTGAATAAGAATTCTCTAATAATCTCCTAGTCCATATAGCTCATCATTTAACTTTGTTTATGGTGTCCTTTGCTATACAGAAGTTTTATTTACATTTTGATGTCGTTGAGATGAGCAATATTTTCTTCTCTAATTTGTGCTTTTTAGTCTTGCTTAAGAAATGCTTCCAAGGTCTTTAATGTATTTTCCTACATTTTCTTAAAGTCTAGCGTTTTACATTTAATTTTACTATTATGTTTGAATATAGTATTAGGTTGCAATCTAATTTTTTTCTTCATTTTGATATCCAGTTGTCCCAGCATCCATTATTGAATAATTCAGGCTTTTTTCACTAATTTATAATGTCATATAGTTTCCATGTATGTGTTAGTCTATTTATTGTCTCTCTATTCTATTGTTCTATTTGTCCATCCAAATGACAATGCCTCCCAGTCTTAATTTCACTGTCTTTATAAGTAAGTTTTAATATCTGGCAGAGGAAATCTTCCAGCCTTGCTATTTTTAAAAACCATCTTGGCTATTTTTGTGAATTTTCTGTATTGCTTAGTTGTTTTTCATTTCATTGATTTCTACCTTTATTAGTTTTTCTTTATTTTCACTTCCTTCATAACTATTCTGTTGTTATTTATCTAACTTCTTGAGCTGAAACCCACCTATTTCTATTAAATCTCTTGCTATTTTTAAAGGATAGCATTCAGCAATAAATGTTTACCTCTAAGTACTTTTTATTTGCATCTCACAACTATTTTGATCAGTTCTTAATATTTCTTAATTTCCACTGTGATCTTCTCTTTAATCCACAAGTTGTTGAGAATATTTTTCAGTTTCTTAAGTAAAGATTTTTCTCCTTTCTCTTGCTCTTTCTTCACCTTTTCCTCTCTTTTCCCTCTCTCTTTCTCTTTCATCATCTCTAAACACTCCAATATTTGAAATAAATGTATATTTTATATCATCAGGTTACATTTAAAATGGATATTTCCATTAGATCAAGCTTGTTAATTTTACTTTTCAAATATTCTACATTATTCCTAATTTTTTATCTACCAGATCTAACTAATTCTACTAGAGGCATGTTAAAAACCTTTCTTAGGACTGTACTTTTGTCTGTTTCTATGTAATATTTATAAGTTTTTGTTTGATGACATTCACAGCAATGCTCTTTGGAAAATGCAAATTCATCTTCAGTATATCGTCCTGGAGAACTGTCTTTCATTCTTATGTAATATGTCCCACTGTGCCCCTATTTATGTTCATTTCTTTTTGCCTTTGGTTTGCCTTTTTTTTAGTACTATCTGGGTAGTAGACTTCTTTGCTCATTTTATTTTTAACTTTTCTGTGTGGCATTACCTTAGATGTTTCTCTAGCTTATAGTATTTTACCAAGTTTTATTTATTCTACAGTCTGAAAAACTCCTTTAATATGTGAATGTCATCCGTTTCCTATATTGTGATTACTAATACAATTTAGACTTCTTTCTAGTCGTATTTTATTGTATACTTATTGCTGTCTTTCTTAGCATTCATTCCTTTATTTTTTGCCTTCTTTGTACTGATAAAGATTGTATAGTCTTTACCTGTTATCTTTTTGAAATATGTAAATTTTTATTATTTAGGGCTTCCTTTGAAATTTTAACAAATATACTTAATTATCCATATTTCCTACGAATCCAAAAAGCATCCTATATTTTGTTCTTCCCCAAAGACATAGAAACTCAGTACTTTTATGAGCATGCTTTCTATCCCAAGAGTGTTATAATTATGTAGTTTAATTTTCACCTTTAAAAATATCACACAGGCCAGGAGCAGTGGCTCTTGCCTATAATCCCAGCACTTTGGAAGGCCGAGGCCAGCAGATCACTTGAGGTCAGGAGTTTGAAACCAGCCTGACCAACATGGTGAAACTCTGTCTCTATTAAAATACAAAAATTAGCTGGGCATGGTGGTGCGTGCCTGTAATCCCAGCTACTTGGGAGGCTGAGGCAGGAGAATTGTTTGAACCAGGAAGGCAGAGTTTGCAGTGAGCTGAGATCATGCCACTGCACTTCAGCCTGGGCAACAGAGTGAGACTGTCTCAAAACAAAAACAAAACAAACAAACAAAAAAAAACAAAGAAAACACAAAACCTCAAAATAGTTAAGTGTACCATCAATGGATAATTAAATTTACTAAAATACTTTATCAATCTTATGCTAATTATTTCTTATAGCTTGAATACTCTATTTTCTTTTTGCTTAAATATATCTCTTAATAGATTTTTTATTGGAAGCCTATTGATGTTAAATTCTCTTGTTTTTCTATGTTTAAATAAGTATTTGCCTCTTACTTTTGGATAGTAGTTATAGGTTGACAGTTATTTTCTTTGTAGCATTGTGAAGATATTACTAGATTGCCTTCTGGCACTTATTATTGCTTCTGTGAAACCTGCTCCCAGTGTAATGTAATGTTTCTATTTTGTTTTTTTTTTCACAGTAATATGCTGTTTTATTTCAGCCTGTTTTATTTACTAATTTTATTCTTCCTTATATATGTAATACCTTCATTTATATCTTTAAGTATCTTAGACATCTTTACAGATGTCTTTTTCTCACTATTCTCCTGTTCAAACCAAACAGTAAAATCTGCTCTAACTATTGATTTGGTTAGTTGCCTTTCTTGAAGATTAGACCTATTTAGACCCATTGTAACTATTACTTTTTAACTTACAAAACTTAAATCCTCTATTTTTACAATATTTCTCTGAAGCACACTCATGATCTCGCTCTCTCTCTCTCTCGCTCTCTCCTTCTGCAACTCTTTTCTTATTTTCCAGGCAGCATATACTATCTCAAGCTCACCATGTCTAAAATAAAAATTGTTGCACTCCTTTCCCAAAGCTGTTCTTTTTTCTGAACATTGTTATTTCTGTTGACAATTTATCTAGGTCTTTGGGCTACCCTTGAAGTCTTCCTTGATTCTTCTGCCAGTTTTCCTCTGTAATGCCTCTCTCATTTATGTCTTTTTTCCAATCCATCAGCCCAAGCTCTATTGCACATTCTTATTACTGCACAGTGTCCCTATCACAGTGACTTTCATTAGTCAGAATATTGGCACTAACTACTCCAACAAGCAATGCCTAAATCTCAGTGCTTTCACAAAATAAACTTCTATTTCTCACTCACATATAGTTCAAAGCAGATGATGCTCATGGTGGGTAACTCTCCTCCAAGGAATGATTTGTGGATTCTAGCTTCCTTCTTATGTGGCCACCATCTTCCCACATGGCTTCATGTTTTTCCTGGCATTACTCAGCTGGCAGATGGAGGTTCAGACTGACAACATGGAGAAGTCACACCTGCTTTTAAATTTTGCTTTTAAAAAAAGCAATTAATGATCTTTTGCATTTCATGCAGTTAGGCTTGTATGCCTTTTTCATATGATTTATTTCAATATTTTTAGGCTTAGAAAATCCTTTGCATTGCCAAAATCAGATTAAAGTTTACGTATATTTTCTTCCAGTTTTTTATGGATTATTTCATATCATATATATTGTTTACATTTATTTTTAAAATTAATTTGGAATTAATTTTTGTTTATGGTCGGATCTATTATACATCAGCTTTTCCCAAATAACTAAACCCTCATCCCAAGGCTATTTAAAGCAGAGTCTTTTTCTCCCCAATAGTAGTTTTTGAGCCCTTGCTTTGGGTATGGCAGAAAATGACATGGTAATGAATTAAAATACTTCTAATGTATGAGGGAGACAACGAGTAGGGTATCTTCAACTTACCAATAGTTTTAATAAATCCACAAGAAAATAGTTGACACATAGGATTCTTTTTTCTTTTGAGACAGAGTCTTGCTCTGTTGCCCAGGTTGGAGTGCAGTGGCAAGATCTCAGCTCACCACAACCTCTACCTCCCGGGTTGAAGCAATTCTCCTGACTCAGCCTCCTGAGTTGCTGGGACTACGGGCACGCACCACCACGCCCGCCTAATTTTTGTATTTTTAGTAGAGATGGGGTTTTACCGTGTTAGCCTGGCTGGTCTCTAACTCCTGACCTCAGGTAATCCACCCACCTCGGCCTCCCAAAGTGCTAGGATTGCAGGTCTGAGCCGCCGTGCCTGGCCAGGGTTGTTTTTTTTTTTTTTTTCTAATGGGCAAATGACCTGATTCGAAGGAGAGGAGCAATCACAGGAGGTGGTAAAGAGTTGAGGCCTCAGAAACATCCTACCTGGATTTGAATTCCAATTTGAATTCCATGTTCCCTATCTCTCACTGTGTGCCTCAGTAACCTCATTTGGAAAGAAAGAATAACAAAATACCTCCTCAAATCATCATTATAAACATTGAAAAGTTCACATATATAAAATATTTAGAATAATTGCTCGCATAGAGTAAGCTCTCAATAAATTTATCTAATAATATTATCAATATTTATTATAAGTAAAACATACCAAACCTCATAAATTATTAGGGAATTATACATTTAAACAGCAGTATTAAATTAAAATGGAACTATGACATCCAAAAAATCCCTAATTATTGTTTTGTAATCACTTCTGAATAAGGCATAGACTAAACAGGAAGTCACAGGGAAATTTAAAAAATATTTTTAATTCAATGGAAGTGAAAATACAATATATGAATATTTATGAGATGCAGCTTAAGCAGTACTTACAGAGAAATTTATAGCATTAAATACTTATATTAGAAAAAGGAAAGATCTTAAATAAATTATCGAGGCATCTACCTTAAATTTGAAAATAAATATCAAATTAAACCTAAATCAAGCACAAAGCAAGAAGTAATAAAGATAAGAGCAGGAATCAATGAAATTGAAAATAGAAAAACAAAAGTAAATCAATGAAAAACACCAATGGCTTATTTAAATAATCAATCAAATTGATAAATCTCTCACCAGACTGTTCAAGAACAAAAAAAAAAAAAGAAGACGTACACTATTCATATCAATATTAAAAAGGAGACATCAATACTGATCTTATACCTGTTAAAAGAATAACGAGGAAATATTACAAACAATTTTATATCCACAAATTCAACAACTTAGAAGAAATGGAAAACTTCTTGCAAGACACAAACACCAAAGATGACTCAAGAAGAAATAAATAACCCGAATGGCCCTATATCAATGAAAGAAATTGAATTTGTAGTTAGAAACCTTTCCACAGAGGAAGCTCCAGGCCCAGGTGACTTCACAGGTGAACTCTACCAAACATTTAAGGAAGAAATAATCTGAATTCTATACGAATTATTCTGGAAAATACAAGAGGAGAGCATACTTCCCAACTCATTCTATGAGACCAATATTACTTTGACACCAAAAATAGACAAAAATAATATAAAAAAAGAAATTACAGATCAGTATTCCTCCTGAAAAAAATAAAAAATATTAGTATATTCAATACAGCAGTATATAAAAATAATAATAATAATACATAAGTGAAGTTTTTCCTGGGACTGTAAGGTTTGTTTAACATTTGAAAATCAATCAATACACAGCAGGTTATCAAATAACACTGTTTAGTTCAAAGTGTTTCGTTATAATGCTGATGAGAAAAAAATCGATTTCCAGCCAAGGTCACTCACTGTCTGTGTGGAGTTTGCGTGTCCTCCCCATGCCTGTGTGGGTTTTTTCCAGGCACTCCAGTTTCCTCCCACATCCCAGACATGTGCCCATTCAGTGAATAGGCATGTCTACATGGTCCCAACATGAGTGAGGGTGAGTGTGTGCGTGAGTGTGCCCTGCAATGGGATGACATCCTGTCCAGGGTGGGTTCCTACCTTATGCTCTGAGCTTCTGGGATAGGCTCCAGATGCCTACCACCCTGAACCAGAATAGCAGCTGGAAAATGAAGGAATGAATACAAATGTTTGTCAAATAAAAACTCATAAAGTATATGCCAGTCATATAAATGCATATCAATAAACAGTGCTCAGTGATCCCACTATATTTGCTATTGTTTGTTTTATACTGTATGGTGGCAAGAAGCACTCTATATAAATTTTCTCTTAGCAAAATCTCTTCCTTGATTTAACCCACTACTACTACACCAGCTTCACTTGCTGATGCACCAGAACCTGGGAAAACAATTATCTTACTTGTTTTTATGAATGTTTCTTAAATGTATGTATAGCTCATATTTATTTCAATGTTTAATATAAAAAATGTTTGGGTCTTTATTTAGAAGTTTGATGATGTTTTTATGACCAGAAATAGGCCTCAGGAACTTAACTCTCATTTATATCAATTATCCTATAGTAAAATTGATTTTTTTTTTTTTTGAGATGAAGTTACGCTCTTGTTGCCCAGGCTGGAGTGCAATGGCACGATCTTGGCTCACTGCAACCTCCACCTCCTGGGTTCAGGCAGTTCTCCTGCCTCAGCCTCCTGAGTAGCTGGGACTACAGGCAAGTGCCACCACGCCCGGCTAATTTTTTGTATTTTTAGTAGAGACGGGGTTTCACCATGTTAGCCAGGATGGTCTCGTTCTCCTGACCTTGTGATCCCCCTGCCTCAGCCTCTCAAAGTGCTGGGACTACAGGCATGAGCCACCGTGCCCAGCCTGATTTTTTTATACATCATTTCACTTAAAGTTGCAGTTTCCAAGAACCTATTCACGATGTTAAGTGAGGACTTACTATAATCTAATATATTGTATATTAAAATGAAAAACCATGTGTTCGTCTTGATAGGTGCAGCAAATCATTTGACAAAATTCAACATACGCTCGTGATAATAACTCTCAGAAAACTAGAAGTAGAAAGGAATGTCCTCACTCTAAGAAAGAACACCTATGAAATACCTTGAGTTAATATCATCCTTAAAAATTCACAAATAGAAAATTAATAAATTGGAGCTCAGTAAAGTAAAAACTTTTGCTCTTCCAAAGACAGTCAAAAATATAAAAATAAGAGGCAAACTGGGAAAAAAATACTTGTAAAATACATATCTGATATGTACATCTGATGAAGAATTTATATCTAGAATATATATGTAACTCCCAAATTCAATAACAAGAAAACATACATTCCAATTTTAAAAACAGGCCAAAGATTTGAAAAGATGGTTTACCAAAGAAGATATACAGATGGCAAATAGGTGTGTAAAAAGATGCTCAGCATCACTGGTAATTAGGGAAATGCAAACTAAAACCATGATGTGATGCCACTATACACCAATTAGAATGACTAAAACAACAAATAAGCAAACAAAACAAAACAAAATTGAAAAGTCCAAGCATTGTCAAAGAGCAGAGCAACTAGAATAATCATGCATTGCTGGTGGGGATGCAAGATGGTAAACCACTTTGGAAAACAATTTGGTAATTCATCATAAAATTAAATATAATTATCATATGACCCAGCGATCCCACTTCTAGGTATTTACCAAAGAGAAATGAAAATATATGGGCCCATTAGAGCCTGTACATGAATATTTGCAGTGGCTTTCCCTGTAATTACCCAAAACTGGAAACAACACGAATGCCTTTCAAATGAACTGTGGTACATTTATATATTAGGATACTACTTAACAATAAAAAAGGAATAACTCAATTTTTAAAATGTGCCATGACACATACGAATCTCAGTGCATTATGCTGAGTGACGCTCTTGTCACCTATACACAACGGTAAGCACAATCCAACTCCTAGCAAGACTAACATAAAACCTCATGCAAAATGCCTATTCACTTCAGTTTCTATCACCCGATAGGTCATATCCAACTTTCAATAAAAAATTACAGGTCATGCTAAAAGCCAAAAAAAATTAAAAACTGTCTGAAGAGACAAAGCAAGCAACAGAACCAGACTCATATATGGCAGGATGTTGAAATTATAAAATAGGGAATTTAAAATAACTATGACTACAATGCTAAGAGCACTAACGGAAAAAGTAGACAACATGCAAGAGGACATGGGTAATGTAAGCAGAGAGATGGCAACTCTAAGAAAGAATCAAAGGAAAAAACAGAAATCAAAAACACTGGAACAGAAATGAACAATGCCTTTGATGAGTTCATTGATAGATTGGACATGGAGGATGAAAGAATAAGTGAACTGGAAGGTATGCCAATAGAAACTTCTCAAATTGAAATACAAAGAGAAGAAAAAATTTTAAAAATGAACAGTTATTTAAGAATTATGGGACATTTTGTAAAGGTGTACAATATATATAACTGAAATAGCAGAACGGAAATAAAGAGAAAAAGGAGCAGAAGAAACCATTGAACTAATAATAGCCAAGAACATTCCAAATACAATGACAGACACCAAACCACAGATCCAGGAAGTTTAATGAAACTAAGCAGAATAAATACCAAAAAAATCTACACCTGGGCATATCATATTCAAACTGGAAAAAAAACCCAAAGACAAAAAAGGAATCTTGAAAGATGCCAGGAAAAAAACAAAAACAAAAACAAAACAAAACAAAACAAAAAAACACCATACCAATAAAGGAAAAAGGATAAAATTACAGTGGATGTCTCTCAGAAATCATGCAAGCACAGAGACATTAGAGTGAGATATTTAAAGTGGTAAAAGAAAAAAATCACTGATTGAGTCAGCAAAATTTACATTCAGCAAAAATTATCCTTAAAAAAATGAAGGAGAAACAAAGACTTTCTTAGACAAGCAAAATGTGAAGAAATTTATCATCAGCAAACCAGCCCTCTAAGGAAATATCAAAAGAAGTTTTTTAGGCAGAAGGAAAAGGATATAGGTAAGAAACTCAGATCTGCATAAAGAAAAAAAAAGCATCAGAGGAGAAATACATGAAGGTAAAATAAAATCTTTCATTTTTATTATTCTTAATTGATCAATATTTATTCAAAGTAATAACATTAACTGTATTTTGAGGTTATAGCATATGAATAAGTAAAATGAATGGCAGCATGTTATAAAGGATAAGAGGGAGGAATTGGAAGTACTCTGTTAAAAGGTACCTGTACTACCCATGAAGCAGTAGAGTGATGTTTGAAAGTAGATCTAGATTAGTTGTGAATGCACATTGCAAAATCAGCAATCACTAAGAAACTTCTTAAAAGGTATAATTGAGGAGAGAAAATGGAATCATATAAAATCCTTAGCTAAAACCAGAGAAGGCAAAAAAGAGAGGAAGAAAAACAGAAACAAAAAACAAATGGAATGAACAGAGAAGTTACAGCCATGATAGATATTAATCCAACTGTATCAAGAATCACTTTAGATGTGAGTGATCTAAATACACCAAGTAAAAGATAGAAAGTGACAGAGTTAATCTGGCTCATGCCTGTAATCCCAGTACTTTGGGAGGCCGAGACGGGTGGATCACCTGAGGTCAGGAGTTCGGCACCAGCCTCACCAACATGGAGAAACCCTGTCTCTACTAAAAATACAAAAAATACAAAATTAGCTGGGCATGGTGGCACATGCCTGTAACCAGGAGGCAGAGGTTGCAGTGAGCCAAGATCGTGCCATTGCACTCCAGCTTGGGCAACAAGAGCAAAACTCCATCTCAAAAATAATAATAATAAAATAAAAAATAACACCGAACTATATGTTGTCTATAAGAAATTCACTTTAAATATAAAGACACAGAGAGGTTAAAAGTAAATGAGTGGAGAAAATACACCATCTAACACTAATCGAAAGAAAACTGAAGCACCTGTATTAATTTTAGACAAAGTGAACTTCAAAATAAAGAAAATTATCAGGGATAAAGAGAGGCATCACATAATTATAAAGGATTTAGTTCTCCCAGAAGATATAACAATCCTTAACGGGTATGCACCTAACACCAGAGCATCAAAATATGTGAGATGAAAACTAATAGAGCTGGAAAATCTTTGTACCTTCCAATCAATTTTGCTATAAACCTAAAATGGCTCTAAAAATTAAAGTCTATTTTTTAAAAACTGATAAAACTGCAAAGAGAAATAGACAAACCACTGTTATAGCTGGAGACTTCAATACCCCTCTTCCAAGCACTAATAAATCAAGTAGGCAGAAAAGCAGTAAGGGTATTGTTAAACTAAACAGTATCATCAATAAATTGTATCTAATCAACATTTATAGAATACTTCATTGAATAACAGCAGAATATACATTTTTCTCAAGCTTCCATGGAACACTTACCGAGATAGACCACATGCTAGGCCACAAAACCCACATTAACAAATTTAAAAGAATATAAATCATACAAAGTGCGTTCTCAGATCATGATGAATTTACATTACAAATCAATAACAGGAAGATAATTGAAAAATCCCCCCAAATTTGAAGACTGAACAGCACGTTTTTAATAATAAATGAATCAAAGAAGTCACAAGATAAGTTTTGTTAAAATATGATAAAAAGTTAACAGTGATTATTTCTGCGTAGTAGAATGATATGTGTCAATTATTCTTTGATTATTTTTGTTTTCCATAATTTCTTATGAGTTACTTTTATGCTCAGAAAAGAGTTTTAGATGGTTTTTTAAAATAGATATTTAAAAGATAGAATTTAAAGGCTATAGTTATCCATTGTTAATCAATTTGACAGTAGCTGAGCTATCTATTTTGATTGATTCAGAGATTAAAGTGCCATTAAAATAAATAGAAATAACAGAAAAACAGCATGTTTGAGAAGTAACGAAAATAATTTGGTTTGGAGTCTATCTGATTTTGAAATATGATTATTAAATACATCTAATGTATGCAACAAACTAAAGCCTGAAGCTCAGTAGGGTTGGACCTGTTTTTCCATCTCGTATGGGTGGCTCAAGTATTTAGAATAGAGGAGGTCACACAGGAAGAATGCGAAGGATGAAAAAAAGACCAAGGATGGACTCCAATGCCAACATTGAAGGGAAAGATGAAAGAGAAGAAAGCAAATGTTGAGATGGTAGAAGGAGCAGTTGAAGTGCAAATGGGAGAAAGCAATGTCACAGAAGTAAAGAAAGGAGATAATTTTTTAAAATAAAGGAATTGCAGGATCGAAAAGTACAAAGAAGTTAGATAAGTACTGAAAAAATAGCGGCATTTCAGCAATTTTGAAGTTAGGCTCTTTGTCTTCCTCACTTTTGTGTCACCAATACTGGAGCCCAATTGCCGTGGGTTGAGCCATGATGGTAGGCGGGGAAATAGGATCAGAAAATGTATGTGATTCTTTTAAGGGATGTAAAGAGGAGGGAAGATATAAGGTCTCCATTTGTGAGGAAAGTAGACTTAAGGGAAAGTTTTTATGTTTTGTTTTATTTTGTTACTACTGAGAAAATTTGGCCATACAAATCAAAAAGAGGGAGCAAATCAAAAAGGAAGAGACTGAAGTTTGAGAAAAAGGACAGCTATTTGATGGAGAAAGATGAAAATCAGAGATAGAACTGTTGGTCTTAGAAATGATGTATTAAGAACATATTCCTCCAAGATGAGAGGGAATGAAGTTTGGGTGAAGACAAAGATGGAAGATGGAGGGATGACAGTTCAAGAAGCCTGATACCTTTGAGTTTCTCCATGCAATAGGCTGTTAGGTTGAAGATCGGAGTGATAGAGAGGACTTGGATAATCTGGCAAGGATTTGAACAGCCACTGAAGGGAAGAGGGAAGAAGCTGGCGATAAGTCACAAAAGCTGAGCTCCACTGATGCTATGATAGGTCCAAGAGGAATCAGTTTTAAGTTTAAATTCTTTTCTATATTGGCTCCCACCCAAGAAGAGAGAAAGGGGTTTTCTGGGAAATTGGCCTCTTCCAGATTTGAGAAAAGTGACAAACATTAGTACAACCTTTTTTGTATCAGAATTTCATTTGAGGGCAGGAAGTGTGCTGGACACAAGTAGTGTGAGTTTCTTGAGACAGAAAAACAGTTTCTGTCTCAGGAAACTACACAGCCCAGCACTCTGAGAGGCCAAGGTGGGTGGATCATCTGAGGTCAGGATTTCGAGACCAGCCTGGCCAACATGGTGAAATCCTGTCTCTACTAAAAATACAAAAAAATTAGCCAGGCATTGCGGTGGGCACCTGTTATCCCAGCTACTCAGGAGGCTGAGGCAGGAGAATCGCTTAAACCCGGGAAGCAGAGGTTGCAGTAAGCCGAGATCGCGCCATTGCACTCCAGCCTAGGCAACAAGAGTGAAACTCTGTCGAAAGACAGAGAGAAAGAGAGAAAGAGGAAGGAAGGAAGGAAGGAAGGAAGGAAGGAAGGAAGGAAGGAAGGAAGGAAAGAAGGAAGGAAAATCACAGCCTAATAGATATCCAGCGATTCCATCATATATCATCTCCATACACATTCTATTTCAAGGTAAGTCATGAAATTCTAAATAATAAAGTGTATTTACATTTCTAAAAGGTATATACTTATTTATATACTTTCCTTTATATGTGCTTGATGGTCCTTTATGAAAAAGCTAAATCAAATTGAAAGGTGTGTCAATTATGAAAAAGTTAAGTGACTACGTTTTTAGGGAAACACCCATGGCCACTACCTAAAATATTAATTTACTGGGAGGAGCTCAAGGCTGTTGAAAAGTGTGGGTGTGGAAAAGAGAAAAGAACCTTCAGACATGCAGGGAAGTACTGGGCCAAAGAGAAAGGGAAGTTTCAAGTGTCAGTTGGTGAAGATTAAATCCCTGTAATATCTTGATCTCAGTGTGTAGTAAATTGTAGGTTTTTGATAAGTTAGATAATCCTGAGTCAATTCTTCTCTATCTACTGTGATTAAATGAGATATTTAGCAACCCTAAAAGCAAATCTGAGCGTGTTAAGAATGCCATAAAACAGTCTCCTCACAACTACTGAACCTCCAGTTCACACCACCTGGCTCTGCTGCTCCTCTAGGCTGGAGTGGCCTGACCCTCTCTCTCTCTTTGTCTTTGTCAGTCTATCCCACAGGACTCAGCAAAAGCCCATATGCTGCATGAAGCCTCTGTAACCACTCCAGCTGAGAGATAGCACATTCTTTTGAATGTCTGTCTCTACTGCTTATTTGGCATAAAGGCAAGAGCACAGGCTCCAGGGTTATGTGAATTCAATCACTCCATTCTTACCTGCCATGTGACCTTGGACAGGTCAAAGCCTCTCAGAACCTCACCCTCCTCTCATCTTGCTTTGGTGTGTCTATACTATGTGCGTGTCTTGCCTCCCATCAGGACTAGCTATGCAATTTGCAATGCCCAATGCAAAATGAAAATGTGGGACTCCTTGTTCAGATAGCAGGGAAAAAAAGCTTTTTCCTTTCATCCATAGGTTATCTCTGTCTCTCAACTTGTGATGGTGTTTTTGATTTGCTATTTATTGTCACACACTCCCTTGGGCATAGGGATTTTTGCAACATAAGTGGCCCCTGCAACTCAGCATCTGGGTATATGTGTCTGACCTTAACTCTTCCTGTACCTCTAGCTGTGTACTACCAGTAGAGAGAAGTAGAGGAGTGGTGATCAAGAGCCCATCCAGGGAGGTGGGCATAGCAGGACTACGTGTGAACCAAAGCTCCAAGCAGGAAGAATGCAAAGGATGAACGAAATGCTCCGTTGTCCCATTCACTCCACTTAGAAAACAAAAATTCAAAAATAAAAGTATTAGGATTTTCAAGGTGGCAACTGCAAAGCACTAAACCCAAGTGTGGGCCCTCTGCGACTGCACTAGTCACACATCTATAAAGCCAGCCCTGCCTCTCGTATAGATTTCAGGATCTTGGAGTGTGAGCATTGTTTGTTTTACATCTTTAAATCTTCTGTAGCACTTGTGCTTAATTGGGGCATGGCATTAGCTGCAGCATGATGCATTGCTATTAATGGGCTATTTTTCAATAAGAGAAAATGAGTAGGGGGTTGTAGGCCCAGTGACCCATTTCTGAGCAAGCAAATGATAGAACTTTCCTGGCATGGATGAGAGGTTTTTATTCAAATCCAGTGGGACCTCTGAAGGAAAAGCACACTCCAGAATGAATCCTGATGGATACGTTTTATTAAGCATTTCCAGGAATTACAGACTAGGAATGTAGGTAGGGAGAGAGCATAATTGAATAAACATGGAAACTCAAAATTCTCTGAGGCACCCTTGAGGATCCAATGTCACCATCTGAAGATGTGTTCTTTCAGAAGTGAAAAGATTGCATATGTGTGTATTGTGTTCTATGTAAGACATAGAAAAGGAAACCAATTCTGACCGGTCACCCTACAGAAAACTCGATGATTTACAAAACTGTGCTTCATTGTTCACTGGCCTTAGGGCAAGTCCTTTACTTTGGCCTCTTCTGCCAGGGAAGCCATGGTGTGGTGGCCTGGGGTCCTCGCAAGGCCCTGGCTCTAGGCACCGCTCTGCCAGCGCTAGCACTTTGGTTCCAACCATTTGGGATCTTATTCTCATCTTTTAATAAGCAGTTTAGTCATTTCCCAGCCTGACTGCTGTTATTTAATTAACACACCATCAGTATGAGTGCTTTTACAACATTATCTCTAAACCGCTTCAATTTGAACACTGAACAAAGTATAGTGTTATTATTTCTGGATTAGCCAGGACATAATTATAAAGCAACATGTTGCTATCACTTTATGATTTCTATTCCTCATATGGGCATACTTTCTTTAAATCTTTTTCAGAACGAATTGTTTAACCAGGCTTGATTGTCCTTCACGATGATAAACATGAAGTTATTGGTCAGCGTTGTCTTTACCTCTACTTTCATATATTTCATACACATGATGCAATTACTCAGGAGATCTTCTTTTTGCAAGATTTTTCCAAACCCCATTTATATTACTCTATCACTCAAGGTAACAACTAATCTTAGGCATAATATATCACTGCCTGCCTCTGAGGGGATCCAGAAGTTTTGGCAAACGCAATTGAACAGACATACAAACAGCCAGAGAAAGCCAGAGTTATATGTATTTTGGAAGGCAACGGTCCCAGAGGAAACAACAAAAATATCTGCTCAGTAATGCAAAGTGCTCCCTCCACTCTGCTGTAACTCGAAAAGAATTTCTCCCCTATATAAAAATAATTATGTATTAAGTTTGGATTTTCTGGAACTTGAAGCTCCTCTAGCAATAACTATTAAAACGTTATTTTACATGTTTCTATCGCTATTTTTTAGACGTGTCATTCCTAGCCATAAGTACATATGGAGGCTTTGATAAGGGTGTGTCACTGCTGCAAGCACCAAGGCTGTAGTCACCGGAACCATCATGAGAGTCTTAGCTACAGGCTGGGAAATCAAGACCAGAGAGGGGCAGAAATTTCTCCACAGCGAAGTGTATTCAGACCTCATAATGAACCACTTGACTGGGGACCATCAAAAGGACCATCAGACTGGTGTGCAGTTTGCTCAGAAAGACAAAAGTAAAGGCAAGGAGACTGAAATAGAGTCTGCATGAAGGGACTTCCACACTCAAACAAATAAATTATCATTTGCAGGCAAATGGACTAAGGCCAGTTGAGTCCTAACTATCAGAAAATGGAGAGCAAGAATGAAAAGGAAGCCAAGGTTACTAAGGGCTTCATAGGTATTAATAACCTCTAGGTCAGCCCATTAACAGGTCTGTGCAGAGACGGAATCTTGAATGAGAATATTTAATGATTAAAATGTACCCTATAGGCAAACATTCCCTTCCACTCAGAGAACAAGAAGGAATGTGAAAAGTCTGATTTCTGTGGGAAAGCACTTTGGTTCCAACCATTTGGGATCTGATTGACATCTTTAAATGAGCAGTTTAGTCCTTTGCAGGCCTCCCTCCAGTTGCACACAGGAGCATATTGCACATGGGATGCATCCCGTCTGCTCCACACGGAGGGAGTTTCCACTGAGCACAACACAGGGTGTGGAGTAGAATGAAGCCTTGGGTGTGTGTGCATTGTGAGATAAAATGACGATAGGGGCTTGTTTCTTGGCATGGCCCAGCATCAATCTCTGTAGGCAGGGCAGGCTCTATTTACCCATGGGCTGATTTGTTCCACACTAACCCCAAGCCACAGAGGTCACACCATCAACTGAGACTCCCTCAATGTGTCATCACAGCCAGTGTAGGGCAGCCCCTCTCAGGCTGGCACCAAAACCAGAAATGACTAAATATAACGCACTTTTTATCCTGTAGCTTAACATCTCCTTTACGCAAGTAAAATTTTTACAAGGGGCCTACTGAGCACCATATATGTGTCTGCATATTTTAGATTCTATGGAGGTGACCAAAAACATTGGTATGTTCTGTCTTCCTGGGAAGACATTCTTCTTCAAGGGAAGAATGAAACATAAAACACAGTTCTCAGGGCAAAAGTCTTGCTCATGCTTCATTAGGACTTTTGGCCTTGGATGAGACCAGGATTGAGGTGAGGGTTGACCCCCACCTTGACCCCCACACTCCCTCTCCCCCAACCTCCCACACCACACAAAGTACAGAAAAAGAAGTTTTTCTGGTTGTAGAGCCATTGAAGTAACAAATATTGTATAAAGGAGGAATTTCTTCTCTTTTACCCACAAGAAACCTAAGGCCTAAACCAAAAAAATAAATGACTCATTGAAAGATGGGAAAATAGAATCTAGGTCTCCTGGCTCCCAGCTTCATCCAGTAGCTCCCCAAATGGGTTTTCAAATCCAGGGTGCATCCTCAGAGGTGGCACAATTTTTTCACTAAGGCAGGGGTCCCCAGAGTTGTTATGAGATGTTAGGACAAATAAATAAAAGAAAAAGGGAAAACGATCAGGTTCTGTAGTCAACTAAGATGAGAAGAACCTGGATGAAACAGAGATTTTTCCCCTATAAATTTCTTAGCCCATTTGATGTGTGAATGTGAATTGTCAGTCTCTAAAGGGGGGATTATTGGACCCGGAACTCTACCTATGTATCTATGTATGTGTGTGTATCTATGTGTGTATACGTGTGTATGTATGTATGTATGTATGTATGTATGTATCTATCTATCTATCTATCTATCTATCTATCTATCTATCTGTCTGTCTGTCTGTCATGGAACATCTTCCAGACCAGCATTTCACAGGTCCACTGCAGAACTTCAGGCCCTTGTCCTTGGTATGACATGCAAAATGTGTGCTGGGCACTGCACCTGTGTACCAAGATGACTACTGGTGGCTGAGTTTAAACGTAGAGACCATGCTACCCACTCATTGACTTCTCAGTGACATGAAGTTTCCTAAAGCAGATGAAGGCCTCTTCACACATGTCTGCCCCTTACTCCAGGCTTATTACCTTCTGTGGATAAAGAGTGAGTTTGAAAGAAATCAGTGGACACATTAAAAAATATCCAGTAATACTGCAGCTGTTCTAATCCACTCCTACCAACAGTTTTGAAGAGATGTTGATAGCGAATCAAGCTTTATAACCATGTGATCCCATCTTATGGTTTCAATCCATGCACAGGAGGAAAATTGTGGGCACGAAGTTTCCAAAGGGAAAATTTATAGATTGGTAGTTAATGAAATACAGTTTTCCTCCTTGGCAAATTTAATTTACTAGCTTCACTGTATAGGAAAAAGCAGGAAAAAAATTAAAACCAACTCACCTCCAAACCTGTTTTGAGCTTTTACTTGTCTGCCCAATTGATAGTTTCTACTCTCTGCTTTTGATGAAAATATTTTTTATTATTTTAATGTAACTTCTGAAAACTAAATTATCTAGAAGCAAATAAAAAGATATTGCTTTTATAGTTCCCAGAAGGAAAAAACAAACACTAGGAAAGTTCTATCTATCAGATGGGGGAGATGTGATGGAGGCAGTGATATTTGAGCTGAGCCTTGAACAATGAACAGGAGTCTACCAAGCGAGAGGCTAGCGGGTGGCCCTCCAAGATAAAACAACAGCATGTACAAAGGCATGGAGACATACACATCTTGACTTTTCCAGGAATGGTGGGAACGCTGGTGGAGCTAGAATGTAGGTACATAGCATAAAGTGGCAGACGGGAAGCCTTTGGAAATCTTATTACATAGGACCCTGGATGCCATTCCAATGACTTTGAATTTTCTGTAGGCTGCCAGCGAAATTTCCAAGCGTGATAGAGTCATGTCTATCTATGCACTTCAGAAAGACAACCTCAGGGTTAATGAAGAAAATGCATTGGAATATAAGAAACTGGTGACCAGAGTGATCAATTGCATGACTGTTGTGAAAGTCCAGGTGAGGGGAGCTGTGGGCAAGGTCAGAGTTGAGAGGCATTTCAGAGATAAAATGACAGTAACTAAGTAGATGTCAGACTGAGAAGAAAGGGCTGTACCAGATATATGGTGCTATCATTAAGTGAGCTCAACATTGCAGAAAAGGGGTAGGTTTGGTGGGAGTTGCTCACAAAACATGTTTAGTCTAAGCAAAACCATTGCCATGGGCTCAGATAAAAGTTAAGAAGTGGAAACCATTCCTACATTCCTATAGGAGCTGCTATCTGGAAGGCCTAGTATACACGTGGCTTTTCAGCTGTGATTTTGTTTGATTTTAGGGATTATTCTTTTTCTGAATCTGAGCAATGTTAGCGTGTAAAATACTCACGCCCACAGCTTTGACTGGGTGAGAAGTTATCATAAATCATATTGAGTTTGTTGTGATACCTTCAGCTTCAACAAGTGATGAGTCAGGTCAACTCCATGTGAAAGTTCCTTGCTAAGCATGCAGATATTCTGAAAGGTTTCCTGGTACACTGGCTCATGGCACAGATAGGAGAAATTGAGGAAGGTAAGTCTTTGACCCCACCTGATAACACCTAGTTTGAGTCAACCTGGTTAAGTACAAATATGAGAAGGCTTCTCATTCAGGTCCATGCTTGCCTACTCCTCTGTCCACTGCTTTCGTGAAGACAAGATGAAGTTCACAGTGAGTAGATTTTTCCTTTTGAATTTACCACCAAATGATTGGAGACTGTCAATATTCTGAGATTTAGGAGGTCTGCTTCTTATGGCCCCATCATGGAAAATTTGTTTTAAAAAAATTCTCTCTTCAAACACATGGACACAGAGAGGGGAACAACACACACTAGGTCCTGTTGGGGGGTGGAGAGTGAGGGGAGGGAACTTAGAGGACAGGTCAATAGGGGCAGCAAACCACCATGGCACACATATACCTATGTAACAAACCTGCACGTTCTGCACATGTATCCCTTTTTTTTAGAAGAAGAAATAATGAAAAAAAATCTTTTTTCTATTTATATAATCATGGCATTTATAAGCATCTCTATAGAGAAGGATAATTGTGCTGAGATTAGACAGCTGTCTGAGCACCTCACACTGACCTATTTTTAACAAAATGACTTTCCGCATCACCTGATTCCGGTCTCCATGCAGGGTAAGCAGTTCCTAAGCCCTAGAAAGTGCCGATCATCCCTCATTCTTGAATTCCTCCTTTTATTTACCAAAATTCCTGAGCATGTTCAGGAAAGATGAAAAGCTTATTATCAAAATAAGTGGCTGAGATAGACTTCTTGTCACATTTGTTACAGTAAAATGGGTCTCCAAGAAAGAAAGATTTGCCTTGGGCTCTAGCATGGCCATTTATTTAAGAAAGCATCTGAAACATGAAGCTACCACAGCATCTCTCCTGTGGTTCCAGACAGAAGCCTGAGAGTCTAGGAGGAGGTGGACCGAGAAACCCTGCCAAAGTAACTAGTAGTGCCGGGTTTCTCACAACACGATGCAAAGGGGCTAGAATCAGATGACTATTTTCATGTTTCAACATACTACACACTGGAAAACGTTACGGCAGACTCTACTTTATAATGGGGCTGCAAATGTAAAATGACTACCTAGAACTAGGTCCTCTTAATAGCAGCAAAGTTTAAAAGGGTCAGAGGGAGCTCCAGACACAGGTTAGATTTGATTTCTCTCCTAGTTCTGCTGTGAACAAGAGGTATAAGTTTGGCCAACTCACTTAACCCCTGAAGCTCAGTTACCTTATCTGTAAAATGATTGCATTGTACTAGGTGTTCTCTAAAATTTCTTCTACCTCTGACTTTTTAGGAGACTAATTTTTAACTCCTTTTTAAGCTATTGGGAGAAAAATTTAATTTTTTTTCAAAAGTTACCTTGAATCTCTAGAGCAGTTCTCAAAACTATTTTGTCCCAGGCAAAGGAAATGAGACTAGGTACCCAGAATGAGGCACCCTGCATAAAGCTCTGTGCTCTGAAAACCAATGTCAGGGACCCTGTGATAAATAATTAAACCAAGTATCCTGGGACACTGCTAGTGACATCGCCTCTGCTGATCACTCTTGCCAGCGAGACACTCTATACTTGCTTTCTCATCATTGGCATCCAAACTGCCTACTAATCCATTGCTTTGGAAAGTTTTTTTTAATAAAAAGATTATTTCTATTAGGAAGAAAACATCCCATGTTAAATAGGAAAATTAACTGAAATCATTTTCAGATGTGATTTTTAGCACTTATAGCCATCTCAAACCATAGTATTCATTTATACTATGCTATTTATTGTAAAACTTCTTTTTTTTTCCAAGGAAAATAAGATAGTTTGCTTTATTTTAAAACAGTAACTTTCTTATATTGGGGCACTGACCAAAATTCAATACTGGTACAAATATGTTACCTAGGAGGTCAAAATATGTGCCAGGTGAATTTTCTGAATTTCTCTAAAGAGAGAATTTTAAACCTTATAAAACAATTAGAAACAAGTGAGTGAGAGGTGAGCATCAACAACCTGTGTAACATAAGCCACAGTACAAATTTAAGCTGAATAACCAAGCCATGTCAGTTATCCCAAATCATTTTTGTTAATATTTAGGAGGATACACATATTTTCAATAACTTAAAAGTGAATCTTTACTCCTATCTCTTAATACTCGAAGAAGTATAACTTTCTTCTTTTACTAGATTTAAATAATCCAAATATCTACTCAAGGTAGGATGCTGTCATTAACTATAGCTGAGTTTATCCAAAATAGAAAAATCATGAAGATTTATAAAGCATTTTAAAAATAATCATTTATAGCAAGTCCTTGAAAGCTCTAAATAAGAAAGGCAGTTCTCTACTTTCTAATAACACCTATGGTTTATATTACATAATATAATTCAACAAAACAGCATTCTGACCAATGATAATTTATAGGAAATTCATTTGCCAAGTATATGTTTTATTATAAAGTTAATATTTTGACCAATCTTAAAAATTTTTAAACTCTATTCTGACATTTCCAGAAGTATTATCTTAGCAAAGTCATCTTTATGATACCACTTATTAAACTGAAGAGAAACAAGATGGTACATTCTGGGTTTTACTTTAAAAGGGATTTGATTCAATAATTTGATTTATCACTACTTGAAAATTACATTTTCTTCCTCAGTACTGGATGGCAATGAGATGAAAGCAGCTTTCCTGGCTCTCAACTTCCCTTCTTCATCAATTTTTCCAGCGTTTCATAAGGCCTACACTAAAAATTCTAAAACTATATATCACATTAATATAATTACTTATAATTAATCAGCAATTTCACATTATCGTTAAAACCTTTATGGTTAAAAAATGCAAGGTAAGAGAAGAAAAAAACACATTGAACTAGAACTGAACACATTGGTAAAATTAGTGAATACTTTTCATAAGCTTGGATAGAGGAAGAAAGAAGACATCATTTTGCCATGTAACAGGAGACCAATGTTATTTGTGATTTCAGATTGTCTTTGCTGGACTTCTTGGAGTCTTTCTAGCTCCTGCCCTAGCTAACTATGTAAGTCTCACCTTTTCAAGTTTGCTACCAAAATGCATTTGCAAGGAAATGTGATATTAAATCACTCTCAATCTCTTATAAACTTCAGAATATCAACGTCAATGATGACAACAACAATGCTGGAAGTGGGCAGCAGTCAGTGAGTGTCAACAATGAACACAATGTGGCCAATGTTGACAATAACAACGGATGGGACTCCTGGAATTCCATCTGGGATTATGGAAATGTAGGTAGTCAACGTGCAATTTTCACTTTATTGTTTAAAAATACGATTTCTTTTTAACAAAAAATGTGCATGTTAACCATAAAGAAATTAAAAATAAATTCTAATTACACATAGCATACAGTTATAAGTAAAGGTGACCATTTTGCTCATCCGATTTTGTTCCCTAGAGATAACTACTGTTAATAAGTGTTGCATGATCAGTTAAAATTCAAACCAACAAACACTATGTTCAAGGGATTGTGGGTATATACAACAAATATGAACATCCTTTTGCCTTGCCTGCAGATACCCTCAATAATGCTGAAAGACTTATACAACATTACTGCTTCCAAAGCTTAGACTATCTCACTTTGTTTTCAAAGGAGGTTTTACGACCTTCTAAAGAGATTGAAATTGACATTTCACCTAAAACTCGGGAAATGTAAATGACAATATTAATTGGTAAGAGAGGAAAGAAGAAAGAAAGAAGGAAGGAAAGAAAGAAAGAAGGAAGGAAGGAAAGAAAGAAAGAAAGAAAGAAAGAGAGAGAAAGAAAGAAAAAGAAAAAAGAGAGAAAGAGAGAAGGAAAGAAAGAGAGAAGGAAAGGAAAAGAGAAGCAAAGAAAGAGAGGAGCAAAGAAAGGAACACTTAGCACTAGTTAGGAGACCCAACTCTGGAATTATCAGCTATATATTTAACAAACGTTATACTTTTAAATAGCAAACTCTTTATTGTTTCAATTTTATCTGGTCAATTGGAAAAATAATTTTTGTCTTATCTGTCTCCTTGAAATGTGAGGATCAAAGGAGACTAAAACATGATAGCTTTTAAAGTCTATTTCAGTAAAACAGACTTATATAGAGGGGTTTTTATCATGCTGGAACCTGGAAATAAAGCAAACCAGTTAGATGCTCAGTCTCTGCCCTCACAGAATTGCAGTCTGTCCTCACAAATGTCAGCAATAGATATGATTGCCAAGCAGTGCCCCATCCAGTGCTCTTATCCCAGCTCATCACGATCTTGGAGTTCCCATTTCTCTCTGCAGGTGGAACTGACCTCTGATAAGAAAAGCTCCTCGGAGAACACATGCCTCACTATTTGCCATCTACTTTAACAGGGCTTTGCTGCAACCAGACTCTTTCAAAAGAAGACATGCATTGTGCACAAAATGAACAAGGAAGTCATGCCCTCCATTCAATCCCTTGATGCACTGGTCAAGGAAAAGAAGGTAAAAATAAAAGGCTTTTTATTTTTGGTGAGGGGAGAGGTTTTACATCCTTCAGTAAATAACGAGAAGATCACAGTCATTCCCTCTTGACTACAGTATGTTGTAGTGTGCAGCACAAAGGGGGAAGTTATTGGTGATTGCCTGAGGGAAGGCAACTTCTGCCACATCAAATGCTGTGGCTCACACCTACCTCTACAACCGCTGAGCAAAGCACTTGAAACCTTGACTGTTAGAGGAGCAAAGCTCTGGTCACACCAATAGGAGCCTCAGTACTTTGCCAAGGACATTTTTCTGCAAGAGTTAGTTAGGGTTATTAGATTTAGCAAATGAAAATAGAAGATATCCAGTTAGGTTTGAATTTTAGGTAAGCAGCAGGTCTTTTTAGTATAATATATCCTATGCAATATTTGGGATATACTAAAAAAAGATCCATTGTTTATCTGAAATTCAAATGTAACTGGGTATTGTATATTTTGTCTGGCCATACTAATCCAGGTGAGTGGAAAGAAGAGATCCATAATGTTTTAAAATATTTGCCTGAGTTCATATTCCTATAACTGATAAATGAGTACCTTTCATTGACAAGGTAGAGAAAATAAATAAACTGCATTCTCAGAAGATGATTATTACATAGTCTAATCCAAGGAATCTATGATGACCAAATGAGGTCCAAGTTGCAGAATAAATTAAGCCTCAGACTTCTGTGTTTATGAGAAGCTGAGGTTTCAAACCAGCTAAATCCCTTAGGACACTTAGAAATGCTAAGATATACAGAATAAGCTAGAAATGGCTCTTCTTCATCTTGATTATGGAAAAATTTAGCTGAGCAACACTCACTGTTGGCCTCGTATACCCCTCAAGTCAACAAACCACTGGGCTTGGCATTCATTCTCTCCCATTCTTCCTTTCTACCTCTCTTTTCCACACTCAGCTTCAGGGTAAGGGACCAGGAGGACCACCTCCCAAGGGCCTGATGTACTCAGTCAACCCAAACAAAGTCGATGACCTGAGCAAGTTCGGAAAAAACATTGCAAACATGTGTCGTGGGATTCCAACATACATGGCTGAGGAGATGCAAGGTGAGTAGCATCCCTACTGTGCACCCCAAGTTAGTGCTGGTGGGATTGTCAGACTATCCTCGCGCGTGTCCATAGTGGGCACCAGTGATGCAGGGATGGTCATCAAGGCCAACATTTGTGCAGTGCTTGCTCTGTGCCAGGTACTGTTCTATGTGCTTTAAGTGTGTTAACTCGGTTCTTCACAGCAATCTTATAGGTTCTATTTTAATCCTACTTTATGGATGAGGAAACTGAGGTACAGAGAGGTCACAAAATCCTTGCCTGGGTCAATTCCAAGCATTTTGGCTGTGGATTCTGTGCTCTTAAATATTATGGAACACTGCCTTTTAAGTGTGAATCAAGAGTAGACTCAAGTCATATTCAAAAGAATGCATGAATGGCTAAATGAAAGAAGAATGCTAATAGAATCTATTAACTTTCTATAGCTCAGACAATCACTTAATTTCTGGACATTCAAAGAACAGCTGCACACAAACAAAGTGTCTACCTAGGGACCTAACTTAATGGCAATTTTCCAGATCTCTGAATTGATTGATTTCATCACAACAAGTAGATAAACCTTGACATTAGCACATAGCTAGTTTGGAAACCCCTACTCCCCCAATCCCCTCCAAGAAAAGAGTCCTTAAATAGACATTAATATAGGCTTCTTCTTTTCTCTTTATTAGAGGCAAGCCTGTTTTTTTACTCAGGAACGTGCTACACGACCAGTGTACTATGGATTGTGGACATTTCCTTCTGTGGAGACACGGTGGAGAACTAAACAATTTTTTAAAGCCACTATGGATTTAGTCATCTGAATATGCTGTGCAGAAAAAATATGGGCTCCAGTGGTTTTTACCATGTCATTCTGAAATTTTTCTCTACTAGTTATGTTTGATTTCTTTAAGTTTCAATAAAATCATTTAGCATTGAATTCAGTGTATACTCACATTTCTTACAATTTCTTATGACTTGGAATGCACAGGATCAAAAATGCAATGTGGTGGTGGCAAGTTGTTGAAGTGCATTAGACTCAACTGCTAGCCTATATTCAAGACCTGTCTCCTGTAAAGAACCCCTTCAGGTGCTTCAGACACCACTAACCACAACCCTGGGAATGGTTCCAATACTCTCCAACTGCTCTGAAGGCTGCTCTATAGTTGTTGTGCACAGTAACGTTTCAGATCAGCAAGGACAGAAATTCACTCAGAGTCACATAAGCAAGAAAGGGTGGTTTATTGCAAGGATATAAGAATATCTCAAAAAATCTGAGGGCAAGAAAAGCAGCTGGTTATCAAAAAAACTACATCCAGGAACTCTGCTGACACCAAGACCCAAGTCTGCTTCTCTCCCTGAAGCCACGCGTTACCTTTTCTCTCTTCTTCTCTAAATTTTACTTCCCTCTTTTTCGCATATTGCGGATGGATTTTTTTGTGCTCATGGCACAGAATGGCTGACCCAAATTTTCAGCCTCATCTCTCGTGTTTACATGTCTTTCCAGTTCAAGAGGTAATAACTCATATTGAATCCCAATTCCATTTTCCTTGATCCTGTTTGGCTCAAAGTTAGCAACTTCCATTCACTGATGGCCAGGAAAGTGAAAGGTCTCAGAGAAAATAGAGACTCTAAATATTGTGTATTACAATATAAAACTGTTAACTTTTCAAAGCTGCCCCCATACATCTTTTTTTAATCCCCAGTGCCATAGGGGAATATCTAATCCATTCTCATGTCTTCAGGTGAAATAGCCACAAATAATCCTAACAAATAAAACTAAAGACATTGATTCTCACCATTTGGAAAAATGCTAATATTTACCAGTTTTTATTGGGATGAAACTGTTATATTTTTCCTCATACTGATATTATTTCATAACTGTTCACATGAAGTGCACTATGAGGTTAGTAGAACTTCCAAAATATTCTGAAGCCATGAGAGGTAAAAACTTATCAAAACCCCATCAAAGGTCATGGCCTTAGATATTTTCCTACTGTGAGTGAGAAAGAAAGAAAACTGTGACTCATAAACTGGATACAATGTCATCTACCTGACTTTTGGGAACTGGTAAATCCCATGTTTCTTAGAAGAATTGTCTACCCCCTATTTCATGATAAAAAATTAAATTCACTAGGAATATATAAAAATTCTAGATTATATATACTTATCAAAATACATAAAAGAAAAATTATAAGAATTGAGGAGAATTTAACAATTTAATTATCTTAGTTGAAGATTTTAACATATATCTTTCAATAAGCTAGAAATGAAGTAGTTACAGATATAAAAAATGTTTAACACAATTAACAAGCTTATGTTAATAAACATATGTAGAACACTGCAGAATATATATCCTCTTAAGCATGTATGAAACATTTACGGCCGGGCGCGGTGGCTCACATCTGTAATCCCAGCACTTTGGGAGGCCGAGGCGGGTGGATCGCAAGGTCAGGAGATCGAGACCATCCTGGCTAATACGGTGAAACCCCGTCTCTATTAAAAATACAAAAAAAAAAAAAAAATTAGCCAGGTGTGGTGGCAGGCGCCTGTAGTCCCAGCTACTTGGGAGGCTGAGGCAGGAGAGTGGCGTGAACCTGGGAGGCGGAGCTTGCAGTGAGCCAAGATCGCGCCACTGCACTCCAGCCTGGGCGACAGAGCGAGACTGTCTCAAAAAAAAAAAAAAAGAAAAGAAACATTTACAAATATTGGTCATTGCTGAGACATAAATAAAATCTCAAAAAAATTCAAATGACTGGCATCATAAAAGAAGAAATTTTTATGACCTAATTTTAATTAGGATAAAATAAACATTTTTCTCTAAATAAAACCAAATTACCCATTTGTTTTGAAATCAGGTATACTAATTCTAAATAATACAAGCGCTAACAAAAAATTCATGAATAAAAGTAAAACACATTTAGAACTGTGCAATAATGAAAACACTGCATATAAAACCTTATGAGTAGTAGCTATAGCAATGTGTAGTGAAAAACTGGTAGCCTTAAATCTTTATTTTATAGAAGAATGGCTGAACATTGAGTTAGGCCTTCAATTTTACAAATGAGGGATAAGCATAATGTATACAAAATACATATGAGGAAAGAAATAATATTGACAATTCAGAAATTAATAAAATTGAAAACAAATGTACAATAGTAGTAAAGGAATAGGGTCAAAAGTTTATAAACTTCACAAGAGAAAATTCCAGACCAAGATGGTTTTTACAGGCAATCTAACAAATATTGAAGATACAAATTACTCTAAGCTTATACAAACTATTCAAATGTATAAGGGGAAAACAAAACCAGGAGTACTTCCAACTCATTTCATAAGAATATTATTAACTTGATTTCAAAACCTGACATGGATTGTATGAAAAAGTGAAATTAAAGATTGATCTCTGTCATAAATATAGATGCAAAATTTCTTAACAAAATCATTGCAAATCAGTTGGGCAATGTATACAAAAGATAATATAGCATGATTAGTTGGATGTTTCATAGCAATCCAAGTTGATTTGATCATAGGAAATAATGTAATTTGCTGCATTAAAAGACAACAATTTTGTGATGTATCTCAATAGCAACAAATATTCATACTTAAAAGAAGTAATTCTTTGAAATTTAGGAATCAGAAGAAACTTAAACTAAGATCATCCCTTCCAAAAATCTACTGTAAGTATCATATAAAACAATGAAATCATTCCTATTAAAAAAATAAATAAAACAAAATGCCTGCCATCACAATTTCTATAAACATTGTACTGAAAGTTAGTAAAGCAAGAAAAATAAATAAAAAGACATAAAGATTAGAAAGAAAGCAGAAAAAAGCCATCATTCTGCCCAGATGACATGATTTTCTGTGTAAAAACTCAAAGAAACCTATATAAGTTATGAGAGTCAGAGAATTTAGAGATTTCTAAGTACCAAAATGACAATCAAATATGAATTGTATTTTTAATGCATCAGCAGCAAATATAGAAACTTTAATTTTTTGTAGATACACTTATAATTGCAAAAGATATGACATACCTAGGAAAAACTATTTAGTAATATTTCTTAAGCACCTTAATAGTGCTACATCCATAGCACTATTCCACTATAGAAATCCATCAGCATATAAAAATGCAAAGATCCCTGCCTCTTTTAGCTAACATTTTAGTTAGAGGAGACAGAAATAATGATAAATATAATTAATTAATAGTAGGATATTTTGTAGGATAGTAATTTATACTGTAACATAATAGCATAGTATTTTTTCTTAGCATGCTAAGAAAAAAAGTACTGAGCAGAGTAAGAGGAATCAAGAGTGTCAGGAGGTAAGAGGCAGTTTGCAATTTGTAATAGGGTATTTGGGATACACATCGAGAAGGTGACATTTGAACAAAGACGGAAGGAGATGAAGTTCTTAGCCATGCCAATATTTCTGAGAGAAAAGCATTATGAGCAGAGGAAACAGCCAGTGTTAAGGCCTAAGACAGAAGCGTGTCTGGCACATTAAAAGTACAGCAAGGGGATCAATGTGGCTGAAGCAGAATGAGCAAAGCAGAGAGTAATAGGAGATGAGGGCAGAGGGGTAATGGAAAACGAAATCATGAAGAGCCCCTTTGGGTGTTACTCTGAGTAAAATAGGGAGACATTGCAGGAATTTGAGCAGAGATGAGATATCATTTTGCTAAGTAATAACCAACAAAAGAAGTGCTAGACTTCTATGGAAACTTTATTGAGATGTTAAGGTAAACTAAATAAATGCAGAAATACACCATAGCCTTGAATTAGAAGATGTAATATTACAAAAATGTCAGCTCTTCTGCAATCTATAGATTTAAGGCAAATTGTAAACAAATTTTCAACATAGTGTGTGTGTGTGCATGTGTGTGTGTGTGTGTGTGTGTCTACTACATAACAAACTAAATTTAGAATATACATGGAAGATCAGGGGCCAGTTGGGAGACAGTTCTCCATGAGTTGTTGGTGCTTCTATACATCTTGTGAGTAGAAGCACTGACTGCCCTTTGTTCTTAACTAATTTTTGCAAAGATTTTTTGTATGGCAAATAGCTTTGGAAGATAGAGATAGTGTCTTCCTTTAGAAGAAAGAGCAAGCATGCTATTATAAAAGATTCGAGTTCCCAAAGCTCAGGGTTTCTCTCAGTAATGCAATCCACTGTGTGTGCAAGCATCAATCTTGGTCTACATCATCACTTCTATGAGACTTATAGGCAACGAGCACTGACACAAACATGCTCATGCTCACACTGCTTGCTGTGACACGAGTAATAAAGTCCTTTGTCTCTGATCCAGAAGTCTCATGTCTTCTGTCATCATCCATGAAACGATAGCTTTCAAGTAGGATAAAATTTCAGACCCTTCCTGAAAAGGCCAAAAATAGCCAAGTTACTGGTGCAGAACAATGAAGTGAGTGATTTGACCTATCATAATTATGATAGAGACATGATAATTAAGATGGTGTGATATGAGTATTAGAATATTCCAATTCATCAATGGAACAAAATGGAAAGCCTAGAAATAAATTCACACATCTATAGATGGCTGGAATAGGACACAGGTTGCACTCTAGGTTCAGTGGGTGAAACATGGGCTTTTTAATCAATGGTATTAAAACAATTAGGTAGCCAAATAAAATAAAAACAAACTAAAAAATGAAATAGACCTCTACCTCATACCTTATTAAAAAATTAATCCCAAGTATATTAAATCTCTAAATATAAAAGGCGAAAAAGTAGAAGGTAATATAAAATAATAACTACATGACTATTGAGAAAAGAAAGGATTTGCTAAACTTCACATAAAAAATCTTAGCCATAAAATAAAATATTAATAAATTTCTCTACATTAGAAATAAGAATGTCTGTTTACCCAAAGACAACAAAAATCATGTGGAAAGACATAAACTAGTAGAGATATTTGCAACACATAAACTGGGTAAGAGATTTGTACAAAAGCGATGTTAAGAATTCTAACACATCAATGAGAAAAAGATGAGTAGAAAAACGGACATTAATATGTTTCTAACATTAGAGGAACCCTGAATGGTGAATCTGGATATGAAGAGATCTTAACTTCATTAGTAATAAGAAAAATGCAAATTTAAGCCATAGTGGGAAGATCATTGTATACCCATCCAAGTGGCAAATGAAAAAGTCTAATATCGGGTGTTGAAGAGAATGTTCAGTAACCAGAAAATGGCCAGAACAACTGTGAATTTATACAACTGCTTTGTAAAACAATTCAGCATTGTCTAATAAAGTTGAAGCTGTAAATATCCTGATCCAATAATTGCACTCTTCGGTATATATCCTAGAGAAACTCTTGCACATGGGCATCCAGAAACATGTACAAAAAAGTTCATAGCAACAGAGTTTGAAACAGCAAAAAACTGGAAATAATCCAAATATTTGCCAACAGTAGAACAGACAAATATATTTATTTAGTAGGAATACTAAACATCAAAAAAAAGAAAACTATATTAATCACAGCCACACACAACAACATGAATGACTCTCTGGAAAATAATTTGGGGCCCAAAAAGCAAATTGCACAAGAAAACATACAGCATTTATATAAACTACAAAAACATGCAAAATAGACAGTATGTATATTTTAGAAATGCATGCATTTGTGGTAAGACTATGATGAAAAACAAGGGAATAATAACACAAAATTGGGTATAGATATTAACCCCTGAGATGAGGAGAAGTGTTCATGATGAGTACATGGAAGACTTCCAAGGTGGTAGTAATGGTCTCTCTCAAACTAGATGGAGGGGAGGGGTGTTCATGGGTGTGTATTGTAACATTATTCTTCACATCTTACATATATTTTAAAGTAGTCTTTGTCCTTACTCAATACTTAATCACAATTTTAAAAAGTTGAAAGCACAAGTAAGATCATGTTATGAAGACAATAAGAGAGTAGACCTGTGCAGATGGAAAGAAACTGCTCTTTCATTCCAACATGAGGCAGAGGCCTCTCATTGCTGGCTCAACTCAATGTTTGTTGGTTCCAAACATTCAGCCTTTGACCCATATTCCCAGAAGAGTGGTGTAAGTGAAAATGAGTTCATTCAGCACCAGGATACAAGAGGACTGCAGAGAGAGCTCACTGTTCCTGGGCTATGCCAGGGCCAAGCCCTGCCCTCTGCAAGATTCTAAATCACCACTGAGAAGCCTGCTGTGCACAGCTTTCCATTTGCAGTTTTGTTTGGCCTTGGGGATGACCTGAGTAACTAACGCCAGGCCACGGTTCACCTTCCGCACTTGGCCTATTGGGATTGGGAGATGCAGCATGTACACAGAGCTGGCTGGCTTGCAGGGTCATCAGAAGTTTTCCTGACTTCATGACCCCAAGAGACACCGGAGAGGAGCAGATAATATCCTATCAGAGGCCTCTCAGAGAGCGAGGTTAACAAAAAATACTTTAGATAAGCCCTTGCCCATTATTACAGTATTTTTCTGGCCTCTGCGCAATTGTAGATACTGCAATAATGGGCAAGGCAAGGGCTTATCTAAGAGTTTATCTGACATAACTAGATCATTTAAAACAAACCTCCAGCAATTGGATCCTTCCAGAACATTCACGAATACATTTTAACCTATAAGTCAATTTTTCTAAGGAACTTTTATATTGATATATACATATATTCATTAACTGAGTTTTAATTTCCCAAATATTTGAAAGTTTAGAAATAATCAATCAAGAATATCAGCACAATCAAATTAAGGCACAAGAGGCCGGCCACAGTGGCTCCCGCCTGTAATCCCAGCACTTTGGGAAGCCAAAGCAGGTGGACCACTTGAGGTCGGGAGTTCAATACCCGGCTGACCAACATGACGAAACGCTGTCTTTACTAAAAATACAAAAATTAGCTGGGTGTGGTGGTTGGCACCTGTAATCCCAGCTACTGGGAGGCTGAGGCAGGAGAATCGCTTCAACCTGGGAAGCAGAGGTTGCAGTGAGTAGAGATCGCACCACTGCACTCCAGCTTGGGAGACAGAGCAAGATTCCGTCTCAAAAAGAAAACAAAAGTAAGGCAGAAGAGAAAATATGCCAGACCTTACATTTAAATAATATCTACTCACATATTCAAACTAGGCTGAAATTGTAGCCAGCTGGTCAGAGGGGAGGGTGGCCTGGTGACTCTTGGACATGCGACTGGTTTCCAAAGTAAAGGTACTCTTGTGGAGATAATAATGCCTAGGACTTTGATCATGTATTTCTTTTTTACAGTATGTACTGTATATTATTTCTTTTTTCCTTTCTGTCTCTCCCTCCATCCATTTCTCTCTTTTTCTCTCTTTCATTTTTTTCTCTTTCTCACTTTTTTTTGGCCTAATTGAATTGGTTAAACCATTAAGTACAAAGAATATACAAAAGTGATAGCAGATATCCTCAACTTGTATTTCTATTTTTTTCATCGCCATACAGAGTTCCAACAATCAGTTTGTCATAGATACATTGAAAGATTTATCTAATTTATCTAATATTTGTTAGATTACCTTAACTTGGAAAAAAAGAAAGAAATTAATGAGATAAACTTTTAAATGTTTATATTTGAATGGATTATTTTAAATGAACTAGGAGGATAGAACTTCGCTCAGATTTTTTTAATGTTCTTTCTATGATTTGAACATTATTAAAAGGTCAGTTTCATAATGCAAGACAAAACATTTAGCTTAATCAGAAAATGGACTTCAGCGCCTAATAAATTATTTCTAGATAACTGGAGTATCCTGCCTTACAGTTGGGGTGCAAATAATAGCTCCCTGGTAATACGCTCAAAACTCATTTGCCAAGATTTGCCAGATTCTAGACTTTCTGTCTCCCTAGGGCTTTGCCTACCAAGTCTGTATATTTGGGAGTATATTTTTGTCTGAAGGGCCTTCCTGGTCACTCTCAGTTCTACATGAAGCCAGAACCATACATGTCTCACTGAGCCTGGAAGACTCCTCGATGGCTGCCAGAATAAGCTGAATTGCAGCTGCTGCCGTCCCCTAAACAGAAGGTCTGGTTCTGACGCTGAAATCTGGATACTTGAAAGAGAGGTCTTTGCTTGCTCTTGTGGCCCACAATTGAATCAGAACAAAGCTTCCCCTCCTGAAACTTGTGATTGTCAGACACGAGGTTAAGGTTGAACACTGCATTGCCAAGGTTTGGCTCCTGGTGCAGATTCCCGCCTAAGCTGCAATAGTTCAGCCAGATGACTTCTGCAACCAGGTGTGTGTCATCTTAACACTGGGCTCTGCTCCAAACCAAATACATTGATCCAGGGTTTGCTTATCAATTCTCTCGTTTTTCTGTTTTATAATTCATCAGTGTATGTTTTCTTTAATATTACTTACTAATTTTTAAATTCTTACTCTCCTTAAGCTTATCATTCCTTTTATATTAAGCAATAAAATCACTTACCACCATTAATTTCTTCTGTGTATAACTGACTTCATTCCTTAATTTTCGACATGTATTCTTAACATCATTATTATTTATTTTAAAAGCCAATAGCTACATGTTTTATTACCTCAACTACAAAAAATACTGTAGGACTGTATTTTGAATTGTTATGTCATTTGTTCTTTTATTGTTAATTTATAGTTTTATCTGTGGCATGTGAATCTCCAATTGGAATTTATAGAGCTTTTCTCAAGTCTAGATCAATTTTTGAAAACATTCCAGGGATATTTAAAAAGAAGATGTGTCAGCTCCAAGATTCAAAGTAGAATGTAAAATTAGAGAAGGTGGAGTTTAATTCTCTCTCTTTGAGCATAGGTTGGACTCAGTGACATGCTTCTAGCCAACAGAACATAGAAAGGAAAAAATAGTGAATTTCCAGTGGAGAAATCTGGCTGACACCACCTTAACCAAGTGATCAAGGTGAACATCATCAATATTAAACAGGTTGATATCTTGTGTCCTCTCATATGATGTGACCTTCACCTTGCTCATATTCTTCCTCCAAATCCATAACCCCAGTATAATCATGAGAAAACTTCAGACACATCCAGACCAAGGGACATTTTACAAAAGATCTGATAGAAATCTTCAAAGATGTCAAGGTTATTGTATTTGTTTCTCAGGGCTGCCATGCCAAATTACTACAAACTCAGTGGCTTAAAATAACAGAAATTTATTTTCTCCTAGTTCTGAAAGCCAGAAATTTGAAGTTGAGGTGTCAGCAGGGCTACAGGAGGAGAGTCCCTCCTTGCTTCTTCAGCTTCTGGTGGTGTCTGGTGTTCCTTGGTTTATGGCAGCACCCCTCCAATCTCTGCCTCCGTCTTTACACGGCCTTCTCCCCTGCATGTCTCTCTGTCTCAAATCCTCTTCTCCTTTCTCTTATAAGTCATTAGATTTAAGGCGTACTCTAAATCCAAGATGATCTCATCCTGCAATCTTTAACTTAGTTATGTCCACAAAGACCCTATTTCCTAATAAGTTCTTCCAGGGGTATCAGAGGTTAGGGTTTGGACACATCTTACTGGAGAACCCAATTCAACTTGCTAAAGTCATGAAAGACAAGGAGACTGAGAAACTGTCACAAATTGGGGAAAACTAGGGAGCCCTGATGACTGAATGCAATGTGGGATCCTGTCTTGGATCCTAGAGCAGAAAGAAGGCATTAATGAAAAAACTGGTTTAAAAAATCCAAAGAAAATCAGTAGGTGAGTTAACAATATTATAACAATGGTAGTTTCATAATATTGCTTAACAATGTCTTAACATTAATTTCACAGTGTTGATCATTGTGTCATGGTTATTTAAGATGTTCAGATTGGGGGCCGGGTGCGGTGGCTCACGCCTGTAATTCTAGCACTTTGGGAGGCTGAGACAGGCAGATCACGAGGTCAGGAGATGGAGACCATCCTGGCTAACACGGTGAAACCCTGTCTCTACCAAAAATACAAAAAATTAGCCAGGTGTGGTGGCATGTGGCTGTGGTCCAAGCTGCTCAGGAAGCTGAGGCAGGATAATCACTTGAACCCAGGAGGCAGAGGTTGCAGTGAGCCGAGATCACGCCACTGCACACCAGCCTAGGCAACAGAGTGAGACTCCATCTAAAAAAAAAAAAAAAATATATATATATATATATATATGTATATATATATATATGTTCAGATGTTCATCCATATTAGAGGAAGCTGGGAGCAAGGTACATAAAAACTCTGTCTTTATCACTTCTCTATAAATCTGAAATTGTTTCAAACTCACAAGTTTTTAAAGTGACTAGATTGAACTACTTTATTCAAAGATAAAGATTGAGATTTTGTTTAAAAATCTAGATATTAGAAAAGACAAAACTAAAGAAACACTGATATGTGAAAAAAGAAATTGGAAAGAATGTATAGATACATTTTAAATAAATAATAAAATCAGGGGTGGTAATATTGTCAAAAAGAAGAATTTGTGGCAAAATTAGTGAATAAAATAATAGAAGGTCCTTTGGGATAACAAAACATTCAATCTATATTGAAGTCAACTTTAGAAACAAAATTACATAGATTGAAGATATATAACACCAAAAAAAAATCTATTGGAAATGCTAAAAGAAACTAGCAAAGCTACAAAATGGGAAGAGATTTCTATCAGTTTCCGACAGTTCAAATTCACAAAAATAAAATATTAAAAACTTCAATATTTAGATGTTTGCACCAGGAAGTGGAAGCTCCATGAAATGCAGACTCATATAAGTATCTGCTGGCAACAGCTTAAGTGTCACAAGCTGTGTCGCACTGATGACATGATTTTTCCGAAACAGCAAACAATTCTTGATAGTGTTCTAAACAAAGGAAATACAGCCTTCCCTAAATTTACATGCATTCCTGAAAATTTTGGTGCCTACTAAAAAGTTACAAAGTCAATTTCTTTATGTTGGAAGCAAGTTCATATCTCATCTCAGAAAATTACAATCAGATGGAACACAGGACAAGTTTTCATGGCATGCAGCTGTAAACACAATCGAACAAAGTTAGCAGAACATCCCTTCAAACAACTTGGGTATGTAGTGTGTCCCCCACCTTCATTAATTTCGACAACTAAAATCCCCCTGAAATCTTCTGAATTTTTTACTTTGCTTGATACATATTATGTGTGAGTAATATGCAGAAAGCCCCAAAACAGAGGACCTTAGCATAGCAGGCATGTCCCAACTGAGCACAACTTTGGTTACTGCCTACACTTAACTTGGTCTTCTAATAGGATTCTCTAGTTAGGGGACCATTAAAGCAACTGACACCCCTGTTGTCTTCCCTACATCAGCATGCTTCTCTTGCTTGGAACAAGTGTCAAAGCCCATCACACCCTGCACACCTATTACTCTTGAAAATCCTGATGTCATGGGCAGAGTCAGACCTTGCCCAGGGGCAACTGCCTTCAATTCTGTCCTCTCCTTTTCTGAACACAGCAGTATTTGTGTTGGGGTAGAGGTCTCGCCAGAGGCACCCTCAATGTTGGAAACATTCCCACCATGCCAAATGTTTTCTTTGACAGGTTGTTGTCGGTGCTGCTGACGTTAGGCTTGGGCAATGGCCCCTTTCTTGCCTGCAATGACAATTCTCATCATAACCCTGTTGCTGAAATGACTTGCAGGTTACCGGAGTGAAATGGAAGCTGGGGCTGTTGCTTCAATCACCTGCTCTCCTGCTGGCATGGACCACGAATCATTTGCAGATTAGAGGTTTGACTGCATCTAGATGCTCCTTGTCCTGCTTTTACATCCAGCCCCGTTGGGGCTTAGCTTTAAGTCCCATTAATGTACTGTTCAGGTACTGTTTTTTTTTTAATCATGAGCTCATTGGTACTTCCCTCAGACTGGTCCTACATTGTATTATAGTAACAAAAACTTTTTAGATTTTGGCTTTTCAATAGCATCCTTCATCTATTCTACTGCTAGGACAAATTTTTACTCTATTTTTGTATTATTTGTTCAATTCAAAGGGAATATGGAAGAGAGGGGAGTTAATATATAGGCTTAAAATGTTGCCTTGGCCAGGGGCTAGAAAGGGAGATGAGTCAATGGCAGACACCACCCATGGCCTTGTCATGAGGCTTTGAGGGTCTGGCTGGTGGCCAGTGGGACTGGTACGTGTGATAGGCCTGTGGTGACCCTGAAGCTGAGGAACGGGAGGGGCAATTGTTGAGCTGCTGATGTCTCTGTCTTTGGTCTGGCTTGGCTGCAGTGAACAATGGCCATGTTTAGCAGTGACCTGGACAGACTGCGGCCAGATTCTAACAGAGGCAGGCCCCACATGCATTTTTTTATTAAAAAGACAAAAAAAGATTAAAAATCAACTATCTAGGTCTTAGATATGAATTAATAATTTATTTTCCAGAAATATGCAGATTTGCTCATCTACCACCTGTTGGATGAAGGTGTGCATTTCTCCACTGTGGGGGTGTCATCTGCCTCTCATGGCATGAGGTGGCGCGGGCAGATGCCATGATGCCATGCAGAGACTGAGCTTTAGCCAGCCAAAGGGACTCACTCAGAACCACCCAGGCCAAACCAGGACCAGGTCTCAGGTTTGGCTCTCTCTCTGACTCCAGTATTTTCCTCTCAGACATTTATTCAAATATCATTCAGTGGGAAAGCAAACATAGCTTATGGAAAAAAAAAAAAGCTTTAATTTGCATCAACAACAAAAGCTAAGTCTTAGATGAATGCTAAATCCTTATTTCTCATTGTCAAGAGTATCAAGCGCCAGAGTTTTGGGGCGCACGCATACACACACACACACACACACACACACACACACACGAGCTAATCTCAGTGAGACCGACGCCCTCCCAGGCCTTTTGAGTTCTTTAGCTAATTGCACAAGGCAGTCAAATCAACAATGCTCTCTTTCATGCTTGAGCAACGGAGATGGGTCCTCCCTACTCAGCTTTTCATCTCTTCAGTGGAAATTATTGAATAAACAGTGAAACACAGTGCAGCAACCTCCTTCCCAACCCACACACCCCCCAAGATCAAAATTGTCAGCAATCTCTAAGAACTTCCTAGGGGCTTGGCCACACCTGCCTATGATACCCGTGTGGCAGACAGTGTGGGGCAGTGGATTAGCCAGAGCTGGATTCAAAAACTGGTTCCTAGCTAAGTTAATTAACTTCCCAGGGCCTCAGGGGGGAAATGGAGTTAATAATGCCTACTGTTGTCAGCTATTACAACCAACAACAAAATCTTAGTAGCATTCAATAACAAGCATTTTGCATCCATCTATGGGCAGGTAGCTGGAAACTAGCTGACTGAGGCTGGACTTGGCTGAGCATCTCTCCTTCAAGCTATAAGTCCATCTGGCTCCAATGTGTGCCATGCCTCTCATTCTGGCTACAGGTGGAAGGGCAGCACCTCCAGGGAGAAGCCCTTCTCATGGAGCATGGTCTGCCACATAAATCCCTCTTTGCATCACATTTACTTTTATCCCTTGGGCCAAAATAAGTTTTACGATCAAGCCAAAAGTCAAGGTGGTGCAGGTAAATAACCCCTTTGTGTACTTCTCATGTGAAAGGCACTCAACAGTTAGATGGCAAAAGAGGGTGGTGAAGAATTGGAGCTGAAAATTCAATCTGCCCCACTACTGCATAGGGTTGTGGAAAAGATAAAATGCAATGATGTGTGATACATATACATATTAAGCATTTAATAATCATTTGTGTCATTTCATTACATGCACTCCAGACCCATTGCTATAGTGCCCTGGCTGAAGTCTATTCAGGCTGTGGGAGGCAGTCAAATATGGCTTCCATCAATTTCTTCCCTTACTCTATTGGCATGCTTTTCCATGAATCAAAAAGTAGAGTATAATTCTCTTCTTTCAAATCTAAGTTAAACTTTGTGACTTCCCTTGACCAAGATAGAGAAGCAGAAGTGACAGTCTGAGATTCCTAAGGTTAACACATAAGAAGACTTGTCACTTCTGCCTGAGTCATTGGAATGCTCACTTTAGGACCGCTCCCTCTGAAGACCAGTGGCCAAGCTGGAAGAAGCCCAAGCCACATGGGGAGGCCACAAGTACGTGCCAAAATTTACAACTCCAGCTGAGCTTCCAGCCAACAGCCAGCATCCGCTGTTAGCTATACCAGTGGGCCACTTGAACGTCCAGCCCAGTTGATCCTTCAGATGACCAGAGTCCAGCTGATATCTTGCTGCAGTCACATGGGAGACCCCAAATGAGAGCTTCCCAGCTGAGCTCCAGTCAGCCCTCAGAACCATGGGAAATAATAATTCATTGTTTTGTCATCATGTTTTAGGATGGTTTATTTTGCAGCAGTAGGGAGGCAGAAGGCTGGCCAATGCTAATATTTCCACCGGTCACTGAAGCCATGCAGAACCCTGGTGGCTAAAGAATCTTCTCATCCCTAAACTCACCAGAGTTCCCTCTTCGTGTTGGTCCTGTCTCCCCTTTCCAGGGCTGTCAGAGCCCTTTAAAAAGGCTTTTAGCATTAGCTTAGCTCCCTCTCCAACCCCTTTCACTTCAAAGTGGGGAAGGTGTCTATGGTGTGGGAGGTAAATGAATTAGTTTGGCAGCAACTCACTGAGAGTGGACACATGCAAGTTCAAGCCTTTTGAGGGGCTGAAAGGGGATGGCTGTTCAGAGTTCTGATGCATGTATGTTTCCCTAACGCTCTTCATTCATGGGACTCAGAATGACTCAGACTTAAGATGAATTGAATTGACTCTTAGACTTTTGACTAGTAGATGATCTTTGCATTTGACCCTAAATGTACTTGATGCCATATTCAAGAGGCATCTGAGAATCTGATTCCCCAGAATTCTGCACTGACTTCTCCTATTTCACAAGCTCTGGGGAAGACAAGCCCATGGGCAGGCACATGAAGCTCTACAGAGTGCCTGAGAGCCACTGAAAAGGCCCTGGTGGATCTCGTGGGGCTCAGCTCCCCATGAGAACTCCACCCATCAGAGCATAGATGTCCACAGGAGCCCAACAACGTTCTTGGAAACCAAATGCAATTACAACACTTTCATTCAAGTGATTTCTTCCTGCTGACTTGCTTTATACATCTGCTCTGCAAAAGTAATTTTACAGTAAATAAAGCAGCAACCCCTTGTTGGAATTCAAGGACCTTCAGCCCTTATGTAAGTCAAAGGAAGAATCCCCATCATCCACTTATCTAAACATGAGAGTTACACAGTCATTTAAAGGATTCAAAGGAACTAGACAAATTGCAAGTTGGTGACACAAAAGTCAACATCCTGCAGTAGAATAAAGAAATAACAAAGCCAAGCACCGTGTTATGAATGGGATTCAGAAAATCTAGTTCCTAGAAATTCCAGTCATGGAAAAAATTGCAGAAAAAAAAAAAAAGGATTATCAGGTTTAAACCTAAACTTTCAAAACTTGTTCAGCTCCTCACCTTCCCACTTACAGACGTTATCAGCAAGCTTTCCTTTGTCTCAATGGGTGACATGGGCGAAGGAACATCCCAGCTCTATCCCTTACAGGCACATGTATTTTTAACAAAGATATTTGGCAACTGTCAGATTTTCATTCACAGAATGAGGAGCATAATATCAAAATCACAGTTGTGAGTCTTAATGGAACTATGGCATTCATGTAAGCCTTTAACAGAACTCTTGTCTTACAATAATTCATTTCTTTGGTCAATGCTAACCCCTAAATCCAACTCTCTCTAGCTCTCTCTGTCTTTCTTTCTGTCTCTCTCTCTCATTGCCAGCCTCTACATTTCCTTATTCCCTTTTCAGACAAGGATATCTGCTTAACTCCCAACTTAAAAAAAAAATCACACAAACAAGCAAACACAAAAGCTCCTTCAACCTTGTATTTCTTTCCTACCTCCAACTCTACCCCAACTATTGCCCATTTTATAGCTTCACAGTTAACTTTTTACACTCACTGTATCTACTGCCTCCCCTTCAATTTACTGTTTGTTTTTAACACTATGTGATTTGTAACATTTACTTTTGAGCTCTTATCCATATGAACATTTTTCATAGTTGCCAACATAAGCTGCATATATCGTACATTTATTTTTTGTAAGAATGCACAATGATATCACTTTCTCATGTTTTACAGGCTTCATGTGCTTTATTTGTGATGGCTACATAGATTTTATTACTGATCCAAAACTTATTAAATCATTCTCATAATGTTGGGCATTATTTTACATTTTAATTATAACTGTTAAGTGGTGTATGTGTGTGTGTGATGTGGTGTTTATAAAACAAAGAACACACAGAGTAATTTATAAACATTGAAGGCAATGTATTATATATAATTTTTACTGTGTATGTATTCATGATTTATGTATATATATATGGTTTTTAGTGTTGCTTTCAATGTTTATAAACTACTGTGTGCAGTGTTTTTTTTTCAACTCTTTCAGTTTTGTCAACATTATTTTATAAATATCTTCATGTATTGATATCTAGTTCATGTGACTGTCACTTTTAATGGCCTAGCATTTCATTGTGCTAATAGCTCATTAGGATGAAGCAATGTTAGCAGGATTCCTTAGCAGAACCATTAGAAAAATCTGAAGCATCTCATTTTTTTAAATACTGTAAATTTTTGACTAAGTACAGCAGCTCATGCCTGTAATCCCAGCACTTTGGGAGGCCAAGGAGAATCACTTGAGGCCAGGAGTTACAGACCAGCCTGGCCAACATGGTAAAACTCCATCTCTAGTAAAAATACACACACACACAAATAGCCAAGCATGGTGGCCAGCTACTCAGGAGACTGAGGCAGGAGAATTGCTTCAACCAAGGAGGCAGAGGTTGCAGTGAACCGAGATCGCGCCACTGCGCTCCAGCATGGGTGACAGAGACTCCATTTCAAAAAAAAAATTTTTTTTTAATGAAATAAAATGCTGTAAATTTTTACTCCAAATAATAAATACACATAGTTTAAAAGTCAGATTGTCCAGGCCGGGTGCGGTGGCTCACGCCTGTAATCCCAGCACTTTGGGAGGCCGAGGTGGGCGGATCACGAGGTCAAGAGATCGAGACCATGCTGGCCAACATAGTGAAACCCCGTCTCTACTAAAAATACAAAAAAATAGCCGGGCATGGTGGCGGGCGCCTGTAGTCCCAGCTACTCGGGAGGCTGAGGCAGGAGAATGGCATGAACCCAGGAGGCGGCGCTTGCAGTGAGCCAAGATCACACCACTGCACTCCAGCCTGGGCAACAGAGTGAGACTCTGTCTCAAAAAAAAAAAAAAAAAAAAAGTCAAATTGTCTTTAAGTCACAAAACAAAATGCTCTCATTTTCTATCTCACCATTCTCCCTGTTCCTAGACCTTTTCAACTATTTTAACTAAATATTGTCATTTCTACATTGCCATGTTTCTCAATGATATGCATACACTGATATATTTTGATTCATCAATTTCAGACATTATCTATTGACTTTCTATTTTAGAAGTGATACTCAGCTCTCCAATGTCAATCACATCAAGGTAACTATTATTAATAATTTCTCTTTTCCCTGTTGGCAGTATCCTTTTAGGAACCTTCTTTCTGCTTCTCTCTGGACTGGCTCTTCTCCAGGCCACCTGCACAGCCATCCTCCTAGGGTGGCCCTTTGCTGTCATCCTAAGCATTCCCTTTGCCTTTCTCCTGAGTTGGTGTATTAGGCAGGGTTCTCCAGAGAAATAGAACCAATAGGATATGTGTGTTTGGAAAGAGAGAGAGAGACAGAGAGAGAGAGAGAGAGAGAGAGAGATAGAGAGAGGGAGAGAGAGAGGAAGGTGGGGAAGGGAAAGAGGAAGAAAGAGATTTATTTTAAGGAATTGATTCATGTAATTGTGGGGACTGGCAAGTCAAAAATCTGTAGAGCAGGCTAGAGACCAAGGGAAGAGTTGAATTCTTACAGTCTTGAGTCCCAAGGTGCATTGGAGGCAGAATTCCTTCTTCTTCACGGACCTCAATCTTTTCTCTCAAGGCCTTAAACTGATTAGATGAAACCCACCGCAAAGGACAGGTAATCTGCTTTACTCAAAGTCTACTGATTTAAATATTAACACCATCTAAAAAACACCTTCACAGCAAAGTCAAAACTGGTATTTGACCAAACAACTGGCCACCACAGCTTAGCCAAGCTGACACATAAAGTTAACTATCACAGATTGGTTCCCTGTTTTCTTGGTATCAAGTCTTCCTTTCTGGCTTTCCTCTTTCATTTTGGTGCATCTTGTCTAGCACCATCTTGAGAACATATGCATGGCAGGTAAATTTCTTGAGATCTCACATATTGGAACATGTCTTATTCTATCCCAGCATTTCACTGATAGTTTGACTATGCGTGGACATACAACCCAATTCTGGGTTGTAAATAATTTTCCTCTATTACCTGCTGGCTTCAAATGTTGCTGTTGAGGAACCCAAGGTCATTTTAATTCCTGATTCTCCTTACATGACCTGATTTTTCCCTCTAGAATCTTACAAAGCCTTCTCTCTGTCCCAAATATTCTGAAATGTAATAATGAGCTTGGAGTAGATCTATTTTTAGCTTTATTCAGGGAACTCAGAACATTTTTTCAAACTAGACACTCATGTCCTTCATTCTAAGAAATTTTCTTCATGATTTTTTTTTCTTTTTTAAATCAACTTTTATTTTAAACTCCAGGGTACATATGCAGGATTTCCAGATTTGTTACATAGGTAAATATGTGCCAGGGTGGTTTGCTGCACAGATCAACCCATCACCCAGGTATTAAGCCCAGCATTTATTAGCTTTTCTTCCTGATGCTCTCCCTCCCCACAAGCCCCTGATAGGCCCCAGAGTGTGTTGTTCCCCACCTCCCCATGTGTCTGTGTGTTCTCATTGTTCAGCTCCCACTTATAAGTAAGAACATGCAGTGTTTGGTTTTCTGTTCCCATGCTAGTTTGCTGAGGACAATAGCTTCTAGCTCCATCTATGTCCCTGCAAACGGCATGATCTCAATCCTTTTTATGGCTGCATAGTATTCCGTGGTACATATGTACCACATTTTCTTTATCTAGTCTATCATTGATGGGTTTGGGGGTTGGTTCCATGTCTTTGCTATTGAAAATAGTGCTGCAGTGAACGTACGCATGCATGTATCTTTATAATAGAATGATTTATATTCCTTGGATATATACCCAGTAATGGGATTGCTGGGTCAAATGGTATTTCTGCTTCTAGATCTTTGAGGAATCACCACACTACTTTCCACAGTTGAAATAATTTACATTCCCACTAACAATGTAAAAGCATTCCTTTGTCTCCGCAACCTTGCCAGCATCTGTTGTTTCTTGACTTTTTAACAATTGCCATTCTGACTGGCATAAGACAGTATCTCATTGTGGTTTTGATTTGCATTTCTCTAATAATCAGTGATGAGCTTTTTTTCATATTTGTTGGCTGCATGACTGTCTTCTTTTGAGAAGTGTCTGTTCACGTTCTTTGCCAACTTTTTGATTGGGTTGTTTTTTTCTTGTAAATTTGTTTAAGTTCCTTGCAGGCTCTGGATATTAGACCTTTGTCAGATTGACAGATTGCAAAAATTTTCTCTTATTCTGTAGGTTGTCTGTACATGCTAATGACAGTTTCTTTTGCTACACAGAAGCTCTTTAGTTTAATTAGATCCCGTTTGTCAATTTTTGCTTTTATTGAAATTGCTTTTGTTGTTTTCTTCATGAAATCTTTGCCCATGCCCATGTCCTGAATGGTATTGCCTAGATTTTTTCCTATGGTTTTTATAGTTTTGGGTATTACGTTTAAGTCTTTAATCCATCTTGAGTCAATTTTTGTATAAGGTTTAAGGAAGTGGTCCAGTTTCAATTTTCTGTATATGGCTAGCCAGTTCTCCCAGCACCATTTATTAAATATGAAATTTGTTGTCCATTATTTGTTGTTGTCAGGTTTGTCAAAGATCACATGGTTGTGGGTGTGCAGTCTTATTTCTGAGTTCTCTATTCTGTTCCATTGGTATATGTATCTGTTTTTATGCAGTACCATGGTGTTCTGGTTATGGTAGCTTTGCTGTATAGTTTGAAGTCAGGTAGCGTGATACCTCCAGCTTTATTCTTTTTGCTTAGGATTATCTTGGCTATACAGGCTATTTTTTGGTTCCATATGAATTTTAAAATAGATTTTTCTAATTCTGTGAAGAATGTCAATGGTAGTTTAATGGGAATAGCATTGAATCTATAAATTACTTTGTGCAGTATGGCCATATTTAAGATATTGACTCTTTCTATCCATGAGCATGGAATGTCTTTCCATTTGTATGCTCCCTGATTTCCTTGAGCAGTGGTTTGTAGCCCTCCTTGAAGAGGTCCTTCACCTTCCTTGCTAGCTGTATTCCTAGGTATTTTATTCTCTTTGTAGCATTTGTGAATGGAAGTTCATTCATGATTTGGCTCTCTGCATGCCTATTATTGGTGTATAGAAATGCTAGCAAATTTTGCACATTGATTTTGTATCCTGAGACTTTGCTGAAGTTGCTTATCAGCTTAAGAAGCTTTTGGGCTGAGACAATGGGGTTTTCTAGATATAGGATCATGTCATTGGCAAACAAAGATAATCTGACTTCCTCTCTTCCTATGTGAATACCCCTTATTTCTTTCTCTTGCCTGATTGCCCTGGCCAAAAACTTCCAACTTTTATTTTAGGTCCAGAGGGTACATGTGCAGGTTTGTTACATGGGTAAATTGCATGTCTTGGGGGTTTGGTGTGCAGATTATTTTGTCACCAGATAATGAGCATAGTACCCAATAAGTTGTTTTTTGATCCTCACCCTCTTCCCCCGATCCACCCTTCAGTAGGCTCCAATGTCTACTATTTCCTTCTTTGTGTCCATGTGTACTTAATATTTAGTTCCCGCTTATAAGTGAGAACATGCAATATTTGGTTTTCTGTTTCTGCATTAATTCACTTAGGATAATGGCCTCTAGCTCCATTCAGATTGCTGCAAAGGACATGATCTCATTCTCTTTTATGGCTATGTAGTATTCCATGGTGTATATGTGTGCCACATTTTTTCCCTTTATTTTCCTTGTTCTCCCATTCTATGATTCTATTATTCAGATGTTGGACCTTCTGCATTTGTGCATTATTTTATTCACATTTTTTCTTCTCTTTTTCATTGCATTGTCTTTTTTGCTCTACTTCCTACAAAAAAGTCTTCAAGCTTATTTTTCTAATATTCTGTTGTGTTTTTTTTTCAATTATACTATTGTGTCATAATTTCTCAAAGTTCTTTTTTTATCTGAATGTTCCTTTTTCTAGCATTTTTTTAATTTTATGGATGTAATATCTGCTCTCAAAGCTCTGAAAATAGCAATTTGGGAAATAAGCTCTTCTTTCAACATGGTCTCTGTTACCTCTAAGTGCTTTTCTCTGTGTGTATGTGTGTGTTTGTCTCAATCTTTTATAACACAGTCTATATCAGTCCATTCTCACACTACTATAAAGACATACCTGAGACTGGGTAATTTATAAAGAAAAGAGGTTTAATCAGCTCACAGTTCTGTGGGCATACAGGCTTCTGCTTCTGGGGAGGCCTCAGGAAACTTACAATCATGGTGGAAGGCAAAAGGGAAGCAGACACATCTTACATGGTGGGAGCGGGAGGAAGAGAGAGAAAAGGGAGGTGCTACACACTTTTAAATAACCAGATCTCATGAGAACTCACTCACTATCACAAGAACAGCAAGGGTGAAGTAACACAATCATCTCCCACCAGGGCCCTCCTCCCACACTAGGGATTAAAATTGGACGTGAAATTTGGGTGGGGACACAGAGCCAAACCATTACACATCCTTTCTATGAATGTGTGGTCATTATGGTTCATCTGTTCATGTCTAAGTGTGGGAACTGATTAGAAGCTCAAAGTTTGTGAGTGGAGCTTGTCTTCTTTAGGCTTCTTTGCAGAGTGACTGGGCTGAGTCAGTCATTGAAAAAGCCCTGATGTTAGTATCTTTAGAGTTTTTTTCTTGGGATGACAAATTCCCAATAGAAAACATTTCATTCTCCTGCCGGTGCCACTGCACTCCAGCATGGGCAATAGAGTGAGACTCCATCTTAAAAATAAAATAAAATAAAATAAAATAAAATAAAATAAAATAAAATAAAATAAAATAAAATAAAATAAATTCCTGCCTGGAAGGTAATGGTCTGGCTGCCAGCACTCATGGAGATCAGTGAGGGAATAGAGCTGAAGGTCTGAGCCTTCAGCATTCAGTACATTCAGTACTCCTCTATTCCCACAACTCCCCTATTTTCAGTAGAGAACTGATGGCCTCAGCTATGCCTAGCATCCCCCAGTCCAAACCCTCTGTTTTATTTTCATCAGAGAACGACATTCCAATCTTCTGCTGAGGTTGAGGAAGACTGACTACCCAGAGAGCATCTGGGGATCTAGCTGCTTTTTAAAGAGCTTTCAATTACTTTCTTTATTTTAGCCCCATGCTGTATCCCTCAGTACCAGTGATTCTGCGGTACAGATAAGGAGGGTTCACCACTTTTCCCATTGTCAGGTTAGATGCAACTTTCCAGCTGTTAGATTTGTATTGACATTGTTCCCTCTTCCTTTTTCCCATCCTTGTGGGACTCGTTATTGTTGTTGTTGTTGATGATGATGATGATGTTTACTTCCAATACTTTGGTTTTAGTGAGATTCTGAGAGAGAGCAAACTTAGATGGGTGTGTTCCATCCACCATCTTCACCTTGATACTTCACACACTTTTCTGCTCACTGAAATATAAATTATTCTCCCAAATTTCCACAAAGCTTCTTGCATGAAGATCACTAAAGAACTCCTAACTGCCAAATCTAATGAACAGCTTTAAGTTCTTATCTTCTTGACCTCCCTACGCCAATTGATATTCATGACTATTCTCTTCTAGAAATGCCTGTTTCACTTCTTGTTTCCTCTTTCTATGTCAAGCTCTGTAAAGATGTTGGTGCTCCCCTGGGCTCCATCGTTGCCCTCATTTCTTATTACTTTCTTCACTTAGCCCAAGGTGGGATTTAAGCACATTCATAGCTTCAACTCATACATTCATGACTTCAAAAGCCCCTTAGCCTAGGCACAGTTCCTGTGTATAAAATTCATATAAGTATCTTCAGGATTATAATTTTGCAATTAAATATGAAGCAGCAGTATCAGTGAAGAGTGAAGGAGAATACACTGAAAATTTTGGAGAAAAGATATAAAGAGTACCAAAACAGAGACATAGATCAATGGAACAGAACAGAGCCCTCAGAAATAACGCCGCATATCTACAACTATCTGATCTTTGACAAACCTGAGAAAAACAAGAAATGGGGAAAGGATTCCCTATTTAATAAATGGTGCTGGGAAAACTGGCTAGCCATATGTAGAAAGCTGGAACTGGATCCCTTCCTTACACCTTATACAAAAATCAATTCAAGATGGATTAAAGACTTAAACGTTAGACCTAAAACCATAAAAACCCTAGAAGAAAACCTAGGCATTACCATTCAGGACATAGGCATGGGCAAGGACTTCATGTCTAAAACAACAAAAGCAATGGCAACAAAAGCCAAAATTGACAAATGGGATCTAATTAAACTAAAGAGCTTCTGCACAGCAAAAGAAACTACCATCAAAGTGAACAGGCAACCTACAAAATGGGAGAAAATTTTCGCAACCTACCCATCTGACAAAGGGCTAATATCCAGAATCTACAATGAACTCAAATAAATTTACAAGAAAAAAACAAACAACCCCATCAAAAAGTGGGCAAAGGACATGAACAGACACTTCTGAAAAGAAGACATTTATGCAGCCAAAAAACACATGAAAAAATGCTCACCATCACTGGCCATCAGAGAAATGCAAATCAAAACCACAATGAGATACCATTTCACACCAGTTAGAATGGCAATCATTAAAAAGTCAGGAAACAACAGGTGCTGGAGAGGATGTGGAGAAATAGGAACACTTTTACACTGTTGGTGGGACTGTAAACTAGTTCAACCATTGTGGAAGTCAATGTGGCCATTCCTCAGGGATCTAGAACTAGAAATACCATTTGACCCAGCCATCCCATTACTGGGTATATACCCAAAGGACTATAAATCATGCTGCTATAAAGACACATGCACACGTATGTTTATTGTGGCATTATTCACAATAGCAAAGACTTGGAACCAACCCAAATGTCCAACAATGATAGACTGGATTAAGAAAATGTGGCACATATACACCATGGAATACTAAGCAGCCATAAAAAATGATGAGTTCATGTCCTTTGTAGGGACATGGATGAAATCGGAAATCATCATTCTCAGTAAACTATCGCAAGAACAAAAAACCAAACACCGCATATTCTCACTCATAGGTGGGAATTGAACGATGAGAACACATGGACATAGGAAGGGGAACATCACACTCTGGGGACTGTTGTGGGGTGGGGGCAGGGGGGAAGGATAGCAGTGGGAGATATACCTAATGCTAGATGACGAGTTAGTGGGTGCAGCGCACCAGCATGGCACATGTATACATATGTAACTAACCTGCACATTGTGCACATGTACCCTAAAACTTAAAGTATAATAATAATAATAATAATAATAAAAGATATAAAGAAACATCTCAGAGAGGGATAAAGTAATTCAACTGAAGATGCATAGTAGGATTGCAGTTTATAAATCTGAATTCTAGCTGCAATGAAGACTAGAGGGTGTAGTTGTTTTAACTGTTTCTTAGGAGAATATGATTTATGGGTAACTATCAAAATGTGGAAAAAATATTCCAAATATGTCTACTACATATGCATAGCATATTGCTATGTATAGGATTTGGATTTTTTCCCTTGTTTTTCTGTTTTCCACAGTTCCTGAATTGACTATATGATTAAACACTGTGCTTTAAGCTGACACCATTACCTACCAAGGTTGTAATAATCTCCTGCCATACTTCTGTTTTATAATTTTCTGTTCAGACAGCAAATTAAAAAGCCTTCTTGTCTACCACCTGAGGTTTTTGCCTCTGCCTCTGAGCAAATTCGGTTTTTAGAGGACAGTATTGTAGGGCTGGACCTTTACTTCCTCCTTATTGGTCCTTGGATTTGTAATAATCTCATTGAGTTTTTTCCTGTATTTCAAGCCAAGATAGTAATTCCCCTATGCTATAAAGTCCCTTGGTCTTCTTTATCTGTTAATTAATCGACCCCACTATTTCTTTGGGTTAAGCTCACAATTTAAGTACCTACATTTATGACTACAATTAAGATTGCATAGCAGGTGAGTCTTCAACACTTGATGAAAAATATAATGAAGAGGAAAACAAGACCTGTGGTAGCAACACCATTCATGCCTTCAGCTCTCCCTATTTTGAGAAGAGTCTGCCCTAGCTTCATGAATCAACCCCTATCTCAGGGACACAGAGACTCTCTTATAAGAATGGTATATGATCTCCCCACTGTTACTTTGGCCACAGAAAGAACAAATGCTTTTACATATGAGGTTCCAGGATAAGCCTACTTCTTAGACCCCCATCTTGGACATATTCATTTCAGCCTGAAAACCTGTGCCAGAAATCTGACCCAGGTCTGAGTGCTCCCAAGCACTTCCCTAAGGTGTCACTGCTCAGAGGCAAACCCATCAGGTAAATGCACACCTTGTCACTAGCCACAATTCTGCCCCAAGCCCTTCTGTGCCCTGGTAAGTCATGATGGATTATGAATAAGAGTAAGCACCCTAGAGATCCCTTTCACTCAGACTGGAAGTGGCTTAATTAGCCCAGATCTTGGTCTCATTGCCACAGGCTGCTCCCTGATCACTTTTGAATATTCTTAGTGAAAGAATGTCTCATTACTAGTAGGAAGAGACATTTGTCATGTTTTAATTCATTCATCTTCTGGCACGAGTTGCCCTCACGAGTTGTGATCCAACAGTGCCTCACTAAGGAGTCCACTATATCAGAACTACTTGGGATTGGCACAGTGCAGTGATTGGAACATGCTGAGCTTCCTCTAAAAGACAGACTAAACCACGTTATTGTACCAACACCTGTTTTATGTGTTTTGTCTCCTAACTAAACTCTGTTAAGGTCCAGGTTATATTTATTTTTTTATCTTCAAACACAAGGCCTGCCATATAATAATAGATATCCAAAAACTATTTTCAAATGAATGAATGAGTTAATGAGAATGAATAATAATGGCTCTTTCCTATGAATCCCTAGGTCTCAACACCCAATATCAGAAAGAAGCATCATGCCTTATTACAATGTACTCAAGACATTCCACTAAAGCTTAGCTATCCAGCATTTTTGGCTAGCAGAAACAGCAGGGCTGCCAATAGATAATTGATATCCCCAAAGCATGTTTTCTATTTGTTTTCTGCATGCATCCTAGGAAACCAACAACTCCCAGTAGTTCCTGGGTGAGCTAGAATATTTATCTTTGCATTTTTCAAAGTTGATAATGTGAATGTCCACAGCAGAGAAATAGCTTTGGTTCACTGGTGAGCCACTCTGAATGTGGCTCTTCTAAAATTTTTTCTCATATCAAGAAGAAATTCATGAGCAATTTCCCAGAACCCTCCAATAACAATAAAAGCCAGCATTGACTGCATGCTTCCTGAGGGCCACACATAACATACATTATCTCATGGAAACTGCATAACAACTCAATGAGGTACATAATAATATTATTATCACCATCTTGCAGAAAGGAAGTTGTGGTATGGACAGGTCAAGTACCTTGCACAGTCACCCAGTTAAAACTGGTGGACTTGTGCTTTGCCCCAGATAGCCTGACATGAGGTTACAGCATTAGTCAGTGTGTTGTCCTGCCTAGGCCTCAAACAGTATATGGGAATTATCATCCATTCTACCTATTTCAAAAGATTGCATCAGGAGGAAGAGGGTCTGAAGCAAGAAGGAAACAAAATGGGTCACTTTAAGACTATTTAAAAGTATATGTGTTCCTCAAACCCCACATTCATTATTGACATTCTTCAGATGAAGGTACCTTGATAAAGCTCCACTGGTTATTTCAGACTGAGCAAATCTCTTTGTCCCCACCTTCACAGTACCCATTCCCCACATCAACCACAACACACACATACTCACGCATTTTGAGAACCACTAGTCCCTCTGGCTTGGGACTTGGATGGTGGCCATTAGCAAAATGATCAAAGGAGTGTTAGGCTTGATGGGTTGGGTAGATTTTTCCTGGCATCTTCAGTTGTAAATTGATCTGGTGTCTCCAAGTAAGACCCTAGTCTTAAATATGTTTAATTATGTCAGAATTGAGCAGAATTGGACAGGATTGGGCTGAATTGGTCTTGTGGCTAGATTTGTGTTGGCCTTGACTTGCTTAATACAGGTTTCCATTGGGCATTTGTACTCTCTGGGCTTGTCAGGACCCTGGACTGTACTGGTCCATTTCCACTGTCATCTGAGTTCTGAGTTGGATTGGCCTGGTCTCTGGTCTAAATGAAACGAACTTTTTGTTCAGCAAGTCTTTGGGTCCTTTTGAGCATCTGAAATGGACGTTTTAGGTTGTTATAAACTATGGATTACTCTTGACTGGATCCTTGGTAAGAATGTGCTCTTCAGAGGCTTGGCTGTGACTTAAGATGCACAGGGATGTTGTGTGGCCTTAGCTGAGCTGGGATGCAAACCAGATTAAACAGGATCTGCCTCTGGGCTGACAATGATATAGGAAATAGGCTGATTTTTTGCAGGGCTCTGAATTGGTCAGAGTTTGATTGGGCCTGTGTTGAATGGGTTTCATCACTGCATTGGAGTAGGTGTTAGCAGGGCTTTGGGATGGGTTTTGGAGTGTCCGTAAATGAGTCAAGGGACTTATTGAACTGAATTTATTTTTAAGGTTGACTTGGTTGGGCTTTGGATAGGGTATCAATGGGATGCTGAGTTCAAAGAGGTTTTGACTGTTTCTAGGCTGAAGTTGTGGCTGGCTTGACCTATAAGATACCATCAGGACATCTTGCTCTAGCCTATGGTTCTGCCCCTGGGCTTAATTTTATTACTGTATCTTTGCTTTCCCTATCACCAAAAGTCAATACTCAGCTGATTCAGATTCTTAAGACACTTTGTTGTTCCAGATGATTAATTGCTTCTGGGAACACTCACTTCACTTTTTGCCTATGGTGGTCCCAGAGACTACAGGATCCTCCAAGATCCTGGAAAACACTGGACCTACCTGACTGACATAAAACTTTATGGAGAGTATCAGATTTTTCCACATTGTGGCAAATATTTCTTCTCTAGGGAAAAAAAATTGTTTTTTACTCAAATTTTTTTGGGGTAGTCTGGGTTACCTGGAACCTTTTCTAAAATGTTAAGAATGCAGACAAATGGCACTTAGTGCCCAGTGAGTTCTTGACAGATTATTAGGACAGTAAACTTTGTGTTTGACAACCGGGGAAAAGGGCTCGCTCACATGTGTTTGAAAGTAGAGGGCAAGTAAGAGAGAGCGAGTTACTAAGAGGCTGATATTGTAGATAGGCAGGGCATATTTAATAATTACTGTCTCAAGGAAGGAAGCCTAGTAAATTCAGGTAGAACAGTGATCAGAGTGCAGGACTAAAGCCTTGAGACAATCAGTCTAGTCAGACAAACTCTCCAATCTTTTGGAAGGCAGGGACCTTGAAATTCCTGGTACCTTTGAATATCTTGGGATTCTTCCTTGTGGCAAATAAAACATTTGAACATTTACAAGTTACCCCTTATCCCCTTATCTTCTTGAAAGAGAGTTTTCTGCTTCCTGGTAACCCAGCACAGTCTAACATTGTTCGCATTACTTTACTGGAATGCTCCTTTGTGACACAGTGACACTTGTGCCAAATCACTGGAGTTTTCTTAGGGCTTATCCTCCTGACTTCCACAGCATATGGCTCTGTTGACTACTTCTTCCTGCAAGAAACTCTTTCCTGCCTAGGCTTCCAGGTTACCCTTCAAATGCTCCCACGTGCATGGTTAATTTTCTCCTGTACTTCTCCAAGTCCAGAAATATCCATCCACAGGCTGAACATCACCATGTATATCGTTCTTCCACTGCCTTGAATTAAAGAAGCAGAAGAGTCCCTTCCAAACCTCATGTATCTATCTTTATAGGCCTTGAAAAGGCTGATCAACCTCTTCCAGAACACTGGAGGCCTTGGAAGGCATTAGGAACCAGGACACTCCCAATCAAGTCAGAACACTGAGAATTACCTCAAGAGGATGGTAACATTTGTGTAGGAAGATCTTGACATTTATATGTCTCTGAGTTGTAAAATCATTCTGGAAAATGCTAGCAGGAACCCACCAAGACTCTCCCCAAGCCGCCTTCTAGCCTGCAGTGACTGACCCACCTCTCCCATTTCTCTACAAGCACTAATTATGAGGCCACTACAGCCTAACAAACAAAGGCAAAAGTTGTTGCCAATTTTTGACACCTGACAACATCCCCCGCTGAGCGAACATGCTGGGATCACAGAAGAGGCTTCATTTACCACTGTTATAGACTATGGACATCTTTGTCGTATTTAAACTCTCCCTGCGAATAACCATATCTCTGCAGCTCAACTTCAAGCTCACTTCTCAAGAATGTTTGGAGAACACCTCCCTACAGTGAGTGAGGCTGGCACAAAGCCCTCTAGGTAGAAGAGGCAGCCTGGAATGTATTTCCTCAGGCTGGAGGGAGAGCAGGGTAGAGGCATTTTAAGATCTAGAGATGGACTTCTTTCTAGAATCCTGGAAGAGAGGCAGAGGCACTGGGACACTCAAATATCTGAATTCCTCTCACTGCCTGTCTGCCCTGGAAAATACCATCTTTGTCCAGAGGAGCCTCTTGATCTTTCTCCCCTTCCCCATAACCTTGTTTCCCACAGAATATCCTCTCTCCTCCCACCCCTGGAAGAACTATGCCCTCATCTATCTTGGATAATGGTGTCTGTAACTTTGAAGAGCTCTATCAGGACACCCCCTGCTTCCTTCCGGGGTAATTTCCTAAACTATTTTGCCTGTAAAGCTCTCAACACATTCCTCTGTCACCTAAACTCTTAACAACTTGAGACGGCCCTGGGGGCATGACGGTGAGAGAAGATATTCTTAATGCTTCCCTGATTCATCTCACCCCTCCACCCGCTTTCCACATTCAAGCTCTTTCCTATTCCTTGCCAATCCCATAAACACTCTCTCCATCACATTGTCATATCCCTTTTCTTCTCTTACCAGCTCCCACCAGTGTTTCTGCTTTCCCTTACCCATCTGATTTCTATAGATTTCCTCACTGTCTTTCAAGTCATCGAGCTGCAGTGGGGTCAGCATGGGTTTTCAATCCTTTGAGGAGAAAGAAGACATGGAAGAGGAAGACTTGGATGGTTAGGGTATTTTAATCTCCCTCCAATTATTTTTTTCCTGAGAGCAATAATTCCCAAAGTATGGGTTTAATACATTTTATCTATGAAACAACAGTTTCATGGTCAAGTAAGTCTGGGAAACACAGTTCAGCAATTTTTTTCCTACAGAAATTCTCAAGGCTTTAATATGATACTAGGCATATATTAGTTATCTTTTATTATATTTAAAATTGCCCCCAAACTTAGAGACTTAAAACACTAATAAAAATTCGCTTATTTCTGTGGATCAGGAATCAGGGAATGGCTTAGCTGGGTAGTTCTTGTTTGGGATCTCTCATGAGGTTGCAGTCAAGATGTCAGACAGGGCTGCAGTCAGCTGAAGGCTTCACAGGATGTCAGGAACCTATGTCCAAGATGGGTCACTCACAATGTTGGCAAAGTGGTGTTGGCTGCCAGCAGGGGTCTCAGTTCCTTACCACACGGACCCCTCCTTGGGGCTGCTTGTGTGTTCTCACGACATGGCAGTGGGCTCTCCTACAGTGAGTGATCCAAGAGAGAAGGGAAAAACCACAACATCTCTCATGGCCTATCCTCAGAAGCCACACACCATCTTCTTAATTACTCACAGGTCAGTCTCACCCAAGGTGGAAGGGGTGTGAATTCCAGGAGGTGAGAAACACTGGGTTCATTTTGGAGGCAGGTCAGTGCTACGCATGACAAATCTTCAAGGCTGATTTGACAACATGATTATTGGTTAGTGGAGCATTCCAAGACACTAAGATTCCATGGTACACATGTTGGGGGAAACCACCATGGACTGTCACATTGGGGTATAAGGGTCTGGGAGGCACACAAGTGGAGGGGAATATGTGTGTCTGGAGGAAGAATCCTGGGAAAACAGTACATGCATATGCACTGAGGGCTCCCAGAGCGGAAGACAATAGGAAGCTAGAACTGGGGTACCACTCGGAACTGGGGCTCAGAGGCTGATTCTCCAATTTAGAGAGGCTAGCACGGAACTTCCCTGCCAATTCCAAACTGCTTGGAGCGTCTCTACTCTTGTAAGCTGTTTACTTCCTCCATCCTAAATCAAAGATAGAGAGAAAATGTCAAAGTTCACAGGCTGAAAAGAAGAACTATTATCATAGAATCCCTAAAAGATGGAGATGGTGGCCATCTAGAAGGCTCAGCTGTTCCATGCCGGGAGCAGCCCTAAGTACCACACTCTGTGGGGTTGTTTGTGATGGTTTCAGACCGGACCCCAACAGTCTCTTTTATGGTCCAGACAGACTAAGACCATGTAAGGTCACTCTGATGACTCATACCACAAAGGTCCCGTTTTTCCCCTACTTCATCTGCACAATGGTTTGTTTGCAAAGGTCCTAGCCTGGGGAGCCGGAGTCACCGTGGTTGGAGGAAACAAATTCTCATCCAATGTTTAGTGACCTTATCAAAAGATGCAGGATAGGGAAGGAAAAGAAGGAATAGAAGGACTACAGAGAATGGAGAGGCGGTCACGGAAAAAGAAAGGGAAAGTGCGTGGGAAGAAGGAAGGAGTAAGAAAACACGCACAGCTCACATGAGAATGGTAAGGACAAGGAAATTTATACGCGAAGCCTGGAAGCGCCCCCGCCCCCGACGCACTCCCGCGGGTCCCACGCGTGCTTTCGCCGCCTTTGTCCACAAGGTGGCAGCCTTTGAACTTTCTTCCCCGTAAGAACGCGAAAGGGGGGCAGAGAGGAAGGAGAGAAGGCAAAGCACTGCCCCCACCAAGAACAATTTGAAACCCCCCCCCCCCCCCATCATATTTAAAATCTGGGACAAAGAACCGTCGGGACGGAACTCCTTCCATTGCAAAAGCTCGGCGCGGCCTCGGGAGCTGCCCGGCGGCCCCGGACCGAGGCAGCCCTCCCCTTTAAAAGAAGCGGAGGACAGGATTGGGATCCTTGAAACCCGAAACCCAGAAACAGCATCGGAGCGGAAACCAGAGGGGAAACCTTGAACTCCTCCAGACAATTGCTTCCGGGGAGTTGCGAGGGAGCGAGGGGGAATAAAGGACCCGCGAGGAAGGGCCCGCGGATGGCGCGTCCCTGAGGGTCGTGGCGAGTTCGCGGAGCGTGGGAAGGAGCGGACCCTGCTCTCCCCGGGCTGCGGGCCATGGCCACGGCGGAGCGGAGAGCCCTCGGCATCGGCTTCCAGTGGCTCTCTTTGGCCACTCTGGTGCTCATCTGCGCCGGGCAAGGGGGACGCAGGGAGGATGGGGGTCCAGCCTGCTACGGCGGATTTGACCTGTACTTCATTTTGGACAAGTAAGTGCCGCGAGTTGTCCCCCCCACCCCAGGCTAAGCGGGCGAAAACGCTTTCGCCCCGGGCCGGGCTCGTTGGCAGGGTCGCCTGGGGACAGGAGCGCATCTCCAGGGCCACAGAGGGACCGCGCGGCAGGCGGCGGCGGAGTGCTGCGCCTTTGTTGGGGCGCGCTCCTCCCAGCCTCGGCTCCAGAGCCCGCAGCCGAGGCGACGCCGCTTGCTCGGAAGGGGACAGACTTCTTTTCTGTCTTGCTTTCTGTGTCCCAGGAGCAGGCAAGGGGCTTGGAGGATGCTATTGTCTTGCTGAGTTTCTGTGACTCCCTCCCGTGTTGGTGGGAAAGGCTTGCTTACCAAAGGCAGAACTTGCAGGCACAGGCACTCCTAAAGTTAGAGGCTTGGGCATTTTAAAGCCAATCGTCGCATTTTGTTTTTGTTTTTGTTTTTTTGTTTTGTTTTGAAACGCTGTCCCACGGAAGGCATTATCTTTGCTCCTAATCATGTAATGCATACTTCTCACCGGGCACTGAGTGAGAATGAAAGGCAGGGTTTCTTAACCTTGGCACTTCTGAGATTGAAACCTGGTAATTCTTTGTGGTGGGGGCTGTCCTGCGCGTTGTAGGATGTTTAGCAGCATCCTTGGCCTCTGCCCACTGGATGCCAGTAACATCCCCCGCCCCCCACTCCTTCCTTATTAGTGGTGACAACTAAAAATGCCTCCAGACATTGCCAAATGTCCCTCCCCTTCGACTTGAGTACCCCAGATGTAGTGAATTCAAGCTCTTGGCCATTTGACTGGTGGGCTACCAGGGAGGTGCAGGAGCCCTGGTTTCCTTGCAAAAAGTGGTTAGGCTTTAGGATTTGCTCAAGGGAGAGCTGAATTCTGACCAATGAAGCACTTCCCAAATCCGCATAAGTTTGCCAAGCCACAGTCACCCAAGGAAGCTTCATGCTATCTGCTGAAAACCAGCTTCAACGATAAAAAGCCCCTCACAGAAGATCCGTGCTCATTAAAACTGAGTGAGCTCTCCAGTGCCAGGAGAGGCGCTTTGCTGTTACAGTGGTGGGGAGATGGATTTCACAGACTGGAAAGTATTTAGGAGTTGGAAAAAGAGTCCTGCAAAATAAGCTGGCTAGCTAGACACCAAATGTGCTTTGCAGTTGCCCCTGGAGTTTGATTTTTCCGTAAAGGCTGTTTTGAACTCCAGATTCTTTGGATGAAAAGTGAGATTTCTTTTCTGCAGATTTATGAGAAGGTGGATACTGAAAATATGCTCCAGTGCTAAGGAATGGAATTTCTTTTGTTACTTCTAGTGGCTGGAAGCATCAGCTCACAGACTTAGAGACAGTGCATGAAAACAGTCGGAGGTGCTCCTCCTCCGTGCTTTTTTAAAAAGCCAATTCAGAATGATATTCAGGAAAATCTAAAAAAAAAAAAAAAGGGGGACAGAATCACCATGTCTCTGAATGGATGACTGTAGAGATACTATAGAGATATGGATACTGTAGAGATAACCAGTTTTCCCCAAATTAATTTAGAAATTGAATTCAACTTTTCAGTCAAAGTTCTGAAAGAGTTTGTTTTGATGATAAGAATTTAACAAAATGATTCTAGGCTTATCTTAGCAAAAAAAAAAAAAACAGGTAAAAAGAGCTGAAACATTTTTGGAAAAGAATAATGAAGCCATATTCTCTCTCCAAATATTAAAATGTATTATAATGTAAATTAATAAAAACAGGATGGTAAAGGCCAAAGAATAGGTGGATAGAGTAGAAAATCTAAAAAGACAAGTACATGTAGATCCAAACACATGTAAACATTTAGTGGAATTTCCAATCAGTATATAATGATTCATTAATTTAAAAAAAAATGGTTCCTGGACAAGTGATTGATAACATGGAGAATGAAAAAGGTTAGATTTATACTTTACAAACCATACACATAAATAAATTTCAGAAAGGTTGAAAATCTAAATATTTAGAATGAAATGATCAAAGAACTAGAAGATAATTTAGATGAATATTACTGTAATCTTAGGTTTAGAGCTTTTAAAACATGATAAGGAAGAAACCATAAAGGAAAATAGAGATTTGAATATATTAAAATTTTACACTTCTATAAATGAAAAATAAGCCATGAAAAAACATAAGAAGTTACAATAACTATTGCCACATAAATCACTCTCTTAAGATTGATTTTCATATATAAAAAGCAGTAAAAGCAAAATCCCAATAGGAAATAGCCTAAGTGCATAATTCACAAGAGAAAAAAATATGAGTCAATAAATGAACTAAAAAGGTCGTTATTAATCAAAGAAATGAAAAAATCAAACAATATGATTTTTATTAGGTTGGCAAAAACTTTTTTAAAAATTACAATATTCAGTATTGGCCAATTTGTGGGAGATAGGCACTGTCATTTCTTACTAGGGAAAATGTAAATTGGTGCAGTCTTTCTAGACTTGCGCTGTCCAGTAGAACTTTCTAGGTCGGTAGAAAAGTTCTATATCTGTGCAGTTCAATACAGTAGCTACTAGCCATATGTGACTCGAGCACTTGAAATGTAGTTAGTGCGATTGAGGAAGTGAATTTTTAATTTTATATAAGTTTAACTAATTTGAACTTTAATAGCCACATGTGGCTACCATACCGGATAGTGCAGACAAGAAGATAATTTGGCGACACATATAAAATGCTTTTAAAAAATGAGGGGTGTTCCTTTCCATCGAGCAATTTCATGTCCTAAAGAAAAAAAATCCAAATAGTCACAAAGAAGTACCTACATGTATGTTTATGGAGGTGCTGTTTATAATAAAAAGCTGAGGATTACATGTGTCTAACAGCAGTGGATTTACTAAGGTATGATATGTGTATAGTATTGAACCTGCATTGCATGTTATACAAGCTTGTAAGCTATTTTAGGAGAAATACATAATTCTTAACATACTATACACTTTTAGATGGAAATGCAATTACCAAACGTCATCTGCGTTATGATTCCACCTGTTTAAAAAGTTAAACACACACATGTGTATGTCTCTATTTACCAATATGGTACTACTATTTGTCTCTAGCAGGTAGAATTTTAAATTTTGTTTACATGTTTTTCTTAATTTTTCTGTACTGAACATACATTACTTTTATATTCAACAAAAATAAGTTATTTTGAATTTGTTTTGAAAATCATGTCAAGTGGGTCTCTAAACAGTGTGCTCACTTCCAAGCCCCTTGCTGTTGTAAAGGATGCTGCTGCTTTTATATTTAATCCTGGAGTAAATGTCTGAGTGCATCATAGGATTCTATGAAGCACATTGGAGACCCAAAAATGCTCCAGGAAAAGAAATGGTGGGGAGACCTTTACAGACATTCAGGTGGATGCCTCTGACTTCCTTTAGCTGTTCTGTTGCTGGAAGAGAAGGATATTTTTGTGCTGAATGAAAAACTTGCTAGAACTTGGTGCGGTAGTGCACACTCCACCAGCTTACCACCTCCATCCAGGCTAATTTATGAGATTGATGAGTCCAGAGCTAGGGGATGGGCCAAAACGCAGTGGTGGCAAACAGACCCCTGGGTGGTCGCTAAAGACATGATCTTCTGTCCTAGAGAGAACCTCCTCACACAGTGCTGTCCAGCACCCAACCACAGCCAGAGTGGAAAGTGAAAAAATGCTGACTCATTTTTTCCTTGGGCTTCTTAGATCCTTTCGCTGGCAAGACACTGTCTACAGTCTGAAACCGAGGGATCATAGGGGACTGAATCCACCATTCTTCTCCCAATCCCTGCAACTCCTTCTTCCCCTGCAACTGGTTCTCTTTTCCCATGACATTAAATCTCAGCTCATTTCAGCTTTAAGCAAGCTGCATCTCTGGCCTGGAGGGAACCCAGATTATACATTTAATGGAACGTCATGTTTTCTCAACCAGGAGCAAAGACTTCATAATGATAACCTAGAAAATACCACAGTAACACAATAGGGCATTATTAGTGGCTTTGGCGACTGGGCTGGTGGACTGGGCTGCACAAGGCTTTATACTGATGGAATTTCATGTTCACTTAAACATGCTTTTCTGGTTATAGTCAGGAAAAATAGATTGCTGGGAATTCAGTCGGGGATTTGAAAAGTTAGATTTGGAAGGCTCTGTTCAACAAAAAGCAAAGAAACAGCTAGCCTCTTTTAAGTCTTCCAGGGGATCTTCCAAGATGAATGCACCCATTTGACCAACCCACAGACATAACTACCTTCCCTCTCTCACAGCACCCCCCCACCCTCTCTTATTACGTATATGTTTATGTATTACATATTGGACTATTTTACATGGAGCTATTAGTCACTTGAATGGAGATAGTGGATTCTGCATCATGAATCTCAAGTGGCTGGCTATGTTATGTGTGCCCTGAAGACTTCAAAAATAGAATGTGGGAAAGAGAGCAGGAGGAGTGGAGATGGTGGTCTGGAAGGCAGGAGTAAACGCTGAGCAGCTTTATTTATAGGACTTGCCAAAGCCACAGCCTGTCATTCATTTTCTGCACCTAATAAATCCTTATATGTCTAAAGGCCCCCCACAGGCTCACCATGTGCTCCTTCCCCGTAAGACCTCCGACTCCCCCTGCCATTTCCCTTCTGTTCGGCACCAGTTTTCTTTTTCTTCCACTGTACAAAGGGATTCCATGTTGCCACTCCCCCAGAGTTCCAACCACAGCACCCACACCTGGATGATGCCCTGCTGGTGCTGATTTGCAGGACCACTGTTATGTGTTGTACTCCAGGGACAGGATCATCAGATAGATTTTTGTAGCATTAGGCTGGAAATTTCCCCATCAGGTATAGTACTGGCTTTTTTCTGGGAAAATATCTTCTGAGTTCCCAACTACTAACTTACAAAAGAAATACTGGATTGGGAACTTGTGTGAGTCTTGCAGACTCATGCTCTCTCACAAGGGTCCCAAAGACAACCTTGTTTGGTAGGTAGGGCGAAGCATGACTGTCCCTAATTTGAAGATAAGAAAACCTTTGTTCAGTCCACTGGGTTAAGTGACTTGCCCAAGGACCTAGGATTAGATCACGACAGAGCTAGGACAGTGTCTGCCCTTGACTCCCAGACCAGCTCTTTCCACTCATCTTCCCTGTAGAGTTGGGCCATAATGAGAAGCACATGGCAATACAACTAGAGGAACTGGGTAGATTCCAGGAATTCAAAATCCCCGCATCAGAGTTTCAGTAAATCATGGTGCATAAGGCGATTAAAGTTACTTAATTGAGGAGCTACTACTCTGCTGTTAAATCAGCTGTAGTTGATGGAAAGTATCAGGAACTCCAACCCCCTGCAACCCAGAGAAATGCTCCAGAGATCTAGGGGGTTAATTGATGAGTCAGACTTTAAGGTGTGTTCAGGACATTTTATTATGATAAATTCGTAATTTGTTCAGACTGAATCTGATAGAAAAAGGAAACTGAAGTCTGTAAATATGCTAAAACACACAGATGTAGCTTATTTTCAGAAATACATTGGAAGATGGCTTAGTGTCTGCAAAATTGGCTCTGAATAAGGAAAGCAAAGAGTTCAATAGAAGGCACCTTGAAGGTGCTACAATCAGATATTTTTTATATTTTTGGATTTTAATTCGTATAAGTCTTGTATATTTATTGTTAATTTCATTCCTAAGTATTTGATCATTTTGGTTATTGTAATGGGAAATTTTCTTCCATTTTAACTTGTTTGCTCTTAGACATATAAAGAGTATAAGTATCTGTGTTGATTTTGTTGTGAATTATTTTACTGTTTCAAATAATTTCCTAGTTGATTCTCTTGGGTTTTCTGGATATATAATTATATAACCTGCAAATAACAATTTTATCTCCTCTTTTCTCATTTCATACTCTAATTTCTTTTTTTCAACTTTTAAGTTCAGGGGTACATACAAACCTGCGCATCCTGCATATGTACCCCTGAACTTAAAATAAAAGATGTTAAAAAAAAGAAATTACATAAGAATGTGTCATGGAGTTTTGTTGTACAGATTATTTCATCACCGAGGTATCAAGCCTAGTACCCATTAGTTATTTTTCCTGATCCTCTCCCTCCTGTCACCTTCCACCCTCCGACAGGCCCCAGTGTCTGTTGTTCCCCTCTATGTGTCCATGTGTTCTCATTGTTTAGCTCCCACTTAACAAGTGAGAACATGCGGTATTTGGTTTTCTGTTTGTGCATTAGTTTTCTAAGGATAACAGCCTCCAGCTCCACCCATGTTCCTGCAAAGAACATCATCTCCTTTTTTATAGCTACATAAAATGCCATGGTGTATATATACCACATTTGCTTTGTCTAATTTATCATTGATGTGCATTTAGGTTGATTTCATGTCTTTGCTATTGTGAATAGTGCTGCAGTGAACATATGCATGCATGTATCTTTATAATAGAACAATTTATATTCCTTTGGGTATATTCTCAGTAAAGTGATTGGTGGGTCGAATGGTATTTCTGTCTTTAGGTCTTTGAGGAATTGCCACACTATCTTTTACAATAATAATTTTAAAGGGCATCAGAAAAATAGTTATCAGGGGCCAGGAATTTCTTTTATTATTATTATTTTTGTATTGAGGTGGACTTAATGCTTGGTTTTAAATGCTCCTCTAATTAAGTTCCACATTTGGAGAAGGCCTTTGAGGCCAGGCAAGAGTTGGTAGAACTGCCTGCAAATTGGATAGTTTGGCATATGGGTCAAAAATAAAAATAAATAAGGCAAAACTGTTTTGTTTTGTTTTGTTTTGTTTTGTTTTGTGTTTCTGTCTGGGTCAGCCAAGTAACTACCTCTACTTTATTTAGCTGTGGAGACCTGGTTAAACTCAGTGTCAAGGAGTGTTGGAGGAAGGCACCTGTCCCAAGATAACCTGTAATTATGTCCAAATGCTAAAGGATTCCTAGTGGTCCAGAAACAAATTCTGGGATCAATTAGGGAGACTTGGCTGTCACATAAATGCAAATGGGATTTGCTCTATGCTAATTTAGAATGTGTGTCTATGTTTGGTATGCGGCCAAGAGACTGGATCTTGCCTCTCCCCCTGATTACTCTGCAATAAAAGACAAAGAGAATATTTAAACATTTGTTGACACGTTTTTCAGACACGTCAGGTTCATACTGAAAAAGTAATTAGATTTCTCCAATTTGACTCAGCAGATTCTTCCATTCATTTGGCATAGATGACATACTCAGTTTTGATCACAAGTGTGTACTCCAATACATGCGTGGATGAAACAATGCCTATTGCAAGCAATGTCCTGCTATGGGAGGTAAAAGGAATGCAAAATAAACAGGAAGAAGTCCCAGGCTGTCAGGTTTTTATGGAGAAAAGTTAGAGGACTCTAGGCAGCCAGAGCTAAAGGCTTCAGTGAGGATTTGGGAAAGGGGCCAAGTAAAGTCAATTTTAGATCAGTAAGAAATAAGAAGTAACATTTACTGAACCCTTGCTACCTGCCAGACGCTATAGTAAACACTTTGCCTGTATGACCCTGTTTAGTGTTTACAACCCCCATAAGGTCTGTACAGTCATCATTACCATTTCACACGTGAGGAGACCGAGGTTTAGAGAGGTTACCCAAGGTCACTCTGAATGGTGAAACTAAGTCTCAAACCCAAGCCCCTCTGACTCATAATCTATGCACAAAGTTAAAAAGAATCTAAATATGCAAAAGAACATTGAATCAATCAAGGTAGGTCAGGTTATGCTGTGATAACAAATAACCCCCGAATCTCAGTTACACAAAACAACAAAAGTTTTATTCTCTGCATATACTACATGTCTGATAGGAGTCAGCAGGGCTCTTCTTATGGTGATGGTTCTGGGAGCCAGGCTGGTGGAGATTCCTTCCTGATACCTCCTGCCACCATCAAGGCTGCGAGGGAAGAGAATGCTAGATGATGTCTTGCTGGCCATGAAATGCTCCAGCCAGAAGTGACGTGCATCCTTCTCCTCACAGCCTGTTGGTCAGAACTGGTCAGATAGCCTCACTTTATGGAAAAAGACTTGAAGAATAATCCTCCATGTGCCTAGATGGAAGGGAAAGCCAGATATGGGTGGACAATAAAAGCTTCTACTGAAAACGTATAATTATAGCTTGCTTTGGCTTGAATAAGCAAGAAAGAAGTAGCCATTGAGAGAGAATAAAGAGATAAGACTTCTGGAGAAAGGTCAGTTTTGAGCCAAGTCTTGGATATACAGCATTCATCAACCTAGAATTACTGTCAGACGTGATGTTTCAAATATGCCCAAGAGGCAATGATAGCTCCTTCTCTTTTCCTCCCTTCCCCATTCTCTGCATACTTTAGATGAAATATTCAGTGAGGTGGGCGGGGGATTAAATTAGATTAAATGGAAAGTAGAAATGGAGATTAGACATGCTCTCCTGCCACCTAAGTATTACATGAATATATTTGAAAGATAAAACTCTCTTTTTCCATAGTTTATGGAATACGAGGGAATTTGAAAGGCTGGGGAAAGACAGCAGCCCATGGAACACAGACCACTGCAGCAGCAGAGCTCAGAGGATGCCTGTACACTGCAGGGGCTGATTCTGAGTTTGAATCAAGAGTATCTGGGCTCCTACTAGTGCTTCTCAATGAGGGTGCTGTTAGCATTTTTGATGGGACGGTGTTTCATTGTGATGGACTGTGGGATGCTTTAGCATTCCTCATCCTTGCTTTCTAAATACCATTAGCCTTTCTGGTCATTGTGATGACCAATAAATAACAGCCTCTATACTTATTTCTAAGGTTGGTACCACCTTGGTTGAGAACTCCTGACTAAAAGAAGGCAGGGCAGAGCAGGGTATGCCATTGATGTTGATTCCTAGCATCCAAGAACCACATCTGGGCATTTGTCTGAAGGAAGAAATTGGGAAGCTTCCATGATAAAAGCTCCAGTGGAAATTGTAGACCTTGGGAATGAATATGCTAAACTGAGGTTCTCAACCAAGGGCCAGATCACAACTTCAGAGGCCTGAGGCAGACGTGTATTTTGGAAAAGCTTCCCAGGTGATTCTGATTCAGGTCCCTCCCTCAGTGAGTCATAAGACTGAACAGGAAGACAAGAAAAGTTGCCCCATAATGATGGCTCATGGTTATGGCCTTATGATGAGGATATAGCTGAGGCAGCACACACCTTGGAGCTGGGCTATAGGCAGAGCTCTTATTTTAGATGGTGGCAGAAGAAACCACACACAATATGAAGGCAGAAGAGCAAAGGTCACTGAGAGGCCATGTTTTGCCCTTCAGTGTTGCCAGGTCCTGCTGTGTGTACATATACATTTAAGCCATGTTGTTTACTAGCCAGGACACTCCTTTGCTTCCTTTCTCATAAGTCTCCCTACATGAAATGTGCCTCATGGGAATGCTTAACACAGGGCTTAAGAAGGCCACCTTCGGAATCAGGCATCTGCAGCTTTAAATATCAGCTCAATGCTTCAGCAAGCATTGTGACCTTGGGCAAATTATTTAGCCTCTCCGAACTTCAGTATTGTTAATAAAATAGGCATTAAAATGTCTGCCTCACAAAAGTGTTGTAAAGATTAAAACCTTTAATTAACCATTTGGCACATGAGTGCTGAGACGATAGATGGTGATGGTGATGGTTATGGTGGTGGAGGTGGACGTGATGATAAAGATGATGGTGATGGTAGTGGTGATGGTGACAGTGATAGTGGTGATTATGGCAATGTTGATAGTTGTGATGAAGATGATGATGGTGATAAGGATAATGGTGATGGTGGTGGTGGTGATAGTGATAGTGATGATGATAATGGTAGTAGTGATGATAGTGATGGTGGTGGTAGTGATGATGGTGATGGTGATATGGTGGTGGTGGTGGAGGTGGAGATGATGATGATGATGATGATGATGGCAGTGGTCATGGTGGTGGTGGTGTTAGTGCAGAAACAGAATATGGTCCTCTAACAAAAGATGCCTCCATAGATTCCAAGCAGTACTGCCTGGCTAGGATAAGGAATATATCAGTTCAATATTTATCAAGCTGTGCTAGAGTTCTGGAATCAAAAAATGCCTAAAACAAGTGCCAAGTCTCAAGGAGCTCAAAGTTTTGTAGAAGACATGGGGAAACAGTGAAATAATTTAATTTTGGTTGAGATGAGAGGGACTTAGGAGGCTTCATAGAGGAGGTGACTTTGGATCTGGAACTTGGAAGTTGATCAGGATTTTGTCAGGTGACAAAGTAAAGAAAAAGGCAACATTTAGGAAAGCAAACTAACACATACTCTTTGTAATATGAGTGTGACAGGGAAATAATCTGGAAAGAGTTTGGATTTTATTCCATCAGGAATAGGTTATGAGATTAAAGGTTTCTAAGGACAAAAGTGTCAAGCTTATGTATGTGTTTTAGAAATACATATCTATCATCTATGTTTGCAGTGAGGATGAAGGAAAAAAATAATAAATGAGACTGGGGGCTCTTTTGTATTAAGGATCAGCAGGATTGGATGAGCCACTGGCTGTGAGTGAATGGGAGAGGAAAGGGTTGCAACAGTAAGGAGCAGGCATCAGAAGGAAAGAGAAGTTGGTGTGGACATGCTGAGTCTGAACATGTAGGGCATGTGCATGGAGATGTTGAGTAGGCAGTTGGCTTGATACCCTGGAGCTGAAAATAAAAACTTGAGTGTTGTAAGCCCAAGGGTAATAGTTGAAAATGCAGGTATGGATAATAAATAATATCAAGATAATATCAGGATTTTTAAATGCCCAGAAGAGGTGGAGTTTGAAGAGGAAGATGGCCAAAGTCCAACCCAAAGGAATTGCTAACAGGAATTGTCTGGGCAAGAGAAGAAATTACACTAAACAGAGCTGAGAAGAAGCAGAACAGTCAGAGAACCAGCAAAGAATTGTATTAGTGAGGCAAGGAGGGACAGAATTTCAATGGGGGGAAGGGGTGATCATTCAGATGCTTTCTCCTGAAATCATCTCCTCCTCAATTTATGGTCTTGGTGAATGGTGGCCCTATAAGTCCAGCTGCTTAAGCCAGAGATATGAGAGTAATCTCTTGTTCACACTCAAGTCTGATGATATCCACTGCCATATCTCTCCCAGGTTGACCTTGTACTCTACCTTGTCATTGTCTTAGCTCAGGCATTCACCATTTTCACCCAGTTATTGGTCTCTTTGCTTCATTTCTTTACCCCTCTCCCCACCTTGTATTCTTGACAATCAATTCTAAAATTGATCTTTTTAGAACACAAATCTGATGTCGATACTATCTTCCCTCTCACCTCTTACCCCTTAGACATTTCCGAAGCTCTTTCAGGATAAAGTGTAAACTCTTCAGCAAAGTATGCAAGACCCTTATTGCTCAGGTCACTATGCATTTCCAAAACTTCATATCTTACCATATCCCACATCTTTTTAATTTTCAAAAAACTGTACTGCATAGTTCCCCAAACTAACCCATGCCCTCTCTTGCCTTTGGCTCTAATGCCCTTCACCACCACACCCATCTTTACCTAGGTGATGCCTGCCCATTTATCCTTTGAGACGATTACTAGTGCATGGTCCCCTTCTATTACTAGTTGCGGGCTCCCTGTGGTAAGAAAAAAAATAATAATAAGAACAACCACTTTTCTATGTTATTTCTTCATTCAAAGTTCCTTCCTTATTCAGAATCTCCTAACCCCATAACAACTCATATTGCATGACAAGCAGTGGAGTGGTCCATTTTCAAGAGATGGAGAGGAAAAACCCTTAGTGTTTGTCCTATGGGGTTTCATCCAGTGACCTGACCTGTTTTTCCCCTGATGCTTAATGATATGCAGCCCTAATTAATAAATACCTGTAGAGACCTCCTGGAAGATGGCTTTCCCAACATCTTGATTGCAAAAGGATTATGATCAGAATCATAGTCAGCCTACCATCGCTCTTGACGTTAAAAATAATGCAGATTCCAGGTCTGCAGAAATTATATAGTAAATAAGAATTCTATAGCAAATAAGAGAAAAGTGAAGACTCCTAACTGTAACTTTAGACCAGTCACAATAATAAACAATATAAGGTAAAATGAAACTTCAGATGCTATTAGACAACACTAAGCATAAATAACCGTTAAAGTTCATTGTTAACAGAGTGACCAAACATCCTAATTTGCCCAGGACAGGCCTGGTCTATGCTTGTTGTCCCAGCATAATTATGAATGTCTTCTTCTTTTACTCTCAAAAGTTTCTCAGTTTGGATTTTAAATTATATGGTCATCCTGATTATTAACTATTGTAAAAGACAATATCAAAAGGAAAGGGGATTGAAGGTCAAACAGGTAAAGCAACTTGCACACTTTGTTCCATTAAAATGGGCAGCCATTTCAGCACTCCTGCTTCCATTTAAGTGCTCTAATTTTAAGTCTTTTCTGGAATCCTCACTCCCAAATTCCCGTAACAATTAGCGGAAGTTCTTTAATACCTCTCACTATCTTAGCACCTAACACTCTGAACTGTAATTGTACATTTCCTGACCCTTCCATGGGGAGGCAGTGTTGCCTAATGGTTAAGAGCACAGGGTTAAACCCAGAAAGACTTTATGAGCATAGCGTTTGGACAAGCATGGACTTCAACATGGACTCTAAGTCTAGACCACCTGGGTTCAAATCTCAGCCCTACCACATACTAGCTGTATGTCCTTGAGTAAGCTACTTAACCTCTCTATGAATTCAGTCTCCTCATCTGGAAAAAGGGAGATAATAATAGTATGTGTCACATAAGGTTGTGCTCAGAACAGCGTTGGCCACACTGGAAATGCTAGCTGTTATTATTAAGTGGCAATGAATGTAAAGTGCCCAGCACAATGCCTGCTGCTTAGTCAGTACTCAGTAAATGTGAAGTGTCATAATTATTCATCTTTATATAGACTACAAAGGACCAACCAGGCACTCAAATATCAGTTTGCTGATCAATATGTGCATACTATAAGTAGGTCCAGCAAGATGAGAACTGAAAACAAGCCATATACTTTAGCAGAAATAAGGGCATTGGTGACTTTTGGAAGTGCTGTTTTGGGGCATCATAAGAGCAGAAACTAAAAATTAATGAGCTGAGGGGCTTAATGGGAGATGAGAAAGCAAGTTTATGACTTCAGAAAAAGATCTGGAGCATCTGGAGCATAAACAGTTAGCTTCTCCCTCATTCCTTTCCCCTCTATCATCTAAAACTGTCCCATCTCCCAAAAGAAAAAGCCTGAAGAAAGTGTCTAGGAGACGCTGCATCGGGTCCAGAGACTAAGGGCGTTGACACTGACATGCAACACATGCGTTAGAAATTCACTAGAAATAAAGCAGACGGACTGAGTATGAAAGAGGTCAAGCCAGGGTCTACTTTCAACTCTGTTGCCAAATTGTAAAAAAATATGGAGAGAAAGATCAGTGAGGAGCCCCTAGAATAATCCCAGATCTGGAAGTGAGTTTGCAGTCGAGTGGGGACCTGAGAGAGATGAGAACCATCCCCTTGGAGCCCTGTTGCTGTTGGGCATCAGCATCATGCAGTGGCAGCTGCTCTGTGGGGGTCAAAGGGGAAACCAAGCCACAAGAGATGCCTATGAAAACCAGGCACCTCCATGACTGTGATCCTGTCCAGCGCTGCTGAGTCCTCCCGCCAGATCGCGCGCCTCCAGGGAAACGGCAGAGTTTTGTGTTTAATTATGTGGATGTACTGGGGATCAAGATGAGGCCAGGTATAGCACAATGCGAACCTGAAGTAGAGGCCAGGCCAAAGCATCCCCTACATATGGCAAGCTGGAATGATGTAACTGTGTCCAAAACAAGCAAACAAACCTTGCAAAGGTGAAGTTCCTTTGTGGAAATGACTGGGGTTGATTCCATTCCCCACTCTCCCCTAACTGATGGAACAACAACATGATCTTACTTTAGCCATCAAGACTAACTCCTTTTCACCAGATTAATTCCTTAGAGAAGTTTATAAGTGTGAGATGATGCAAGTGTGTGTGTGTGTGTGTATGTGTGTGTGTGTGTGTGTAAGCTATTTTGGAAGCAAATGCCAAGCCAAGTTATACCTTTCCACATTCAAGGATGAAAATAGGGCCTACAAAAGTTTAGCACCTTAAGATAAGTGATTAAACAAAATTCCTGAGGTGGAAGAATAATATATTCATGGAAAGCATTTTCAGTAGCAAAAAAAAAAAAAAGGTCAATTGTGGCACCATATGACTTCAATTAAGTTAAATAAAACAGTAAATTTGTGAAACAGGAGAAAAAATATGAAGTGAGAAGGGACTTAGAACGGTTAAGGAAATATAAAATAATATGGAAAAATTTAAAGTCACCAAAGAAGCAGTAAAGAGCAGAACAGACAATGCAGAAAATGAAATAAATGATGCAGGCATGTTTAAGGAATTCTCATAATTTCAGGAGGAAAACACAGCTAGAGGAAAGTGATGAATGATAAAATGATAAATAATGAATGAAAAAAATAGCTATTCAAAGGACCAAATAACTTTTCATTGCTAAAGTATAGTCTAGAAGAAACTTTCAATGCTTTAATAGAAGAAAACTCTTCTGACTTAAGAAAAATTTGAAAATGCAGATTAAGTAGGCTCACCAAGTGATAATCTCAATTAATTATTCATTAAAAAACACTAATATTTAAACATTTCCTGGTGACAATCTTTAAAAGACAAAAGAAGAACTTTATAAGTGGGAAGAAAACACATGGTACCTGCGAAGGCTCTGAACATTAAATGGTGAATTTTGATTGACACAATTAATCTTTTATGATGGATAAAATTTTTGATGAAGAAATTCTGATGGATTTATGAACTAAAATGTTATACCTAGCCAAGATATCACTTACACATGAAAAAAAATAAAAAAGCATTTTCAGATACATATGGATTCTTTCTGAAAGGGGAATGGGATAATTTTCTTCAGGAAATTATCTGAAATGTGAATCAAAGTTTAAAAATATAAAATATAATAGTTATTACACAAAAGAAGTGGAAATGACCATTGAATCAATTTTAGCAAATATATGTCTAAATAGTATTTTCAATAAATTTTGACATAATATTGCATCAACAGACAAAACCAGTCTGTCGTGAGAAAGGAACAAGCTGAAAATAAGAAGCTTTGGGGGAAAAAAATACACTGTTTCTGAATATTCAAATCCATTAGAAATAATGACCACCACATTGAATATTGCAAAAAAGTAGATTCAGTTCATCAGAGGACAGTTTGAGAAAATTCCTCAGAACTTAAGCTGAAAGGATGCAGAGATTAAAATTATGAGAAAAGAGGCTGGGTGCGATGGCTCTCACCTGTAATCCCAGCACTTTGGAAGGCCAAGACGGGCAGATTACTTGAGGTCAGGAGTTCGAGACCAGCCTGGGCAACATGTTGAGACCCCCCCCCCTCCATCTCTACTAAAAATACAAAAATAATTAGCCAGGCGTGGTGGCGCGTGCCTGCTGTCCCAGCTACTCAGGAGGCCGAGGCACAAGAATTGCTTGAACCCAGGAGGCAGAGATTGCAGTGAGCCAAGTTCACACCACTACACTTCGGCCAGGGCAACAGAGCAAGACCCTGTCTCAAATAAAATAAAATAATGAGTAAAGAGAAAAGTAGGTCAAAGACTAGATCCAGGATATCTAATATCTAATATATATATATATTAGATATATATAGATATAGATATATACACAATAACAATTCTGGGGACAGAGAACACTTATAAGAGATACAATAAAAAATAATAATAAAGGAAGATAATTTTCCTGAGCTGCAGAAAGATTGGAGTCTTTAGATTTGGAAGATTTAGGTAAAATACTCAGCCTAATTAGTTTTTTTAAATGGTCTACAACTTGTACAATCTTCGATAATTTCTTAAAATATAAGAATAGAAAAGTCTACATTCTTCCAACAAAGAAAAAAAAATAGGCTCAACAAAAAGGAAAGTGAGATTCAGACTGGCGTTAGTTTTTTTACTCTACACATTAAATGTTCCAAAAAAGCTCAATAATTATAAGGTTTTGAGTGAAATGTGATTTTAAAATTCCTTAGTCAGGCTTTAAAATGATACACATTTTAAAATTGTATTACTTACTGAAAAAATTACCTAAAAATATTGACATCGGAATGGAAAATATATGTGAAAAAATATATAAGAAAAAGACATGGCATAAAAGAAACAGAAGGAATGGCTCTAGAAAAGTTAAGAAGTCAATAATAAGGCCATCAGTGAGACTTTGTAGCAAAATATAAAACTGAAAGAATGGATTGTCAATAGAGAAAATGAAAAATGTAAAATTTTTATGCGAGGTAGCAAAAATCACTCATATTACATTTACATATGCAAGAAGATGCGGTTTATTCTTAGCTCCCAAACTCCTCTTTTCTTCCAAGTCCACCTTCTGGGTAGCAAGAGGGAGGGAAATCCATAAATTTTGAATCCAAGTTGTGATAATAGTCCATTGTGGTGATTTTTTAAAATCCCTTTAGGTAAAATGCTCAGTCTTTCAAATGTTGCCTTTCCCTCACCAATAGAATCTGGGTATTTGAAGGAGATGGATTTGTCTCTGTGAAGGAGTCCTTCGATTCTGGACCAGTTGGTTTCATGGAAAGTTCTGTCACATCTTCAAGGAACAGAAAATTTCAGTACTAGTGTTAAACGCATACAGACAGCAGGAAAAAATAGTTTCTCAATTCACTTTATGAAGCTAGCATAGATCTAATAACCATATCTACCAAAGATAATACCTTCATACACAAAACTTCCCACCAACTTCTGAATAAAAACTTTAAATTTTAAATTAAATACATATTGTTAAAAAACTAACAGTATAGTAAAGGAATAATATCCTAAGACCAAGTAAAATTTATCCTAGGAATGCAACAGGGCTTCAATATTTGAGAAATGTTTAAGATAACTCCAATTTTTTTGACTGCTGAAGATAAAAACTGTATCTCAGCAGAATCTGAAAGACATCTCTGAATACTTAAGCATTCAAGGATATATTCAAAATATATTTTGAACCCTATACCCTACAGAGAATAAACTTTCCTTTCAAATGCCCATGAAATATTTATTAGGTCACAAAGAATGCCTCCATATATCTCCCAAGGCGCAATTTTTCCAGTCTGCATTATCGGCAATAAATAACAGGAAATGAATAGCAAAGTACACCAAAACTTCAGCTATCAGGAAAAAAAATACAGATTTGTATATTATCTTGTCGTGAGAAAGACATGACAGTGAATACAGAAATTTAGAAAAAAACGAGTCTGAAAGAAAGTGATTGTCTGGGACATAAGCTGGCGAACTATGGCCTGCAGCCTGTTTTTGTAAATAAAATTTTATTGTAGTACGGCCACATTCATTTTGTTCATGTACTATCAATAGCTGCTTTTGTGCTACAAAAAGCAGAGTTGAGTAGTTGCCACGGAGACCACATGGCCCCCAGAACCTGAAATATTTACTGTCTGGCCCTTCACAGAAAAAGCTTGCCCACCCCTGGACTAAGAAAACATTTGCAACCGAATATAAAATGGGCCAAAAATATTGAGACCAGGGTCAGCTTCATGGGCATGGGACCTGTGCAGTCAGCCACCCAGGGCCTCTCATTTCAAAGGGCCTGGCCCTTGGTTTAAGGGCCATCTTGCCATCTTGAATTTTGTTAAGTTTTGAACAAGAGACACTGCATTTTCATTTTACCCTAGGTTCTGCAAATTATGTAGCTTATCTTAATTGATACAAAGAAAAATGAACCATAAATGTGAAAAAATTATGGCTTATAGTTAAATACATCCAAATTAAAACAATAGTGAAATCAGTTTGTCCTTCCTCTGCCCACCCTCACTGCACAGTCTAATTACGTTGATGTGGGGACAGTCTATAGGGTAATTGGCTCCTAGAGAGCCAAACATGAACCCCTCATTCTTAGCATCTGTCCCTCCCTCTCTCTTTTCTTTTCATAATCCTCAGATAGCAAAGGGCTTTCTGTCCCTCTGCTGTACTGCCAGCCTAAGGCATGGATTTCTTCACCAAATGACACAAGAGGAAATTATGTCCTCCTTATATTGTGATCTTAATCCTCCAAGTTTTGTTCTTTAACTGCTAAAGGAATTTAGAAAATCTCTCTTTGACAAAGTCTTGCTTCCAAACCAGTTGTCTTGCTGCAAAAATCATATTTTGAATTTCAAATGTTAACTTTTTCCCCTTTTCTGCATCACTGCTGGAAAAACAGAATCCCCCACTGCTCCAGGGTGGCTCCTGCCAGATGGATGTCTCCGACTGACCAGGGTCACTTTCTGTGCAGTTGCTAAAGAGAAAAGCACAGTACAAAGTTCAAAATATTACCCCCATTATGTATGTAAAGATATTGTTAAAAAATATTCATCAGAATTCTTTTATAATGGTGAAAAAGTAGAAGCAACTCAATGTACAAAAAGGAATTATAGCTATTATAAAGTTATAATTGTACAAGTTATAAAGTGGAGAAAATGCAGATGTTACAAGTGATGTTGGGAAGGATTAGTGAATGAAATAAAAATTTGTTCATAACCATAATGACATTAAGTGAAAAAAGCAGAGACCATAACCTGTAAATACACAAAGTGAAGATGCTTGGGGAAAAGTCTGAAAGTAAAATCATTGCAGTGAAGGCAATGGTTCTATCTGAGCTGTGGGATGATGGGTGATTTTTATTTTCTTCCTTTTGTTTGTCTTTCCCTCCTCTCTACCCACCCCCCCAAAATTTCCAACAATGGACCTGCTGCTTTTGTGATACGATATTTGTAAACCCTCTCCCTTGGTGCCCTCATTCTGCGTCACTTCCTCCTAAGTAACATCATCCACAGCCACTCTCACCCGACGATGTTGACCCATCCCCCTTTGATCTTTCTGGGGGATGCAAAGTGGCTACTGTGGCTTCATCTCTGTGAATCTGGCGAGTGTGAGGAATGGAGCCGCAGCTGTGCATTTCAATTATGGGAAATACCTTTTGGGTTACTAACCCATTGTCTGTATTCTTAACAACAGTGCTTTTGTGTTGAATCTGCACCAAAAGTACCAATAGTTGATATCAGAAAATGTTTTTAGGGTTCTCCTGGTGTACATGTGTTGTGTGTGTGTGTGTGCATGTGCCTGTCGAAAAAGGCAGAGTGGAGTTGAAAGGAGTGCATATTTTGCTGTAATACCTTTTTGATCATGATCCACAAGAAAAATACATTTTATATCTTGACACAGTACATATACAATACTTATGTGTAATTGAACAAAAGTTAACACATAACATTCTTTTAGTTACTGTATGCAGTATATTCTGGTATTTCTATTCTATTCTATTTTTTTAATGTTAGCAATGTCCCATGACATTGCTTTCCCAAATCACTAATAAATTCCATTCTGCAGCTTAAAAATCATTGTTTCCATAGGCATCAGTTAGATATACTAACAGGATATTTCATCACAAGTCAGTCGAGTGGGGCCAGGCACCCTGTCCTGGGGTCTCTGTGACACAGACAGGAGCAGAGCGGGCAGCCCCAACTCAAAGTACAGTGCTCAGTGACTAGGTTTGGGTCTGTATTGATGTCTAAAGAAGTTGGAGTGGAGGCAAAAGTCAAGGTCAAGCTTTTTGAGCAAGAGGGAGGTATGGCTGTGACTTGAAACAGTAATAGGAGGACAAAGCCTGAAGGCCTGGGCCAGGTTTAAGACTCCAGGCAGTCAGAGGACAGGGCAAGGCTAGGAGGAAGCAGAGGAAGGCATTGCCCTCAGATTATTGTTCAGTTACTTCCAAGGGTCTAATATGCAAAGAGTAGAAGCAAAATAAGAACTCCAAATCTCATTCTGACTTGTCTTCTAAAGGGCACTCTTTTCTTTGGAAGAAGCTGGGGAGGGAGCACAACAGCAAATGAATGCAGGGTCTCTGACAGCAGAATCAAGTGTGAGTCCCACTTACATGCGCCTGAAGCTGCTGAACATGTCTGTATCCTTCCAGGATTGGGACCCAAGTGGGTTGCTGAGGACATCAGTGACTTCAACTGGGTGGGGCTAAGGACAAGTAGAAATTGGCAGTTTTATAATTTCCATCCTTAGAGCTGCTCTGCTCTTCCAGGATTAAAAGACTCCTTGGTGATGGTTCCAACTGCAAACTTTCTTTTTCCCTTTTATTCTATTCTAATCTGTGTGCAAAAGAAGGGAGGATAATTTAAATTCATTTTGGCCAACTTGATTCTTTCTGACTCTGGTTGTATGTGTGGCTAATGGAAAGAGCCTGTGTTTTCTAAGGAGCTTAACCACAGGGAGGTTTGGAAACTCACATAAACAGAAAAGAATGCACTTCAGAAAACAAGTCAGAATGAGATTTGGAGCTCTTATTTTGCTTCTACTCTTTGCATATTAGACCCTTGGAAGTAATTAAACAATAATCAGAGGGCAGTGTCAGGTTCCATGCAGAACCCTGCACTGGGAACACACAGTGAGTGCAATGTCACAAAAATTTCTTGACTTCTTATCATGTTCCAAACACAAGAGAGAGCATAGTAAAACAAAAATAAGAAAGACACTCTGGAACTGCTTTCAGCAACAACCTTCTGGGTCTAGTAGTGAAGACTGGTGGCTTTCCCTCCCCATGGTCTAGTGAGCCCTTCTCCAAGGCCAAGTCAGATGGTAGTGTGGGAGGACATTGACTCTGGTTTTGAGTGGACCCAAGAGTATTGAAAGAATCTTCAAGCACAGAACTCTGTAAGACTATCTTCAAGCAGAATTCCTGGGAGGCTACTTGAATTCCAAATTCTGCTGAGATTTGTGCAGTGAAACACAGGCACAAAATCCCAAGAAGAGGTCTGGACCCTCTGTGCCATTCTGAGACCAAGTTGACCTATAATAGCCTTCAGGGGCTAGAACTGCATTTGAGTTAGGATTTAATGGAGTCGAAATTAGGGACCTTTTACATCCACTGATTTCTAGAACGTGGCACTGCAACTCTCTGTGACTACAGCTTGCCCAGCAGTTACGTGTTAAAGGCAGTTCTGGAAAAAAAATCTACAACAGAGTCCAATGGAACACTTTCTAGTACTATTTATATTTGGGCTTAGAAGGTTTTAATTTCCACCTGCAGCTTTGGTGATAATGAGTGGGTGGGCCATACTATCTGAAGATGGTATCAGGACTCCATAGCCAGAGTTTAAGGTCATTGACTTATAAAGAGACTGACATGATAAATGGCATGTTCTATACATTGTAGGGTGGAAAGAAACTGGAATTGGATCCACTTTCTGCCATTTCCCCCAGCCAACACCTACCTGGTTGTGACCAGGAGTCCACTTAGGTCTTCAGGATTGAGAGGAAGCCCAGGGTCTGAACTACCCTGAGTCAGTTATTCTGGCAGTAGCTACTAGGGCAGTTTCCACACCAGAAGATCAGTTACAAGGCCAAGTGCAGGTGAGACATACGTGTTTCAACAGAAAGTCTAAACTGAGTCATAGACCCAGCAAATTCATCCCTATGCAAGAAGGCAGCGGGGGGCGGGGTGGGGGTCTGGTTGAGGTCCCAGTGGTCATGGATAGGAAGTCAGCTGGGATTGGTGGGTGGTGGTGAGGCAGGGGAGAGGACTGTGGCATCAGACAGGTAAGCCTCCTGCCACTGGGGCTTTGGGTTAAAGAAATATAAGCAGTACCCCCAACAAGTTTGCTGCCATGCTGAAACCATAAGCAGCGGACACAGGGCTCTTTCTTTCTCCAAGAGGTGGTTTGATCTTGCGCTAGGACAATGCCTGCATGTGTGGGTTAAGAAGTTTCGGAAATAAAGAGTAGAAGGAGTCCAAGGTGCAGATCGAGATACCCCTTTACTCTCTTTTTCCTTTAGCAGCTGAGGCCCCTTGGAATCCCAGGGTAACCCAGAGAAGACAAACCCAGTTTGGTTCCTAGAATCTTAGAAGTTTGTGGTTTTACCTTTGATGATTGAGGAGGCAGGCTATGTACATCTCCAGCGTGGCTCAAAGGGTGTATATTTTGGTCAAGGCTTAAATAATTGTGTAAAGAATGATCACTTACATACATGAAGTGACAAACCCCAGCAGCGACAGGGCAGCTGTTAGCAGAGGAGCAAGCCTGTCATTGCCTTTTTGCCTCCAGTTTTGTTTTAAAGCTCTCATTTTATTTTCTTCTTCAGAAAATTCAGCTTTTGCCCATTAGCAAGAGTTTTGATGGATGTAGACTTTTGTCAACACCCAAGGATATATTTTGGATCTTTCCCTATATCTGGCATCAACAAATCAGGTGAACATCAAAATGGTATAAACTTTACATCAGTCAGATAGAAGTATAGTGAAAATGACATGTTTTAAGAAAGCTGGAAGTATGAATTATCATTGGGTGACACTTTTCAATAAGTAAAGGAATGCAAATTAATTTGTGGCTGTGAAATAGGGCCACTCCTTGAGAATGAGGAAATATTAACACAAAAAGGATTTACTTCAAACTCTTGCTCCTTAAACAGGGAGTCAATAATAGTTTCCCAATTCTAATTCAAGTTCCTATTTCACCAACACATTGCTTCTCCTCCTAGTATAATTTCCTGATTTTATTCTTTTATTTCTATGGGTACATAGTGGATGTATATATTTACAGGGTACATGAGATGTTTTGATACAGGCATGCAATGTGAAATAAGCACATCATGTAAAATTGGGTATTTATCCCCTCAAGCATTTATCCTTTGTGTAACAAACAATCCAATTATACTTTTTAAGTTACACTTAAATGTACAATTAAATTATTATTTATTATTATTGACTATAGCCACCCTCTTGTGCTATCAAATACTCGGTCTTACTCATTCTTTCTAATTTTTTTTGTACCCATTAACCATCTTCCCAGTATAAATTCCTCCCGGCAGAAATTCTCTACCGATGAGGAAATTGGACATGGGATAAAGGAGGTTTGGAGATTCCTCTCTAATCATTAGATATCTCACCCTACCCCCTCAGTAACCAGAATTTCAAAGATTAATTTTTCTGGTTGTATGGACCAAAACACAGCATTGCATTTCAGAAGTGGCCACTAATGGCCAGTCTTTAAGGAAATCTCTTGATTCTAGTGGAAAGGGGTTGTAGAATTCTGGATTGGCAATGGCTTATAGGCAGTCATGTGGCATATCTTCTGAGGCACCTGGAGAGCATTGGGCCATCTCTGCCAGATCACCACCCAGGACCCCCAGGGCCAGAGCATCCACCCTATGGCTGAAGGATGGCACCCTGGACCAGTCTATGTGACCTGAAGTATACAAGTGAACCCTGTCCAGGAGGATGGCCAGGTCTTTATGAAAGAAGATTTCTAAAGCTTTAAGCCCAGGGCTAGGATATGCAGTTCTGGTGAGCTCGTGGGAGACTCCAGATGCCATTCTGTTCAGAGATCTCCTGATGATCATGTGGGCCCAGTCACCAAGCAGCTATGCCCTAGAATCAGTGACCCATCTGGGAAGGCTTCTTACTTCACGTAAGTCACGGGAATTGGCGAGAGCCATCTGAGTCCCAAACCCAGGCTGTTTATCCAAGCCAAGGCAGAATAGTTGAGGTTCAGTTGGCAAAAGATCAGGAAGCTTCCATGAGCAATAGAGGCTTTTCCTCTTCATGCTCTTCTTTCTTTCATTCAATAAACAGGTAATGCTTGGGAGGGAAATTTCTTTAAGACCGATTGCCACCCAGTATCAGGGGATGCTGACAGAGAGGTGGACACGGTGGCCCTGAGAGCATAAGGCAGGGCCTTATGCATAAGGTAGTGAGTCCTGTCTGTGTTGGTTAAAAGCAACACGGAGAGACCAACCTGAGTTTGCTTGTTTTTTTGTTTTTTGAGATGGAGTTTCCCTCTTGTTGCCTAGGCTGGAGTGCAAGGGTGCAATCTCAGCTCACTGCAACCTCAGCCTCCCGGGTTCAAGTGATTGTCCTGCCTCAGCCTCCTGAGTAGCTGGGATTACAGGCATACGCCACCATGCCCGGCTAATTTTTGTATTTTTAGTAGAGACGGGGTTTCGCCATGTTAGCCAGGCTGGTCTGGAACTCCTGACCTCAGGTGATCCACCTGCCTTGGCCTCCCAAAGTGCTGGGATTACAGGCATGAGCCACTGCGTCCACTGACCTGAGTCTTGAATGAAGAGTTGCTTGCCACTGCGGACAATGAGTATCCCAAGCAGATGCAGTATGTATAAAGGCTGAGTAAGCAGAATAGACAAAGGGGTGCTTTTGACAGGAGGGGACCCTGGCACGCTCCTTCCAGATCCCTTCCCCATCTCCCCAGCTCCTCACCTCCCCTCTACAGGCTGCATGGTGCTGCACCATGAAACCACTTGCTCTTCCCCAACTTCCATGTTTTACACCAAGGATGATCCTTCTCCCCTTGTCTTCCTCACAAGTTTCTACCTGTCCTTCAAGAATGGGATTAAAAACCACCCCCCTTCACAGCCTGCACCAGCACAGAGAGCCATTCCCCTTTTCTTTTTTCCAAATGCACAGTCCTCAACTACAGCACTTTTCATGACAGGTTACATATTAATTCTTCTGTCTTCCTCACTCATCTCTGAGTTCTTGAGGGGAAAGCACCATTTCTTAGCCATCTCTGCACCTTAGGCAGCTAGAGTAGTGCTGGGTGATGTTATTTTTAATAGTTAATAAGAAATATTAAATCCCCAGTATAATCTTCCTGCCTCTGGTTATGCCAAATATCATCTCAAATTAGCCAAAGTGGGGTTCAAGATGAGCACACAAAAACATAATTATAATGAATATCTCCTGTATGAGGAGAAGAATCCAGGATTGAATCATTGCTTTTGACCCTTTTTACAGTGCCTATTATAAGATTCTAGACAATCTGTGTTGTTCAAAAAAGAACAAAGGATAATATAATGAACACCCATGTGTTCTCCACATAAAATGAGCAAATGTTAACTTATTTTCCCATTTTTTTAAAGAAATAAGAATGTGTATGTGAATATATTCATAGAAATTGTGTACTGGTGGATTTATAATTTTTTTCTCTAACAGTGGAACAATGACTATCACTGTAAAAGATGCCTATGTACATTCTCTAGAATTGAATGTGAATTTGAGGAAAGTGAGACATCCTTATGACACAGAGTATCTAATGGTATGACCAGAGCATATTGTACCACTTTTTCAGGTCAGACAGATATATCATTTCTGGATATGGGACAAAGAAAAATAAATTGCCCTCCTGGAAATGGAATACACCCGATCAGAATGAGAATTCTTCTGACTATCATTCCATTAAAAGGAAAGCAAAAAGTCCTCTTAAATCTCTATAAAATAGTTTGAAACAAAGGAAAAACAGCAACAAATAGCTCTCTGGATGTTAAAATTGTAAACGAGTGCATAATAAATAAAAATAATCAGAAATCAGTGGAAAATGTTTGCAATACACAATGTCAGAGTAGAAAGAGCAAACTCTAACCTCAACAGTTATTAGAATGGCAAGCAGAAATGCAGAGCTTGCCTGAAATTGATCCTTAGGTGAAAGGGAGGAGGCATCACAGCTACTAAAAAGAGTGGGTTCGAATAGAAAAAACTAATCGGAGCCATTGCAACAAACTGAATATGAGCACTATGGAAAATATAAGCTGACTGAAGCAGTAGGAAATGGTACCAGTGAAACAGAAGTCAAACTTGGGAAATAAAGAAGCCCCTTTCCAAATCTAAAATCTCATGATTCCGTATGTCCTAGGGAAACAGTTTCCTTCTTTTGTCACTAAGAGGATTCCTTTTTCGTATAACAAAAAGCTGTGTCGTTTTTCTTCTTTTGTTTATTAATACGACTAAATTAGATTTCCTTAAGTGTTCAACTATCACTACCTTCCTGAAATAAACTTCACCAATTAATTAATTATTATTCTTTTGGATTCCTGCTGTGTTCATTTCATTAATATGATTTACAGATTTTGCATCTATATTTACAAATGAAGTTGGACTCTTTGGGGAGGGGATGTGTTTATCGTGTGTGCTAATTTCATTTAAATGGATTAGAACAGTTTTTCTTCCCTAATCAGAGAAATAATTTAATAGCACAAAAATAGCTGTTTCTCGAAGACGCAAAACTCATTTGTGAATCTCTTTGGGCCCAGCGTTTGTTGTTGCTGTTGTTGTTTTTCAGGGTTTGGGTGTGTGGATTTGGGGTGGGGGCAGTGCGAGATTGGGGGAGTTCTTTTACAACATCTTAAAGAACCCTAACAGAAAGTTGAAACAGCCTTTCAAATAATTTCCAAAGTTACAGAAGTTTCAAGTAATGAGTCCAGTTATTGGAGAGGTCAAATGTAAAATAACAGAATGTGAAGATAAATAATACAAGGTAAAGACAAGTAAACACCTGAGTCACGCAACACCTGCTTTTGTTTTCCTAGATCAGGAAGTGTGCTGCACCACTGGAATGAAATCTATTACTTTGTGGAACAGTTGGCTCACAAATTCATCAGGTGAGAAACACTATGCATTTTGTTCACTTGTAGTTCTCTGTCATGAGTCAAACTAGTCCATGTTTGCTATTCTATTAATTACTACATACTTTGGGGATGTTTTTTGACTAAGTTGGGCTCTCAGATCTCGGACCAGAGACTGTTTGCTTTGTTTTCATCTTTGCCACATTTTAGAATAACATTTGGCTTTATGTTTTTGGGAGGAGCCAAATCTGGTTACGAGACCAAAAATATTTAGCATTCTCCCTTCTCTGTTGAATAGCCTATTCTTATTACCTTTAACATTTTTCTTGCACACTGCATCATGCAGCAGCAATTGGCACATTTTAGCTGGACTCACGTGTAGGGTGTACAGTGTGTAGGATGAACAATTCATCCCAGTTTGCCCAGATCTTTCCCAGTTTTAGCACTGAAAGTCTCACATCCTAAGGGGAACCCTCCTTAGTCCTGAGCAAAATGTGACAATTGGTCGCTCTCTAGCTGTGTGTACTATTATCAGGTAGAATCCTCTGAGCATTTTCAACACCACTTTCCCAGGCAAGGCAATGCAGTTTTGAACATAGTCACTGCAAATATCATGGGAGTCTTGGACTTAGTGGTAAGGAAATGAGGTCACTTCACCCCACTGTGTGCAGCCTCCAAGGGATAACACAACAGTAATAGCTTTCATAGAGTGCTTGAAGCAAGTTGTCAAAGTCTTTGGTAAAATTGGTCTGATCATCGTAAGTTCTAACACAGCTCCACTTCATGCTGATGGCCTCCATAGAGTCTTCCGGTTGATAGGAGTGACCATAAAGTTCTTCTTTGAGTAAGGTTCTCTGTCTCAGAATACAGGTTATCCTCTAAGCCCTGGGTAGTGACAGACATGTTCCCCTCAAATTTGGTTATTGACCTCAACGCATGCCTACCTGCCTAATTGGAGGGAAAGGGTTAGGAGGTAGCTTGTCTGTTATGCCAAAAATTGGAAGCTACAGCAGGAAGCATCTAAACCCAGATGATTAGGAAAAACAGATGCTGAGAGGACAGAAGGGAGAAAAAGTACAGGAAAAGGAGAGAAACAAATACATGGGTGGTGTTAGAAAATGTTTGAAAGGATCATAGAAACTAGGAATTAAAAGGAACGAGACTTCCCAGCCTATCCTAGGAGGCATTGTGTAACTCTCTACTTGAATAGCTCTGGTGAAAACTCACTGCCTTTGAGGCAAAAGTCCAATAGTTGGACAATTCCAGTTTTCATAAGTCTTTTTGTCATTAGGCCAAGATGTCCTTTCTTCACTCGCAGCCATTGGTCCTTTGGAGTGATATAAAACAAGTCTGCCTCCACACCCTTCACAGTAACTGCTCTGTGTCTCATTTGCTCTTCTGGGCTTCTGTTCTCTCTGAAGTGGAGGAGTCTAGTGGGATAGGCTTTGAAGTCAGGCAGATGTGAGTTTGAATCTAAGTTCCGTTGTGCAACCGTAGCAATTCACCAACCTTGGCTGAACCCTAGTTTATATATGAGGCTTATAAGAGAAAACATGTGCAAGCCCACCAGTCCAGCACCTGGCTTAGAGTGGGCACACAACATCTTTCTCAGTTCCCTCAGCAATCCCAGACTCTTCACTATCTTAGAATCTTAGAAAATTGTGGGCAGGGGCAAGGGAGGGGATTAAGAGAACCCTTAATCCAATTCCCTTGCTTTATAGATGAAGAAACCAAGGACCAGGGAGGTTGACATGGCTTAATCCAGACAAGGCACCCTTCTCTGGTTGTCTCCGCTAACCCTGCTTGGCCATGGAGCCCCTCAAAGTGTGGAGCCAAGATCTTACCATCACCCAAACTCCACCAGGCAGAGGCTGGGCTGTCGTCTGTTGACAGTCACAGCCCAAGTGCCCATAACAGTGCCAGACACATAGTACATGCTCAGTCAGTATTTTTAAATAAGTGAATGAATGGGCAATTTTCATTTATTTATTCATTTTAATAAAAAGTCTAAGGCAGCTGGGACTACAGGGGGGAAATTCATTCAATAACAGTGGCTGATGCCAGTACAAGTACATCATTTCTAATCTCAGTGGGATTTTTGACATTTTGAGTCCTTTTATTTATCTTTATTCTGACCTTCTATCATTTTTCTAATAATGATTCTTATGCTTTGCTGTTTTCCTCAAGCCTTCAACCTACACCTCACACCCATTGCTGTCAGCAAATAACCTCACCTCCTACTTCACCAAGAATCCAGAGAGTAGTAGACACGAGTTCAAGTTCCAATCTACTCCTAAAAGATGCATATGTGTCCTTCCCACTAGTCTCTGAGATCCAAGTATCCCTCCCATGTAAGGCCAACCTCTCCATTTTAGTCTGACTTTATCCCATTGTCTCCAGTTTCCTCCAGGTCTTTGTTTCTGTCTTGTATTTTTCTCTACCTTTCCCCTGGCTCCTTCCCCACAGTCTACAAACACAAACTAATCTCTCCTGCCCCTTGTCCCAAAAAAAGCAATGACAGTGAAACTCTTGATCTTGTCTTCCTATAGATGGGACCCTATTTCTCTACTAGTTTCTCACTCATTTGTCTTTAAAGACTGGCCATCTCCATATCCTTACTTCTCATTCATTCCTTAACCCACTGCTGTCTGGCCCTCCTCCCCACCCTTCACCTGCTTGCTCGCCAAGGTCTCACCCAGGGATGACCCAGAGGAAAAATCCAGGAGCACTCTGCAGCCTTTAGTCCACTGGATGCAGGGGTTTCATTGGATCCAGACTTATCCTTCCTTGAAACTCTTTCCTCCACTGGCTCTCATTCTGCTTCCATCTCACTGGCCTCAGCCAGCCCTTCCCATACTAGTGTTGGTTTTGTATTTGGCTCACTTCCCTCCTCACTGCTGACACTCTCTCTGAACAACTTTGCCCACATCAGTACGCTGAGGACTTCCAAATTATGCCTCTAGCCTAGACTTATATGCCAGTTGCCTCTTGGAGACCTTTATTTTCCACATTTCAAATTTATTATTTCCAGAGCTGAACTTGACAGAAGGGGAGCAGTATATAATGTGGCAGTTAGGAGCCCAAGTTCTAGAATTAAAACACTTGACTTCAAGCCCCAGGTCTGCCACTCCCCCACTGTGTAACCTCAAGGAAATTGTTTCATCTTTCAGGGCCTCAATTTCCTTTTGTGGAAAATAGGAACTGTTAGTTTGATATGAACTATCAGGATTGGTACTATAGGTACCAGTCTCATACAGTTGTTCAAGTATAATGAGATCATACGTGCAAATCACTATGATCTCACACATGGTAAGAACTCAGTAAGGTTGGCCATTATTATATTATTATAATCATTATGATTGTTGTTATTATCATTTAGGACATGGTGTCCTGCTGCCCCAGTGCTGGGGAAGTAGTCCCAGGCAGCACGGGGTCATGGACAGAAAACTGAGATCTGTTTTAGGGACCAATATTCAATTCACCAGGTATTGCCTGAGCTCCTATCAAATATTAAACACCATGCCAAGGGCTTCCAAAGATGCATCAGGCATTTATTACCATGTGGTAATAAATGCAGACTTTATCCTGGAGACAGTAGGAGTCATTGGAAATTTTATAGCAGATAAGTGACAGGTTCTAATTTTTGTTTTAGGAAAATAATTCTGGGAGCAGTGTGAAGAGTGAATTGGAGCAAAGAACCTTCCTAGGCAAGACGCCAGCTAGGAAATTGTAGTGGTCAGACGATTGAGGCCAGGATCCTAAGCTAAGATACGGGAAGTGAGGCAGGTTTGAGAAACACTTGGGGAACTGGAACTACAAGGTTCAGAGCCCGATCAGGTGTGGGAGGTTATTGCATTGTGAAGAAATAGATTGATGCTATGACGGAAGAACAAGTTGGACACACAGAACGGCATTGCATTGCTGAATCCACTGCAGTCTGATGGTCCATCTTGCAGACTGAGAAACAAGTTCGTCCTCAGGTGAGAGTGCTTCTGTCTCCAGAGTGTGACTCTTACATTGAGAATGCTCCTGAGCACTGCCATATAAAAACCATGCCAATTTATTCATTAATAATGAGAAGTATGACTACCAAGTGGAATAGATATTCTTATGACCAGTCAGCACATTCTCTCCTTATAGGATAATCTCCTTGGGAAGCCAAGGAGAAATTAAAAGTTGATGGTGATCCCACTTTCAGATCAAAGGGAGTTTGTTATATAATGTTAATAGCTGATGGCATCAAGCTGCAACTCATCATTAGAGAATACACCAGGCTACCGTGGAAACATTATCAAATTTTACCTATCGGGATCCCCTTTTATAGACACCATACAGATTGGTCCCCTTGTTGGGACACACTTCAAACAGAACACAGGGCAACAATGAAGTTTATCATTCTTACTCGTAATCCACACTCACTAAGCAATGATATCAGGTCAGAAGCAGCCTCAGGAAGATCCAGTGTGTCTTCTCTTTGACCCACACTTCAAGTCCACTGCTGGCTAATCAACACCCGCAGCACCAGCCTAGGAGGCCCCCTGTGGGTTATGGGTCTTCAGTTCTGGCAGCCGTGATAGAAAGGGAAGGACAGGGAGGGAGCCTGAAGGGAGTGGCATGCGCAGTCTTATTGTCTGTCCTAATAGAGCTTCTTTTCCTTTCCAGCCCACAGTTGAGAATGTCCTTTATTGTTTTCTCCACCCGAGGAACAACCTTAATGAAACTGACAGAAGACAGGTAAGGATACTTCTTATCTCTGTTGTTAAAAAGTCCATCACTTCCTGAGTAGCCCTGAGATTTGTGCTCTGGTGCCAGCCTTGACCTGTTGATCACTTTAATCTAATAGTTCCTTCTTTTACCCTAAGTTTTTAACCTTACGTATGGGCACATGGGTCCTGCTGCTAGTTCACTCTTCAGTTACTTTTGATAGAATTTCCTGATATTGGTGAAATTTTATAAATGATGAAATTACATTAAGATAAATCTCACATTTGATTGTTGATTCCATCTGCTAACTTGGAGCGAAATGTTGGCAAACCATATTATTGGGGGACTATATTTTCTTTTACTTAAGTTAGACTTATTTTGGATTAAGGTTTCAGATACAAGTGCACTGTGAGACAGGTAAGAGCTTGAAATATTTACTGTTCATAATTACCCAGGAAGGGAGTAGAAAGGGAGGGCTTATGGTACCACAAAATAAAAGGAAATTTAAATAGTGTAAAAGAATGTTGTTGATACAAAGAAGTTAAACTAGGTAGATCTAGCTTAACAAAAGTATTTTAGGATTTGCCACATTTTACTTGCAGATGAAAACTAGCAATAACAGAGTCATGTCATTTATTCATAGTTAGGATGGTATACTAGAGAGTGGAGAGGATAGTCTTCCCCCATTTATGAAATTGTACACTTTTTAAATAGTGAGATGGCCCACATGAGAGAAGCACCATGGGGAACACATGTGGGATTATTGGGAGACTCATATATGGATGTGTTGGAAAAAGAAAAGGAGGAAGGGCCAGTACAGGGGGGGCAGGAAGACTTTATTCTCTAACGTTCTTATAGAAATGAATATAGGACTAACAGGACAGAGTAAAATTTTCTAGCTGAAGTCAGCAAACTTGAGCTAGTCCCTATTTTTTTTCCCATGACTTTGTTAGGATTTGTAACAGAAAGAGTGCTCTGTACCATGTAGGAGTTTTCAAATCCTGTTACTCCTTCAACCTGATCTACTATATGCATGCATTTCATTCAAAAAAACAGGAGTTTCTGATCCCTTATTAACAGAAGGAGAAACTGAGGCCATGTCACCTTCCCAAGAATAGCAAACAGAACCCAGACCAGACCCAGGCTCCACATTCTTTCCAGTTTACCTTGCTGCCTTCTGTTCAACAGAGAATCATAAAATCCAAGACACTTGTGTGACTTGCCTTCAATACTGGCCAAGGATTTTAAGAAGCTCTGAGAAGGTGTCTCTGGCCATCTCAAGACTCCTCATCTTGCTCAGTCTTTAGATGATGCCACCCCTTATGCAGAGATGTTTTTTGTTCTGCGATGGGGAGCTAAACACCCCTCTCGCCTGTTCTTCACATCCTCCTACAACCCGAGGCTTCCTAGTGCAGCTTCATGCTGTCCATGCCCCATGCATAAGAGTTTGGCCAAGAGACCAGGTTCACACATCACTTGCAGGTGCTTTGTGTGCTAATGCTCACAGCTTCTGGGAAGTTGACAGGGTCAGAGGGGTCAGGGATTTATAAACACTATCAGAATGCCAAGTCTTCCAGACCCATTGTGGTTTGTTATGCTTGTTGGAATTAGTCATCCTCTGAATCTACTGGGAATCTAATTTTTGTGTACCTTAACGTCACTACTGCTAGTTTCCTGTTCTGAAGAGAAAACAGAGGGTAGAGTCCCTGGTTTGCTGGAAGCAGCATTTTGTATGGGTCAAATGTGCATCAAACAACAGCCAAAAATGCCTTGCTGAAGGCTGTGTGGATTTCATGTGGTGACTGCTTGGCCTAGGTCAGCTGGGAAAGCACAGCATGGTTTATGGACACACCCCCAACCTCATCAGCCTATGGAAGAAATGTGGGCAAGATCTCTCTGAAACTCTTTCTCAGGAGACTGGCTAAAAGAATCAGGCTTTCAGATCTTCCAAGCTAGTACTGCTTCTGAAATATATGACTTGCAGTGTTTTAGTTGGGCACAGGAATTTGTATTTTTCTATCTCACTTGATTGTCACAATATCCCTATAAAACAGTAAAGGGTCCATTAAGATACCTGTATAATACTTGAGAGACCTTATAGAATTAAGAAAAACTTGTTCAAAAGCAAGACATGAATTGGCAAAGACTTTCATTTCAGCAAAAGTTTTGGGTAAATCAAAAGAAATAATATCAAAGATATACGGCTGATCCTTGAACAACATTTTGAACTGAATGGGTCCAATTATACACAGGTATTTTTCAACCAAATGCAGATCAAAAATACAGTATTCGCAGGATGCAAAATCCACATATATGGAGGGCTGACTTCTAGTATATGCAGGTTCTGCAGGGCTGTCTGCAGGACTTGAGTGCATGGATTTGGTATACTCAGGGATCATGAACCAATCCTCTGCCTATACCAAGGAATGACTGTATTCGCATTCAGTTCTTGGGATCAAATACACGTAGGGTAAAGCTATGAGAAGATGAAAAAATAGAATGGAAAATAAATATAATGTGTTAAGATATAGTAAAGAAACTCCAATTAGAATAATAATGCCTACGATTTGTGTCTTTTATCTGCAAGCACTTTATCCTTTTTTATTTATCCTCATATAACCATTGTTACTCTATTTTCTAATGGGAAGGAACTATGCGGTCATTTGAATCATTGTTATATATGGAATGTGTCGTTTTTCTCTGTTTTCACAGTTTCTTCTTTTTTAGTTCTTAGCAGTTTGATTATTTGTGTGGGCATGGTTTTCCTTCAGGGTACCCTATTTTGACTTTGCAGAGCTTCTTGAATCTATAAACTTGTCTGTCACCATATTTGGGGAGTTTGCAGCTACTTGAGTTGGGGGGGGAAATTCTGGACCTCATGGTAGTGTGGGTCATTTCTCTAGGTTTAAATTTTCCTCCCCAGTCCACCAGTTTTGTTTACCTTCCAGTCTACTTGGTTGCTTTTTCTGTTGTAATCAGCAGGTGATATAGGCAGTAGCAAGCATACTCTATCTTGGCTGCTGCTACTTCAATTTTACAGATAAGGACACTGAGGTTCAAAAAGTTTAGGTAACCTGCCGAGGTCAGATAGCTAGTAATCTGCCAAATTAGTATTCTGATTCTGGATTCTAAATTTGGTCCAACTCCTGTACTTTGTACTGTATCATGTTGCTCTTCCAAGATTTCCTGGCTTCATCAGTTTAAATAGTTGATAGATTGTAACAAAGTTTGCAGGTCACTTCCTTAGTATAATAGAGTATACAATGTCAATTTAAGTACTGTTAGAATAAAATGATGTTAACTACTGCATATGAGTCCCTGGATACTCCAAGGAGAGTCTTGTTCTTACATTAATTGAAATACTTCAAATGTGTCATCATTTAGAAATAAGAAATAAGACCACGTGAAGGAAGTTCAACTATTCATTTAAAAAAAAATAGATGCTCAATTTAATCAAATGCAATTTTGCCTTTTGTTAAGATGGTGATATTTTTCCTTTACCTACTAGTACACTGAATGTCATAAAAAACATTTTTAAATATTGGATCATTCTAGTATTTCTGTATACATTTGGTTATGATATATTCTTTTAATGTATATCTGAATTCTGTATTTTTAATATTATTCAGAAATTTAGCACCCCTATTTATAACTGTAATTGGGCTGCCATTGTCCTTTTTATTACTACCTTTCTTTACAGTACTTTTGATTCTTTTTTATTTAAATTAGTACTTCTTCTAGAATTTATTATGATATAAGGTACAAGGTCAACATCCAGTGTTTCTTTCCCCGATTGATTAGCCAGTTCTTCCCACACCACTGTGTAATAATCTTTTACCAACAACTTGAACAGTTAAACTCTTTGCTAGGCTTGGGTTCATTACTGGATTTTCTATTCTGTTCTGTTTTTCTGTCTGTTTCTATAGTTGGATCACATTGTTTTAATTAGTTTTAACATCTGGAGGACCAATCTATCCTCATTTCTAATCTTGGGTGAAAATCTCCTTGGTCTTTACTGGATTTTTCCAACCACATACATTTTAAATAATTTTTTATGTTCCCAGATATCCCTGGGATTTTCACTCGAACTGTGTGAAAAATACAGATTAACTCAGCAGCAATGGCGCTGCATTTTCTCTATACTTATTTTCTTATTTAGGGATATACCATGTCTCGTTTACGTCCCTCAGTACGATTTTGTTTTTTTCTTCAAATTAGTCTAATTGTCAACATTTTTTTCCCAGGCATTTTAAGTTGCCTCCATTGTGAAAGAAATGCTTTGCTGTTGTATTCTCCAAACTGTCATTCTTCACTCTTGACTGGTGAACCTATAGTTTGTGATCCATGGGCTTCTACTGAACTCCATAAAATGATTTACAAAAACGTGCATGTCAGTGGGTTTTCTGTAGAAAAGACCATGCATGCAGCCCCCATCCCCATCCCCTGCCAAAAAAAGAGCTTCAGAAACATTAGTTTTGGGGAAAACAATAGGTTTCTAACAGGTTTTTTGTTGATTTCTTTTATTTTTATTATTTTTATTTTTTTAAGAGGGAGTCTTGCTCTGTCACCCAGGTTGGAGTGCAGTGGTGCGAACTCAGCTCACTGCAACCTCCATCTCCCAAGTTCAAGCGATTCTCCTGCCTCAGCCTCCCTAGTAGCTGGGATTACAGGTGCACACCGCCATGCCAGGCTAATTTTTGCATTTTAGTAGAGACGGGGTTTCACCATGTTGGTCAGGCTGGTCTCTAACTCCTGACCTCAAATAATCCACCCACCTCGGCCTTCCAAAGTGCTGGGATTACAGGTGTGAGCCACCACATCTGCCTTCTTATCCCACCACTTTAATGAAACATTTTATTAGTTCTAATAGTTTTCCAGTTAATTTTTAAGTGGTTTTCCAATAAGGTGATTGTAGTATCTGTGATTAATTCTGTCTTCTTTTCTAATATTTATAGCTAGTATATCTTCCTGTGTATCTTCTTACATTCTAAAATTTTCAGACTTTAATTCCCAATTGGGTTTTACAATTATGCATTTTATTGGATGCTAACTTCATACATTTTATCTACTTTGTTAAGGAAGGATTCTTCAAATGCGAGATTATTAAAACTTTTTATCTGAAATAGTTGTTATATTAAATACCCTTTTGCCATATCAAAATAGTTATATCTTTCTTCTATTTCCTTTGACCTGTCTGTAAAAATTTTAAATCAAAAGCTCTCCTAATGGGCCTGGCACAATGGCTCACACCTGTAATCTCAGCACTTTGGGAAGCTGAGGTGAGAGGATCGCTTGAGCCCAGGAGTTCAAGGCCAGCCTGAGCAACATAGGGAGACCCCATCTCTACAAAAAATAAAATTAAAAATTAGCCAAGCATGTTGTCACACCCCTGTGGTCCCAGCTACTCAGGAGAATGAGGTGACAGGATCGATTGAGGCATGGGAGGTAAAGGCTGCAGTGAGCCGTAATCATGCCAATACACTCCAGCCTGGGCAACAGAGTGTGCTGTATCAAAAATAAATAAATAAATAAATAAATAAAAGATTTTCTAATGAAAAACTAACCTTACATTCCTACAATAAACTTTATCATGGTTTGCTATGTTTTTATTGTGTTTCTGGTTTGATTTAAGCTGAAAGATATTACTTATCAATATTTAATATTGAGAGTATTCTGGGGCTTTATTTCATACAATCTCTGTCAGTTTGGGAGTAAACGGATTACATGAGCTTGGAAAAATGAGTAGGCAATCTTGCTGTAAGCTGCAGAATTGCTTAACTAATAAAGAGAGCAAACGTTTGTTCAAAGTTTGATATAACTCAGAGGAAAACTATCAAAGCCTAAATTATTATTGAAGAAGCTCTTTGACAGTTACCTCAGCTTTTTGTGTTATTGCTTTTATCGTGTTTTCTAACTTGAGAAACAGTAGAAATTACCAATATGTTGACATTTTAAATTTATCACGTATCTTTTTAATTTTCAAAAGCTCTTCTGTATCTTTGGTTATATCCCTTTCCTCCAATTGTATAAAGCTATTTTCTTTTCTCTTATTTGCCCCATTCAGATTACCTAATGGTTTGTTTCTTAAATGTATTCATCAGTTCTGTTTTATATATTGTTAGATTTTATGATTCATTATTTTATCTTATTACTATTATTAGTTCCTTCCTTCTGCTTCTTATATTGCAAGTTTTTCTGGTTTCTCGAAATAAAAGATAATTGCCCGGTGTGGTGACTCACACCTATAATCCCAGGACTTTGGGAGGCTGAGGCAGGCTGATCACTTGAGGCCAGGATTTTGAGACCAGCCTGGCCAACATGGTGAAACCCCATCTCCAGTAAAAATATAAAAGTTAGCTGGGCATGTTGGTGCGCACCTGTAATCCCACCTACTTGGGAGGCGAGAATTTCTTGAACCTGGGAGGCGGAGGTTGCAGTGAGCTGAGATCGCACCACTGCACTGTAGCCTGAGCAACAGAGCAAGACTCTGTCTCAAAAAAAAAAAAGATTATTCACTATACTTTATTTCTTTCTAAATAATAAAAGCTTTAACAGTATAAATTGTACTTTAAATCTGATATGGTTGTTGAATTTTATACATTTTGACATGTCCTGTTCTTATTATTGTTAATTTTTTAATAGCTATATTTACTATTTTTGATTTAAGATGATTTAGGAAAAGTGTTTCACAATTTTCACATTTTTGTTTACCCTTTCCTCAATTTCTAGAGTCATGGAAGTTTTTAAAAATTCAATTTATATAATTTCTATTTTTTAGTTTATTAATTTTTGTTGGTGGACTACTACATGATCAAATTTTATTTAGTATCCATGGATGTTAGAAAATATGTACACTTTGATGATTAAAATTTTGTTATAAGAAACATTAATTTTTAAATATTTTATATTTTTGTTTACTTGATCTATGAAGATAGACATTTTGCATTTTCCACCATGACTGTTTTATTTTAATTTCCAACACATTGCTTTTTAATTTACATCATCTTACTTGGCTTATGTGTATTTTCATTATGGAGTGTGCATCTAATCAATATAAAATAATCTTTTTGTCACCTTTAGTGCTTTTGGCTTTATATCCTTTGTCCAAGATTAGTATTATTAAACTTGAATTTTGTTTGCACTTCCTGATATATCTTTTTCATTCATTTATTTTTTACTTTCGTTGATATTTTGTGTAATTTTTCAATGATTTGAAAAGTATAATTTCATTTGCATCCTAGTAACAGTTGCAAGTTAATTTTGCTTGCCTCGATAGTGACAAGAATTGAATAAATATCTACTGATTCTTCTTGCTGAATTTCTTTTTAAGAAATATTTGCATTGTATTTTAGAAACATATCAACAATAATTATCTAAACTTACTGTAAGATTTACGGATTTCATTGAATATATATGAATACACGCACACATTCACACACATACTTCCTTTCCAGTACTTAAGTTTTAATTATATATTTTTAATTCCTCAGTTTGCTAAGTCTTTTTTTTAGGTAAGATTTTCCTGAAGAATATGTGACTATTAAGACTTATAAGTCACCATTTATATGAGAATTTTTTTGTATTCACCTCCAGGTAAATATTTCCATTGAATATAAAGCTCTTCCATCTTAACTATCTTTCCCCTTACATTTTCTAAAGACATAGTCAACTTGCATTATTAGAAAGGAGAGATGCCAATTTAATATATCTCTTCTATGTGGGTAGCCTGTTTTCTCTTCCTGGCTGCTTATAGAACTTTTCTCTTTATCATACATATTTTTTTAAATATCAACAGAATATTTCCAGGTGTAGTCCCTTCATTAATTTTGTAAAGTACTTTGTGTAGTACTTGAGCCATTCTATCTGAAGACTTAATACACTTTTTCAGCTTAAAACATTTCTCTTTTATGCCTTTTGTGATTAACATTTCTTCTGTCCATTCGATTCTTGAATCTATCCAATATCTCTTTATATTCTAAGTATAATTTTTTAATCTTTCTATTATTTTTTTGACATCTGAGAGAATGTTTCATTCAGATCCTGTAATTACCAGTCTAAGTTGTTTATTTTGTTTTTGCTTCTGTTTTCACAGTCACCCAGCTTACTTTTCACTGCTTCCATTGCATTTTTCAATTGACAATATCTTTCATCCCTATGAATACTTTCCTGTTCCTAAATTTTTCCACATGTGTATGACCTTGCTGTTGAAGGTATGTCTTCAACATAAATATACACTAGAATGTCTTCAACATAAATATAAATTAGAATTGGTTATATGTGCTCCCTTGTTTTTTATATGACTTTATTTCAAAGGGGGATATTTTCTCAAATTCCTAAAATTGGTCCTCTTCTTCCCAACTGCTGAGACTTTTTCTGAGTATAGTGACTTAAAAATGGAACCACATGGGCTTTTCAGTACTGGGATTTGGGAAAAGTTCTGCAGCAGATCATGCAAGATCCTTGTTGAAAATGTTAAGAGCTCAGGCTAAGGAAAATGAAAACATTTATATGTAGCATAATTTTATCTTAGGCAGAGTAGAGACCCAGCAGTCTTTCCAAGGCAAAGAGGAAGATGAAGCTAAAGGAAGATGGTCAGGTGTAGATGCTGGATTATTGTGTTAAGAACTAGTTTCCTTCACTTCCCCGCCATCCCTCATGCTTTTCTTCTTGTGCTCTAGGATCCCGGGGTGGTGGGTCCTTCCCTTACTCTGACCTCAGCAGCTCCACATCATGCAGAAATTCAAAGTTTCTGGCATCCTTGCCTATTTTTCAGCAGTGAAGAAACATTTTCTCTATTATATCAGTTAGCTATTTCTACAGTAATTTGGAAAAAGAAGCAAAAGTTAAAATATGCAGACCAAGATCATTATCTTTGACTGGAAATTTCACCTTTCTTCCAAACTTTGCAAGATTGAAAAACAAAGCATAACAGAACAACTATGAGTCAAAGAATTATTATATCTTATCCAACCCACTGACCTCATTTTACTGCTGAGGAAAATGATTCCCAGAGAGACAGAATTCTTTGCTCAAATTCATTCATATACTCACTGGCAACACCATCTTTTTAACTCACAAAATTAAAAAGTTTTAACTCAGTGATTTTTCTATTACATTACAAAGCTACCCAGTACATACTGCCTCTGCATGTATTATTTTGTTTCTTATCTGTGTAATAGTCAAATGGAAGCCACCAATATGTGTATGTACATATATATGCATATGTACATATATATGCGTATGTGTTTATATCTAAATATAATCTTTTATTAAGGGCTTATTATATACCTGTAGCCTAGTATACTTTCCTCATCTATAATCAGAGGAAATAGTAGTATCCCCCTAATTTGGTAGTTTTGAGAATTACATTTATTATATGTATTATCAAAGATGGGGATTATCGAGGTGGAGAAAGCTCATGGCCACTGTCATGTGAAAGTGTAGGAACCTGAATTTGAACTCAAGAAGCGCTATCCCAGTGTTCATATTCTTAATTACTATACTGTAGGATTTCCCATGATTTTACTATTACGTACAGTTTTAAATTTAAAACAAATCTAAGCATACATAATTCACCACCCAAACCCTCTGACATCTTTAAGAAAACAGTTCCCCGAGGCAGCCTATGCCCGCTATACATTTCATCTTCATGGGCTTTTGGAAACCGGAACTTGGAAATACTCCTCACAAAGAGGTAAAGAGGTAGCATCAGCATTTCACAGATGGGGGTACGAGGTTAAGTATCTTGCTTATTGCTTAAGGAGGTAGAATGGAAGCCAAGAACACTTGGCTCCAACTGCTGAGTGAAAACCAAGAGACCACATGTCTCTCTCCTTCTCAGTCATCCTTTGGTTTGGTTGAAAGTGTGGTTTTGCTATTAGTGTCACAGGGGAAAATGACATACTCTGAAGACATCACTTGATTCCTGGAGCTGAATGATTACAGGCTGCCATTACCAAGAGACATAGTTCTAAAGGCCTTTTCTAAATTTAAAAGCAACAAGGAGAAAGAGTCTTAAGATATTTAGTGCTTGAAAGAACTTGGATTCATTTCATTTTGAGGTACTGTTCTTTTAGTTGTGTGAGGGCTTGATGGTGAAATTAAGACAAATGGTGAGGGAGTGGGGCATTTGTTTATTCTCTTGTCCTGTTGATTGGGAGATATTATGTGGTCTGAGTCCATAGGCAAGTGTCTTGCCTCTCTGTGCCTCAGTTTTCTTATCTATAAAGTGAATGCAATGATGACCCCACTTCACAGAACTGTTGGAAGGGTTAACAATGCAGGCACATAGTAAGTGCTCAATTAACCTTAGTTGTTGTTACTATTGTGGTTGTTGTTAGGGGTTTTTATAAACAGCTAAGGAATGGCCCCAAATCCTCCTGGACAAATCCCACCTCAAATCATCACAGTAGGCCCAACAGTGATTCAAAGGGTGAGTCCCCAGCTCCCCTTGGCCCACATCCTTCTTGAAGTTTTAACATTTGGCCAGCCTATCCCTATATAGAGGGATGCAGGTAGAAAATATTGCCTCAACATGAGGCCAGATGAAAATTATTGTTTCTTTTGTGTAATAGTTGTAGGGAGACTTCTTCCAGATAAGGGGACACAGGCAATGTCTCTACAGAAGGTTTGTTTAAGGGGTCTCCATGTTGGTCACAATGATGGTAAAAAGAAATCACCATGGAGCAATTTAGCAGGTCTGGGAACAGATTGATTTGTGAGAGTAGTGTAGTCCACTGCTTCTCAATCCCTTCCTCTGGAGTACCCTTGTTAGTAGAAGAAAGTAAAATTGTACCCCCTGAGGCCTCACGGTATAGTATGAAGTGCCTTGTTAAAAGCAAGAACTTCTTTTAAGTTCTTTTATCTTAAAAATGTGCATGCATGTGTATTCTATTCCATAACATAATTCCATTATATGTGATGTTACATAAAAATTCTGTTCTTTCTCAAATTTTGGAGTACAATTTATGCTCCAGAAAAAAAACATTATGTGTCTCCTGTGTCTTTGTATATAGTACACTGTTACATACCAAGTTTGGGCACCACAGATGTAACAGAGAAAACACAGACTTTGGACCAGGACCCATTATGGTTTCCAATTTGGGCTCCACCACCATGTGCATGTAATTGCACTTCTCTGAGTCTGTTTTCTCATATGTGAAATGAAGATAGTAATGCCCACCATATGGAGTTGTTATGAGACTTTCATGAATTAACATATGGAAAGCACCTAACAGAGACCCTAGCACATCACAGATACCACCCTTCACCTGCTACTACTCATGTGGCAAATACAAATTAAGAATAAAAACTGACAAAGCAGTGCCCAGAAACATTTCTGTTGTCTGGATGGAGACAGCAAGGTAAACTTTAGAAGTAGTCAACAGAACCAAAGAACAGTAGCATTCTCATATCCAAAGCTAGCTAGCCAAAACCAACATATTTTTTATTGCCCAACAAAAACAATCCCAGTACTGGTCAACATCCACATTTCTACCTCTGAAGCCACGTGGCTGTCACCTGACTCAGCTCCTTTACCACCAGTGTGGGTGACCTGTTGAGTCTTGTATTTAATGCTGATTCTGATAGCCTCCGAATGCCTCCTCATGAACTCCAGGTTCAGTCTTTGCTACTCACTTCAATTTTTTAAGTGACTAAATATTTGAGGTATAACAAAAGTATAGAAAAAAAAAAGGTTAATGAACACTCATTACCCACCAACCACGCTTGTGGAATAAGAGGTTACAGGCAGCATCTCCTATGTAGACCTACCATTTCTCTTTCCTCACCAGAGATAATTATTATCATGAATTAGGGATTTATCATTTCAATGGATATTGCATACTTTTATATGTGCATAAGCTATAATATATATTCATATTAAACTTTTTTTAAAATTTTATTTATTTTTGAGAGGGTTTTGCTCTGTTGCCCAGGCTGGAGGGCAGTGTGCGATCTTGGCTCACTACAACTTCCGCCTCCTGGGTTCAAGCAATTCTCATGCCTCAGCCTCCTGAGTAGCTGGGACTACAGGCGAGCAACACCATGCCCAGCTAAATTTTTTTATTTTATTTTAGTAGAGACGGGGTTTCACCATGTTGGCCAGGCTGGTCTCAAACTCCTGACCTCAAGTGATCTGGCCACCTAGGCCTCCCAAAGTGCTGGGATTATAGGCATGAGCCACCACAACCAGCCGAAACTTTATTTTTTAAATGGTCATATTGTGTGTATTTTTCTTGAACTTGCTTTTTATACTTAATGTCATGTTTTTGAGATTTTTTTTGTGTGTAGATACATATAGCTGGTTGGCTCATTTTAACTACTGCATACTTTTCTATTTTGTCATATTTTATTGTAATAACATACCACCTGTACTTACCTGCTCTCTTATTCATAGACAATTTGTTTCTAACTTTTTGTTATTATAAACAAAGAGGAAATGAATGTACTTATACTTGCCTCCTGTTGAGGGTAGGGTGGGCAAAAGCAAGAATTGCTTTATGCACTTTGCTTTATTGCACTTTGCAGATACTGTGTTTTTTACAAATTGAAGGTTCATGGCAACCATGATTTGAGCAAGTCTGTTGGCACGATTTCTCCAAAAGCATATGCTCATTATATGTCTGTATGTCACATTTTGGTCATTCTCTCAATATTTCAACCTTCATTATTATTATTATATCTGTTATGGTGATCTGTGATCAGTCATCTTTGATGTTACTATCTATTGTCCTTGTTTTGGGGTGCCACAAACCACACACATGTAAGACAGCAAACTTAATTGACAAATGTGTGTATTCTTACTGCTCCATCAACCAGCTCTTCCTCCATCTGTTTCCCTCTCCCTCTACTTGGTCTTCCCTATTCCCTGAGACACAACAATATTGAAATTAGGTCAGTTAACAACACTTCAGTGGTCTCTAAGTGCTCTAGTGAAAGGAGTAGTTGCAAGTTCCTCACTTTAAATTCAAAGCTAGAAATGATTAAGCTTAGTGAGGAATGCAGGTTAAAAGCCAAGACAGGCCAAGAGCAAGGCGTCTTGTGCCTGTTAGCTAAGTTGTGAATGCAAAGGAAACGTTTTTAAAGGAAATAAAAAGTGCTACTCCAGTGAACACACAAATGATTAAAAAGCAAAACAGCCTTATTGCCGATTTTAGTGGTTTGGATAGAAGATCAAAACAGCCACAACATTCCCTAAGCCAAAGCCTAATGCAAAGTAAAGCTCTAACTCTATTTCTAGAAGGCTGAGAGAGGGGAGGAAGCTGCAGAAAAAAAGTTTGGAGTTAGCAGATGTGGGCTCATGAGGTTTAAGGAAAGACGCCATCTCCATGACATAAAAGGCAAAGTAGCAAGTGCTGATTGAGAAGCTGCAGCAAGTTACCCAGAAGATTTAGCTAAGATCGTTGGTGAAGGTGGCTACACTAAACAACAGATTTTCAGTGGAGATGAAACAGCCTTCTATTGGAAGAAGATGCCATCTAGGACTTTCATAGATAGAAAGAAGTCAAAGCCTGGCTTCAAATCTTCAAAGGACAGCCTAGCTCTCTTATAAGGAGTGAAGGTAGCTGGTGACTCTAAGTTGAAGCTAATGATCATTTACCATTCTGAAAATCCTAGGGCCCTTAAGAATGATGCTAAATCTTCTCTGTCTGTCCTATCTAAAGGAAACAACAAAGCCCAGATGACAGCACATCTGTTTACTGCATGGTTTACTGAATATTTTAAGCCCACTCTTGAGACCTACTTCTTGAAAAAAAAAAATCATTCTTTTCAAAATATTACTACTCATTAGCAATGCACCTGGTCACCTAAGAGATCTGATAAAGGTGTACAAGGAGATTAATGTCATTTTCATGCCTGCTAACACAACATCCATTCTGTAGCCCATGGATCAGGGAGTAATTTAGATTTTCAAGTCTTATTATTTAAGAAATGCATGTCTATAGCTGCCATACATAGTGATTCCTCTGATGGATCTTGGCAAAGTAGATTGAAAACCTTTGGGAAAGGATTCACCATTGTAGATGCCATTAAGAACATTTGTGATTCATGCAGGAGTGGCCAAAATATCGACATTAACAGCAACTTAGAAGAAGTTGATTCTAACTTTCACAACTGACTTTGAGGGGTTCAAGACTTTAGTGGAGGAAGTAACCACAGATGTGGTGGAAACAGCAAGAGAACCAGAATTTGAAGCGGAGCCTGAAGATGTGGCTGAATTGTTGCAATCTCATGATAAAACTTGAACTCATGAGGACTTGATTCTTAACGATGAGCAAAGAAAGTGGTTTCTTGAGATGGAACCTACTGCTGGTGAAGATGCTATGAACATTGTTGAAATTACAAGGAACTTAGAATATTCCATAAACTTAGTTGATAGAGCAGCAACAAGGTTTGAGAGGATTCGCTCCAATTTTGAAAGAAGTTCTATGGTGGGTAAAATGCTATCAAAGAGCATCACATACTACAGAGAAATCTTGTGTGAAAGGAAGAGTGAATTGATGGGTCAAACTTCATTGTTGTCTTATTTTTAAAAATTGCCACAGCCACCCCACCTTCAGCAACCATCACTCTGATCAGTCAGCAGCCGTCAGTATCGAGGCAGAACCCTCCACCAGCAAAAGATTATGATTCACTGAAGGCTCAGATGATCATTAGCAATCTTTAGCAATAAAGTATTTTTCATCGAAGTGTGTACTTTTTTTTTTTTTTGAGACCGAGTTTTGCTCTTGTTGCCCAGGCTGGAGTGCAATGGCACGATCTTGGCTCACTGCAACCTCCGTCTCCCTGGTTCAAGTGATTCTCCTGTCTCAGCGTCCTGAGTAGCTGGGATTACAGGCACCTGCCACTATGCCCGGCTAATTTGAAGTATGTACTTTTTAAAGACATACTACTATTACATGCTTAATAGACTGCAATATAGTATAGCATAACTTTTATATGCACTGGGAGGCCAAAAATGTTGTGAGAGTCACTTTACTTCAATATTTCAATATTCACTTTATCTTGGTGGTCTGGGACAGAACCCACAATATATCCAAGGTATGCCTGTAGATAACCAGGAGTTAAATTGCTAAGTCTTAAGGTATGTGAAGGTCTAACAGGGCTTATTTCAAAAGCCAGATGGTGCCATAGAAAACCACATGGTGAAATTACTGCACAAATGTGTGACCAATGAAAATAGAGTTGTATAAAGAAGAGTTTGGACAAATTCATCTTGTCCTGTGATTAAACCATCCCTCTTGTCTTTTATGCCAGCTTATGCTGCAACCTTTAAAAATTCCTTGATGGGCTCCTCTTTGTCAGCTTCCCTTCTGGCTCTGCACTGGATCCTGTGTTACATCATGGACTATTCCTGTCTGCCAAGTGTGGCCTCTCCAGTTCCCAGAAGATACCCAGGTTCTATTTCTGCTTGCTCTTTTGTTCCCAGTTCAAATCAGATGCAATATTCTAAGCTGGAAGAAATCTGGTAGATCTTAGCATTCCACACCTTTGTTTTACTTTGAGAAAGCTAAAGTTCAGGGAGGTTAGCTGACATACCTAGCACTTGGTAGAATAAGATTTCCATCCCGAGTCTGTCTTCCTCCAAAGCTCATGCTTCTTTGATGGAGTTTGGCTCTGAAGTCATGGAAGAATGAGGTGACCTTGTAAAACAGTGCTGATGTGAGGATGGGTGATCTTACTGAGTTCTGGAGCTGGAACTCCAATCTTTAGAGTTCTAGATGAGATGGAACAACTTACATAGAAATGTGAGAAAGAACAGGTGGTAAGGTAGAAGGAGAGAGTATGGTGTAATGGAAATCATGCCATAAAACACAAATCTACTCTCAAATCTTTCAGAGAAGAGAGCATTGCTTAAATGAAGGACATCAACTGTGTCTTATGCTGAAAGAGGTTGAGGAACATGAAGCCAGAGAGGTGACCATTGGATTGGTAACATAGCGGGCCTTGCTAGAAGCAGTTTCAGCAGAGGCAGAGTTGTGGAGACAAAAGTCAGAGCAGAGTGGGTTAAAAAATGAGGACTTCCAACTTTAAAATGAGATTTTTAAATTAAAATAAATAAAAATATTTTGATAAGTTAAGATGTTTTCCCCTTTCTTTCAAAAAACCAACCCCAAACCAGGAAAACTTGAAACAAAAGCACAAAGACCATCTTTGAGGAAACTGAGAAATATTTAAACCATAAAAACACCACATATAAGAATAGAAGGGAAGGAAGAGTGGCAAATGATATGGCACTGTGGAGAAAAGTCAAATATAATCCTGTGGAAGGAAATACTGAAGATGAACAAACCATGTAGCCTTGTAGAATCCTAGAAAGCTCAAAACCTGGATATTGCAAAAGGCAAGGAAGGGTTAGAGAGTGAAAACTGGAATATTGATTGTTTAAAAGCTCTTCAACCTTCAGAACCATCCCTCCTTCCCACTAGAGTTTGAAAATTACCCCTTATTTACCTCCACCAGAGAGGAGAAGCATATTTTCTGACAAAATTGCACAAGAATGGTTTCATAGTCAGGGACACCAGGCACAGAGAAATTATAGAGACATCTGCAAAACAAATGTTGCTACTTCCAGCCTTCTTCCTTGTCCAATTTCAGACTTAAAATCTAAGAAAAGAGTTTGAAAACTACTTCTCTGTAGAAATAAATGTCTTAGAGGGAAAAATACATACACATAAAATGATATTTGAGAGTCTTCAACAACAACAAAAAACAACTGCCAAAAAAAAAAAAAAAGCTGGTCATTCATCAATTGGCATGCCCACCATGCATGCAGAGCTTCCAACAAGGCTTTTAGTCTCATTCATTTGATATGGACAGACAGCCAAAGATCACTAAACATTTGAAGAAGGACTCCACCAGAAAAGACAAGGAGTGAGGAGACAAGTTTCAAGAAGCTGTGTCATATAGAGAGATGTGAATAAATAGGTCAGTAGCTAGAGGGAGATGTGGGATCAAAGAGGACTTTAAAAAATGTTTTTAAGATAAGAGATACTAGAGTGTATTTGTATGCTGGTAATCAGCATCTAGTATTTTTCTTTCTGATTTGAGACAAATGTGTAGTCACAAACATTTAGAAAAGAACTGTAAAGTATGTCTGCTTCTGTTTATGATATTCAGAGATGTGAAAAGCCTTCATTTCCATGGTCAACCAGAAAAGCCCAGACAAAATAAAATTCATATGTTTCCGTGAGGCTAGTAGAGATGCAGGAAGCACTGATTAACTGAATTAGAGAGAAACAAACCCTTTATATAATAGCTAAGCAGAGAAGGTTCTGCAGAAGCTTCCATACTTAAAGGTGGATGCGTGGTCTAGGTTTGGGTAATTGGAGGAGTGGGTCTGCCATAGACAGACACTCTGCAGGGATAAGGAAAAGTCAGCTGAGTCTTACATAAACATGTGTGCCAGAAGGAGGCTTTAGAATCTGAAATGAAAAAGAAATATCTCAGCCTAAGTTATCCCCCCTCACCCACATTTCTGCATTTTTCCAAGAAAGCAGCAGTGGAGGAATTGCCTGCAGAGTAGAGATAAATCACATAATTAGGTGGATTCTCATTGTGCTTGGATTCTGGAGTCCTACCAGAGTGAAATACAAAGGTCAAGCAAAAATATCTGAAGCTGCACCTAGCCATCTACCAATTCAAATACTGAGAAGATCACAAAGGCAGGGCAGGGCAAAAGTCCAGGAGTTGGCCTAATAACAGGGAACATGAATCTAACAAAAGGTGCAGCCCAGCCCAAGCTCACCCTGACTCAAGGAGGAATCTAATGATCAGCCCCTCGCCCTAGCTCACAAAGAATAAAAGCCTTATGCTCTGCAGTGAGTAAACAACACAAATCAATATTATACCGAAGTCTCCACTGCTTTTTTTATACTCAGTGACTGAAATGTAAACTGTTATGAAAAATGGGAAGAAGCAGAGGAATATTACTCACAATAAAGAAAAACATAGTTAATAGAAACAAACCACAGATGACTCAGTTATTTGAATTAATGGACAGGGACTTTTAAGCAACTATTATAAATAGGTTAAATAATTTACAGGAAAAGGTGAATACAATGGGGGGGAAGATATGGGTGATCAGAAATTAAAAAAAGAAAACTCAAAGAAAGAACCAAGTGAAAACTGTGGAACTGAAAGATACATTATTTGAAATAAAAAATTTATCAGATAGGTTTAAAACCAGATTGAACACCACAGAAAAGGGATTAATAAGTTTAAAAACAAGTGAATAGAAATATCCAAACTGAAAGACAGAAAGGGAAAAGTCTGAGGGCTGGAGGGAGAAAATGAACCAGTCCTGTGACTTATGGGAGAATATCAAGTGATCTATACTACTTGATAACATGTATTTGTGTAATTGGAATACCAAACGTGATCCACACACAGATCCAAGAAGCTCAAAGAACCTCAAGCAGGACAAATGCAAAGAAAGCATCACCTAAGTGCATCATAGTCAAATTTCTGAAAAATCTAAAAAGCGGCCAGAGGGAAGGCAGGAAAGATATATTAAAGAGAAGCAACATTAAAAAAATAACTTACTTTTTATTAGGAAAAAAAAATGCAATCCAGAGAATGAAGGTCCAATATCTTTAAAGAGATAAAAGAAAAAAATCAACTTAAAATTCTATATCCAGTTAAAATATTTAAGGCAGAATTAGACATTTTCAGAAGGGGGAAAATGCCTAAGAGAATCATCAGCAGCAAATCTGCGCTATTAAAAAAAATGCTAAAGGAATTCTTTAGGGTGAAGGAAAATGATACCAGGTATAAACTAGATCCACAAAAAACAAATTTAAAATAAAGAAGAAGAAGGAAGAGTACCAGAAATGATAAATATTTAGGTAAATATAAAAGGTTATTTTTTATCTTTTCATAATTTTGTAAAAAGACAATTGACTAAGACAGAAATAACACTATTTTTGGATTTGTTACAAACAGAGAAATAAAATGTATGACAATAATAACACAAAGGATAAGAGGGAACTATATGGAAATATAATATTAAAAGGTTTTTCTATTTTGTGAGAAGTAGCATAATACTGACTTATAGTAGCTTGTGATAAAATAAGGATGCATATTATAATTCGCAGAGCAACTGCTCTAAAAAAGACAAGACATACAGCTTTATGTTTTTAAAAGCTAATAGATGATACTAGATGAAATACCAAAAAATACATGATCAATGCAAAAGGATATAGGAAAGGAGAAAGAAACAAAGAACAGAAGTGACCATTAGAAAGCAAATAGCAAGATAGCAAGATGGTAGACTCAAACCCAACCACTCCAAGACTTACATTAAATATAAAATGAACTAAAGATTCCAGATAAAAGGCAGAGAATGTCACACTGGCTAAAGAAGCAAGATCCAGCATATCATTGATTTATTACTGCATAAAATATACCCCAAATATTATAGCTTGAAACAATAATTTCTTATGCTGATTTCACCTGGACTTATTTATGCAGCTTATATATAGGATTCAGCTGGGGATTAGGCTCAGCTGGGAAATACAATGCTTCTGGAACAGCTGAAGATCTCTCTCTCAATATGGTCCTTCCTTCTCAAGTAGTTGAAAAGACCAGGTTTTCCCTCACAGTGGCTGCAACAGTCCAACAAAACAAACTCCAATATTCTTGTGCTAATGGAGCCTTAGTTTTTGTCATATTTACAGATGTCCTGTGGGCTAAAGCAAGTTACATGGCCACATGCACAGCCAGTATGGGAGGGGACCATACAGGGACCATACAGTGGGAGGAGTGATCTTTGGGGACATTAGTATAACAGTCCACCACATACAATTATATATGGTTTACAAGAGACACTTTAAATATAAATATGGTGATAGATTAAAAGTGAAAGAATGGAAAAAGATATACTGTGCAAGCATCAATCATAAAAAGTTAGAATGGATATTAGACAAAGCTGACTTCAACATAAAAAGTATTTACTAGAGATAAAAAGTTATCGAAGAAAGTCTGTGTGTCAAAGACAATCCATGGGTTAAAGAAAAATCACAAGGGAAATTAGAAAATGTATCCAACAAAGAACGAAAACCCAGCATATCAACATTTGTGGGATGCAGCTAAAGTCACGTGCCTAGGGTAAATGTATAGCTTTAAGTGTTTTTCTTAGAAAAGAAGAAAAGATTAAATGATTTAAAACCAATGAAAAAGTAAAAAGAACTTATTAAGCTCAAAATAAGTAGGGAAAGGAAAATAATAACAAGTGAATCAATAAAATTGAAAATAGACATATAATAGAAGAAGACAAATAATACAGAAAATCACAAAGCTCAAAGTTGAGTATTTTAAAAGAATAAATTGATAAACCACTGGTAAGAGTGGTTTTTCTGGGCTGGGAGCAGTGGCTCACGCCTGTAATCCCAGCACTTTGGGAGGCCGAGGCGGGCGGATCACAAGGTCAGGAGATCGAGACCATCCTGGCTAACATGGTGAAAGCCCATCTCTACTAAAAATACAAAAAATTAGCCAGGTGTGGTGGCACGCACCTGTAGTCCCAGCTACTCAGGAGGCTGAGGCAGGAGAACTACGTGAACCTGGGAGGCAGAGGTTGCAGTGAGCTGAGATTGTGCCACTGCACTCCAGCCTGGGTGACAAAGCAAGACTCCGTCTCAAAAAAAAAAAAAAAAAAGTGATTTTTCTAAAAGGAGAGAAAATACGACTTACAGATAATATCAGGAAAGGGAATATTACTACAGATCCTACAAATGTTAAAATATAATAAAGGAATATTATAAACAATTTTATAGAAATATATTCAACAATTATAAGGGAAATGAACAAATATCTGGGCATGTTACTGTGTATAAATTGTATTTCACTAAAAAGTACACAAGAGGAGCTTTGGTTCAGCATGCATCTTGATATTATGTTAATCATTTTGGCCTATGCTTAGGTAAAAGTCCCAAAGAGACTGTTTTATATACATTGTAAACAAATGATTACAATTGGTTGTAGAACTTCATAACTCCTAAAATAACAGCAAAATGTCTTTAATTAATCTGTGTTCTTCTGTTCACTACACTGTTTTCTTATAGTCAACAATTGGAGCCATAAGGCCATCTGGGAATGTTCCAGGAGTGGCATTAGTGGTAATAAATAGTGATAGGTGTTTACTGTGTAAGTTGAGAACCAAAGGCAACAACTGCAAAGCATTTGAGAAGAGTCCAATTCCACAGAAGGAAAATGATACCAGGTGTAAACTAGATCCACAAAAACAAATTCAGAATAAAGAAGAAGAAGGAAGAGTACCAGAGATGATAAGCTCTTTTACAAGAAGACTAGGAAGTTGACAATGCAGAGCTGATATTGGGTTATTTTTGGATGGTGATGGAGGTTGTTTTTATAGAACCAAAATATGATAGCCATTGCAGAATCCTAAGGGAGATTTTGCAGTGGAAACCTCAGTAGAATACTTGGGATAAAGGCTTGTTGAAGCACTTCTTGACATTCTATGTGTGTCCATCTTTTATTTTTTTTTCTTTCTTTTATTTATTTTTTTAGAGACGGAGTTTTGCTCTTGTTCCCCAAGCTGGAGTGCAATGGCATGATCTTGGCTCACTCAACCTCTGCCTCCTGGGTTTAAGCGATTCTCCTGCCTCATCCTCCCTAGTAGATGGGATTACAGGCATACACCACCATGCCCAGCTATTTTTTTTAATTTAATTTTTTTCTTACGTGTTCATCTTTTAATGTTTTCATCAGCAATGTTATCAAACTGTCATAACACAACCAGAATCCCAGAGAGTAATCATGAAGAGTAGAGCAATTCCTAGAACAACAGAAAGCCCAGAAGACATTGTGACTGATTCTCCCCACCTTCTACCCCTACAAACCAGCAGAGTGCTGGGTGCATGGTGTATGCTCAACAAATAGCAGTGGCCATTAATGAATGATGGGTGAATGCACCCAAACTGGAATCATTCATTTGACAATCACCTGCTTGAGGTCAATCATTAAGTGTAGTGGGAGTTGCAAAAGGAACACAAAACAAATGGCCTAAAACCCTTAGCTTCTAAGTAGGAACACTGGCAGACATGTGAAACCACCAAGGAAAACAGGGGCTCTGTAATAGCAGCCTCTCTTCATAGGATTCCCTGCCTCTTTCATTTCCCAGGAAGATAACATTTCACTTGAAATAACCAAGTCCTCAGAGAGGTTCTTATCATCCCCTAAAAGATCTTTCTCCCAATCTCCTTCAGTTTCCAAGAGAAAATAAGAATAGACCCTTATTAATAGTGCTGTTGTCCCAGAACTAAAACACACCCACAATTCCTATGAAACCATCCATTTTGTTTGCTTAGATGTTGTGGGTCCTTCAAGAAGGGCAGAGAGTAGGGAGATGGGGCCATGTGTTATTTGATCTTTTGAGCAGCAAGGGTGGTATAATGGGGAGGTTGTGATCACCACTCGCAACTAGTGAGTTCATATCTTGCCAGATACAAAGCATCAAGGATAAGGACATTTTCCAAAACAGCCTTTGGTTGTTCTGGTACAAAAAAAAAAAAAAAGTCAAGAAAATACTTGTAAAGAAAGGGAAATAGGCTTAGAGAAAATATCCCAGTTCCCAGACTTTATTTGGCAGGGAAAAAATACAGTGAAGCCAAGCAAATATTTCCACACCCCCAAGAAGCCTTTTTTTTTTTTTTTTTTTGCTCTCTTTTTAAATCTCAAGTCTTAACACAATATTCCACTTTTAGTGTTACCCAAATGTCCCAGACTTCACTAGTCTGTGACCAAAGAATTAGATCATATTTACTTTTAATGCCCAAGCGTCTCTCACCTAACTGTCAGAAATTATCCCTCTGCCCCATAGTGCCCCCCAGCTATTATGAGGGGTTCCATGGTGCCACCTCTGTGTGCTCACAAACAGACCCCAGTTTTCCTATCCCAGCCTCCCCGTCATGTCCCCTTGCCACTAGCTCTGCTGCTCGGACCCTCATGAAACTGGCAACTCACAGGGCAGAGCTGCCCCCTGCCTGGGGATTGCTGGTGCCATGCACTGCCCCCAGCATGGCCTTGGTGGGGGACACTGCTCTCATCTTTATTCTCCAGGATATATGCCCTTTCTCATTACCAAACAACAGAGTTTGAAATTAAAGTATGCCTTTTGATGGGATTTATTGGAATATTAGAGGTAATATAAGAAATACAACCTAGAGAATGATTTTTAACCACCACATGGGCCCAGACTTGTCAATGACCAGATCTGGCTAATGTCCAGATCAGGTCCTGCTTGGCCTCCTTCCATATGGCCAAGGGAAGCTCATCCCTGCCCCAAAATGGTTTCTTCCCAGAATGAGTAACAGTGGAGACATCCATTCCCTCCACTCACCCCTTCAGTAAGTATTTGTTGAAAGTCTATTATGTTCCAGGCACTGTAGTAGGCACAGAAGATATAATGGGGACCAAAACAGCCATGGCCCAGTCCTCAAGGAATTTAAAGTCTAGAACTGAAACAAACAAAACCTAAATAATTGCATAATGAAATGTTATTAGTTATAAAATATCTTAAGTGCTATAAAGCAAAATTGTGGGGTACCAGGAAAAAGTCTAATAGAGGAAGACAATTCAGATTAGGAAGGTCAAGTAAGACTACTCTGAGCAAGTGGCATTTAACTTGGGACTGAAGGCTGGATAAGAATTAGCCCCATGAAGAGCTGGTCAAATAGTGTTCCCGGGCAGCAGTGATTGCCGATGTGAAGTGCCTATTGGAGAAAGGGGCTTGGGAAGACCAGTATGGCTGAAGGCAAGAGAGTGGGGGCAGAATGATGTGAGATGAGGCTGGACAGGGAGGCAAGAGCCATCTACATAGGCACTGGAAGGTCATGAAAAGGATTTGGGATATAATCCCAGGTGTAATGGGTTGGTGTTGAAGGGCTTTGAGCCAGAGTGAATGCCATGATTTCATCTGTACTTTAAAGACATTCTTGCAGCCTTATGGAGAAAGAATGGAAAAGGGGGCAAGAGGCCATTCAAAAGATAGCAGGTGACTACCCCAGTGGCTAAGCAAGAGATGATGGTGGCTGGGACAGTGGTGTTGGCTGAAGAGATAGAGAAGTAGTCCATTTCAAGATATGTTTGAAGTAGAACTAACAGAATGTGATGATGGTGAGAGGAAGGAAAGTCAAGTTAGTGGATCAAGGAGGGCTTCCAGTTTCTGACTTGGGCGGCTGGGCATGTGGTCTGATACACGGGTATTGAAAAGAGAATAGTCAGTTTCCAAAGTCTGAGTTACTTGGTATTAAATATTCCACCTATGAAGCATCAGCAGCCCAGGGACAGGCAAACCCCTTTTCAGTTTGTCTTTTAAAATCTCCAGCAGTCTGGCAAGCCACCCTCACCCACGGTCTCCCCATCATATCAGTTTTAACAAAAGATTACTATTTTCTTTAGAATTCCCCCTCCAAGCAATGCCAGGATAAATATGAGAGAAAAAGAGAGTATTTATCATACTGATTAAGAACAGGGCCTCTGGGATTAAATCCCACCTCTGTCTTAGGTAAGAGTGGCCTTGGGTAAGTTCTGTAACCTCTCTGTGACTCAGTTTTCTTATCTGTGAAATGGCGGTAACAATAGTACTACTGCAAAGAGCTGTCATAAGGCTTAAGTGGATCGATTGTATTTCATGTATTTAGACAGAGCCTGGCACCATAAGTTCTCAGAGCCATAGGTTCCCAGACAGTGTTAGGAACTGCCATTGCCTTTCACTGATGCCAGGTTCCCACTTCCTCTAGCATTGTTCCATGCTAGAGGCTGCTTTGCAGAGGAGAAAGCCTTTTTTGAGTCAGGTAGATTTGACTTCAAGTCTCCACTCTCCTACTTAACCTCTCTGAGCCCAAGTTTTCTTACCTGTAATGTAAGGACAGTAATACTCACTTTCAGTGGTTATTATGAGGGTGAAATCAGAAATCTTTGGTCACTACCTTGTATATAGCGGATGCTCAATAAATGTTAGATTTTTTCCTATCCAAAAGAGTTTCTCTTCCCAATTTAAATAGAGCATCTCCACCCTGTACCACTAAAAAGACCCCAGCAGGAGGAAGGCAAAATTTCAAACCCTTCATAGGGTTACAGTTTATGAATAAGGTATGTGAGTCAGAAATTTTACTTTATTGCCCTTTTTGGCACAATATGGAGCTATTTAAAAGACAGAAACATGAATGTAGACTTCTTACATCCCAGAGAGAATGGTCCACAAAGATTCCATTTGGCCCCCAAGTCATTTATGTTTCCCACTGCCAGTTGAACTCTTCCTGCCCGCACTGTCACCTTGAACAATCAGAGTAAGAAAACACAGGCACCGGCCCACAGAAAACACTCTTGGCTGTCCTGGAAAGCGGAGATTCCTTGGGTTTTTATTTTCCGTTTCCTTTGGCACACCCGTGCGGTGGCAGTTTGCTGTGGATGCCACCCTCTTCCACCTGCGTCCTTGTGGTGGCCTTTCCCTGGGTTCTTGGTTCTCACCTCTTTCTGGCTCACATGAGCCATTTGTATTGCTGCCTAAGTTGCTGTGTGTCCCATCAGGAGCAGCATTTAGAGACTCATTTCCAATGTAGAAGGAAAACATTGTGTTAAGGGAAAGGAAAGTGTTTACAAGCAGATGGAGAGTCCTGCAGAAGAGTCTTTCCCCTTAATCCTTGAAATCTCACTCATCCTGTGTTATGGTTGACCCTGAACGGATAATATAAAGGCCTTCCCTTTGATAGGCTTTTGGGGAATTACTGGGACTAGACAGCAGTATCCACAGAGGTAAGAAGAAGACTAGTACTTATGACTACAACAGCAAAGTAAAAAATACTCAAATAAGACTAACAGAGTGTCTTTGGATTTCAGAGAACAAATCCGTCAAGGCCTAGAAGAACTCCAGAAAGTTCTGCCAGGAGGAGACACTTACATGCATGAAGGATTTGAAAGGGTAATTTTAAAACAGTTTGAAATCCAAATATAAAGCATGATATTGAAATATCAACATGGGGTGACTGATGAGATAAGGCACTTATATTAAGAGGGCTGACTAGCACCCAATAGCAAGAGAGTACATTTTCTTCCCATAAGCTTGTACACTGACCACTCTAGCCAAAAGAACTAAAGAAATGGATTCCCTTCCTTCTTCCCTGACCCTGATGAATGGTTTGTTAGCTAATGGTTGGCTGGCAGTCACAAATTCACGCCACACACAAGTCCCGCCACTCCAAAAATGTCCTTTGTTGGATGTCAGCTTCAGTGATTGAGGCAGAATTTCAGGGACTTCAGCTTTAAGGGAAACAAGACCATAAGGAATAAGACATCAATCCGTGCTGACAACTACAGTCATCTGTCACTTAACAAGTACTAGGCCATAAGGAATAAGACATCAATCCATGTTGACAACTACAGTCATCTATCACTTAACAACAAGGATTTCAACAAAATGCCTTGTTAGCCAATTTTGTCATTGTGACATCATAGTGTGTACTTACACAAACCTAGATAGTATAGCCTATTACACACCTAGGCTATATGGTGTAGCCTATTGCTCCTAGGCTATAAACCTATACAGCATGTTACTGTACTATACATTGTAGGCAATTGTAACACTAATGATATTTGTTTCTAAACATAGAAATGGTAATGCATTGAACTACAGTGTTACCACAGCTACGATGTCACTAGGTGATTGGACTTTTTCAGCTCCATTATAACCTTAGGGGACCACTGTCATATTTGTAGTCTGTCCTTGACCAAAACATTGCTATGCAGCACATAACTGTATACTACTTAAATGAGAGGTAACTTTACATGGATATCAGCCACTGATAATTGAGCAAAGCCTGGGTGAATTACATAAGGAATCAAGACTGAATTGGCTGCATATTCAACAACAGAGCCCATTATCCACTATGGTTTTTGGAGTGACAAACAGTGGTTATAAGTCTAAGGGCTCTTTCATATGTTTTTCAGGCCAGTGAGCAGATTTATTATGAAAACAGACAAGGTAAGACTATAGTATGAACTACCATTATGAATTATTTAACTTTTTCCGTGTTTGTTGCTGAAAAAGTGCTTCAGTCATTTCATGTTTCAAAAGACATGTATGATATTATCTGTAATTCTTAGACACACATTTCATCACAAACAAGGAATGCATAGAAAGGTGGCATGTATTGGGTCAAATTCCACTGTCCTGTTGATGCCAAGAAAAGTTATATAAAAGTAATTAAGATCCCATTTTGGCCACAGTCTAATTCCCATGAAGAGTTTTGCATGTTGAATTCACTAAATTAGTAAATACTTGCATAGGTTAGTAAAGTCTTGGATTTTTATGTAAAATTTAATTTTGTTGTTCTTCTCTGAGCTCCAAGCCTCTTCATTACTGTGACTGAACATAACATTAAGATCAAAATACCAGTTTGATTTAAACTTTCCTATATTTAAATGAAAAAACTGCATAAAATATACTCAGTAGAGTGCCTAGCACATAGAAATTTTTATTATTTTAGCTATTATTACTACAGTGTCTTTCGTGAGTAGCATTTCTGTATCTCAGTCAAATCTCTTAAAAAAGAGATTCAATATTACAGTAGAGACTTTCCTCCCAGGCCTATAGAGGTGTCCATTTCTTGTTTCATCCTAAACTGCAACAAACAGAACAGACTCAATATCAACACCAAATCTTGCTAATGTAAATCAACCGTGAATGTTGATATGAGAAGCCTAAAAATCACTGAAATAATTCTAGTAGGTTTTGCCAACTGCTATAATTCTTCCAGTCAACTTGTAAATCATGATGACTATTACTTTCACCAAACTGTCTTCAAGGGGTGGTGTATGTGGTCCATTACAGCAGGTGACAAGGACGTCTGAACAGCCCAGGTGGGAGTTTGCTCACAGCTTGGGCAACAGTTATGTGTCTGCTAATAGAAAATAATCACACTTGATTCACCGGTGCTACTCCCAAATGTTGGTTTAGTGACCATTTCATCAGGTTTGGCCATTTTTCAAGATGAGGCTGAAAAATGAGAAAGCAAAACCTATTCCCCCTAAAGTCTGTCCCCATGGGGGATCCTTCTTCATGCTGGAGTTGCTTCCAGGCCCAAAAGAAAAGTTGGTGATTCTCACAATATTGACTTTGGGTGGTTGAACTCGTAAGAGGTTGAATCCTGGGACTGAGAGGGTGTTTCCTTGGGTGGAGCAGGGTGGACTGAGCCAGTCTGTATTGTGTTAAACAGGGTACAGGACAGCCAGCGTCATCATTGCTTTGACTGATGGAGAACTCCATGAAGATCTCTTTTTCTATTCAGAGAGGGAGGTAAGCAACGGCCTGGCTGTGTCTAAACATATACATGGAACGGGGCTTCTCCTTTCTAAAATGGGCCACACTCTCTCTATTCATGTGATAGGTGTTCTTTGCAAATCCCCTGAATGAAATAGAGTTTCATAAGTAGAAATAATAATAATAATTCGTGTTCTACAAGTGAATTTTCATGTTTTACACATGGTAAATGTTTTCCCCTTTCAAAATTTTTACATATTACTCTGCTTTGAAGGATTAAAAATTCTACCCTGCCTTTATTGATGGCATTATATTGCTCTAACAGTTTTTAAATACTGTATATCACTTGTAAACAAATAAACATTGATATAATTTTTCCTTATATTTTCTACTAAAACAGGAGGAAGGGAAAGAATTACTTGAAATATGTAAGAGCCAGTCTTGTCAGAATGTATCAATCACTGAGATTTTCACTCTAAGAACCAAAGTTAAACAGCAGTTGGTAGCAAAGTTAAATTGTCATCTCTCTTTTAATAGTTCCTTTTTTTCTTTTTCTTTGTGTTCTCAAAAATTATTCCTCAAGGCAAGTGGAAAAATTCTCTCAATGAAGATTTTACCTTGTATAAATAGACTTAGAAAAATAAGTTTGCTGATGAATTGAAAACTAATGTTTATACTTACGAAATTCTTTTCTTTCAAGTTTCACATTTGAGCTATATGCATAATTAGTATAAAAGGAAACAAGTTAACCATAGAAATGTACTGAAACTATAGCCTTATTAGTGACAAAGGTTCATTCAGGCCCAAGGTAGAAAGAAACAACATCCCAGAGATGCAGGCTCTAGAAGAGGAGTTAATGGTAGCATCACACTTTCCTCAAGCTCTTAACAACTATTTACTTTAAATTCAGCTCTTTCCACAAACACAAAATATATATTCATTCATTTATTCATTCAGTGTTAACTGAGAGCTTGGCATATACTTGACCATTTGCTAGAAACTAGAGGCACAGAGGTGAGTGAGATACAGCTGCTGCCCTCGTGAGTCACCATGAAATAATGGTCAGCCCTTTGAAGCCTACACTGGCAGAGGACTTAGAGAAATTATGTAGGTAAACTCTCCTCCCACTAGTACAAAAAGTAACTCTAATGAGGAAATACACAAGGTAATATGACAGACACTCCCTGAGCATTTGGAAAATAATACATCTCTATATTTGAAAGTAGAAACTCACTATGTGATGGGAATGCAAGATGGCTTGATTGGGTGCCAAATAACAGTCAAATAAAGTAAAAACCCTAATAAGGAAAGAATTGAAACTAAAATAAATGATGGGGTGTCAGAGGCTTAAGATAGGGATTAGTGGGAAGGAATTTTAGGTATGGCACATACAAACTTGGGAAAATATTCAGAGTGCCAGTAGAAGGAGACCTTCTGAAAAAGAAAGATAAAGCTCAAGATATAAAGAAATTGAACTTTTCCCTTCTTGACAATTCTATATAAAGTCCAACTGGAGGAGAAGAATCACAGAGTTGTTGCAAATAAAGTTGAGGCTACAGTGAGTCTAAAAGTTTATTTTATCCTAAAAGCAGCAGGGAAATTTCTAACATGAAGGAAAAAAAGACATAAGTTTTTGTCCTTTCTAGAATTCAGTGTTAAACAGAAATGGATTTGAGTACTAAGAAAGGGAAAAAATAACACAATCAAAATCAATATGCATATATTGAGCACTCGCTCTATGTTTGCTATCAGTTATTAAGCACCCACTGTAAGTGCCAAGGATTTTCAATTTTTTTTCCATTCTGAAACACAGGAGAATCTGGAAATCAGATTATCAGAGACTTTAATAAATCAAATATTGAAGTTGAGCCAAAATCTGGGTATTATTCATTATGTTGCCATCCCAATGCTTAATTGTAGAGATCATGGATTTACCTATTCAAATATGGACCACAATTTCCATACCATTAAACCACTTTATTCTGTAGGAATGAAAGGGCTTTATTCACAAAATATGCTGACGTTTATGAGTATCTACGTGGTTCTAGCCTTGTGTGAGGAGCTCTGTAAATGTTCTCATTTAATCCCCAAAACACAATACAGAGTAAAGCCAGGGGTCAAACTCAACTATATCAAGTTCCAAAGGCCCCATTCTTTTGTGATATCACGCCCCCATTACAAAGAAACGTATGTCAGTAAAAATCCATCAAAGGAATGGAAAAGGTAATCATTTCCCCAGAATATTTAACTTAGTCTGCAGTTTTCCCTTCCTCCCCTCATCTTTAAGCCCTTCATCAAGACTCTACTTCAGTGTGTCTTTTCAAGTCCACCATGTGTTATGTTAGAATGTGATGTCCACTGAAGTCTGAGCTTCCTGGGGACAGGGATTGCCTTCTCCAGTATGGCACCAGGCACATGGTAGGTGCTCATTAAATACCTCATCATTGAAGTTAGTCAGGTAGCTCCAAGAGGAGTTCATTTGTCACTGCTTCTCTTTCTAATGTCCTTTCTTTCCTTTTCCCAGGCTAATAGGTCTCGAGATCTTGGTGCAATTGTTTACTGTGTTGGTGTGAAAGATTTCAATGAGACACAGGTATGGTAATGGATTTCCTCAGGTTTGGAGCATACTGAGCTTGTGAATCATGAAGAACATGTTCAGTCAGTGCAGAGGGAAGATCAATGGAATAAATGCCCCTGAAATAGGTTATTTTTCTAGAAATGCTAAACAGGAAGGAATTACTGGTTGTGTAAGGAATATGAAGTCATTTGCTGATGCTCTTGAGGTCTTCAACACAGACCATCAAGGCAGCATCTTTCTTGGCAAACATTAAATTGCCAGGATGTCAAAAGATATCTGAATTAACTTGGAAAACGGGTTTTTTCTGTTTGTTTGTGTTTTGAGACAGAGTCTCACTCTGTCACCCAGGCTGGGGTACAGTGAGCTGTCTCAGCCCACTGCAGCGTCTGCCTCCCAGGCTTAAGTGATCCTCCCGCCTCAGCCTCCTGATTAGCTTGGTATACAGGTGCACATCCTGAATAGCTGGGACTACAGACACACACCATCACACTTGGCTACTTTTTTTTAAATTTTTGTAAAGATAAAGCCTCACTGTATTGCCCAGGCTGGTCTCTAACTCCTGGGCTCAAGTGATCCTCCCAACATGGCCTCCTAAAGTGTTGAGATTATAGGCATGAGCCACCACACCCGGGCCAAATTTAATTTGACAAGTATGATTTTCTTATTCAAATAACAAATGTTCCTTTTCACCCATGAAAAACGCAAAGTATTTTCAACACAAAAATATGGAAATAATTGGACAAGTGGGCAAAAAAATGTGTATAGGTGCATATAATAAGCAAGTTGTAAAAGCTTACTAGCAATCTAAATACATGTACCTCAATGTAGTTCATCGTTTCTTTTTGTTTTAATGGCATAGGAAAATGCTCATGATATATCATTAAGTGAATAAAACAAAATTACAAAGCAGTGAGAATAGTATGTGCTCACTTCTAAAATAGACATTTGTATGTTCACATAGAAAAAGTATGAACAGTGTCTATCAAATGGCTAATAAAGATAGATAGATGATAGATGAACAGAGAGGATTATGAGTAACGTTTGTTTTCTTTTTGTTTTAACTCTCCTGGATTTTCCTAAGTTTTTACAATGAGTAAGTATTACTTTTGCAATCAGTAAAAACAATAAAACATATTTTTTTAGAAGCCATACACAACAGCTGACACTGACTCTGTGGCAGTCACAGAACCACACAGAGATCTGGGGGCAGACAAGCCCTACATCGGCTTCTCCTGGCCCTCAGTTTCCTGCTACATAAAGCAGGAGCAGCCAAACCAACTGCAAGGGCCCTTTCCTTAATGGGCAGTTTGGGTGAAAGGTGAAGGTGGCCTCACCCAACACCAAAGCTTGAATTTAAATTTGCTCTGAAAGGGAACTTGAATCTGCTTGATTCAGATAAAGTTGCCAACAGGAATTTGGGTGAAGGGGAGAAAAATGAGCCCATGGCCTGTGCCCAAATTTATAAACATATCAACCCAGGCCAAGCGTTCATCAAGCTGGGCGCTCTTACCTCTGCTCCCGAGGAGAAAAGTATTGAAACAAATGTAAAAGCTGGAGCCAACCCTTGGCCTGCTCCAGAGAGGCCACTGGTGAGCTTGTTATTACTGATGGCTTTTCAGGGCAGCCCCTGAGCCCAGTGAAGGCCTCATATTCCCCTGGGTTCTGAATATAACTAGAGCCCCTTAGCCCCAACGGCTTTCCTAAATTTTCCACATCCAAGCCTAACAGTCTCCCCATGTGTTTGTGTATTTGCTGTGTTCTCAGCTGGCCCGGATTGCGGACAGTAAGGATCATGTGTTTCCCGTGAATGACGGCTTTCAGGCTCTGCAAGGCATCATCCACTCAGTAAGTAGAGCTCTTCCTCTGAGACTAGACATTCAGGCACCTTCCGTCTCTGATCTGCTATTAATACCCCAATTCCATCTCTCAAAGCCTGGTGTTTTTCTGCTTAAGAGAACATCATTTCTTCCTATATCTTTGTGTCTGCCACGTCCCATCTCTCCCTTCTGCCTTTTACACATCTTTTCTCAATTGTACCCTGCAGTGGAAAATTAACAATTGAAAGGGGCGCTACTCTGGCAGTGAGCCAGGCTTCAGGAGGCCCTCTCCGTTCTCCTAACTGGGCAGACTGTGGCTGGTGGTTTACGCTTGACCACCTCAGCTTTCCCATTGTGACTGAACACAAGCTGCCTTCAGAGCACTTGTAGGCTTGGACTTATATCACTTGGCCATTGGATGCACTTTAGACCAGGCTGTCCATTGAAGTCATCTGCAGAGATTTAAAAAGCACTGCTGCCTAGGCATCTGGTCTGGGGTGCAGCCTGGACCTCAAGAGTTTCTTTAACTCTCCCCAGGTGATTTTAATGTTGAGACCCACTGCTTTCGACCTATAATCCCCAAATACATGGGCTCCAGTGTTGTCCAGGGTTTGCACGGTCACCAGTCCTCCTTCACACATAGGTGATTTTCTTCACACCTTTTCCTGAATAGTAAACAGGACACTGGCTTCCAGGGCCTCTATTCTCCACCTCCCATACACAGGCAAGGCCCTTGGTCCAAATAGAATATTGGATGCTACTGTCTTAAAGCCTCAGCCAGCAGGTCAGTATGTGTGCTGCACCTGCAATGATGTTCAGATGCTCTGCAGCCTCCACCATTAGGTTTTGTGATCAGGCAGGCATCTGTGATCTTCACTGGCAGCTTACCAGGCTACAGACTTGGGGTCCAGGATGCAAATTCAGAGCTCAGGGGATCACTTTCCTCTTAAGACATCAAGGGGGTCTTGATCCAGGGGTTACCGGCCAAGGGCTCAGCATCTGCCAGCCCTCCCAGACCAACCCAGGAAAATTCCAGCATGGCTGTGCCTCCATGCTGCTCTCCCTTCAGGGTTTGCTAGGAGCTCCAGCAGAGTGGAATGCAGAGTGGGAAGTAAGAAGCTCAGAGCCCGGCAACCCAGAGTTTCATTGGCCCACGTACTTAACACTTAGAGATCCTTGGACATTTCTTGTTTGGAAACAGGGACTGATGATGACTTACATCATAGGCTTGTTTGAGGATTACAAGGATTACTGGTGAAAATGCCTAATACTTTTCCAGACATACAATAGGCACTCAAGGCATATGAATTATTGCCTCTTCCACTTCTCTTCCCTATCATATGACGGATATTAATGTCAGCTTCCTTTGATCCCCTAAACATTCTTGAATATGCATAAAAATCACTTGAGAATTATGTTTGTAATACCTATTCCCAAGAGATTCTATTGCATTGAGTTTCAGATGGATCCAAGGGATCCATATATTTCAAATCTGCTTTTTTTTTTAAGTGCCCCAGGTATGCTTTTAGAACATTGACATATCTGACCTTAAGAATACAGAATTGCAAAAATTCATCCCACCTCAGGTTGGGAATTTCTGTCTTAATTATGTTCCAATGACAGTTGTTTTATTCAAGAAGTGCTTGTTTGCAAAGAATATATGCCTCCTCAAGCTACCTTAACCAGAAAGTGGAAATTATTGATAGCATAGAGAATTATCAGACCCAGTTGTCAGTCCACAGGTGAAGGACTCCTACTCTAAATTATTTCTGGGGTCACTGTGGCATACTTGACAGTGTAAGCAACAAGAACTACAATAACCATGTAAAACAACAACCCAAGGGATGCAAAACATGATTAATAGCAGGACTGGGGGCCGATCATGGATCCTTAAGAAGCTCAGAGGTGGATTATTCTGGGCAGGAGTCCTCATGAGAAGGCAGCGCAGACCCGAATCATTGAAAAACCAGGGAAAGGTGATGGGTACCACCAAAGGAGAGATATTATGACCTCAACCTAGAGGCTGGAAGACAGAAAAGCATACTCAGGGGTCAATAATAATAATAATACCTATCTATCTAGTGGGACAGTTTGGGTAAAGGAGTCAGGAGTAATGGAAAATAAGCCTAGACATTGGGTTGAAACCAGATTAACATGAGCCTCGAAGGGGTTTTGCCTCTAACCTATAGGCAGTGGGTGTAGTTACTGAAACAAGTTAAGAAAATAATCTGATGGCAGTGCTTGCATACGTGGGAGGGAGACTGGGGATACCCAGAGACTGTAGGCCAATTAGGAGGCAATAGTCCTGCCTTAAGATGGCTAGATTCTGAAAAGGGACAACTCTTATCTGTTCAGACGTTCTTATGAGCCGTGTGCCTAACTCCAAGTGTTGTTTCCCACATAGATGATTGGACTCTTTTTGTATGCATAAATCAGTGTTGTCCTTGAATACATCAGCCTTAGCAACTCACCCAAGCTCAACATGAGCCCAAATGTTTGTAAAACTTCCTCCATCCCCAAATGGAAATAACTGCAAAGATCTTTAAGAAATTTTAGCGAAACTATCGTTCAAAATAGAAAGAAAACTAATTTGAGACTTTAGTCTCCAAACTTTTAGCTGAATGATAACATTCCTGTGAGCTTTTATCTGTGAGTTATGCTAGTGGTTTTGATCCTTCCAGTACTCGAAACCCATGTTTATGGCAGTTGTTCATTCGTTTGCTTGGACAGAGAAACAGGGACAAGTAGAGCGAGCTCATCTTTCTTAAATCAGACAGAAATAATTACGGCCTAAAAGTTGGCTAACTATTTTTAAGAAGTAGATTCATTTCCCCTTTTGGATACTGAAAAGAAAACTCTCAATTTCCCCCCCATCTGAAGCCTCTATCCCAGCTTGTTCCCATGAATGTTGTTTTGTGGCTGGTTATTTTCTCATAATAAAATAGGACTGGGCTTAATTATCCAAAATAAGATTGCAGAGCAGCTTCTGATAAGCTCAAATTCTTCACAAAGTTTTCTGCCCATAATGCTCATATTTTTAAACCTTAAATTAATATGCAGGGGCTAGTATTTATTCATACATCAAATACTTATTGAAAATCTTTTATGGCAGGCTCTGACCATTCAGTAACAACTAAAGCAGGTAGAGGCTCTGTCCTGGTAGAGCTTACAATCCAGTGGGAGAGACACATTAAAAACAAGTAAATAAATAATCATGTGGAATTAAAATTGTGATAACAGGAATAAAAGAAATAACATGGCCATGAGATTAAGAGTAAAAGGGTTGACAAAGAACCCAGGTTCCTTTGAAGAGATGAACTGAAGGACGTAATGGAGCCATCCATTGGAAGGGCATGGATAGAATGTTCTTGGCAGAGCACGGCCCAGTACAGTGCATAGGAGAATGAAAGACCAATGCTTAAAGTGAAGAAAGGCAGAAGATGACATGAAGAAGCAGGCAGAAGCTAAATCCAAGGACAATAGGAAACTATAGCTAGGTACAGAGTCTGACAATAGAGCAATCAGGCTTGAAATCAAGACTCAGGAAATCTAGACATCATGGCACTCAGAATCAATAGCATTTCGGCCTTTGAAGAAGAAAACTCACTATGACTTGAACACGTTCTCTCTATTAGCGCCTCTGCCAGGCACTTAACCACCACTCTCTGAAGAAGGATTTATTATCCCCATTTTATAGATGAGGAAACTGAGGTGCAAGAAGGTTGGAGAAACTGCCCTCAGGTCTGCCCTCTTATAATGGTGGAGTGGGGAATTTGAACTCAGCTCTGGTTCCAAAGATTCTGCTCTTTTCATGACATTTGGCCATAAATGTCTGAGGAAATGGAAAATCACCACTGGATTACCAGAAGCCAGTTGCCCAGGGCTTGGATTCATCAAATCCCCAGATGCTCTGCTTCCTCAATCTGATGCTCATGTTTTGATCTTTCCACTGTTCTTCAATCCTCTCTCCTTCAAGAGGAAGTACTTATGTGTCAGATTTTTTCAAAATGTTCCCACTTGTTTTCCATTTTAGTTTCTTAACTGAGAGGGATAGGAAAAGGGCAGAAGGAAATTAACAGCTGTAGAGAACTTACTTTGGAACCAGACATTATCCCTTTTTCCCATATAATATTATTTCATTTAAAAATCATAACAATGCTGCAAAATAAATATTCCTATTCCAATGTTACAGATGAAGAAACTGAAGCTCAGATAACCTGCCCAAGACCACACAGCCCTAAGGGGGAAAGCAGGGTTAGAACCCACTTTTTCCTTGACTCTAGAGCCCATGATTTTTCCTACCTCTATTTTCTTAGGAAGCTAAAAATAATCAAAACCACCATTCAGTGAGTTCGTACTATGTGCCAGGTACTGTGCAAATCATTTCACATAATCATCTCCTTGAATCCTCACAGGTGCCATTTGATGTAGAAATCATTACCCCTTTTATAGAAGTAGATACTAAAAGTTCAGAGAGATTCACCAACTTGTCCAAGGCCACACAGCACAGTGAGTAGTGATCCCGAATAGACTCAAGTCTTTCTAATGCCCACGATGTGAATGCCCACTGTGTTCTACTAAACAATGCAGGCAGGCCAGGAAGTAGCTCCATTTCAGAGAGGAAGACACTGAGGACTGAAAACGTGAACTGGCTTGACAGAGGCAAGACCAGAATCCATGTGGCCTGATCTGAATACACCGTGGATGGGCAGGGGAGCACTTTGCCTCTTACTACCAGGTAGAGACCACCTCCAGAAATCATTACTGCCCAACGGATGAAGTACCATCGTCCTGAGAAGCTGGAGAATTGACACAGGCTGCAAGGAACATCTCCCCTTCCACACTTGCACAGGACTCTACCTCTGAGCACCACGACAGTTTTCCCACTCGCTTCTGCAGAATATGGTGATAAAATTACAAGAAGAAGTCTGGATGGCTGGAAGATTGTAGCCCTTGAAGCCAGTAACACTGTAAAGGAAGAAACTATTCCTGTGCCTTCTCATATTGTGGCTTCTTCAGGGAATTTCCACCGACCACAACTGGTGAATTTAGCACCAGCCCTCGAGCAAAAGTATGAAGCAAAGGTCCAGCAAGGCTCCTGGGTCTTTGCTTGCCTTTTCAAAAGTGTTTCAGGCAGTGAAACAGGAACCCGCATAAAAGCTGGGTTCAGATAACACCGAGATGGGTCAGCAGCTTTGAATCCCAACACTCGGCCTGGTTACCGTGATGCCAGCTCCTCCTCCCAGCTATCCCCACTTGGTGTGCAACTGAGGGTGGTGCCTGAAACCAAGGACACTGTCTGAAAAGGAGAGCCCACAGCTGCTGGCACCAAGCCATCTCCATCTAGGAGAATTTCCCTCGAATAAATATTTAAGCCGACATCAGGCTTCCTGTTAAGGAGAGTGAGTCAGCACATAGAGCTTTCTGCATGTTTGATCAACAATAAACAACAAGCATTGAGCAAACACAACTATGTTTGCAAGGATTTCTCGCAAGCTGTGGCATGACCATCCTTGTTATCAGGGAAACTGTGAGATCAACGGAACCGAGGAATCAATCTATTCCATGGTATATATAAATTTATTTTATTTATGAAAACCAGATCCTGTGCTGATTTGTCCCTTCCACTCATGGGAAGCAATGTAATCCCCTAATCTGGCCCAGGCCCTAACAAAGCTGTGATAAAAGGTGAAATCTGTCTTCCAGGCTTGCCTCCCAGCTACTCTTCCAAGACCCCAACAGGAACTGCAAAGGGTTTTCCTGTGATCAGAATTCATGTCACATTCCCAAAGTCCTGGAAAGTGTCTGCCTTATTGAACTAATCCCTTTTCCAGGGCTAGCAGATGGGGAGGCACATTTCAGCAGCAGCAGCTCTTCTCATAAATCAGGCTTGTTGGTCACTGGAGGCAACCTCCTTCCCTTCCTTCGCCCCATCTGAATCCTGTCCAAAGGCACCCTTCAGTCTTCCCATCTCTACAAAGCCTGCCCTGCTCTCTCCTCTTCCATGAGCTCTCCCTGCCTTGGACTCCAGTGGCACCAATTTTTTGAAGCTCTTGCTTGGCATGTGGATCTGTTCCATGCCTCTGCCATTCCTCCTGGTCACATGCTAAGTTGTGCAATCCCAAAGACTGCCCTATGTGTCATATTTCCCATGATATGCAGCCCTGTGCTTTGCATATTTATTAATTATAAAGCAACCCAGAGTACCATAGAGCTTTTGTGACCCAGGGAAGACCTACACTGCACAACAAGAGGGCAGTCTGTGGCTCCGTTTCTTGTAAAATCCCCTCAGCCTCTCCCCTCCCCTCTCTTCCAAGATTGCATCTGTAAAACATGGCATTCTGGGCACCATTCACATTAGCAGGCTTGGATACGAAACATAAATAGAATCAATTGTAATTTCTGTAGTGGGCAGAGAATCTTTTTTCAAAAAAATCTTTTGCCTCAGCAGTCATTAATTAGACTCAGATTTTGCAGACACTCAGACCAGGCATTTCTCCTACACTATTATTTCTATTCAGCTTATTAAAAAGTCCAAATTGAACAAGAATTCCCAGAGCTTGAACAGGCTACAAAGATTGCAGAGGGGCATGTTCAGTTAATCCTCAGATCATTCCTATTCTTCCTGCAGCCCCTCCTCCTATATTGAGGAATCTGCTGAGACCCACTATAAAAGCAACAGCAGAATTTTAGAACGAAATCAGCTCCCAAGAAAGGCCACTCACTTTTCCAGTCTGCTCATCTTACTAAATAAACCACATTTTGAAGTTCCCAGCTCTCTGAGCTTTTCTCCTGCAGACATGAGAAGAAAGTGGTTTAGTGGGGAAACAAATGAATTTCCTACTTTTAGAACCTTGTTTATCCTACACTCCTTTGGATCGGATTCTCATTGAGTGTGAAACTAACAGAGTAGCATCTATTTAAGTGAGTGGGGTGCCCTCCCTCAGACAAAAACTTTGGCATGTTTTAAGAATAAGCTTTATTGTTTAAGATACACAAACTGCTTCAAAATGTGTTTTGTTGCATGTAAGCGTGGTATAATGTATTTGGTATAGTGTATTAGTGTACATAAAATCATATATGAATCCCAGAAATACGTGTGTATAATATTCCATATTTGTATTTGTAAAGTTTTTTTTTTTTTTTTTTTTTTAGAGATGGGGTCTTGCTATGTTGCCCAGGCTGGTCTCAAACTCCTGGCCCCAAGCAATTCTCTCACCTTCACCTCCCAAAATGCTGGACTTACAGGCATGAGCCACTGCACGTGGCCATATTCCATTTTTATTTAAAGTCAGATTCTATAGAACTGACATGGATCTGGGGTAATGTCCATGGTTAACAATATGTGTGCCTATTAAAGTGTGGAGAATTTAGTTAGAAAAGGCAACTTTTTTTTTTTTTTTTTTTTTTGAGGCAGAGTCTCGCTCTGTTGCCCAGGCTGGAGTGCAGTGGCGCTATCTCGGCTCACTGCAAGCTCTGCCTCCCAGGTTCACACCATTCTCCTGCCCCAGCCTCCCGAGTAGCTGGGACTACAGGCGCCTGCCACCACACCTGGCTAATTTTTTGTATTTTTAGTAGAGACGGGGCAACTTTTTAAACATTTTATTAATTAGAGATTAAATCATTTCAAAATTCATGGGGACAACATTGACAGTCCTGAAGATGTGTTTGAGCCAGTTGTGTGTCCCAAGCTGCCTGGCTATCCCCAGGCTTATCCAATGTGCTTTCTGCCATCAGCTGTAATAATGTTTGTGGCGCTTCTGTGGGAGGCTGGGCCCCACCTGCCAACTACAGTTCTCTATGTTTTTCCCAAGAAAAGGGGTTGAGGCCTTTACAAAGCGGCCGACCTAATACAGGGGATTATGATATGCCTACAACATTTTTTTTTAAGGTAAGCAATTTTTTAAAAATGAGGTGTTGAAATTGGCCTCTTGGGAAGGCAGCAAGTCCCCAAAGATGGTGGTACTTAATCAGACGAGGGGAGTATTACAAGATGCAGCATATGGACTTGTATTCAGAAGACCCTGAGGTTACACTTATAGGGGGAAAGGGAGATTAATACATAATATGCTACAATGCCAGTTTATTAAGACGTGCAGGAAGTGTGTCATTTATTCATTTATTTATCCAATATTTATTTAATGCCTACTATGTGCCAGGCTAGTCATTGTGAATATAATAAGTAAAAACAAACCCAGTCCTTCTCCTTGTAGAGTTTATAATCTAAGAAGACAGTGACCAAACAATAAAAAAAAAACACTGTAAATTATAAACTAGGATAAGTTATCTAAAGGATGGCAGTTTACATTAAAATGTGCATGGATATAGAGATATTTCATTGGTCAAATCACCAGCACTTAGGTGGCAGAACTCATATTGGATTTGGAGAGTGACAGAGAGAGCAAGGCTAACTTAAACGTTCAGGTTTTTGTCTTAGACAACTGAACAGATGTAAATGGTCGGTAGATACTTAACCATCCTTGACACCAGCATACTTCAAACCCCATACATCTTTAAACCAGAATTTGCCCTTTACAACAAATAAGACACCAAGGAACATGCTCTGAAAGACTTTCTGAAATATGTGTGAAAGCAAAAGACACCTATACCATCAAGGGATAAAAGAGATTGGTCCATTATAAACACACAAAAAAGTTCTCCAACAGGAAATGGCCAAGTAAATAAAGATTGGTTGTTTATTAAAGCAAGAAGCAGAGCAAGTAGAAAAAAGAAATGCCGTGCCTATGATAAGGGAGGGATTCCTTATAACTCTGTGCAGATATTCACAGTTCTGTAAAGATTCTTGAGAAATCTCTGCATAAACTGAGAACTTCATGACAAAGGACATTAGATTTTTAGAATTTGAAAAAATAAACTCTTCTATACAACCCGGACTGGTCCACAGTGGATTTCACTTTAAATATATCAAACAGCTCCTGTAACTTGGCAAAGTTCTTGTACATCCGCTGCCTCTCTTACTCGTCCTCCCACCAATAATCCAATGAGATGTACAAAAGTCAACTTACCAGAAACAACACATGACAATTATTTAGCTCTTTATGGATTTCAAACATACTTTTCCATCTATTTTCTCTTTGAAATCTGTCCAAAAGTTGGCAGGAAAATAGCATTAACCTTGGTTCAGCTTTTGTCAGCAAATATGATTAAGCAGAAGGCCAGGGGTGGGCGATGGGGCGTAAGCACATGTGAACCACGGTCCACGCCCAAAAGTAGCAGCAGTAGCAATAGTAATGACAAAGGAAGAGCTAACAGCCACTGTTGTTTGAATACATGCCAGACATTCTCTTAAGTGCTTTACTGCCAAGGTCATTTTGACCACTCTTCTTGGTGCCTTATTTTCATAAGGTGCTCATGCTGGCTGGTGACCCAAGGGTTATTAACTTTCTGTGGATCGATCACATCTGTCTAGTTCTGTCTATAAGACAAAAACCTTGTCAGTTTTCCTTGATCTCATGCTCTCCCTCACCGTCCAATCCAATATGAATTTTATTACCTAAATCTGATTGATTTTCCAAACAAAATATCTCTGCGTTCATGACTGTTATTTTATTTAACCATCATACAGCCCCTTGAAGTTGGTGTTTTTCTTATCCCATTTTACAGCAGAGGAAACTGAGATTTGGAGGTTTAATAACTTGTCCGAGTCCACATGGCCAGTAAGTGATGGGACTTGGATTTGAATATAAACCCATTCAGAGTCCAAGTCTATCTTCTCAGTCTCCAGAGCTTAAGTTCTTGATAGTAATAGCTACCATTAGTTGATTACTTATCAGGTTTTAGGCACTGTGCTATGGGCTCTGCCTGTGTGATCTCATTTAATCTTCCCACACAACAACTTTATGCTCGTACTTCAGGTAGATACTATTGTTATCCCACTTTTATAGAGAGGAAACAGGGACTCAGAGAGGTTATGGAACCTGCCCAAGGTCACACTGCTCATGAGTGAGTTGACCTCAGCTATTTGATTCCAGATTCCAAGCAATTACTCAGGATACTGAACTGCTTTCCAAAATTGGGGTTCAGAAAAGTTAAGGGATTTGTAAAGGAGCATAGGTCAGGTAAATACGGACCAGGGCCAAGACCCAACTCTTCACATGGGATTATACTTGAGGCATGCAGTTATCTTATCCCTCTCTCCTCTGCAGATCAATCATACCCTCACCTTAAAGCCTCTTACCTCTAACATCAGCCTTACCCTGTGTAAGTCTCTTCCACTGCATCTAGTGATTTCCCATCAGCGATTCCCCAGTGCTGTGTCTACACCTCTGCCATGGCTACCACTGCCCGGGCCTCCCTACCCCCACACAGTCTCCAGTCCCTGAGCTGATCTGCTGTCTGCTACAGTTCAGACAGGCTGATTACCATACAGTCTTGGCTGCTAAGAACCACGAGAACCCTTCAAATCCACCAACTGCCATTGTGACTTCCTACCTTTTGAAACCAGACATTTCAAATGAGTAGGAGCCCCAGTCCCAGACAAATCCTGCCCATCCCCCTCACTGATAAATTTTACTCTATTGGCTGTATTGCATCCTTCCAGATGTTTTAAGTTAAGATTGGGAAAGCTGTGTTTTTACTGGATTGAATCACAGTGCTTGGCTGGCATTTTTTGGCCCTCCATACACCCCTTAGATTTATCAGCTAATTGCAGACACTTTGAGAGAATAATACAGCATGTGTTTATTATGACAACCCCTGTTAGTGTGCCTTTGTGGTTAAAGATCCACGGATGGTTCCTTTACCAATCCCTGGTTAAGGATCAGAGTTGGTTCAAAAAGGTTGGTTGAAACTCGGGTTGGGTAAAAATTTCATGTGTGTGTTTGGGGAATGGGAACAGGACTAGTCCAAAAGCTCTTTTTAAATTCTTGGACTGTTTTGAAGTCTTTAGTTTTGGATGATAAAATGATTTATTAGGAGATGTCAAATGCCTGAGGAATTTTATTTAAAACATCAAAAAACAGCTTTGTGTTGTTCTAATATCACTGTTTAATAAGTTTCTCCCTCTGGGCTACCTCTATTTCTCAAATGTGGGCTGTCTGGAGACTTGTGCCTGAGGACAAGTCAAAGGGGGTGGCTTCCTCCCTTGGTCATGGCAACCACTGGCTGAAGTACCCCATCAAACAGGAAGAGCCCAAGAGCAGCAAGTTCAGGGATTGGCAAATGGACAATCTTCACAATTCAGGCAGGGCTGTCTGGGATGAATCACTGTGCACCAGGATGCTAGCAAGTCCCAGTCCTAATACGGTGCTATATGCGCAAGAGACCGAAAAGACTAGATCAACCATAAGGCACTGGGGAAGCCAGCAGGGAAACACAGGTGCCCAGGATATATCCTTGGGGTCCTTGTTCCCAAGTTAGACTGACAATGAGTGGAAAACAGGAGCTCAGTGTTTTCCCCAGGTGCCCAGAGCAGGTGTGTGAGGACCGCTGACTCTAACAGAGATGGGCAAGGGACATGGGAGTCCGGAGCATTCCCTTCATGCTACAGTCAGGATAGACTTAGGGACCAGGGAGGAACTGAGGCTGCACCTGTGTCTGGGGTGGGTGGAGGTGGCTAGGTAAGCCAGAGGCTGAGGAAATGAGGCAGAAGCTGAAGGAACTAATTACTTCCAACTGCGGAGTCAGAAGGATGCTGCAAACAAATAGGGGAATCAAAGTATAAAAATGCCATGAAGTTCTACAGAGTGAAGGAAAAGTAGTCAGAAAATCTGAATTTTAGAATTGTCAAGAAGAAATGTTGCTTTTGGTGACATTCAGGTACATAGAGTTACCTAAAATACATGGTTGGGAGATAACCTATTTCAATGAATGCATCTTAATATTTTCTTAAGCATGTTTGTTCATTTTCTTTCGCAATGCTTCTCTATAAGGATGCCCAGATTTCTCTCTGGAATGGGTAAATATTACCTCTTCTGAGAAACTGATTTGTTTTCATTCCACAGATTGAGAAAGCTCATAAATATTGGCTGTCCTTTTCGTTTGCTACTAGAAAGCTTGGAACTAAGTCCACTCTAGCAAGGAAATAAGCTCCTCAGCATATTTTTTCTATGCTATTCTCACTTCTTGCGTCATCTTCCCTTTATTTTCCCTTTAGTCAGCCCCACATTTTCATTTATTCTCTTTCATTTGTGTCTTGTGATATATCACTTAAGCTGTAACAAAGAAGCATATGTAAAGAAATACAACGATGCAAATAAATGGGCGTTTCCCAATGCTAAAAGATGCTTTCTTCTTTCACAGACTTTAAATTTTATAATCATATCGTCAGTTGTTTTAACAAATGCCCTTTTCAAGAATAGAGAAAGGGTTTCCTTCAGCCCTCTAAACCATCTCAAATTCCAAATTAAGTAAAGATACTGCATTTGGTTGGTAAATTAACTCAATGTCTTATACTTGTTAAAAATACTTGATTCAAATTCTAGAATCAATATTCTCAAGGTAGGATTTATAAATGGTGGAGAGAAACTTAGGTGCTACCAGTGAGAAACCCCACTCTAGCCAGCAAAAGTCTTCATTATTAACTCCTGTGAAGTCACAGTGCTCTGCTGACTCTCCACTCAACCCTATAAGACTCATTTGTGGACAAGTGTACATTTCCATTTAACTAAGTCTCAGGAGGTCTTCCTGAAGAGTGAGGCACAAATGCCCCCTTTGAAGCTCACATTTTCCAGACTTTCCAAGCAAAAAAGGAACTCTTGGTCATCTGACTATGCAGCTTCTGTGGAGAGTTGACCATTTCCGTCCTATCTCTCCAGCTCTATCTAGTATCACTCTCTTATTTCTGCTTTTCAAGCTGCCTTTGTTCCAGTTCAAGAAATCTATGTACTTTTTCCTTCTCACCTTTGCTCATACCATTCCCTGCCTGGACCCTAATCCTCCCCTAACCCACTCCCTTTCATTTGAGTCCCACCCTCAGCTCCCAGCTCTTCCATGAAGCCTTTCCTAGCATACCTGCCCCAGCATCTCCTCCATGAACTCTGCAGCTCCTACTGTCTACTCTTTCACCCTTGCACCTACCAATAGGAGTGGCCATTGGCATTTATCATTTCCAGAGTTAAGTCCCATTTCCGCAACCCTATGTTAAACCTCTGCAAAAACTAGGACTGGCATAGCATAGGCTCAGTAAATACCTGCCAAAAGAGCAAATGAATGAATAATTCTTAGGGCTTTTAGGATACCCAACAGCATCTAGCACAATCTGGCTTAATAAATGTTTGGTATTGGTACTAGTCAAGATGTTAGACTCCTCGCACCCCCACCGCAACCAAATGTCCTTGAACCTTCCTATCTCTATCTCAGTAGCTAAAAGCAGAACCCTGATTCTGTCTTTGAACAAAATAAGCTGTGCATTGACTCTTTTATTTCCGCTCCTCCTAGATTTTGAAGAAGTCCTGCATCGAAATTCTAGCAGCTGAACCATCCACCATATGTGCAGGAGGTAAATTGAAATGAAATGCTAATTGCTTTCATACAATTGATGATATTTTGAGTTCAAGTCACGTATGTACTTCATTGTTGGTGGGGTGGGAAAGAGGAACAGGAAGGGGTAGGGTGAAAAGAGGAGCTGAAATTGCTAACCAAATTTGCTCCAAGGAGAAAAGGAAAGAAAGAAGCCACATGTCAGTTGTTTGGAAGTTAAAAAAAAAAAAAAAAAATCTGTCCAAATTCTCTTCTTTCACTGGGCGCGGCGCCTTATGCCTGTAATCCAAGCACTTTGGGAGGCCAAGGCAGGCAGAGCCCTTGAGGTAAGGAGTTTGAGACCAGCCTGGCCAACATGGTTAAACCCCATCTCTACTAAAAATACAAAAAATTAGCCAGGTGTGATGGCGCTTGCCTATAATCCCAGCTACTCGGGAGGCTGAGGAAGGAGAATCTCTTGAACCCGGGAGGCAGAGGTTGGGTTGCAGTGAGCCGAGATCGCACCACTGCACTCCAGCCTGGGTGACAGAGCAAGACACCATCTCAAAAAAAAAAAAAAAAAAAAAAAAAGTTATCTTCTTTCATGGGACCTAATTAGAAGGGAATTGTAGAAATACTGGATTCTTATACTGAATACTCAGTGACTACCAACACCCTACCTCTGGATAGAAATGGAATCACCCCTCTTTTTCATGAGGCCCTGCAGATACCAGACAATCATAGTGGTCATAGGCCATACTGGAAATACTGCTATACTAAAGTTTTTAGTTGGATGCTGGCCTTTTCACACAGTTAATATATTTATCTTAATTGTTTAATCTGCCAGTCCTCACACAATGGTAGTGGACGGCTCTGGTTGTCCCTGTAGAGGGCCATATAGTTTTGTCATTAATAAGGAAGTCTCTATGTAAAGAATTAGCCTTCTTCGAGTCACAAGATTTTCTCTAACTGATCAAAATCAGGGTCATGCTCGTTTCATATTTAATGGACTGCTTAAAACTTCAACCACATTGGCGCTTCTCGTATAATTCTTGACAGGTTCCCCATCACTCTTCTTTCATTCATTTGAAAAGTATTCTTAAGTGCCTGCTGCATGCCAGGCACTGTGCTAGGTGCTGGAGATAAGGAAGGAAAAACTGTGTGTGTGAGTTCCTGTCCCCCAGAAACTTGCATCTTTCACCATTGAGAGTTTATTGTTGATATCACCTTTTCAGCCTGCCAAAATACAGTGCCAGTTATTAATTTACCAACAGAAAATATGTCATACAACCTGATAAGGTAGGAAGCATTAAAGGAAGAACTTTCAGGCCTCTTCAAACACTACACACATCAATGTTTATGGCATATTTTACTGGTATAAATGAGGGAACTCCTTAAGGATTTTATTCCAGTTTCTGGCCTATAGTTTAGAACAACTGAAAGACTTTCAGGGAGTTAGGTGCACTAAAAAATCGGTGCCAGCAGCAAAACATCAAGTATATATGTAAAGATATAAAGTTGTTATCAATACTTGGTAACTAGTTATGTACATACATAAATATACAGCATGCATACATAAATACATATGTACATACATAAATGCATACCTACATAAAGTTGTTAGCAAAATACTTGGTAACTAACTATTCAGAAATATGTGCTAATTTCCCAAAGAAAGGCAATCCCAAAAGATTACCTACTGACCTTTAAATAAATTGCTACCTGACCACACAGATGGCAGGGGTAAATGTGATTGCCACAGAGGTAGATCGGTGAGAATCTCTTTAAGAATTCAGAAATCTTACCTAGGCAAATTTGACAAAAACATATGACCACATGAATGCAGTGCCAGGGCTTCATAAGGGGCCTGTGCAGTGAGGAGCCTCAGTTAGGCTTCATGAATTTACCTTGAAGATAAATTCACCTCTGGGCTTTGTGTGCTTCAGGTAGAGGAATTGAGTAGGATATTTGATTAATTAAATCTCATGTAGTGTGTGTGAATTGTTTTATAAACACACATTTTATAGTTCTGTAATTTTAAAACAATTAGAAAATAAGGGAGTTCCTTGACTGCAATTATTGCTTTCATAAAGAAAACCCAGACTTTGAGTTTAGCAGTCTAATTGGCTGTGTTGTGCAACCTTGGAATGAATCAGAAAGTCTAAAGACAATGAACACAATTTCTGTTAATTCACTAGTATAATGAATTCCCTTCCTGTAGGCTCCTTGAAGACAGAGAAGGAAACTTATTTCTCTCTACTTCCCACTGCCTAGCAGGGTACCCAGCACTCACTAGGTGGCCAATAAATGTTGACTAAATGTCTTGATTCATGTATTCGTTAAAAAAACAATGCCACTGATACTTGCCTATTTGACCCTTATTAATTCCTTTCACCAACCATAAGAAGTTAATATACCTTTGAACTGCAACTAAAATGAAGCAAAATCTAAAATTAATAGACAAAGATAGAGTAAGACCAAAGTAAAAGGAAAAATCTCCACCACTTAGACAATGGAAAATTGCCTTTGTAAGTAATTTTAACCTCAAAAAGTAAACAATATCCCCTATATGTCATTAAGGTGTTCAAGACAATAAAAACACCACAAAAACAAAAATGACACAGAAATACCAGTGTCCACAGGATCTGATCATATCAAATTCATAGATTTCAATGTTTCTCATCAAGTGAAAAAGAAAAATAAATGAATTAAGAATTAAAAGATAATTTTGGAAAAGGTAAGGAAAATACAAGAAACAAATACACAATCCACTAATAAATTTAAACAAATTAAAGCAATTCAACAGATAAATTATTCCAAGGTTATTTGGTAGAACCAATAAAATAGACAAATCTGGTAAATCCAATCTAAGGAATCTTTCTTTAGATTTTCTTAAAATCTCTGGCTTATGTGCAATATTACATATTTTATAAGCAAACAACAGTTATCTGTATCAGAGTAAACTATCCAATCATATTATCTTTATTTCTTATAGAGAAAAAATTAAAACAAGACACAATGATGAAAGCTAGAACTAGGTTTTGTAAAAGGCAAGCTCCCACCTCTCAAATTCAAGTCGTAAGGGTTTAAACATGCTGATTACAGAATAACATTTCTAAGAAGAGAATGAAACTCCCAAAAGATATCCTTACATCAAAATTTCTTCCATAGATTTCCTTGAAGATTTCTTGTTGACCATTCTCTGGAGTAAACATAGTTTTCAGGAAGCCTGGGAGCCCATTTCATTGTCCGGATGCCTGTCAGATAGAGCGAGGCGTAGCCCCTCTGTGACTTTCATTAAGCTAGTTCAAAGATATAAGTATTTACGTGAAAGTGCTTTGAAAAGTATAAATTGTTATGCAGAACAAGATGGCTTGTTATCAGCATCATCTTAATAAGGATTAAAGGCCAGTGTTAGAATCATGATGTTGATAATGTCATACCTAGATGAGAAAAGCATTCCTGTATGTTTCTCCGCTGAAAGAAAATTGGGGAAGAGTATCTGCAAAATGATTAATTAACTCAACATGTATTGGGGGAGAGAGTAAAAAGGAAATAACTGATTGTTCACATTTCTAACATATAATGGTGGGACCAATCCCTAGACAGATATGTAAAGAAGGTAAACTTTGCCTTCATCGAAAACCTTTCCTCTTAGCCTCTTCCCTTCACTCTGTGAATTCCTTCTTTTCCTTGGCCCCTAGAACAGCCCCTGCTGTGGAGCCCTACCCAGGTCTGTCCTGCTCAAGACACTCTATGCTGATGATTGCATTCCTCTAAGACAGTGATCTCAGCTGGCTTTCAACCCCAGCTCAACACCAGCAATGGTTCTGACAGCAAACTGAGCTCTGGGCGAGGCAGCGAGATAATGACAACAAAGCCAAAATCTAGCACAGGCCTTTATATGTTGGGCTGCACATAACAAGGTGTAATTTAATGGGACAAATATAAAGCGTTGAACTTGGGTTCAAATATCCAGTTTCACATACAGGCAGGTTTAGGAAATCCTGACTTAGTAACAATTAACGGTAAGATAGCAGAAAAGACAAGAATGATCATAGTTGTCTTGCTCCCCAACAAGAATGCCTCTGACTAAGAAAAGCTGACACAACCTTAGGGTGCATCAATAACCATCCAGTGTCCAGGTCAGGAGAACTAACAGTCCTATTCCATGTTCAGACCATGGTTTCAAGTCCCAAATTTTAAGAATGGTATTGACAAAGGCATGTCCATAGGCGAAGAGGTAATGGATCTGGAAATCACATTATAATTAATTCATGGATTCATTCTTTCTTTCATTTCCTTCTTTCCTTGCTTTTTTCTTTCCTTTTCTTTCTTCTTTCCCTCTTTTTCTTCCTGTTTTCCTTTCTTCCTCCTTTCATCGATTCTTAGTGTCTTTTATGCACCAACCCACATGAAAATGTATCAACACAAAAATGCATAAGACTTAGTCCCAAATCCACCCACACCCCTATGAAACTCACAGTTCACTCTGGGAGATAGTCATATGTTCAAATAAATTACAAAACCACGCAGTAAGCACTGTAGCAGAAGTCTGCTTACAGAGTAGTGAGAGCACTACTGAGATGCCTGTGCGATGAGGAAATACTGAAGTCATCACAGAGACTGAGGCCAGGAATTGAGATACTCACAAGAGCATCTTTAGATATTTGGAGGATTCCCATGCAGAAAGAAATTATTAGGCTTATTATGTATAGCTCCAGGAGACCACCATGGAGGGGTTGGGGAGGAATTCAGTGAGGCAGATTTTGGCTTACCACATGCAACTTGTACAACTAAAGCTTTCCAACAATGGAGTGGATGGTCTGAGCTCTCCCCCCATAGAATCATGTGAGCAGTGGCAGAATGGCCATCTGTAAGCAGATGCTATCAGGAGAAAACCTCCTCCGGGTCTCCTTTACAGCTTCAGATTTCTAAAGATTTAATTCAGTTTCCACTAAGATATTAATGGATGATTATTTCTCAATAACTGAGGAAACCAGTATTCCTGGAACTGTTTCACATTTTTAACTGGAACTCTTACTGGGGAGAGGGAATGGAGAGAATATGTAATCTGCTGCCATCAAAAAGAATTCCAGCCGGGCACGGTGGCTCACGCCTGTAATCCCAGCACTTTGGGAGGCCAAGGCAGGCAGATCACGAGATCAGGAGATCGAGACCATCCTGGCTAACACGGTGAAACCCCGTCTCTACTAAAAATACAAAAAATGAGCCAGGCGTGGTGGCGGGCTCCTGTAGTCCCAGCTACTCGGGAGGCTGAGGCAGGAGAATGGCATGAACCCGGGAGGCAGAGCTTGCAGTGAGCCGAGATCATGTCACTGCACTCCAGCCTGGGCAACAGAGCGAGACTCCGTCAAAAGGAAGGAAGGAAGGAAGGAAGGAAGGAAGGGAGGAAGGGAGGAAGGGAGGAAGGGAGGAAGGGAGGAAGGGAGGAAGGGAGGAAGGGAGGAAGGGAGGAAGGGAGGAAGGGAGGAAGGAGGGAAGGAAGGAAGGAAGGAAGGAAGGAAATCAAAAAGAATTCCAATCACTGCATTGGTAAACAGAGTGACACTCCATCAGGAAAGAAAGAAAGAGAGAGAGAAAGAGGGAGGGAGGGAGGGAGGGAGGAAGGGAGAGAGGAAGGAAGGAATCCAATCACTGCACTGGTGAACATATATAGGGAGAGAGAACCTTCCCAGAACTCCTCCACTCTCAGAGGTTATAAACTGGCAGCCTACAAGTCCTATCTGATCTGCATATATATTCTTCTTGATTCATACTGCATTTTTTAACTTAAATTTATTGCTAACATTTAGAAAATCGGATTTCACCTAAAAATACAGATTTTCATCTTGACTTGAAAAATCAGAACTGACAACACTGAACCTGTATTTATTACAAGTTAATGATTATTGAGGACTGAATAACTTCCTTTAAAAGAAACGTATACACTTTCCAGTTCACCATACTCCTCACCACTCTCCATTGTCACCCCAGTACCCAGGCCAAGCATGTGGCTGCCATTTAGCATGGTGCTTATGTCACTGTATTTACAGTCCCTGTTCCAAAACATGCAGGAAGTCACCTGCTATGTGGAAACCCTTTGTAGCAACTTTGACATTACTTGTATTTCAGTAATTCTGCTCCCAATATAGACTCTTTTTTAAAGTTTCTAATTAAATATTTTTGCAGATTAGCCTCTGTTTAATTAAGAATATGGACCCATTTGGCCCTGTCTAATTTAGCTCCTCTCTGGAAAATGCACCCTGTGCCTGAGCACAGTCTTTCTGTGGTCCCACTCAGTTGGCCTCCAACTTCCACAGTTCACAATGTGCTATGTAAGCAAGGATGCCAGGAAGGAACTAATTGGAATCAAGTGTGCAACTTGCCAACTGCTCTACACTTGAAGTTCTTGTACTCCAGAACTGGAAGGAAGTTATAATTAGCTCCTCACACTGTCATTTCAGCAGCAGTTGTATTCCTACTGTGTTTCCCACTGTTTCTGATAAAACTGGGTGAGCTGGCACAAAAGGAAGGTCATTTAAGGTGTCATGTTTACCATTTGGAAATTTCGATGTTTAAAACAGACACATTCAAGCAACATCAGATAGTGGTGTATTCCTCTCACTTTTCATTGTTTTTCGAAGCATTCATTTCTGACCTTTGGCCACCTCTTCTAAATGGATTGCTTCATTCTCTGCTCAATCTTTCCTTTCATTTAAAGACATTTCTATGTGGAGGAAGGACTCTCATTTACAAATACAAAACAGCACAACACTTTGGAAGAGTTTTGGTAGTTTCTTACAAAATTAAATATACACCTACCATATGGCCCAGCCATTCCACTCCGAGGTTTTACCTAAGAGAAAAGGAAATCTATGTCCAAACAAAGAAAGGCTTGTGTACAAATGTTCATAGCAGCTCCATTTTTAATAGCCAAAAACAACTAAAATGTTCATCCACAGGTAGGTGGATAAACAAATTACAGTTTACCTGTAGAATGCACTAATTAATACTCAGCAATAAAAAGCAATAAACTATGTATAAATCTCAACATAATTGTGACTGTGTCCTAAAATAATTATGCTGAGTAAAAGAAGCCAGACAAGAAAATTACTTACTGCATGATCCTATTTACATAAAATTCCAGAAAATGCAAACTAATATACAGTTCCAGAGAGCAGACCAGTGGTTGTGTGGGAGTGGAGGTAGGGAGGGCTGGGAGGAGAGATTACAAAGCAACACTAGGGAAGTTCTGGGGGTGACAGCTACGCTCACTGTCTTGACTGTGGTATTATGATTGTGTACATATGTCAAAATTTATCAAATCATACACTTTATGTGCAAGTTATTGTATATCAATTATGCCTCACTCAAGTTGTTATAAATTAAAAGCTATAACTGAAAAAAGTTCTAGAACAATTCAGGCCTCAGAAAGCACCCATTATATGTCAGTCCCTACATTTTATTTTTGATGTTCCATACCACATTAAGCATCTAAGAGGAGAGCAAATTCAAACTGACTCACAAGATGAAATATCACTGACAATAATTTGGCACAAAAATCTTGGGTGACCAGAACAAGTGGAGAATATACAGATGTCTCATTTTCAGACACAGTGAATGACATGCAATCTTTATTGAGGTCATCTCAAAGCTATGTGTTCCACATTTCCAAAAAGAAAAAAGGAAACCAAAGAAATAAAAGGAGAGAACAGAATGGAATAAATCTATCGAACTACTTACTGACCTTATTTTTTCTTTTTTTAAATTGAGCTATATTTTACATGCTATAAAAATCACCCTTTTAAAAGGTACAATTCAGGCCAGGCGTGGTGGCTCACACCTGTAATCCCAGCATTTTGGGAGTCTGAGGCAGGTGGATCACTTGAGGTCAGGAGTTTGAAACCAGCCTGGCCAACAGGGTGAAACCCCGTGTCTACTAAAAATACAAAAATTAGCCCGGTGTACTGGCACATGCCTATAATCCCAGCTACTCCGGAGGCTGAGGCAGGAGAATAGCTTTAACTTAGGAGGCGGAGGTTGCAGTGAGCCAAGATCACGTCACTGCACTCCAGCCTAGGTGATAGAGTGAGACTGCGTCTAAATAAATAAAGTACAATTCAGTGGTTTTTAATGTATCACAAAGTTGTACAACTATAATAACTATCTAATTCCAGAATATTTTCATCACTCCAAGAAGAAACCCTATACCCATTAAGCAGTTATTCCCCCATTTCTCCCTCCCTCCAGTCCTGGCAGCCACCAATCTACTTTCTGTCTCTGTAGATCTGCGAATCTGGACATACCTTATAAAGGGAGTCATGCAATATGTGGCTTTTGTGTCTTGCTTCTTTTATTTAGCATAATGTTTTCAAGGTTCATCCATGTCATAGCATGTATGAGAATTTGATTTCTTTTGATGGCTCAATAATATTCCATTGTATAGAAATACCATACTTATCAGTTGATGAACATTTAGGTTATTTCCATTTTTTGGCTGCTTTTAATAATGCCACTGTGACCGTTAATATGTAAGTTTTTGTGTGGATATAACTTTCAATTCTCTTGGGTATATGTCTAGGAATGGAATTTGGGGGTCATAAGGTAACTGTGTTTAACTTTGTAGAAGAACTGCTAAACTATTTTTCAAAGAGGCCACAGCATTTTACATTTCCACCAGAAATGTATGTGGGTTATAATTTCTTCACCAGCAGATGCCATTGTCCATCTCTTTCTCTTCAGCAATCATAGTGAGTATGAAGTGATATCTCCATATGGTTATGGTTTGTACTTCCATGTGACTAATGATGTTGAACATCTTTTCATTCATGGACCTTATTAAGCCTCAGAAAATAAACAGGATTAGACCTGGTTGGGACCTGAATAAATGATCACCCTATCCTTCCCCTTTATTCTCTTTCTATGCCAAGATATGTTATTTATTCAATCACTCAATGAGCTCATCCTGAGACTGACTCAGTCCTGGGTTAAGGCACAACCCAGCATTCAGAAGAAATAGAAATCTTGGCCTCTGCCATCAGGAAGCTTTCAATGTAATTGGGAATAACAGTGACAAAAGAATATAGATCTTAAGGAAACCTTAAAGGATAGATAACTTAAAAGATTAAATCAAAGACCATTTTCAGGTGGAAAATTCCTCCCTAAAGCCCTGCAATCTTGAGGTACTTCTTATAGGAGCTGTAAGCCAACATACAAGTTGCCTAAAAACACAGCTGTACATATTTTGAAAGGTGGGTTCAGGGCTTTGTAGATTAGTGGAGTTAAATCACTATGTCCTGGTTCTAATGTGTCCTGGTTTTCACTTACTGGCAGATTCATTCGAAAGGGTTTTGTTACATAACGTCTATGTGTGAAGAGCTGACATTCTAGTCAGGCTGCTGGGCCAGATGTTTGAGCTCTTCTGGTAACCAAATGTGTGCACTAACACAGAAACCCTATCAGGCAGGATGGGAGCTCGCCTCTGCCCTGGTGCACTCCCCAGAGCATCATTTCCTCCACCGTCTCCCCCTGGCCTAGGGGGTTAAATTGTTTGGTTTCCACCATTGCCACATCATGGATTCCTGCTGTCTTTCTTCCTAAACTCCCTGAGGTGGGGCCAAGCAGACATGCAGGCAGCCTCTTTTATAGAGGATTTAGCAACTCAACTGGTAATGTTAGAACATGGTGTTAGAGAATAGAGTTTGGCATGTGGCCTGCATTTCCACAGTCTTCTCTTCCTCTGCTGATCTTTGAGGAAACAAGAGAAGTAGGCACAGAAGTGAGGCAGAAAACATTTGGAATCAGCAAAAACATCAAACAACAGATGTCTGTATGTCTGGCATTCAAAATGGACACAGAAATAGGTTTCTATAGGCTTAACTGAGCAAATAAGAGAAGATAAGATTCTTCTACAAGTGCTTGACACGTACTAAATTGCTTATTGAGCCAACCAAGGAATCTGTCAGATGCCTGACAGACATCTAGAGAAAACTACTAAGCCCATCTTTCTAAACGTAGCAATTGTGCATTTGCATCAACGTGTATGTATAAATCCTTCATAGTCATAGGACTTATGCTCCTGAAAAAACCATAGGCCCGTCACCTTAGCTTTTGGATATGAGTCCCAGTTTTTCTGCTTTACTAATGACATGACTCTGAGCAAGTCATTCAAAATGTCACAGTCTCCATTTCCTTATTGTGAAGGCCTCTTATACTTCTAAAAAGCATTCTTTTCTAACTTATACTCCTTGTGGCACATGTAGTGTCTCTGTATTCTTTTACTTAAATTTCAGTTTCTTGCTTCACATCCAGGCCTGTTCCACTTTTCTGCAAAATGAGCAAACCTGCCTAAAATTAAAATAAAATAAGCTTTAAAAAAAATCACAACTTCAACTCCTAAATGACTCATCTGTCAGAAGGCAGTGAGTCCCCCTTTTCGCATGGTGGTTCAGAAGCTAATGGCTGAGTTCTAAGGGCATGGCATTTGGTGCCTAACAGACCTCGATTCCAGTTCTGATTCTGACAAGTTACCAGCTGTGTGATCTTGGACACATTACTTAACTTCACTAAGATCAGTTGTCTCATCTGTACCTCCCCAGGCTGTGGTGAGGTTTAAATGACATCAGACATGTACAATATTTCACAGAGGGCCTGGCTCACATTGAGGGAGCAATTAGCATTAGTTATTATTGTCTTGGCAAACATGGCCTCTAAATTAGTTTCCTGGGACTGAAGGTGGCATATACTCATGACATTTATTAAGCTTCGAGAGTCCCATATACTAATTCTCTAATTTCATTATTCCTCCAACAACAAGTCTACATTTAGATGGCAATGTACTGTGTAAGATCCATATTCACAAACATTGCATTTTTTCCTCTGACCTTCAGTCTATTTCTCTTGTGATATGCCACATAGCATTATCCCGAGCCCCAATTTTTAGATACAAAAGGATGATAAAAGTGAAATAAAGTGGAACACTGACCATTAGATACCAACAAACTTAAGCAAATATTCCCAAACATTTAGCCAACTAATTATTGGGTTTTTTCCATGGTAGGAGTATGGTAAAGGAGAGTTGTTTTTACTTAATAACGATTTTATTCATGTGCATTAATCAAACATACATTATGCCAATGAGAAATTAATATGCAGGCCAGGCAAGATATATGATCTCTTCTATGCAGAGACAAATGAGTACTACACTGAGGGGCTGATATCAATTCAAGTAGGTAGTGCTTGGCAACTGACCACTGCTAAGAAAGACTTTGATTCATTCCTAAGTACAATTATTCCTACCTAGCCTATGTACTGTTACTGTGTGCCCAGTAGAGATAGGAATGCCATAGTGGTATCAAACAACTCCTGACCTAAAGGAATGTTTCTCCAGCTGGGGAAGAAAAGACAAGAGAACACCACCAGACCATACATAATGACAGTCCTACATTGTTCAGGACTAGCTGTGAATGCCCTAAGGCAGTGACTTTCTAAAATGTAGGCACCGTGGGCTCTTAAGAAATCCTTTCAGGGGAGTACAATGTGCAAAACAGACACAGAGGAGGTGAGTTGATTAAAGAGGAAGTGGAGGACCCCTCCCCTGTGGCTCCCTCCGGCTACTGAGATCACAGATTTTCAAACTGCCTGGATTTGAAAACTGGCTAAGATTTGAATGGACAGAGAGGAGGGAGGAAGGTGTTCTGCGTTAGGAGGACCAGTAAGCCCAAAGGTAAAAGGGTGGGAATTCAAATAAGAAGTGATAGGCCCTTCTTGGGACACCTAGTGAGGATGCACTGGTAAGTAGTGAAAGGAACCCACCTGGTTGCTTTTGGTGTTCAACCTAAATTAATTTTTGAATATTTTAAGCCTGGTGAAATAGTGAACAAATGCTCTAAATCAGGGCAGATGCGAAGCTTAAGGTTATTGGCCAAGTAACGAGTCTCGTCATTATTCTTTATTTCAGAGTCATTTCAAGTTGTCGTGAGAGGAAACGGCTTCCGACATGCCCGCAACGTGGACAGGGTCCTCTGCAGCTTCAAGATCAATGACTCGGTCACACTCAGTAAGTCCTTGCAGAGTCCATGGGTTTCTTCGACAAGTGGCTTCAAGGAAGGGAATTCCCACCCTTGTCTTCCAGCAAGGCCACACACATGAAACCAGCAGAAAAGAGTCTTATTTGCTGGAAAGACCCCCAGCAAGGGCATAGTGAGCCCTTACAGTGGTTCCAGTCAGAAAAGGCACCACTTGGGTGGGCACAGCCCCATGGGTGTCCAGCTTGGTAAGCAGAGCAAGGCTGGACTTGAGTCCCCGTCCTCCACAAAACACAGAGCCACAAGCCCCAGCCCTGCAGCAGCCCTCCGGAAGCAGCGGGGCACTGGTTTCCTTGTCCCCTGCCATCTACCGAGTGGCTCACTCTCAGGTGGGAGTGCTGGTGATGGTTAATTAGGACTGCAGAAACATGAGCCTCCTTAACAAAGTATTGGGACTCTTAAGGGTAAGTGTGAAAAAGGAATGGTCTAAATGCATTAATCTTGAATAAACCGAAAACCAAACCATTAGGCTTGCACATGTAGATTCTGCAGCTTTTTTCAATCTGGATGATTCTTGCGTGGAGTAGCCAAGAAACTCTCATCGTGGTGAATATCTTACATGAAATACAGGAATATGGAGTAAAACTAAGTGCATTTCATGAGAAAAAATGAATTATCATAACATTGGCTTCTTCACAAGACATTTGTAGCAGTCAAGTTCCTAATTTAAAGATGTACGTGATTCATGTGGTTGACCAGGAGAGATGGGGAAGATGATTATATGAGGGACAGATGCCAGAAGCACTGGTTATGATTTGCATCTGGCATCCGTCACACAGATAATTATTTATTCCACATCTGCAGTGATAACTGTCATAATATACTGCATTTTCTGTAATGCTATGTACCTTCTAAATGCTTCACATCTTTTTGCTACAACAGCCCTGAGAGGTAAAGAGAGCAAGGAGGACAGGAGGACACACATTTGTTGACTAATCACTCACACTAGTTTTCTCCTCCTGATAGCCTATTTTTTTTTTTTTTTTGGAGACTGAGTTTTGCTTCTGTTGTCCAGGCTGGAGTACAATGGCACGATCTCAGCTCACTGCAACCTCCGCCTCCCAAGTTGAAGCGATTCTCCTGCCTCAGCCTCCTGAGTAGCTAGGATTACAGGTGTGCATCACTACACCCAGCTAATTTTTTGTATTTTTAGTAGAGATGGGTTTCATCATGTTGGCCAGGCTGGTCTCGAACTCCTGACCTCACATGATCCACCCGCCTCGGCTTCCCAAAGTGCTGGGATTACAGGTGTGAGCCACCACACCCAGCTCCTCATAGCCTTTTGAAGGAGGTTATCTTGTTTTTAAAGAAGAAGAATTGAAGGGCTATGGATATTTCCTTCTTGACATCATAAAACCCACTTTAGTAGTTAAACAGACACATGCTGTGTCTTCCTCACAAACATCTGGAATTCCTGGCCTTGGAGTAATTCCAAACATTAGAAACATTCGGTTAGTTTTCTTAATATTTGGAAATGCTCTCACAGATCCAAAAAGTACGTGCTATTTGAAAACATTCTGAAATATCCCTGAGTAGTCACAGTGTGAAAGTTGGACGTGTGCCCCCAGCAGAGTTCTTTCTTTTTTCTCCCTGTCAATTGTGATGTCACTTAAGTCCCCCTTTTCTCTTTAACCAAAATCCCAAGTCTAACATCAGAAACTCCTGAAGGTTTAACTCAAAGACATCAATACCTTCCAAAGAAGACTTCCCAAACAAGCAGGCTTTCAGGCCCAAGCTCTCTGAAGATACATGGAAGTGGGCTGGGGAGAGAGAGAATCTACCCTATGTGCCGTTGCTCAAAGGTTACACAAGATGCTGTATTAAATAAGATGTGGCCAGGCACGGTGGCTCACGCCTGTAATCCCAGCACTTTGGGAGGCTGAGGTGGGTGTATGGCCTGAGCTCAGGAGTTCGAGACCAGCCTGGGCAACATGGTGAAACCTTGTCTCTACCAAAAATACAAAAAATTAACTGGGCGTGGTGGTGCACACCTGTGGTCCCCAGCTACTCTGGAGCCTGAGGCTGAAGGATCACTTGAGGCCAGGAGGCAGAGGTTGCAGTGAACTGAGATCATGCCACTGCACTCCAGCCTGGGTGACAGAGTGAGACCCCATCCAAATAATAATAGGAAGAAGATGAAATGCAAACTCACTATGGATTTGTCAAGTGAGTACTCGAAGGCCTATTTTCCAACTTCTTTGGGAAATTTTATTTCTTTCTTGGGAAACCAGTCCATCCCTCTCTCTCCTTTCTTCCTTTCCTAATATATAGTTGCAAACATATGCACAGGCTTGTCACCTCATTCATATTCAAAAAGAAATGGAGGTTGTTGGGGTAGGGATTTGGCTTAAATCACAAACCCGTGCCTTTAGCACAATACTAAGTTTGGAGAAGATGAAGGCAGTGATTTGATCATATTCTATGCTGCAAGCAACACCCCAAAACTCAAGCATACAGCTATTAAAAATATTCTAAGGGGAAAAATAGCGTTTGAGGAAAACACTTGGCCTTTAGTTAGTAATTCACCTGTTCATTTCCATGGAGAAAATAATATGAACAAGAACCTGTGGAGGTAGAAAAGATGAACAAATTCTAAAATGCAGCACGTTTAGATCTACATTTTTCTGTCAACTTTATAAATGTCATAGTTTCTACTGATTCCTCCCTGTAAAATAAAATACACTTAGATTCCTTTACCTTTCCCATTTTCCTTCCCCACCTCTATACCCCAAGTTTTAAAATGTTATCTGTTTTTATTTTTATATCACATATTTCTTTTTTCAAGATTTTTTTTCCTAAGTGCTGCATTGGAATTTGTGACAAAAAGAGAACATAAGTGCCATTATTAATGAGAAAGACTTAATTGAAGGCCCAATAATGAAGCTAAGGCTGTGTGGCTCTAGCCACTTCAAACATGAGGCAGACCTCAGGATCTTCAGCAAATAATGCAATAGCAAGCTATATGAAGCAAAATCTGTCAAAAGAACAAATTAAAAATGATATGGATAGTGGGAGATATTAATATGATTTTTCAAGTCTTAAAACTTAATTTAAAAGTTAGAGATATAGAGCATATATCTTTATGCTCTAAAGATATAGGTAGGGCATATAATACTTTTTTAAATGACTGTGAACAACTTTGCAAATTGATCATGCTAAGACATGGATAAAATGCCAATATATTAATGCCAAAAGTAGAAATTGTTTAGACACATTCTTAGATGATAAGCATAACCAGAAGATAGGTTAATACATGCTTCTCTCCCAATTTCCTTGCATTTGCTTAAAAAATCAACCACTTAGAAATCCAAGACAGTTTCTAGATTTGTGGTCAACAAAATAGATCCAAAAATCTGGATGAAATATGATTTTTAAAATTACATTGTGTGGCCTCACTCAAAGGAAAGAAGTGGGAATCTCCAAGTATAGGAAACAAAATGGGAATAAAAACCTAAGTAAGAAACAAAGTCACAGGGGCTCCAGGCCAGGCTGCGGGCTGTGACCCCGATGCTGATGCAGATACAGGACACCAGATCTCAGGTCTGTGCCAAGGCATCACACAAAAACAGAGCCCCCTGCAGAAATCAGGCTCCAGCAGGATACACCAATCATTTAATTGGGCAAGGAAGCAGGCAGGGGATGAAAATCCACAGGTGTAATGATGTTACACCACCCATGTGATACAGAAGCACCAAGTCAAGAAACTAGCCCCAAAATGTGTCCGTGATCTTCCTGATCTCTGTGGCCCTACAGAGGCCATGCACCTTCACCCTGTGGGAGTCTTCCACATAGCCCAGCCCCACAGCATGCCTGCAGCAAACAACCCCCTAAAGGTGGGCTGATGGCACAAAATGACAAACCATGTCAAGATGAATGAAACAAACAGAACAAACAAGAAGAGAGGATCAGAGAGCCAATCTGAAAGAGAATGGAAAATAAATGTGTTTAAAATGTGTGAAGACATGAAACAGATCATAGGGGAAAGAATACTCATCAAAAGCAGATTTGCAGAAGAACTGAGTATAAATTCTAGATTTGAAAAAGTTTATTCACTGAAATAAAACTTCATGGATGGATTAAACAGTGTGATTAGACACAGATGAACAGGAAATATATGAACGAGAAGGGAATTTGAGGAAATTTCATCCCCCCCCCGAACGAAAGCACCACATCCAGATTTTTTTCACCCAAGTTTTATCAAGTTTTAAGGGACAAATGACCCATATCAGATATGTACTGTTCCAGAGGAAAGATATAAAGAAAACGTTTTGTTTTGTGTGGTTTTTTTTGAGACAGGGTCTGGCTCTGTCACCCAGACTGGAGTGCAGTGGCACAATCTCTGCTCACTGTAACCTCTGCCTCCCAGGCTCAAGCGATCCTCCCACCTTAGCTTCCTGAGTAGCTAGGACCACAGATGTGAGCCACCACACCTGGCTAATTTTTGTATTTTTTGTAGAGACAAGGTTTCACCATGTTGCCCAGGCTGGTCTCGAACTCCTGGGCTCAAGCTATCTACCCACCTCAGCCTCCCAAAATGCTGGAATTACAGGTGTGGGCCGCCACACCCAGCCAAGAAAAAGCATATAAATTCATTCTATGATAATAACATAATCTTGGTTTAAAAAAAAAAACTGGACAAAGGCACTAAAAGTAGACAATATTTGAGATCAAGCTCGCTGATGACAAACATCTAAATCAAATATTGGCAAACAAAATCCAGCAATGTATTTAAAAAGGACCAAGATAGCTAAGACAACTTTGAAGACAGAGGGGGAATTTGTTCCTCATATAGCAAAAGTTACTGATGCCAAGAAGATATTAAAATTCATTATCTGTTCCTAATTTTAAAAATATATTTCTAGTAAACTAGGAATAGGATAAGACTTCTTTAACATAAAAATGTATCTACATATCTGAATTCAAAACTCAACATCATTCTAATAATAAATCACTATGTAGAGGAATTCACTTTAAAGTTCAGAAGAAAAAAAGCAGGACAATCCATTTCACCACTATTATCTAATATTGATCTGAAAGTTCTAGCAGCACTGTCCAATAGAACTTTCTGTAATGATGGAAGTGTTCTAAGATGGTAGCCACAAGCCACATGTGGCTGCTGGGCATTTGAAATGTGGCTAGTGCAATTGAGGAACTGAATTAGTAATTTCATTTAATTTTTATTAACTTAAATGTAAATAGCCACAATGGCTAGTGACTACCATATTAGACAATGCCATGAACATTATAATAACACCAGAAATCTGATAATAGATATAAATACAGGAAAAGCAGCCAAACGTCATTGCTCTAAAATAATGCTTGTGTCTTCCTGGAAAACTAGAGAGTGAACAGAACTACTAGGCTACCGAGAGGGTAATTAAGTTGGATGACTTCAAAATAAATACCTTGCTTATAACAATCAGTAGCTTTGCCAGTGTTCAGCAACGACCATTAGAAAATATCACAAGAAAAATATAGCAACAACAAATAAATTCTTTTATTTAACTTTCATTTTAAGTTCAGCGGGACAAGTGCAGGTTTCTTACATAAGTAAACTTGTGTCATGGGGATTTGTTGTACAGGTTGTTTCATCACCCAGGTATTAAGCCTAGTACCCATTAGTTATTTTTCCTGATCTTCTCTCTCCTCTCACCCTCCACCCTCTAGTAGGCCCCAGTGTGTGTTATTCCCTTCTGTGTCCATGTGTTCTCATCATTTAGCTCCCACTTACAAGTGAGAGCATGCAGTATTTGGTTTTCTCTTCCTGCATTAGTTTGCTAAGGATAATGGCCCCTAGCTCCAACCATGTTCCTGCAAAGGACATGATCTCGTTCTTTTCTATAGCTGCACAGTATTCCACGGTGTATATATACATTTTCTTTATCCAGTCTATCACTGACGGGCAGACAAATAAAATGTAACAAGAACTAATTTAATCAAATTTGTAAAGACATATATGATGAAAGTCACAAAACTTTCTGAGGGATATAAAGCAAGTGTGAAGAGTTAGAAAGCCATAGACTTATGGCATAGTTACAAGCTCTGGAGCCAGACCACCAGGGAAAAAGAGTTCTGGCTCTGTCGTATCTAGCTGTGCGACTGTGACGTCTTATTTAACATCTCCATGCCTCAGTTTCTCTCTCTGTAAAATGAGTATGGCAATAATAGCCATACTATGTCTTGGGTTGTTATGAGGTTTAAATGTGGCAGGCAGGGCTTAAAATGGGGCCCGATGCACAGTTAAGAGTCAGTCAGTGTTGGCTGCTGGTACTACCATATCATCGTCACTGTTATTAAATGGAGCAGTAACTGAGTATTGTAAAGATATCAATTGTCTTCATCTTAATATCTACTTTTATTACAATCCAAATGAAAATTCCAAGGGGACTTTTTAAGTTAACAAAATAATCTGAAGTTTATGTGGAAGAATAAACACACAAGAATAGCCAAGAAAAATGTGGAAACTCGCCCTGGCCGATTTTAAGATTTATAAAAACGCTGCAGTAATTGGAACAATGTATGATCACACCACAGTAGGCGAACTGAGCTTTGGAACAAAGCCCATAAACAGAACCAAACACTTAGGTGAATTTAGTATAAAATAAGGCAGCCTTTCAAATCTGTAGGGAAAGAGTGGGTTATTCAAAAAATGATGTTGAGACAACTGGCCAACCACTTGGAAAAACAGTTAAGTTCATTTTTAATCTCACACCTTTCATCCAAACAAATTCCAGATGAAGGAAAACTTTTAATGGGACATGAAGCTGTAAAAATTCTAGAGGGAAACAAAAAAATGTATATAATCTTCCAGGTGGGAAGGATGTGTTAAACATGAAGGAGCATACCATGAAAGAAAAATTTGAATGTTTGAGTGCATATTTTTAAATTCTCTTGTTAAACCCTACTACAATAAAACAAACAAGAAATAAAACTGGAAAAATAGGATATATAACAAACATAGGGTCAATAAACTTAGTATAAAGACAATTCCTAAAATCGGTTAAAAAAAGGTGAATATATCAGTGAGTAAAAGATATGCAAAGGAAATTTTTAAGAAAATAATGATTAATAAGCATATAGAAAATGTTTCATATAACCAAGAAAATGCAAATTGAAATAATCAATTGCCATTTTTACTTTGTCAGACTGACAAAGATTAACAAAACTACAACACGCAGTCTTGGAAAACCTGTAGGAAAACAGGTGTTTTCATTCATCATCAGTGAGAGACCATTAAATCGTTAGGAAGGAAATTTTTTAAATGAGTCAACTGCTTTTATACATTTTGACCCAGAATTTCAATTTCAGCTTCATCAAAAGAAGGTGACTGGGAATGTTTACAAAGACTTGGCCACAAGGATATTCATCACAGTATTGTTTATAATAGCAAAAGAAAAAATGGAAAGAACAAAGGGAATGAGGGAGAGAGGGAAAAGAAAAACATCTAAATGGTAACAACCTAAATGTCTGACAATAGGTAATCTGTTAGATAAGTTATACTTCACCCCTAAATAATTAAACAATGTTGTAGAAGAATAATTACTGATGTGGGGAGTGGGGAATGTTAATAATATGGCAAAAATAAATAAATAAATAAGTTACAAAACAGGCCGGGCGCGGTGGCTCACGCCTGTAATCCCAGCACTTTGGGAGGCGGAGGCGGGCGGATCACAAGGTCTCCGGAGATGGAGACCATCCTGGCTAACACGGTGAAACCCCGTCTCCACTAAAAATAGAAAAAAATTCAGCCAGGCATGGTGGTGCGCACCTGTAGTCCCAGCTACTCGGGAGGCTGAGGCAGGAGAATGGCGTGAACCTGAGAGGCAGAGCTTGCAGTGAGCCAAGATTGGGCCACTGCATTCCAGCCCGGGCGACAGAGCAAGACTCCGTCTCAAAAAAAAAGTTACAAAACAATACACTGACACTATTTTTGTTTTTTAAACACACATATTTATATGCAGACAGAGACTGGAAAGATACTCATCAAAATGTTAACAGCCATCACCTCTGAATGAAACCACTATTAATTTTTGCTTTCTTCTTTCCATCTATCTGTGTTTTCTAAGTTCTCTGGGATCATATGTCCCTGACGTAATCAGAAAAGAACCCACAAAATTGATTTAAAACTTAATTTTTAAATTCTTGCTAACTATTGAGGTCTAGAATACATCTTAAGTTTAACATTTGGTTAGTTCCTCAGTCACCAGGCTGAACTCTGCTGGCCAAGAAAATATCTTGGAAATCTTCACACAAACTGTATTTACTCTGGCCGCACTTTTTCCTCCTTTAGTATTCAGTGTACTGTGCCAAGAAAAGATCCACTTTCAACTGGAGATCCACTTTCAGAGAGATTCAAATGCTAAAAAGGAGACACTGGAGTATGAGCTGAGAAGTGATCCATTTTATGCACTGTAAATTAAAAATGGATGTTTTACTAATGCAATAATGAAAAACATGCTAGACTATCCTAGTGTTGCATGGAGATGCATGAGGTATGACTATAAACAAAAGAAACTGATTTTTAACAAACTCACTAAAATTGAGTTTATAGGCCATGTGAGAAATCAGATTCATTATATTATAGGCACACTTTATTTTTTGATGCAAAATTTTATTTCTCAACTTGATTTTCAATCCTATTCACCAGGCATGGCTCTGGTTTACTTTTGCACACTCTCAAAGGATAAAGCTTTGTCCCATTTGAACATATTTCCCCAAACTGAACATCGGTCAGGAAGGCAGTTCTAGGAGTTCTGAGGAGGGGGCTCAACTTCCTAGGGGGAAGAGAGACAACACTCATTCGAACGTAGACGTTCCAGAGGGTGTTGTTTTCAAAAACATGCCCAATTTTCCAGAAACTAAACTTCATCTTAGAAAACACCTGGGCTCCAGGGCTGCTGTGGGCACCCTAAGGAGATCATTAAAGTGCAGATGGGGAGGGAGGATCGAGGGCAGGAGAACATAAACTTCCCAAAAAAAAGCCTATTGTTTCCTTTGTTATGGGTTAGAGTCTTGCCATATGTTGGTCAAAGGCACTTAACGCAATCTCGATACATCCCTAGGGATTTTATATCATGTGAAGGTGATGAAATGCCATTTTGTGTAACTCAGAATGAAGAGACGTAAAGGAGCGTACAGTCTCATGTTCTTCATGGGGATGCCCATCAGAATCACCAGGGAGCTTCCGCCAAGTGATAGCAGCTACTGATTGTTGAGTACCTACTCTGCACCAGGTGCTGGGCCAAGCACCCTCCTGTATTATCTCATTTCATCATCACCGCAGCCCAAAGAGGGAGGAGTTATTTGAATCCCCATTTTGCTGATGAACTCAGAGAGATGAAGTGCCCAAGTTCGCGCAGTTGGCAGGGGTGGAAAGGACTTGAACCTGGGCAGTCGGACTCCAAAGGCTTTAGACTGCTTCCCTACATTGCCTCCAAGACACAGATCCCCAAAGATCCCTGGGACCACTGACTCCAAATGCCCAGGTGACAGATGTGTGCCTGATTCAGAGATGCTGATTTCAATAGATCCCCCTCATTTTGCAGAAAGATAATCGCAGATCAGAGAGATGTAACTCCTTGCCAAAGGTCACAGGACACATTAGTAGAGAAGTCAAGACTTGAACCTAAGATCAAGAGAAAAAGCCCCCGACCAGGGTAGGAAGAACCCCAGGCATTAGGGTGTCAGTGTCTGCAGCTGGCTGTGTGACCACAGTTAAGGCACCTCTCCTCATTCCCCGAGTGGCCCTTTTTCTTGAACTTCAGGAGCATTTTGTGTATCTGGTGGTGTTTCCCCTTTGGCCCTCTTTCAGACAGAACTCTGGTCTTTGCCCACTGATTTTTGAAGTGGCTCCTGCAGAGACTGTGTTAGTGGATGTTCCCATCTTTCAGTTCTAGAAAAATACAGATACGTTGAAATTTACTGCCATAATCTAGAATGGTTGGGGGACAAAAGGGAAGTCGCCACCAGAGGTAACTAGGTGGCAAGGTTTTCAGTTGGGAGTAAAAGAGTTTATTCTGGGGGTGAGTTGACACAGTCCAAAGTTAGCTGCACCAGTCCCTGGTGGACAGTCATCCTTGATGTTTCCCCTGCTCTACCAAGTTTGAAATTGACTCCACGTGAAAATCGTGAGCTCCACGAGGACTCCAGGCATGTGCTGCATTTGTTTTATGCATGTCTGGGAGAGATTTGCTTGTGAACTTCTCTGAAACCCACCTTCCCCCTAGTCCTGCTGTCCTGCGGGGGTAAGTTGGCATCCCCCTCTATTTCTGCACCCCATGGCTCAGTTTTCATGTAAGGTGACCAGCAGGTGGATGCTGCCCTTCCCCATGCAATACTGCTCCTCTGCCATTTCAGTAGGATGATGGAAGAGAAGGTGATTAACTCAGAGACAGGCCATACTCCTGGAACCCCAGGCAGGCTAATAGTCTGTGTCCCTTCAAACTGACATTCTTTAAATATTTGTTCAACATCCATTGAGAGAAGTTGGGTACTGCTGAGGGAAAGGAAGAAAGTGCTCCTGGTGGCTCTGTCCCCCATGCCATTCAGCTCTGGCAGCCAGCAAGCATCCCACAGCACTTTAGTGGCCCAAGTGTGTGCCCAAGTTCTCCTTCCCACCTCTCCTCTGAGTTTCTCTGTAAATTTGTGTCCTTTAAGAGCAGTCAGCATTTGCCATAACCCGTGGCCATGAGTGTGTGGAAGGCTTTAGCCATTTTGGTAGACTTGCCACTCAGTTCCAATTCCAAAGGTAAAATTATTCCAAATTTGTATACTGCCACAAGGGTTCGTGTGTCAGGAGACACATACCTTGTGCATGAATCCTGAATTATCCTCTACCAAGTGAAAACAAAGCTTTGCAAATATTTGTATTCTTAGCAAGTTATAGCTGTTTTAAGTGCTGCAGTTATTCTGACCTCAGGATTACAAAATCTTAAAAAGCTGATGCTTTACTTAGAAGATAATTTGTAAGTTCTATAAATGTCAACAGTCAAGAATTGTTTTGGGTGTGGATTTATTGAGAGGAGAAAATACTTTGCAAGAACGCTGAACCCCATTAGCTTCATTTCATTTCCTTGTACTGCCTAAAACTACCCTATTAACTTCAGATAAATGCCAAATGCCACAGAATTATATGTAATCTCAATTATGTTAAAAGTAATATGCATGGAAAAATTCTGAAATAGTATTTCCCAAGACATTAATTTTACCACTGGAAGTTGAGATTATCAAGGATTTTAATTTCTTTTTTATATACTTCTCTGTATTCCCCAGGCTTTTATACTAATATGTATTACTTTGTGATTAATACAAATAACAACACATATGGGTAGATAATAATTTACATCCTGAGAAGGCAGACCAGCTGTGCTGACAAACAGTTCTCAATGCTGGTGTGCCCAGAGCTGTGAGGTCACAACCTTGTGCAGAACTTGGGGTGTGTAGCCCAACAGACAATCCAGATATCTGCAGGGCTGCTAGACCCTGGGCCTGCACTCCTCTGGGAATGGACTCATGGTCCCTCACCTTTTACTTCCTCTCCATCTGGGGCTATAATGTAATCTTGATCCTCATGAACACAGTAACAATAATAACCCACTTCATTTCCTTCCAAGACTGCCCACAGCTCTGAGTCCTGTATTGGTATTTGTATGTAAGGTGTTCTGACTCTACAGCACCCCCATCCATGTCATGTCAGAGCCTTGGCGGCAATATAAGGCCCATTGCTGGAGTGCCCCATTTACATTATAAAGCTCCACCAGGCAGAGTGGCTCAGATGCAATTCCATCTACCCCTAAGAAAACCTGGACCCATTCAAGCCTGCAAGGAGGGCTTTATCAAGAGACATTCTCTTACTCCAACCAGGACTGGTCTTTCAATGCCTCTCTAGCTGTTACCTCCTCCCTTTTCTACCCATCACCTCTAAACTTTTCTGGGCATTACACCAGTACCCTGCAGGCATGAACTACAGAGTTATATCTGTAGGCCCCTCTACATTGGGCTAAAGAAGCATATAAAGCCATGGTAGACATTACGCCAGGTTTTCTAACCTCAACACTACTGACATTTTGGGCTGGATAATTTATAGCTGGGGAGTGGGGAGGGGCCTGTCCTGTGCATTGGAGGATGTTCAGCACCATCCCTGGTCTCTACCCACTAGATGCCAATAGCATTCCTCCCCCAGTTGCAGTAACCAAAACTGCTCAGGCATTGCTAGTTGCCCCTTGAGGGGCAAAATCAACCCCCATTTGAGAACACTGCACTATATTCATGTCCAAAGATCCTATTTAGATAAGTAACTTGCTTCTTATCACACCAATATTGTAAAGCCCTGATACAACCTAACAGACAGGTTGCAAGACTCACTCAGTTTGTGCACACATCCACAACTTGTGTTTTGCAGGTGCCTCAGTCGATGACCCCAACAGTGCCCCATCTTAGTAATGACAGTTATATGTTGAGTGCTTATTAAGTGCTAAGCATTAAATGATATCTTCTCAATAAAATTTACAAAAGCCTATGAAGTATTACTCCCATATTATAGATGACAATTTTGAGTTATGAATAGAGTGAAAAACCTTGCCCATGGTGACATAGCCAGTTAGTGGCAAGGCTGTGTTGGGTCTCCAGAGTCCAGGCTCTTAGTGTTCTCCATTCTACTCCAGCCTTCCTCAGAGAACAGAATGGGAAATCAAAAGACATGTCCTGGGTATCTATAGAATATAGGAACTGGTAAAATAGCTACAGACCCAGGAAACTTACCTGGAATGTGTTGGCCAAGCCCATCCCCTGATCTCATGGCAACTAGCCAGGGAGGGCTTCCAAGGAAACCCTGTAACAATACCAGGTCAGGGAAAAGGTGAGTTGTGAGCGAGGGTATGGGCCATGTCTAAGGAAAAGGATGGTGGCCAGCTTGGTTCTGCCACTTTAAAGGCATCCCTCTGGCTTTAGCCCAAGATAAGAGGACATTACAGTGGGTATACTCATTCTGAGGATGTTTCCCAACTTGGCCCAACCAACCTACATTTCACTGCCATCCATTCCCATTCGGCTTTGAATCTTCTCATTTCTCCTTGACTTCTCAACCACTGTTCAGCCTGTCCAAGTAAAAGCCATTCTCTCCACTTTCAAAATCTCTTTTTCTAGAGTTTAATGTCTTCTATCAAAAGCTTGTTATCTCACTCATCTCTGAAAACCTTCTAGCCCAGGGCCTGACACATAGTACATTCCTTTCTACTCTCAGCAATGGCTCCCATTTTGCTTTGTAATAAGACCCCCCTAACACACATTTGTGAATTATCAATGAGGCAGCCCCAGTTGGGCAATCAGTCATCTCCATTCTCTTTGGAGCTCCAGAAAGCTCAGCCCGGATTCTTTGAATTTCACCAACTTGGAGTCCTGCTGAATATAATTTTATTACAGATTTTTCCACAGTATTTTACAAGTCTAACTTTTTTCAGGCTGGTTACTTTTGGAGGCAGTGAGGAGGTAGAAATATTCAGCCTAACTCCGGCCTGTCTGTTGTTCCATCATTTGGAGACACATTCCCAAACCAGCTGATAATTTGGTGCTGAACAGTTATATTTGGCTCTGGAATGCCCTGAAAATGCTCCCTAGACCCAAGGGACACTAGGAGAAACAGCAAGGCGAGCTCATTTCAGTCCCTAACCTCCACTGTTTTTCCCACTACCTAATGTGAATGTCACTATGGGAATGTAAGCTCTGCTTCGGGCTTACATCAGCTTTGGAGGGTTCTAACACACCCTCCCGCTGCCTCCATAAGACTAGGGATTATTTTTCTCTTCCTATTTGCCAGAAATAAATATTTATAACAAGAAAAGATTGCCAAGACTTGAAAAGTATTTGGATTATTTAATCCACCCTTATAAAAAGGATTTTCTCTGATTGGTGTTTGAATTGGCTAATGAATTTCAACCCTGGTTTTATCCCAGATCCATGAGCCACCAAACTGCAGGGAAGAATTCTGGGAACTTTCTTCTTTGCCAGTCTGAAAAGGATTACATTGTCCCAAGGTCTAAACCTGTAAATATACACTTATGAGTGTATGGTTCCAGAGCATGGCTTCATTCTAGTTGGCATGACCAGGGCCTCTCAAAAGACACCTGAACCTTTTCTTCAAGCTCTTCATCCCTAGACCCCTCTCCTGGAAGGCAAGCTCCTGTTGGTATCCAGCCTTGCCCATTGAAGATCTTGGCCATGTGCCTCCAGAGCTGTCAATATGAAGAGCCTCAGCTCCTGGTGTGCTTCCAGCTACATTATAAGACTAGCTGGGCTTACACTGGGCAAGCTATTTCAACAAAACTTGGGTTTGAATTCCGGCTCTGACACTCACAAGTGGTGCAGCACTAACTCAATTAACTAACCCTTCTGACTCTCAGTTTCTCAAAATGTAAATAATCTCTCTCTCAGAGGGTTGTAGAAGCATCAAATGAGATCGTGGGTATATGATGTTAGAAAAAATCAACATGCATGCACCTGTGTGTATAGATATGCATATGTGTATATGTGTGTGTATCTATACACACACACAAATTCACTAAAGCTTTTCATTTCCCTATTAATTCCTGATGTCTACAAAGATGTTAATTTGGTAAAGTGATATCATTAAGCAATCAGGCATTTTGAACATTTTAATGTTTAATCCCTCTGATTTTAAACCATACATCCATGTAGTCTATTTTAAAGGTGTGGAGGCCCATGTAATAAAGAAGAATAACATCTACTGAATGCTCAAGTGCTAAGTATCATGCTTTGTACTTGAATGCGATATTATTGACTCCCCACACAATGTCATCACCACTGTTTATAGATGGAGAATGTGTGTCCCTAGTCACACACTAGTAAGAAAAGGGCTCAGATTTGAGTCGGTGTGATCTGAAATATCCTCTGCCCCTCTCTGTCCCCTCGGTATGCAGCTTGAGGGATGCCTAGCTCCCAAGTCTGGGGCGTTTAGCACTCTGAGATAATGATACTCATTGGCCCCCAAATCCTGATAAATCCCCAAATCCTTATCAAGCTTGTCAGACTCCTATAGACAGATGCCTTGGGTAAACCTATGTCATAGGTACACACAGAATTCTAAAATATCTTTGGTAATGGACAAAAGAAATTTATATTTCAAGATCATCTAAGAATTACATTTGGCTAGGCCCAGTGGCTCACACCTGTAATCCCAGCATTTTGGGAGGCTGAAGCAGGCAGATAGTTTGAGCCCAGGAGTTCCAGAGCTGCCTGGGCAACATAGGGGACCTTGTCTCTACAAAAAAAAAAAAAAAATTTAATTAGCCAGGTGTGGCACTGCACTCCTGTGATGCAGTGACTAGGGTGGGGTGGGTGAGGGGGACAAGGTAGGGGGATCACTTAAAGCACAGAAGATTGAGGCTGCAGTGAGCCGTGATTGCACCACTGCACGGCAGCCTGGGCAGCAGAGGGAGACCCTGTCTCAAAAGAAAATAACAAAAATTTAAACATAAAAATAAAATTTTCATTGAATGTCTGATTTCAAACTCCCACCCCTCCCTAATTTTCTCCCCAGTTGCAAACAAAAGCCAAGTGGGCCAGTCCGAGCTCCTGGCCTTCATTTTCCCTGCCCACCCGGTGCTAGTGAGCAGCGAAATGGCCACCTAGAGGGTGGACCAGCAGGGGCCTCGGCTGTCCTAGGAGTGGATCGCGGCCCCACATATGTCACGACACCACTGGCTTTGGCACACGCTGCAGCGAGGCTGGCACGGCCCTGGGGCCAAACGTGGCACGGCCGAGGTGCAGCAAGGAAGGCTTTGTGCCCTGCCTCCCAAATGGAGTTCCAGGAAGGAGTCAGATGACCTGAGTTATGGAAACCAAATGGCCCTCCTTTGTTTAGAGAGAGAGAGAAAAAAGTCACTCATTTTTGTGGTAAAATGAAAACAGGCTCCAAACCAAACAATCCTCTCGGAGCAGAAAATGCCAGCTCCACAGAGCAGGCCCACAGCCTGGGAGGCTGATACACTCGGATGGAGGAAGGTCTTCCACAGCCTCAGCGAAGCCTTTGCAGGCCTCCCAGTGAGATTTTCCTCTGTTTTGCTCCAGAAATATTTGGTCTCCCAAGCAGAAAAGGAAAAGGAAAGGAGGGGGAAAGTGAGAAATGTCTGCCTGGCCTGGGCCACACTCATCCTCTCACTCCTTTCCAGTTGGGATGGAGGAAGGAGAGAGGAGTTGTCCAGAGGCAGCCGGAAGTGAGGCCAGGCGCTAACCCAGGAGCAGGGCATGCCAGCCTGGAGTCTCCCTGGCTGTGGCGCTGCAGTGCGCTGCCTCGGATGCTCTCCTCGGCGTGACCCAGCTCTCCCCACAGAAGGCAGCCAGAGTCACATGGCCTCCTGTGGCTGCTCTGTGGCTGCCCCGTGGCTCTGTGGGCTGGCTATGTGGACAGGAATCTGTACTCCCAGGTACTGCTGGTGCATGTGCAACAGGATAAGCCATGGCCACGAGGAAATAAATATAGGTTCGAGTCAGCCACGCCTGTCCCCAGTTCAGTTTATTCTCTAATACAAGCCTTTCCTGGAATGGAGAATCTCTTAGTGAGAAAAGAGTAATGCAGAGTTCATTTCTAGTCTTGGCTTTGCCTCTGGCTTGCGGTGCAACCTTAGCTCACTGTCATCCCGCTCAGCCTCCATTTTGCATCTGAAATATGAGCCTAATGATCCCTGCCCTGCCTTAACTCACGAGGTTGTCATTACAAGGAAACGAAGCACAGCTTCTATCAAGGCTGGTGCTTATAGCCTATTAGATAATCATGCAGACTCTGCAGCCAGGCTGCCTGGGTGCAGATCCAAGCTCCCGTGTGTAACCTTGGACAAGCTACTTAATCTCTCTATGTCTGTTCCTCACCTTTAAAATGAAAGGAATAATACACCATCCTGATAGCTCTGCTAGAAGTTTAAATTTGACTAAGTGACATACAGGAAGTGCTTAGAGATTGCCTGCATGCAACATGCGCTGGCAAGTCTGGCTGTCATTGTAGATGCTCCTTGACTTAAGATGGGGTTATGTCCTGATAAATCCATCGTAAGTTGAAAATACCATAACTCAAAAATGCATTTAATACACCTAACTTCCCAAACATCATCGCTTAGCCTCGCCTACCTTAAACATGTTCGAAACACTGACATTACCCTATGGTTGGGCAAAATCATCTAACGCAAAGCCTATTTTATAATAAAATGTCGAATAGCTCATGTAATTTATTTAATATTATACTGAAAGTGAAAAACAGAATAGTTGTATGGGTACTCACCATTAATATACACAACTGAAAGCACCTTTATAAAGTCACAGTATTGTTTAAGTCGAACCATTGTTAAGTTGAGGACTGCCTGTATTATCATCACCGATGGAAGGACATCTTGAAAATAATAATGCTTGGGCCGGGTGCGGTGGCTCACGCCTGTAATCCCAGCACTTTGGGAGGCCGAGGCAGGCGGAGCACAAGGTCAGGAGTTTGAGACCAGCCTGGCCAATATGGTGAAACCCCATCTGTACTAAAAAAATATATAGAAATTAGGTGGGCCTGGTGGCAGGTGCCTATAATCCCAGCTACTTGGGAGGCTAAGGCAGGACAATCACTTGAACCCGGGAGGCAGAGGTTGCAGTGAGCCAAGATTGTGCCACTGCACTCCAGCCTGGGTGACAGAGTGAGACTCTCAGAAAAAAAAGATAATAATAATAATAATAATGCTCAATTTAGGTACTACATGATCCTACACTGTCATCATAAGCTTTATAATTTTACTCAATACAGCGTCACCATTCCTGCAACATTCCATCATCTGCCAACAGCTGATTCCAAATATGAGGATAACCTCCAGTAGTTCCCTGTTGCGCTTAGAAAAAATTTCAAAAGCTTCATCATGGCCTATGTGGCCGTGGTCATCTGGCCCTGCTGCCTTTTCTAGCCTCATTTGGAGCCATTGTCTGTCTCACTTAGATTCAACAGCCTCACTGGCCCTCTTTTAGCTCTCAAAAGATCTGGGGTCCTTCTTGCCCCGGGATCTTTGCAGTGCCTCCCCCTCTCCCACTCCATCCCATCACCCAACCTCAGGTTTCAGCTTAAATAGCCTTTCCTTGGGGAAGCATTTCCTGACCTCCCAGATGAGGGCCAGCCCCCTCCTCCTTTTGTGTGCTCATCACAATTATAATTACATAACAATTTGTGTAATTACTAGCATGTTGGCTCCTTGGACAAGGTACTTTATCTGTTTCGTTCATTGCAAGCCTTAGCACATTGCTTGGCACATGGTACACACTCAAAGAATTTATTTTTTAATTATGTTAAATAACTGTCTCTCCTGCCTCCTATAAAATCCATGAAAGCAGAGACTGTGTTTCTCTTCTCAAAGCCTGCATCTCTAGTATATAGTAGGTCTTCAATAAATATTTGTTGAATGAATGAATAAACAAATGACCTGGAATAACCTCCCTAACTTTTCACCACTTGAAGATTTTCCTGTACATCTTCTTCCTCCTCTTGCCAATGGGGACGTTGTGCTTAGCACTCAGATGTGTCCTCTATCTCCCATCCCAGGCAGCTTCCTAACCTTCACTCAGGCAAGAGTTTAATGTCAGCTATATTCTGCAGTCATGACTTGCAGATATCATAAGCGACATCAGTGTCACAACAAAAGCAGAATATTATCCTTTAATAATATATGTATTCCTTTGTATCTTCTAGTTATAGGAACTTGTAGTCACAGCCTGATTAATGACATAGATCTTATTCATCTTCATTTCACCTGTAGGCCCTACCACAGCCTTTTTGTACAGCACATGTACCCAATCAAAGCTGAGGCTTGAAGGGATGACTATTATATACTTAGTATAATAACTTCTCAACCCTGTCTCTGGCCCCAGAAACTGGGATACAATGAAGTTCTTAGTGAGCTTGAATTGAAGCCACTTTAAGCTTTTTCCTGGTCATCCATTAGAAGAAGCACAAGAACTTCCCTACTCCAAGAGTCCCCGACTCTGATTCACCTTCTACAGCTACATCTGCTATGACCTCCAAAATCATCACTTCAGTTTTACTCAAAAACCCACCAAAGTTCTTTCTATAACTTACAGAACTTTGTGCAAATCCCTCAGGCTAACTCAAAGAACTTGACCAAACTTTCTATACTGATCTTTTCAAATTCTTCTTATATCCTACCTTGGAACATGCCTTTAGTATGCCCTGTCTTTGCTCATGCCATTCCTCCAACCAAGAATGTCTCTTCCCCATCTCTGCACAAAAGCATAGCTCATGTTTTGTGCTTTCCGAAGACCTGACTATGACAGCCATGTACAGGAAGCTTCCTGTCTTATGAAGCCCAATGATACTTTGGTGAAGTCATTTGTCAGCAAACTTTTTCCACAAATATGGCTTATCTCTCCAACTACCCTTAGACGTGGAACTCCTTAGGACCAGTCTAATATTTTCTTGTTTCCCCTCAGTGATTCCTGCTCTATCTAGGAGTTCACTCACTATTTTCTCACCAGTTGACTCAACTGCACATACCACAGGAAGCTATGATTCAGGCAGGAGCACTTGAGTTCACTGCTAATGGGTTTTACAGCTCAAGAGTTTTGTTTTTGTTTTTGTTTTTTTATTATTATTATACGTTAAGTTCTAGGGTACATGTGCACAACGTGCAGGTTTGTTACATATGTATACATGTGCCATATTGGTGTGCTGCACCCATTAACTCGTCATTTACATTAGGTATATCTCCTAATGCTATCCCTCCCCCCTCCTCCCACCCCACAACAGTCCCCGGTGTGTGATGTTCCCCTTCCTGTGTCCAGGTGTTCTCATTGTTCAGTTCCCACCTGTGAGTGAGAACATGCGGTGTTTGGTTTTCTGTCCTTGCGATAGTTTGCTGTACAGCTTAAGTTTTTAAGCTCAAAAAGATTTTTGTTTTTTTGGTATCTCCCTGGACTTGGTTGATGTTCTCTAGAAGTCATTGAATTTGAAATTATAAACTCACCTCCCTCTTCTTAATCCAGTGATTTCCTTTTTGCAGATGAGAAGCCCTTTTCTGTGGAAGATACTTATTTACTGTGTCCAGCGCCTATCTTAAAAGAAGTTGGCATGTAAGTTTTCACCAGCAACTGAACCTCCCAGCCAGGGAAGAGAGAGAGGAGGTGTACGGGGACAGGGGAAAAGAAAGCATCTAGAGAAAGTGGAGCCTTTCTCTAGGTTCCTCCAGCTTATGACGGAGCCAGTGTTTACAGTGACCCAGACGCCAGGATAAGTGTTTTACAAAGTATCTCACTTCATTCTCCCAGGTTCCCCATTAACTAGGTATTCCCACTATCCCAGTTTTACAGACATAGAGACTGTGGCTGCAAGACTTTAAATAGCTTGCCTAAGGTCACACAGCAGTGAGTGGAAGAGCTGGGCTCAATCCAAGGTCTGTCTGGCTTAATCACACCTACACTTCTAGAAAGTTCTCACACACTTGACCTCGCTCTGTCATCACCATTGCCCCGCTAGATAATTGTTATCTCCTCCTTAGAGAAAGGGAGGCTCAGAAAGGCCAAGTAGGGCCATGGCTGGTTCATGGCGAGCCAAGACCCCAGACTCACGCCTTCTGATGTCCCACACGGTGCTCCTTCCTTGACTCTGCGCAGCATCGGATGTTCACCCAGACCGGAAAAAATTCCCTGAACTAATTTATAGGGGAAAATCTCATGGTGATGCAATTATAATAAGCACTAGTGAGATGAGATCAAAACCATCAACAGAAGAAAGAGAATGGGCACCCTGAGCAAGAAAAGAAATACATGGGAAATGAGGCAATGCTGGTGCAGAGAACAATAACAACAAAAATAACCTCTCCAAAACCGTGTCTATAATAGGCTAGACAAAGAATGGAGGCTTTAAGGGAAAAAAGTTGAACTTGTTCATCTGAATTTTGCCTTCAATCGTGTGTTCATATTGTGAAACCTCCAACTCTGGTTGCCCAGCATCAATCTGTGATGCCACTGATTTCACAAATTAGCTCAGTGTCCATGCTGCGAAATGCAACAAAACAAGAGGTCAGTTTCCAGCGAGTGTCTTAGAGTGGGAAGAGATGGAAGACAAATGCATCTTCTGCTTTACTTCTGTGAGTCTGTTGAATGGTAACAAAGCCACCCCCATCAAATCACTGAGAGTCCAGATAACAGCAGAATATTGCATTTATAGTTAGCCCAGTCTACCCCCATTGACTTGGACTATTTTTGAAGAATACTTTGTCCAACTACAATGTGACAAGCAAGTTAAATGAAAGTAAGCTTTGCCCATTCAATGCCACTCACTGCAATGCCGGAACGTCTGAATGCACTGCCTTAATATACCAGCCAAGCATATCCTGACACTTCTCTAAACTTTAAAGGAGGATGGGCTATACAGACTACCCCCGACATTTTACAAAAGAGGAAACTCAGACCCCTCCTCCCCTGGAGAAGAGACTCCAGTCTCAAGGGTATTTAAGAGCAGAGCCCAAAGGAGTCCTGTGTGTCTGGCTCTCAGCCTGTTGCTCATTGCACGCCCTGCTGAGAGTCTGCTTCCCTTGTTGTCATTGCAGGAAAGCTGCACTCCAGGTCAGCATGAACGATGGCCTCTCTTTTATCTCCAGTTCTGTCATCATCACCACCACACACTGTGTAAGTCATAACCTTTCCCTTTACTAAAGATCTCATTATCATTGTCACTATCAACGTTTCTTAAGCAGTAATCTTCTCCAAAGGTACCCTGGAAAGTTTTTTGGTTCTTCGTTCTGCTTGCTGAGCTTTGATCCCAGCACTGCTCCACCAGCCCCAGGCTGGATTGGGGTGTGCTGTACCCCAGAGTGTATCAGGCATGTCTGTGTTAAGTTCTCCAGCTTCCCCATTTCTGCTGAAGGGGAGATCTAAAGTCACTGGCCTGACCAGACGGTAAGATGGGCTATGTCTGTGCAGTAATGAGGGTGGAGTCCCAGATAGAGTGGGTTTAGGAGAGAATGGACGGAAGGGAATTGGACAGCATATACAGAAAGAACGTCTTAGGGAGTTCATCTCTAAAGGGATGCAGGAAAATGGGTATGAGCTGAAGGAAAATGTGGAGTTTGGGGAGGTCATTTTATTTAGGATGGGAGAATTTGCAACTTGCTTATTATTGTGGAAATAATCCAGGAGAAAATGGAAAACTGATGAAGCAGGAGAGAGAGTGGGGAAGGAGCCCTTACAATAGGGATTGTGAGGCAAGAGCGGGGACTGCATTCTCTCTCCCAGCTCCTCAGATAGCCCTTCTCTGGAGCCTTCGCATCAAGTAGTTTTCATTCCTGGCTATATATAAAATCACCTGGAGAGCTTTTTAAAAAGATTGGTGCCCTGACCGCATTCGAGACTGACTGAACCTAAGCCTCTGGCATGAGCCCTAGCTTTGGTGGTTCCACGGCATCCCCAGGAGGTTGTCATGTGCAGCTGTGACTGAGAACCCGTCAGCCTCTGGAGTTGGTCCTGCCCACTGTCAATGTCTCAGAGCTCAGCCTGTCAGGGGGCAGTCAGGGCTTAGTTAGCTTGTGTCAAGACCTCAACCTTGTCTGGGCACAGTGGCACAGGCCTGTAATCCCAGCACTTTGGGAGGCTGAGGTGCATGGATCACTTGAGCCCAGGAGTTCAAGACCAGCCTGGGCAACATGGTGAAACCCTATCTCTACAAAAAAAACAAAAATTAGCTGGGCATGATGTCGCACACCTGTAGTCCTAGCTACTCAGGAGGCTGAGATGGGAGGATGGCTTGAGCCCGAGAGGTGGAGGTTGCAGTGAGCTGAGATTGCACCACTGCACTCCGGCCTGGGTGACAGTAAGACCCTGTCTCAAAAAAAAAAATTAAAAAAAGACATCAGCCCCTAACATGAGCATTTCCAAAATAACCTTTGTCGGCGTATTCAGTTTCTTTAACTGAATACATTTCTCCATTAGCTCATTCTAGAAACTAATGTTTGGCCTGATGGTCAGCTTAGGAAGTTATTATACTATAGTCACTTCCTCGTTGGCCTTTGGAAGCTGTGTTGTTAGAACCTCTCAGTAACTGGAGTTGTGTCCTTAATACCATCACAGTTGGATAAGAAAGAGCAGGCATGCACTGAATGTAGATAATATAGAAATGGGTTATCATAAAAGAACAGGAAGCCAGTCCTCATGATGGACAACAGTCTCCCTCCTAATGCCCCCAACACCAATTTTCATCTTGTGTTAGGAGCAAACCAATTTTCTTGAAAGCAGGGTAACCCATTGTAAAGGTACAGATGATGGGAAAGTTTTACTTGACCAAAGCAAGAAACTAGGATTGTGTCAGAGAAGTGTTACCACTGAGAAATGTCCATGTCTCAGACATCTGGTCAACCCTCAGTCTGTAGGCCTCAGTAGGACACCACCAAATTTTAAAAACTGTATGCAGAAGTGTTGAAATTTCTTCAAGTGTATCCTGCCTGATCCTGTTGAAAATTGACCCTTCTGGGACCTGCCAACCTGCAGGAAATGATTAAAATACTCTAAATCAAATAACTCCATTTCAGATTCCTGCCAGCTTTTGAGTGATCCAACAGTTGGATCTGTATTTCTCATTATGTCTGACCATACCACCAAGAAACAGCCACTGCCCTTGAGACCACAGAGCAGAGGAAGTGGGAAGGGAAGACATCTCAGGACTAAACTTGTGGTATGGCAAATACAGGGCTACAACTTTAAATCATGGGCCTCTAATTAAGAAGAAAAGGTGTCCTTGCCAATGCATTGCAAAATTAGAAGAATTCCCATTGAGTCCCACTACACCTTCCCAACCCACGGCAGCCTCCAGTTACATCTTACATCTCCCTCATCTGAGCACATGCCACTAAATCTTCTCTTCACTTGACCCTTGATCAAGACCACCTCATAATATATTCTGCATTATTCCATTTTCATGTGAGAATGCTGTATTCGTTTACAACAAAATTATAACCACTCTAAGATTTGTGATCCAAGTTCTTTCAATCATGTATTCAACACATATTTATTGATCACCATGTGCTAGGTACCACTCTGGGTGCCTGGGTTATATCAGAGAATGCAACAGATAAAAATACCTGTGTGATGGGGGAAGGGAAGACAATGAGTTATAAACATAGTAAACAAACTACATGCTATGGCAAAAGGTAATAGATGCTATAGGATAATTAGAGGAGAGTGAGAGGATTTCCTACTACCTAAGCGAGTAGGTTCCAATTGTAAATAGAGTAATGGATACATTGAAAAGGTGGTATTTGAGTAGCAACCTGGATAGTGAGGAAGTTAACCATGAGGCTATGGGAGTGTGGGGAAGGGTGGGATATCCCAAACCAAGAGCCCTCATGCTAAGACCCTGTGGCCAGCGATCCTTGGTGTTCACAGAAGAGCAGGCAGGGAGGTGCCATCCCCAGGCATCTCCACGCCTGCTGCTGTCCTTATTCCCTCTCAGGATAGCAGCAGGCAGTGAGGTGCCTGGGGATAGGATGTGCAGGGTTGTGGAAGGACTTTGGCTTTTGAGCAGAGGAAAACATGGTCTGACTTATATTTAGAAGATTACTTGGCTGAAGGCAGACAGAGACAAAGATGGAAGCAGTGTGACTTGTTAGGAGGGTTATGGCAATATTTCAGGCAAAAGGTGATGATGGGTTGAATCAGGGGAGGGCAATGGAGGTGGAGAGAAGTTGTCAGAGTTGGATTTATTTTGAAAGCAGAGCTAATGAATTTTCCAAAGCATTGAATATAGGGTTTAGAGAGAGAGAAGAATCAAGAATGTCCCAAGGGTTTTGGCCTAAGAAACTGAAAGGATGGAGTTGCCATCAGCTGCCAGACAGGAAGAAGACAGAGGGAGAAGAAGACTTAGGGAGGAGGGGGAACAATCAGGGAATCAGTTTTGCTGTGTACTGGTTATGTGACCTTAATAAGTTGTTTAGCCCCTAGCCAGGTGCCATGGCTCATGTCTGTTATCCCAACACTTTAGGAGACATAGGCGGGTGGATCACTTGAGGGCCAGTTTAAGACCAGCCTGCCCAACATGACAAAACTCTGCCTCTACTAAAATACAAAAATTAGCCTGGCATGGTGGCACATGCCTGTAGTCCCAGCTACTTTGGAGGCTGAGGCAGGAGAATCAGCCTGAACATGGGAGGCGGAGGTTGCAGTGAGCTGAGATCATGCCACTGCACTCCAACCTGAGTGACAGAGCGAGACTCCATCTCTGGAAAAAAAAAAAAAATTTGTTTAGCCCTTTTGTGCTTTAATTTCCCAATCGATAAAACTAAGATAATAAAAAATTTATATCAGTATTGTGAAGATTAAATGAAATAATATTTGTAAAGTATTTGGCAGAAGACCTAGCAGGTAGTAAGTGCTCAGTAATTATTAGCTGTTTTATAGTGGAAGCTTAATGAAAAAAGTTTTAACTAATTTGAGATTCTTCCTAGAGAGCTGGCTCTTTAATTCAGAGTCTCATTATAACCAAGGGGCTCCTCTGAGACAACATGTATCCGGGGGTACATGTTTATCACTAGACCAAGCCCAGGTGATTGAAAGGGGGAAGAAGAGATGGCCAAATTCATCCAGAAAAGGGGCCTCATATTCAAACATAAAACTCCAGTCCCCAACCAGGTCCTACACAGCAACTCAAATTAAAGGCTGAAACTATCATTGGGCAAAATAGAGATGCAGGTGGAACGTGTGGGTATCCAAAATATGAAGTAAGGTCTTGGACTTTCGTTTGTTTCTTGGGAAGCTGGTTTGGAGGACAAGGTTTTTCAATCAAAAGTGATCCCCTGGGTCTGAGTAAACGGATATTGTCAATGCCAGTCACAGCCTGCCCAGTTCATCACCTGGAACCAAAAATATTTTTAAAATATGTAGTTGAGACTTTTCTTTTCTCACTTTATTTGGTGCCCATTTGGACACCTGTGTCACAAGTTTTCAAGGTCTGCAAATGAATAACTGTTGCCTGAGCCAGAAGCAGAAATTCCATGGAGTTTTACAGGAAAGAGATTTTTCCGTCCAAGAGCTAAAACATTCCTATACAAATGGTAAACTTTGGTGAGCTCCATGACTATAGAAAATGGTCAAACATCCAGAGTCCTCTCTCACCAGATATTTAAATACACCCATCTCTGTAGTCTTAACTGCCTCACTTTTCTTCACCAAACTCCAGCCAGAAGTTGAGAAAATTACTAATATAGTGCTGCTTTCAGTAAAGTATTGAAAAGAGATTTGTCCTTTTGAACAAAGCAAGCAAATTTTAGAAACATAAAGAACTTTTCATGAAGATTGTTTTCTTTTAGGTACTTAAAAATTCTATTATTTCCCACCCAAAGTGTCCAAAAATCAAGAAATCAATCAAGTATGTCTTGAACTCCTACTGTGTCTCCTAGTCACTGTCCTTAAGGAGCCTAAAATCCAGTTGGAGAAAGAGTCCAACAAGCATATAAAAGAGTGTATAATAGGCCGGGCGTGGTGTCTCACGCCTGTAATCCCAGCACTTTCAGAGATTGAGGCGGGCAGTTCACAAGGTCAAGAGATCGAGACCATCCTGGCCAACATGGTGAAACCCTGTCTCTACTAAAAATACAAAAATTAGCTGGTGTGGTGGCGTGCACCTGTAATCCCAGCTACTCAGGAGGCTGAGGCAGGAGAATCGCTTGAACCTGGGAGGCAGAGGTTACAGTGAGCCGAGATTGCACCACTGCACTCCAGCCTGGTAACAGAGCAAGACTCCATCTCAAAAAAAAAAAAAGAGTGTATAAATGTATAATAAAGAACAAGATTGTATGAGTCAGGTGTAAATGCCATAGGATTTCAGAGCAGGGAAGGATAAGTGAAGGCAAGAAGAGTCAGGAGAGCTTCATGGAGAGATAACACCTGAGTGATTTGAAACGTAGTAATTACAGGTGAAGAAGTGGGACGAGGCCATGCCCTAAAGAGACACCAACCCGAACCAGGGATGGATATATCTCTGAGCATAGTTTGTTCATGGGCTCTCCCAGACCATGACTTTGTTGTTGTTTTTCCTTCTTGTTTTGCATCCATTTCTGGGGCCTTTCAATTTGGGGACATTTCTCAAGTTGGCAACTATCTTTGTAGGATGTACGCTCTACACCCTTGATCTTGAACACCCAAGATGTGGCAGTGCGGCCCAGTTGATGCTCATCCCTGTTAACCCTGATCAGGATTTGCTTTGTACTGGCTGCTGGGTTGGAAAGTCACAATCTTTGAAGAAAAGAAAATGACCTAAAGTTAGACACAAGGTTCCAAATTCAACATTAAATAAATGAAGACCCCTGTTTTTTTCTCCTGATTTATATGAAAAACAGCCTGACTGCAGTAGCAACAAGGTTCAATAACTTTGAGCGGATCCATGTCATATCACTGTTTAGAGAAATGCCATTTGAATGAAACCTGAAATTCAACAAACTGAGACCTGAAACATCAAAGCGAAAACAACTGCTCTATAACTGCAGGATAATGGAGGAATTAAGAATACAGGATATTGAGTCGAAAATCTTTATTTCACATCCCAGCCCCTTGACTTTCCAGGGTGATCCTGGACAGGTTTACCTGGAGTCTGTTTCAGAACCTGTCTCGCATTTTTATAGTAAAGATTAAGTATATAAGGGGCTTGAGGTACATAATAGTCTGTTCAAAAAATGACAGCTGTGTATTAGGTTATTGACCTAACTTTCCTTGCCAAGTAAAAGTCTAATGCCCTGCCCCATTAGATTCACTGTACATGTCCCGTGGCTTATAAACAGGCTATCTCCCCCTGATTAAGAAGCATGCTCCTTTTGAGTCTCTACGATAAGACTGTATTTTAGGAGCAGGCTGGAAAAAATCTTTGAAGATGTTGCCCACAAGATAACTAGGAAGAAAAACACCAGTAAATCAGATGTGGTGATAAGTCAAACAAGACTGGGTGGCAGGCTGACTCTTTGCTACTTTTGAAGAGTTTTCCTCAATAAATGAATCAAGTAAATAGTAACATAGGGAAATATTTAGACAAATTAAACACATGAATTAAAGCAAATAAAGTTGATACATTATTACCACATGCAAAATTTCTGTTGCCACAAAAAAAAATCTATCATGCATTCAGAATCTTGGGATTCTTAAATGTTCTTTTGTTCTATTCTATATGTACTTTCTTTGGGGCCCCTCTTTCTGATATAAAGATAGGAATTTGCCTAAAAAAATAATTTTAGCTCAAGATGACAAGCCTAGGGACCTTCTCACTTATATGTTGCCAGACAAAGACTCCAAAATTTTGTCTCCAAATTCCTCTTTTCCATATTCCAAGTCGTGCCTTCACTTCCTCCTCTCATGCAAAGGCCTGGAGAGCCACAGACTTGTTCATTATTTCAGGAAGAAAGACCCTCTTAACATCCGGGTTATTTTCAACACTTCATGACTACCAATGTTTCACAGGAAGGCGGGCCTCCGGCTGCCATATAGAGGTAGTTTATAGCTTTGGAAACAACTAGAGAGTTGTCATAAAGCAAACGCAGACATTGGAAAGAGCGGTTGTCTCTCAGGCATAGTATCGCCCCTATGTTTCTTGAGGCAAAACAGACCATCTTGTTCACCGTCACAACCCAGCACCTGGCACAATGTCTGCACATACTCATTACTCAGCAAATAATGATGGTTGAGTGAATAAATGAATGAACCCAATCAAGGGTCATACTGGTACCATGATGGCACCTACTGGCAGGAAAGAAAAGGAGCCAGAAGGAGGTAGAATCAGAACAGGGGGCTCTGAGTTGGTTGGGAGGTAGACTTCAGAAAAGGATGGCCAGCAATTCTATCTTCATATCCAAGGAGCTTGAGCATAATTTAACAGGGGAAAAAATCTGCCAGGTAAGAAACTATAACCAGCGTTCCCAGGAAGGGCAATAGTCAAAGATATCATCATAAAAGCACCAGCTCCAGTAGGAGCAGACCCCTGCCTGGGGTGCAGACTTGGTAGAAGGGTGTAGAAATAGCCCACTAACTGGATCAAGATTCTGGGCAGGCCTCTAGTCTGTGAGGATCTGCAGCACAAGGTTGGAAGCCAAGCAGAACCATAGAGACTGATAGACTCAAGATCACTCCAGAAAAGCTGTGACCCAGGGAACATTGGCATGGCCTGAGCTCACCCTGGAATACCAGAAACATAGATTACAGCAGTTCAGCTAATCTGGATGCTGCCAGCTGGGGCTGAGGATGCACAGTCTGCTTTAGTGAGTACTGGCTCAGAAGAGGATGTGCTGGAGCCCAGAGATAGAGGCCACAGTGACTGCAGGTAAAAGACAGCAGAGGAGGGCAGTGACCATCCCCCGCACAGTCTTTGGAGGAAATTTCCAGGTGTCTGTTTTCTAAGTCAGTTCATTTCCATTACCAGTTGCTTTAAAGCGATGAGAGAATACAAATCCAGCCTGGTTTTGTAGTCATTATGACTCTTTAGGTAAACAGACAGCTGGCATGGCTGCCCTTGCCAAAATCTCTTGAATTTCACCAGCCCGGTAGGGAGTGAATTCAGTAGCCTGTGCTGAGTGGCAATCTCACCTTCCAACATAATAAAAAATTATTGCGTACTCTTCAGAGAAAGTAGAAATCAGAGACATTTTTGTCTTCTATTTCTTTTCCAAGGTCAGCAAACAGTCCATCAATCAAGTGGGTAGCTGTCTTTGGGACAGACAATTCATTCCAGTGCTTTATGCATGTGGGCCTCTTTACTAAGGAAAGAAGGATGGGGAGGAGGTTGCTGGTAGCAAATGGAGCCAATGATATCATAACAATCAGGACCAACGTGTTTTAAATCTATACTCTGGGCAAAGTGTTAGGGACTCGAAGAATAGCCAGTCCTTGCCCTCCAGAGGCTTACAATACAGTTGCCAAGGCAGGATATATTACTTAAAGAGGTAAATATTATACAATTTGGGGTATAAAAGCAAATATCACACAGGTACCCTAAAATTCCCCACCTGTTCCAAAGACTCGTGAACCTTTAGATAAGTCAATGGACACAAACATGGCACGCTCTGAGGAGTGTCCACTTCATGGGCCTGGTGAGTTACTTCCCAGTTACCTAAGAAGGATTTTCACCCCTTCTGCAAAGCGAAGCTGGACAGATTATTCCAGAAATTCAGGTATAACAAGTAGGCAGCTCATGATTAGCTCAGTCCCAAAACTCTATCCCATGAGTGTATTTTCCCCAACAAGGATCTCCCCAAACTGTTTCTCAATACCAGGAAACAACCTCTGAAGAAAAGAAGACCCTTCCAAACAACCAGTTGCAGAGAACAGAATCAGGACTCACTAACTGACTTTCCCCTGTAGGTTCCTTCGCCCCAACAATATTATTCCACTTCCTGTCCAACTTTCCCACACCCACCGCTTCTTACTCATTCAGTGTCACATAACCTGGAAGAATGAGGCAAAACTGAACTGGAAGGGAGATTGGAGACTCACCTTGAAGAGGGTTTGAATGACAGAATATGGAGTTTGGGCAACGGGAAGCCATTTGAGGGAAGCACAATGCATTATTTTAGGAGGCTTAATTTAGCATGTGTATGCTTTAAGTATATTAGTAACAAAATGGCATTAATTTGGATGCCACTGATTTGTGAATTTGGTCATCTGGAAAAGGAGTAGGCTCTAGTTTACTTTTCCATTATTTGAGCTAAAGGAACTTAGTACCAAGAGTGACCAATCCACAGCATTGGGGCTACAAGTGAATCAGAGCCTCATACTCAGCCCTTGAAAAAGCATAGCCACTGACGCACTTTGTTATTGCTGTAATTATAGGTGATAGGTCCTTTGAAATATGTGGCTTAGCAAAACACAGAGGAAAGACTTGAGAGGAAAAGTGGGCTTTGGGATCAGATCAATGTGGCTAAAATCATGGTTCTGCTGCTTACAGGGTGTATGACTTTAGACTGAAATAATGTACTTAGAAGAGCTGACATGGGGCCTGGCACACAGTAGATGCCCAATCTTAGTTTTCTTGTACTGATGTTGTGGTCTCTATATGAATTTGTGCAGTGAGATGGTTTCCAAAGCCTCTGACTTCTGGTTGAATTAGCAGAAGTATAGTATCTGAAACTAAGGAGGTGATGGGACCTCTCAACTTGGTGAAGTTAAAATCTCCGTTCGAATATTGTGTTCAGTACCAAGGACACTCCAAGGGAGAACATAGAGAAACTGAGTGTATGAGAAATACTACCAAATACGGTATGTTATGTAGAATATAGAATTGGGGCTCTTTAGCCTGGGGCATACTTAGCATAGAGACAATATTCAAAGGGCTGCGCTGAAACACATGCAGCTATACCTTTAGAGCCCTAATTCTACAGATTATTTGTTGTATAGATCCAAGGGGTAGAATAGGCTCAAAGGAACAGTTTCTGGCTTCGTTTTTAAAAAGGCCTTTTTAATTAGCTGCATTGGGTGGGAATGAGCTCGCTATTATAGTTGCAGTCAAGCACAGGCAGCAGGACAACTTGGCAGAATAATGTAATCACCATTCATGCCTCAGAGTGGGGATTGGAATAGAAAAGCTTTCAGACTCCTTATGCTGCTGAGAGGCTGTGACTGTAGACCTAAAAGTATGTTAGGAAAGGAGTAAACTAAATACTACCAGTCCTATACAGTATCACAAATAAGTTTGGTTCTTACATCTTGAAAATGAATCTAAGAGAGCTCTGTTGGTGATACTGGAGACAACTTCTCTTAGTGCAGTTCAGATTGGCCAACCTCCACCTAATACAAGTGGGATCATATTTCAGACCAGAGTACTTCAAACTCCTGAGAATAATCTGTTTTCAAGTAATCTCAAAACACACCCTGTAATTTACAAACAACACATTAGTCCCAAATCAGTCTCCTCTATTTATTAGCCAGTCTCCATAGAGCCATACATAACTCAAGGTATTTTTTTTACAATGTCCCAGTATTTTTATTATTATGATTACTATTATTATTATTTTAACAGGATGGCTTGTGGTTTTACATACAATCATTAGAGACGGTAAAAGACCACAGGAATATCAGAGTGCGGAACTCAGATCTCAAATATTGTTTATGAACTGAAATAAAAGTAGTTTGCCAACATCTCTATTTTGACAACCCTTGTAACCCTTATATGTATAAAAATATCTTTTAAAAGATGTTTTGGATGATTTGTGCTGATTTGTTTTTCTTGGATGTTTGAGCAATTGACTTTCAATATGTTTATATCTAAGTATTTTAAAGAATGTTTTCCCTAAGTTTGACATTTCCTTGTTTTGAGAGTAAATTGAGAAAAAAAATATTTTTCTGAATCTATACTTTAGAAAACACTGAGATAAGCCAATAGTAAGATGGTAGAACTAGAAGTTAAATCAAAATAATCCACAAGCAAAATAAATATAATGGACCAAACTCAGCAGTTTAAAAACTCAGATTGACAGATTGTGTTTTTAAAATATCCAGCTATGTGTGATTTACAATAAAACATATATTCAATAAAACATAAGGACACAGAAAGATTGAAAATAAAAGCATGTGAAAAGTTTTATCAGGCAAATACCAAAAGAAAGTTAGTATAGCTATATTAATATTTGATAACAAACTTATTGGCAAAAAATTATCGGTCTAAAGAGGACCATTACATAATGTTAAAAGGAACAGTTAACCTGGAAGTTATAATAATTCTGATCTGCACTTAATGACATATCCTCAGCATATATAAAGCAAAAATTGATAGAATTGCAAAGAGAAATTGATAAATCCACCATCACAGGAGGTTTCTATACAATTCTCTCAGTAATTAATAGATCAAGCAGCCAAAAGAATTAATAAAATATAAATGAAGAATTTAATTAAATATAATCTAGTGGACACATGATAAAGCCTCAGCGTAACATTCAAAATAGGGTCCAAAGTTTTTTGGTTGCGTACAATGAAGACTTATGCAACTATAAGACTAATGACAAAAATATCATACTTCATCAAATCTAAGACACACTTTTCTTTCCACATTTTAACATCTCTAAAATTGATATGTTTCAGATCATAATAATATATCATGATATAATGGGCAGTGTTTTCCCTAATAGCTCATAAAATAGTGAGACATCCTACCACAGATACATCTGAAATGCAATGAAATATTCTCTGTCAGTCTGTACTGTACCAAAAGTAAAGATAATGAAATATATCCTGAATGAAACTGATCAGTCACTTATTTTCCACTGCCCACCCCCATTCACAGTGGAAAATAAGAACTCTAGCCTTTCCCCTTTGGGGAATGGCTTACTGTATATAGGAAATCTGCATCCAACAGAGAATATCTATTCTTTTTTAAGTACACTTTCACACTTTAAAAAAAGCAGTCATGTACTGTAAGCCAAGACTCAACAAATTTATAAAAATGACATATAGATCATATTCTGGTGCCAAATAAAAAACAATTGAAATCAATAGCCAATCAAGTTACCAATCAATTTTGAAAATCTCATGTTTTGAAATTTCAAACACACACCCAAAGCATTTGTGAGTCAAAGTAATATCATAATGTAAATTAGAAAATACTTAGAACTGACCAATTATGAAGATGCCAAAACCAAAACTTGGAATGCAGCTAAGTGGTCCTTACAGGGAAATTTGTCATCTTGAGGGTTTATGTTAGAAAAGAATAAAAGTTTAAGACAATTAGCCAAGCATAGAACACAGGAGATTAGAGAAGAATGACAGAGTAAACCCTTTCAAAAAAGAGAAGGCCAAGACCAAGAAAGAACAGAATAGAAAACAAGATAAATGGAGAGGTAACAAAGAAAACTATTAGTTGGGCATAGAAGAGGTGAAAAGAGAAATAGACATGTATAGAAAGAACTGTGTACTTGCTTGTCAATCTGGATGGGAAGATAAGCTGAAGTCAATGCTGTCATGGGTTCTGGGTAGTACTGGAGAGAAATCATTGATCAAGAGAACCAAGAAAGCACACGCAAACTGAGTTCATCCCCCACCTACCCCTTTCCTTCCTAGAAAGCCTTTGTACACAAAATGGTTGCTATAAAATATTGTAAAATGTGTACATTTTATTCTCCCCCATTTTTATCACCAACTAAAATTTGGCGGATTACTATGAAACTCTCAATTTGCAAAGCTGTTTGTCCCTACAGCAGTCTTTGATCACTATGTTGTGTTTTTTTTAAGTTTATGGTTCTACTTTTTCTGGTCTCTCGCTTCTTGATATCATACCTGTGTTTTCTAATCTAGATACTCCCCTCTGCACTTCTAATTTGACAGTCTAAGCTTCTGGGTACCTGAATATCAGAAAACCAAGCTTACATAAATTGCATATGAAATAAGGATTCCTAGTCTCTAAGAACTTGAGAGAAGGCATATGGCCTAAGAACCCAAGCTTTAGTGAATGACCAATGTGTCCATTTATGCCACCTCCTGGGTTATTGAGGCTATTCCAGATAGTCTTTTGGGTTGAGCACCCTGGTTCAGTGAATCCATTTGAGAGAAGCACAATTATAGGAAGAAGTGCAAAATTGAAAAAGGATCTGAAAAGTCATTGGGAGCCTGGGCAACAGGCTCTACAACAGGGTCTTTTGTAGAGACCCTATCTCTACAAAAAATAGAAAAATTAGCCAGGCATGGTGGCTTGTGTGCATGTAGTCTCAGCTACTCAGGAGGCTGTGGTGGGAGGATCACTTGAATCCAGGAATCCAAGTCTGCAGTAGGTCATGATTGCACCACCCTATGCTGTGCAAGAGAGCAAGACCCTGTCTCAAAAAAAAAAAAAAAAAAACAGTGGGCGCGGTGGCTCCGCCTATAATCCCAGCACTTTGGGAGGCCAAGGCATGTGGATCACCTGGGGTCAGGAGTTCGAGATCAGCCTGGCAAACATGGTGAAACCCCAAATCTACTAAAAATACAAAAATTAGCCAGGTGTGGTAGCGGACACCTGTAATCTCAGCTACTCAAGAGGCTGAGGCAGGAGAATTGCTAGAACCCGGGAGGCGGAGATTGCAATGAGCCAAGATTGCACCATTGCACTCCAGCCGAGGCGACAACAGCAAGACTCCATCTCAAAAAAAAAAGAAAAAAAAAAAAAGAAAGAAAAAAGAAAAAAAAATTGGTAGAGGGGGGAAGGAGTTGTCAGTGGGAAAGAGAAATGGGAGGAGGAGGAAGAGGAGAGATTTAATAGTTTGGGGAAAAGGACCAAAAAGCAGAGAAAATCTGAGAGGATCTCCTTTCTACCAATGCTAAAATAATTGTCAACTCTTTAAATAGTCCAACATTGGCAAAATCAGTGAGCTAAGTTATCTGAGAATGGGAGATGACCCACCAGGATCATATTGTCCTAGTTGGCAGCTTACAGTCATACTGCACTAAATTACAAGTCACCCCAGAGTCATTACGTGTATTTTCTAATCAGGATAGTATTTGGGACTGACAGGATTTATATTGTTTGCATTCCCAGAAGGCAGTCAAACTCCTCCCTCTGTTCCCTACAGAATGACAAGGTCCCATGAGGGTATATAAACACCTTCCCTTTTGCAAAGCAGCCATCTTCTCACCTATACATTAAGGCACCAAGGAAATGCGAAAGGCAGGGAGTTAATTTATTTCTCCTCGAAAGAAGAGTCAGCCACAAACGATACATAACTAACATTCCTTTGCCATTACTGTGGCTACTGGAACAGACGTTAGTTTAGTCAGTGCCCAAAGCAGTGGGCTTCATGTTTTGTTTCATTTTTTAAAAAAATAAAAAGCACTTGAATAAGTGACAACTGAAATATTACTGAGTTTCTTTTCAACACAACCCAGCATCAGGAAAACTGTTTCATTTGCAGGCTGAGGAAATATGAAAGAGCAATTTTATTTTACCTGCATTGCCCAAATTTATGGACTTAGAATACTTTATAGGTATCTATAAAGCTCAAGATTCTTGAGATTGTATATAAAAGGTGCAAACTCAGCCAAAGTAAATATCTACAAAATGCTCCTTATGATGGAGCTTGACCTGGCAGCCCCAGTTAGCTCCTACCTACTGGCCTTAAAATTTGTGAATGTACTGATCCCTAACAGATAAAAATGTTGAATGGCAATTTTGTATTTCATACATCCTCACTCTAAATAAAATTATGTCCATTTCTACTCTGTGCCTTTGATCACATTTCATTTTCCTTCTGGAATGCCCTCTCTTCTTTCACCTATCCAATTTCACTGTGGCCTTAAGGCCTAGCCCAGTGCTTTCTGGACCTGCCCCAGGATGACTCAGTGGCCTCTGCAAGCCTCCTAACTCCCTCTGCTCTGAGCTCAGGCACTGCACATTGCAGCACCTTTGAGAGTTTAACTGCATTTCACCAGTACGGCTCTCCAGGCAAGCCCTGAGAATCAGTCCTGACTTTGTAATTGGACTCTGACAACCTCTTTCAGGGTTAGAAGTTGATGTCTATCTTTCTATGCCTCCTACTGTTGAGCATGCATTAGAAACTCAATGGGAAATAAGTTCTTGGTTTATTGACACCCTATTACACAGTTTAATGACATTGCTTTAAGGAATTGATCATCATGGTTACCTCTGGTTGATCATGGATGATAGATTCATGGTTGATCATAGATGATAGATGCTCGGGTAGAGCATCTATCTTTTTGAGGCACCACCCAAATTCACCTTTCCAAGTTCGTAATCTAAAGCAACAGCCCATGGTATATTGTAGGTGGTGTTTACTTACCAATAATAGGTAACGGTGATGCCAACTAATACATGAGGGATGATCAATCAGACCAATTGAGCATATACATTAAATAAATGGCTACATTAACGGTAAGTAAACGAATCACTATATTTAGTAAAACAAAAAATGAAAATGAGACACCAGCCTTTCTCTTCCAGTGTCATAATATTTGAGCACTACTAAGTACCTTCTCTGTAATCCTATTTCAACACCCCACTTCCAAGAACTAAAGTACTCCAAGTACTAACAAGCTACATCTTGTCTGGATTATTCTCTGAAAACTGGTTTTGATTAACAAGCTCCATGCATTTTATGGAGAGAAAGGGAAGTGCTGAATGAATCCAAAATTTACTTTAATCACCTTCACCATCGTAAGTAACATGAAATGTCATGACTGGGTCAGGGTGACAAGAGTACCACAAGAGTACTTATCACCTTCTGTGATAAGAGCCTCAAAGCTTGAGTTTGTGGGAGTATGTCATCAATCTTCCCCTTAACTGCATATTAATGATGGCTTATCTCAGTCCTTCTGGTATTATTCATATAAGGCATAAAGTAATAAGATTTATAGCAAACTAGGATTTATACATCCATATGATTTCTGCTCCTTCAACGGATTTGCTTTGGAAAACCATATGCTTTCTCCAACAACGCTGTCACTATTCCAAATATATTCTGCACTCTTGCTTTGAAATGGTCATAACTTTAAAGCCACAATATTTGAACATCCTCAGTAGGGGATTAGGGGAATATCATCATCATTTGATTTCTAAAACCCCAAAAGCTGTAGGAACCAGTTCTGGTGAATGATGGATTATCAAGCTCAGAACTTTCATGAATGCTTTCATGAAAAGCAAAGCATGACTAAGAGATTATAAGATTTTCTTTTGGGGGCCTATAAACTGACTTTAGAAAGAGTCCCAAGGGAGGTGTTTCAGAATTGCTTTGGGCAATGGCTGTATCACTGGAGGTAGTCTCCAATCTCCAAAGCCACTAGTTTGGAGATAATTAGATTCATTTGGATGTGGGAATTCAGTTATGTTCACTACATGAACAGCCTCATTGCTTTATAGCCATGCTTTTTAGAAAGAGTTCCACAAAGGTTTAGGTACCTAATACTTTTTCTATACTGCCCCACTTTGGGTTAAGGAATCTACTATCTTCAGTGTCTTATCAATTTAATTGCCATCTCTAGCCCAAATTACCTCTCAGGTGGCCAGAATGAATCACAGTGTTTCATTATGTTACCCTCATTTATGGTTGATCAGCTTTGATCAAGGATATTAAATTTACCATTGGAAACTCCACTTGGGTTTCCCTTTTCTTGACACATGGATGGCAATCTTAAGGGCCTGAATTTCTCAAATGTGTAATCTGGGACCACCCACTAACACCATAGCTCTAGTCAGAGTTTGTACAGGGTTGTTCAAGAAATCAACTTCATTTACTTTGGCCAAGCATGGGCACATCACCAGGAACTTGGCTTGGACGTAGAAGGAAAGGGAGGATGGAAAGGGAAGTGCCATTTTTTGAAGGCTGGCCATGTGCCAGGATCTCTGCATGCCTTGTCTCATGTCATCACAGAACCAATCTGGGAAGCAGGAATTATCTCAATTTCACATACATAAAGAAAAAGAAGTCTTACATTCACCTGTCCATCATTGGAAAGATTTACAATGATTCTGAAGGACAGGCAGTGGAGTTTTAGGTTTCAGGGGCAAGAGCAGTTTTCAAAAGTCTTTGAGTCCAGTGTGCGCAAGTCAACAAGCAGTACCTGGTGTGCAGGAGCACTCGTGAGTGAGTCTGTCTCGGGTCTCGACAATTAGCAATTGTGTGACAGTCATTCTGTTTCCTTCTGCCTGACCCTGGGAGACATACCAGTAATGGATGTGCAAAAGCAGGTCTGTTTTATGTCTTAATATAATTTAAGATTAACTGTATTGAAAAAATGCTGAAGAATGAATGTGTCAAAATGGGTTAACTGTGTACATTGACTTTCATGTCATCATCCATCTGTCATGAATGAGTGATACTTTGCAATGGGCTGGTGTATGACAGTGAGGACCTTAGGGCATGAAGGCTTTTTGCCTGGTCCCAGCAGCATCTGCCCCATGAAGTTTGTTTTCTCTCACTGCCTCCAGGCCCCACTGATACCCCCAAATAGATGCTGGGTTATGAGAACCAGTGAAGTCCCCCATGTCGTCAGTCTTAAAAATAATTTTACAAGTCCACATATTTGTCCCATTCTTGGAGTAGTTTTAGTGTATGTCTTTAAATTAACTACTAACAGTATAAATAACTTGACATCATAAAAAGAAAAGGAAGGCTTAAAGAGGTTGTGCAACTTACTCAAAGCCCACATATTAGTAAGTAGAAGTTTAGGATTTGGATCATCTTTTCCTGCCTCCAAAGCCCAAGCTCTTTGCCATGAGGTTGATGCAGCCATTAACAGGAATGAGACCATGGAGGGGAATTGAGCAGCCACAGGAAACGTAGGCTCCAACGCCATTCCTGCTACCCACTAACTATAGGCGGCATCAGCCTGCTAAATCCTTATTCCCCTCATTCTATTAAACACTTGAAGGGCATTTAGTGGCAATTTGTGTTTGAAACACTGTACTATGTCTCACAGGTACAAATATGAGTAAAGCAGATATGTGTCTTCTAGGGGCTTCTAATTCAGTGGCAGAGACAAGAACATAATAATATAATTTCTATAAAATAAAGTAGATAAGACAGAGCTATGATTATGATAAAATAAGAGCACAAATGCAGAGTTCAGTGGTGGTATTTACTGGTCTCTGTTTCCCACTCAATGACAAGGGCCATGATTGGCAAAACCGTGTCCATTTTATGCTCTTGTTCTCCAGTACTTGGAGAGGGCCTAGCACATGGTAGGTGTTCAATAAATATGTTAGGTATGAATAAATCAGGTGGTACCTGAGCAAAGACTTGAAAGATGAAAAACAGCTAGCCACGCAATGATAGTTAGAAAGAGTGTCTCAGGGAGAAGAAGACCGTGACAGAAGAGCGAGGTATGTATGGGGAGCTAATGCCATTTAGTTCTGTCAAAGCACAAAGTGTGAGGAGGGAGGGGGAGGTGCTGGAGAGATAAGAGAGGGCTTGTATGGGCTAAAGACTCAAAGCCTTGTACCTAGCAGTCCACGAATAGATTCCAGGGATTTCATGGACCCCCTGAAATGGTAATAAAAAACGTGTGAGCCTGTGCATAAATGTGAATGTATACTTTCATTAGGAAAGGGATGTATCACTTCCATAAAATTCTCAAATGTTAAGAACTCTGTGGGCAATGAAGAGCTATTAAAAAGTTCATGGGCAGGCAAATCTATCAGAATATCATTTTAGGGTTTAGAGCCATAAGTGGCTCCAACTGCAGTGTAGAAGATGGAATTCCTGGCAGTAATACTGGTGGTGGAGAAACCAATAAAGAGATCATTGCAATAATCCAGGAAAGAAAGAATGAGATCCTAAGTCTGTTCAATGGTATTAGAGATGAAGTAGACAGGGGCAGATTTGAGAAGTATTTAGATCAGAGGATCAGGATATACTGATGGCACGTGTCATATTGGGGAAGGAAGAGAGGGAGGAAAAGGCACCTGAGGTTGACTTCCAAGTTTTCAACTTGGGCTGATAAGTAGTGCCATCAAATGAGAGGAGAAAATCACGCAGCTTTGAAAAGGAAAACAGTGAGTTCAGTGTGAACGGTTGAGTTTGACATATCAATAGGACCTACTGGACAATTGAATGGTCCTGAATACAACCCTGAAGAATGGGGAGAGATCTAGGCTAGAGATGAAGACTTAACTCATCCATATCTAGATGAGAGTTTAAACTATGGGAGGAAATGAGACAACCCATCGAGAGTTTTAGAAAGAAAACTGGCCATGGACAAGAATGGATCCATCAGTCGCACAATATCATAAATGTACTTAATGCCACTGAATTGTACATTTAAAAATAACAAAATGGTGTATATATCTCCACAATTTTTAAAGAGGAGGAAAAAGATGACCTCCTAGGGCATGCTGACCTTTAAAGGTCAGGTACAAGAAGAAGCCCATGAGGAAAGTGGAAAGGAACGGTCAGAGATAAGAGGGAGATTGGGAGAGTCACAGATGCCAGAGGAATAGAATTTCAAAAACATGCAGGGCAGAGTGGGCGGATGAGTTAGATCATCCCTAAGGTGCCTACCAGAAATAACAGAATATATAAACTCTGGGAGAGAGAGAATTTAGATCTCTAGGCTTGCCCATCTAGAACTGCTCAGCAGTAATAAAATGGCTTAAATTTCATCTTTCAAAATAAAAATTGCCCATGCTTTGCCAGTTTTGTCTGGGCAGGAAACAGCTCAGACCAGCTGCTTGGGATGGTTCTAAATTCCACTCAGAGCCCTGGAATGTGATGCCTCCAAGGCGCCAGTCCTGTGAATCCCTTCCTGGTGCTCACAGAGGGACAGCGGCAGGTGTGCAGAGGCCTCCAGCCTCCCTCTGCCCAGTGGCTGATGTGCCTCTCCCTCTGCCCTCAGGGTCTCTCCTTGGAGCAGAGTGAAGTGGACATAGTTCCTTGATCTCTGCTGTTTCTCTCTCACCAGGATTGAGTCTTTGTAATTAGAACAAGCAGATTGCTACTGAAGTCACCAGGTTAGTGGAACAGAGCTGCCCCCGCTAAAGGTCTCTTTCCCTTGAAGGCACTCCAAAGTGCTTCATAGGCACCCTCACTCTGTACCAGAGAAAGGGGGAGAGAGAGTGGATGGCGGGCCTCTGGGGAGCCTCACATCATCAGCTGCATCCCCAGGTGCCCCGTGGAGGGGAGAATCCAGAGAAAGACCTTTGCCAGCTCTCAAGAAGCTCTAATGGATCCTCAGCAATTTTCCTGTCCTATTTCTGGCAGAGAAAGCTAATATCTCTTCATTGTGGCAGAATCAACCTACTAATTCATTCTTTCATGTTAAATGCTTACAAGATAGTCTAACCGTGTGAAAGCATCCAAGTATCTTCAGTGGCCTCAGTGATTCAGTGTTGCTACTCAGAATCTGCACAACCTAGCAAAGACTGTAGAACTACAGCAAACCCACCAGCCACCAGAGAGGCTTCTGATAACCTCTTCCTTCAGAAATTGACCATACTGTTGTTGTAGAAATATAATTGTTGTAGTTACTCGGACCTATCCTGGGGTTAGTTAAAATAGAGATATTGGGGTCACTGTCGTGGGGGCAATAAAGCATGCCTCTTTCCTGCCTTGATTGTGAATAAACTGAAAAATGAGGCCAAAAAATGATACATGAAAACCTCAGCATTGCCTTTATTACTGTGAGTTGGAGATTTTGGCTGAGTGTGGCAGCAAACAGGCTGGAAACGGAAGCCCAGAGTTAAATAGATTTACCAGTCTGATGGCAGGCAGGGGGCCTGTCCAGGGAAGATGCACAGCCAGAGGCAGAGTTACGGGGGGCTGATTCGCTTAAACTTTAGGGACCCTCACTTGCATGGGTCCCTGCTAGGCCCTTCTAAGGCCAGGGGAGTAGCCCTTATAATTTTGCATTTGTATTTTTATGTTCTCTTTCTTAAAGAGCCTCCACAAAATTGCATCAGGCCCCACAACAGCTGCTTGCATGGAATAGCAGAGAATACCGCCTGCTCCCTCCGGACAGCACACTCCTGAAAACGGGGAGAGAGGAGCCAAACATGCTCGGTTTACACTTTCCTTATTTACTGAATGAGTGGAGGGCAGAGACAGGCCTGGAGTTACGCACACTGAGTGCCCCAACATGGAAAGAAACATCAGGAGGGACAGGAAACGTTCCCTCCTTAACCAACAGTTTTCAAGACCTTACTGGAGGCACTTTATTGGCTACATAATCACTCCATGCGGTGGGCATCAGGCAGAATCCTGGTGCAGACCCAACTTTGAGGTGGAGGATTTCACAGTTTCTTTATTTTGAACTTCCCCCAGGCTCCCACTAATTCCTCTCCATTCTATCCTCCTCCCTTTCCCACAAAAGAAAACAGAAAGGAGCAGCAGTGTTTGATACCGTATCATCCAGAGGCCTGGTTCTCTCCCATTATAGGGCAAACAAGCCCTGGCAAGATATTTCACTCCCGCCCCATGCCATGCATTAAAAATCCAAAATTGCCTATATTCCACCTGCCAAGCAAGAGATGCTTTCATTATTGAAGTTCCAAATGTATACCTTTGAGAACAGTGCCTTCTCGTCTTAAAAGAGAGGTCCTCATTTTGTGAGTTGGGAGCAGAGGGAATTAAAGAAAGCCATGATGCAGGGATTTGGCCATTCAAGCCGGGCAGCCTTCAGAGAATGTCATCCCTAATGACACATGCCCGAATGAAGGAGCGGGGCTGAGCTTGTCCTGCCTTCGTATTGAATGTTGCCTGTCTGCCTCCTTAATAGCGGGCCTCTGTGTGAGCATTTGACAAGACTTAAAACTATTCATTGAAGAAAATGGATGATCCCCCAACAGGAAGATGCAACCCCATGGGCTGCCTGCTTGACCACAGAAGTGCTTCCAGCTCCAGTTGCTCATCTGAGAACTCCCCCCACCACTTGCTGTTAAAATTGTTAAAATTAAAGGCCATGTTGATTGATTTTTTAAACTTTATTTCCATTTTTTTTAATAAAATAAGAATTGGACTTGGGTTGATACTTAGGCTATTGAGAAAATAACATTGGTAAGACTCCACGTGTGGCTGTTTGCTGTTTCTCCCCCTCTGGAATCTTTTTCAAAGGTTTGTGGTGAACTACATGCAGGGGCTACCTGGTAAGGGCAGGTGGCACTGCCAAGGGCAGCAAACACTGAGAGTCTGCTGGGCTGGACAGGTCAGCTTCCGCTGTCATCTGCGTCATAAAGTCAGGTCCATGCAGGTCCCCACTCCAGATTCCCCCTGCCCAATGTGGACTCTCAGAAGGATCATGGAGAATGAGTCTGAACTTGTGAGTCAGGGAGCACCCATTCTCAGAAGCTACCTTGCACCCTGCCAGCTCTCATCTGAGATGAGGCCTGGGCAGGCACAACTCCGCGAGGGGGACCTCTGGCCCAGATGGTCCCACTTAGTTCCAGAGTGGTATCTATGTGGCCCTATGGTCTCACCTGTCCTGGCCACCCTTTCCCCTGGTGAAGAGGGAGGACAGAGGCCAAGCTCACACACCAGTCCCGAGTTAGGCTGTGAGCAGCAGTCCCGACCCTCCTGGGGTGCAATCCGGGAAGGAGATCTTGGAAGCAGGTGGCAGTTAGCACGGAGTATGCCAACAGACAGTGAATCAGGGGCACAGGAGGGCAGCATGGAGGCCAGAGGCCAAGGAGTCGAGGCAGTCTGCCCCAGAGCAAAACAGTGCAGAGCGGAGCCAGGCTCTATGGGGGTCAGGCTATGCCATGTGAGCCCTGCTGCATTCTACATGCCTCCCAGCCACTGGCAAAGCCTGTTCCTTAGCACCTGAGTGTCTTCATCTTGGAACGTGGTAAAGATGGAAAAGGACTGATTTAGCATAACCGAACTATTTTGTGAATGAAGCAAATACTATTTACTAAATAATGCAGATGTGCATCTACTTCTATTCTAATATTGATATACATTCAACAGGTAACTAGAGCCTTTCTCACATTAGCTGTTAATCCCCCTTCACAAGGTAGTTGATTAAGACTCCAAGCCAAGAATCTAAAGGGAAGACAGCCTCTGCCATGGTCCCCCTCCCTCTCTGACTTTCCTCTGAAGTCCATGTTCACCCATGCTATGTGCACATCCACACTGGGCCATGTAAGTGAACTGCTTCTGTCAGAGTGGAAGGAGCAACTGCAAACATGGTCTCAACTTCTGTTGCATCTGCTTAGTCTTTAAAGTATAGATATTTCTTAACTAAATTGTTATAAATCTGAAGTTATAGTGTAATGGTTAAGTGTGCATGTTGGGGGTCAAGGTTCTAAAATTAGACCACATGGATTCAAATCCCAGTTTTGTAACATTAACATTGTGAACATATAAAAATAAATATGTCTGTGGGTGGTATGTGGAGGTCTTGAGTGAGTTACATATCTTCACTGAGTCTCAGTTTTCCTTACCTGCAAAAGGGGGTAACAGTTCCTACAAGGCTGTTTTACCGAGGCTCACTGAATTAAATGAGAGAATGCATAGATAGCACTGAGCACGGTGGTTAGCTGTTGTTAAGTAAGTTAGCATTGGACACAGCCGTAAAAATGCAGGCGTTTCAAGAGTGACCTCGGGAAATGACACTGCCCAGAAGAATTGGGCAGAATTGCAGCTGTCCTCCACCTGGGTCTTCTATTCTGAATCTTTCCCTCCTCCAGTCCATACTCTCCAGTGTCAACAGCATTTGCTTTCCAAGAAGCAAATCTGATCACGATGCCCCAGTGTCACTGGGTTAAAGCCACTAAGGGTTCCCCTGGGCTCAGGATAGAAGCCACACTCCTCAGCCTGGCTTGTGTGTCCTCCCACAGTGGGGACCCCACCTCCTTTCCACCCGCACTCATGCTGTGCTCCCAGCATGTGGACCTCCACTGCCCCTGCCCTACCCCAGGGACTTGTGCTTGCCTTTTTGTGCGGGAATGCTGACACCTCCTTGGCCCTGCTCTGCAGAGTGTCACCTCCTCGGTGAAGTGCTAGTTCCCAGACACTCGGCTCTTCAGCACTTGGCTACTTGCTGAGAACAATAGCCCGCTGGTCTGCTGGGAGCTATGGAACCAAACTGCCCACGTTTAAATTCTGGCTTCTCCACGTGGCTGTCAGCAAGTTTGTCCATCTCTCCTTGCCTTGGTATTTTTAGTGAGATGAGAAAGAGAATATTATTGAATTCACAAGATTGTTAATGAGAATTAAATGAGTTAGCGTAAGGAAAGCATGTTAGTACATAGAACACTGCTTGGCACACAGTAAATGCTCAGTGAATGTCCGCTGTGCTAACAACAATGTTATTACCATCATTGTCATTATTCTTATTCCACCAAAATGTAAGCTCTTTAAGAATAAAGACTGCCTATTTTGTTCACTACCTGACACAAAAGGTACAGGATATACAGCTGTTGAGTAACACGTTGACCACTGCATGTGGTTAATTGTTTATACGAATGCCCAAGCCCCATCAGCCAGCAGAACACAAGCATCTTGACTAGCCAATCAATCCTGTATTTCCTGGTTCTGCTCAATGGGGAAATAATAGACCCTCAATAAACGTTTGCTGAATGAATAAATGAATGAACCTCTGAGGTTGCACGTACACGTTATCTCCTTCTAAAACATCAGCTTTAGCTCTAAGTTTATCAAAAACTCATGCCCTTCATTCTTTTAAACTGGATATCCAGGGGCTTCTGGAAGATCTCAAAAAACAGACAGTGCATTCGGGGGCTTTATCCCAGAGCAGTCTTCAGAGGAGGATAAAGTTCCTCAAGAAGTGTCTGCCCCTGTGCATTTCCACCCACCAGGACCCCCTTTCCTGCACCTCTCCCCTTCCTGAGCCCCCCGGCTGTCCTCCACCACAGCCAGAGGGAACTGGGCCTCATTAGGGGGACAGTTTGTTCCTCATTAGGGGCACCAAGCTTGGCTGGAGAAAAGCCAGCTATCACTTTATCCAAAGCCAGGAAATCTCCCAGTATGGAAGCCCCCTCTCTCCCATTCTGCACCAAGTCCTTCATTCTCGCTACTTCACGGAAAACCTTCCTCTAGAAGGAAGTAAAAAAATTCCCCCAAAATATATCAGCCCTTCTGCTTTAGTTCATCTACCTAAAGTGAAAAAATAAAACCAGGGAGAGGGGAAATTGTGTATAATGTGAATAAACGTAGTCTGTAGACTTTATTGAAGTACTGCTGTTTTGTAAGCCTCTTACTGACCAGAACCACTTATTATTCCAAATGCACATAGATTTATGATCTGAAATGCTCACCATGTTTTTTACCCTGGAGAACTAGAGGGAGAGCGAGTTCCAGCTCAGTGTTTGACAAGATAGCTTACATCATTTTATCCCCACGTCAATGCAGTGAGGCAAGTGAGGTTTATTATCTTCCTGTTATGAATGTGGGCTGTAGAGACTGAGAGATTAAGAGGGTTGTCCTTGGCCAGCCCTAAGTTTGGAGAAAACATGTAATTTCATTCTGTCACTACTGAGCCCATCGCTCTCTGCCATCACCCATGTATAAATGTTGCAGCCCAGAGCATCCCGTCGGCCATGGCATGTCCATCGTCTGGCCCCTGTGCTCTCTTCCCTCCCCCAACTACCCCTGGGCTGCCCAGCCCTGCACCGGCACTTGTGAGGCTGCAGCTCCCCTGGGGGCAGTCTGGCATTCCCAAGCTCTGGCTAGGGACCAGAGGTGTTTAGTTCCCTGGCTTTTTGGTCAGAGACATTCCAGGGAGTTTCAGCAAGTAAGAGCTGCCTTTAAACAGCTTCCAGCAGCCCCTGCTGAGCACTCAGAGTGGGAGTGAGCCACATCCCAGCTCTGCTATTCACCTGCTGTGTTACCCTGAACAGACCACCCAGCCTCCCTTCCCTGTAATGGAGAAGAGGGAGCAGCTTTGAGAATCTGATAGTGCTGTGAACAGTCTCCCCTGAAGACACTTGCACTAAACATCACAGGTGTCATTTCAGGAGGGTCACAGTGTCCATCCATTGAGCCCACCTGGGTACCCCATAGATCCCCTGCCCCTGGATAAGAATCCCTGGGCCCAGTGAGCTCTAACACCAAAGTGGGAAGCCCCCAGATACAGATTTTTTTAAAGGAAACTTCAGTAGTTTATTTTCTCACTATGAAAGAAAGAAAATAGATTTTAAAAGGAAAATTACTATAAAACCACTACCAGTAAAATTACTATTAATAATTTAGTAAATATAAATTTAAAAATTTAGTAAATATCAGACAGTCTTTATGTCTCTCTCACTCTTGACATACATATACATAAATCCATTATACCAGGAGTGTTTTGTCATCTTATTTAAATATCATTTAAATATTATTTGACAATATGGCTGGGCAGAATGGCTCACACCTATAGTCCCAGCAGAGTGGGAGGCCAAGGCAGAAGAATCACATGAGCCCAGGAGTTCAAGACAAGCCTGGACAACAAAGTGAGACTCCATCTCTACAAAAAACAAAAAAAAATAATTAGCCAGGCATGGTCACATGCACCTGCAGTCTCAGCTACCCAGGAGGCTGAGATGGGTGGATGCCTTGAGCCCAGGAGTTCAAGGCTGCAGTGAGCTATGATCACACCACTACACTCCAACCCAAGTGACAGAGTGAGACCCTGTCACAAAAAATATGAATAAATAAAATTATTTGACAATGTAATGTCTACATAGTAACCGATTGCGTAGTAATTCTGTAATGCATTATTTAACTTTCCCCAATTGTTAACCATTTATGTTTTCATTATTATTATTATTATTATCTGTACAAACATATCTGATTATTTTCTTTTTTTTTTTTTTTTTTTTTTTGAGACGGAGTCTCGCTCTGTCGCCCAGGCTGGAGTGCAGTGGTGATTATTTTCTTAGACTAAAAGTGGAATAGCCAGTTCTATGCAGAAGGAAGCTTTTGATACCTATCACAATTTGCCCCCTCTCTCCTAGAAAGATTTGCTGATTTGCACTCCCAGTAGCTGTAGGGAGGCAGGGTGGAGGGGACTTAGACCCGTGTTCCTAAGCAGCTTCCTTGAACCAGCAACTCAGAATGTTGACACCAAGTGGGGTCTCTGTTTGCTAAAAGTTAGACATCGCAGTCCACAGAAACTGTGTCTAGGACTGGCCTCGCCACATTTTTAGGTGGGTAAAACTGGTCTTCAGTGCCTTCCTCCCTCCCTCATTCCCATGTAGCCACTTGATCTGACTGTAGCCCCTCGCCTCCCAGGTTCAGCAGCCGTTGCTCTGCCCCCACCCCCTGGATTCACAGACCCTACAAGGCATCCCATCAGCAGGCTCTAGACTTTCCATCCACAGCTTTATGAATCTGTTACATGCACCTGTGTGAATGGGTTCAGGGGAGCAGGCTGAATTCAGAGTACAATGGTCCTGAGTCAGCCCAGGCAGAGACTGGGACATCAGACCCAGTGAGGAGGCTGTCACCAGGCAGGGGATGGTGTTCCAGGGGGCCAGATGAGCAGTGGAAGTCCATGTTCATGCCTGCTCTGTCTCTTATGCAGTTGGTCTTTCAAAATGTTCCTCAAAGGGAAGAACAGGGCCTCTCTGAAAAGATAAATTCATTTCCCTTGAAAATTGGCTAAACAGAGTGTGTTGCAGGGCCATGAGCCCCAGAATGATGGGCAGAGTTTCAACCATTTGCTTGGCAAACTGTGCTGCTCTCTGAGCCTTAAATCTGCATATCAGTGATGGGAGTTTGGGGAGGGAAGATCACACATGGTCCCATCCCGCTGCTGACCGCCTCTCTCTTGGCCCTGCAGTCTGACGGTTCCATCCTGGCCATCGCCCTGCTGATCCTGTTCCTGCTCCTAGCCCTGGCTCTCCTCTGGTGGTTCTGGCCCCTCTGCTGCACTGTGGTAAGTGCCCCAAACCTCAGGCCATGCAAGGTGAAGGGTGACATAAAGTTCACAGACCATGAGTAGAGAGAAAGGGATTTTTAAAAAACTAAAGATGGGAGACAAATCTTGCATTTTTTATACAATTTATACAAAATTGATGTGAACTGACATTGATCAATGGAACCATGAGTCACCAGCAGTCAGTATGAGTTAGGGTGTGAGATTGCCAATGGCCGTGCCCCTTGGGTGGGGCAACTGGGGTGGCCGCTTTAGTTCTGGTGCTTAGGGAAGATCCACAGGACAACACAAATGATGAGTGTTATTCGACATGTAATGAACATATATGCCTCTGTGTACGGTACACACACATACACACATACACATTTGTTGAGTTGCCCAACCTATACTCTTCTAAGGCCACCCTGGTCTTAGTAACTAGTCTACCTATCTGAGAAAGTGTCTCTGGCCTGACCTCTTTATTTTCAACAATGAAGAATGGCATTTACCTTTATTCATTGATTTTGGCAACTTTTATAGGACACACCTACTGTGTGACCAGCACTGGGCTAAGCACTTTGGCTACAAGATCAATAAAAACCTGCCTCCTCCCCATCAGTGTCATATGGAGTCATCACATGACAATGTCTCCCCAGAATAGCTTAGGGCCTGGAATAATCCACCCTGACGATAATCCCAAATGGTAAATGTCTGGCTGTCAATTTCTGTTCCCTGGCCCTTAGACTGGGAGAAGTCCAAACAAAGTAATAGCCAAATAAAGAAAAAAAAACATTCCCTGTGACATGTCTATTTCTAGCCTGTGCCCTGCCTTTCAACAAATCAGTGTGTGCTGTGAAGCCCATGAATGTGAAGTGGCCACTGCTCCACTGCCATGGCATCTTCATTTCCTGTATTTTAGTTCTTCCATGGAAGGGCCGGCAAGGCACAATAGACAGTGAGCCTCTCCAGGACAGGGACTCATCTTCATTTTCCCTCTGAAACTTCAGCATTTAGCACACAGTGTGAGGGAGTTCACATCTGTGTGTACAGCTCAACTGAACCAAGACCACAGAGAGACAGAGCACTGGACTTGAAAAGCAAGGGGAAATGGCTTCGGATGACATGTTAAAGAGGTGGCAAATGAGTGAGATGGGAAGCTCAACCAGGATGTGGACCATATGGCAGGGACTTCTGGAAAGGGTTGACTTGCAGCAGACAAGTATGGAAGGAGAGACCCAGGACAGGCACAAGTCTTGGGTTAATTAGGACCCTGCAGGCTGGGCTGGACTTCACCAAGATTTTAAACAGATTCTTACCAGAGCAGCTCCAAGAGTTAAATGTTGTTTTAAACATTTAAGGCTGCAAAACCATTTTATTTTGAGGGTAAAAAATCCTCATGAGTCAGCCCAAGTGCTTTCTATGGAGATTCAAAAACAAGCACATTTTCAAGTCTAGAAAAAGAAAAGAAAAACCTTACAGTGGGTTCTTAAAGAAGAGTCGGCAGGCCTGGTAGCAGCAGGCAGTGAACACTATTATAGTTCCTTTGATTATTTACAGTTACCTCTGGGTGAGGACAGCTAGGAACATTAGAACAGCCAAGCAGTGCTCCACCAAATACTGGCTGTGTGACCTTGGGCAAGTTTCTTCACCTCTCTCTCAGTTTCCTCATTGGTATAATGAGGACAATAAGAGCTCCCACCTCATCGTTAGATGGTGAAGACTATAAAGGAGTGTATATATATGTGCTTAGAAAGCACCTAACACATAGTAACTGCTGTATATTATTATTATTTAAAAGTATTTTACTGTAATAGGAATCTATTATGATACTGGATGGCATTCAGTTTATATTCTTTGGAAATGTTTCTCAAAATAAACCTTTTGTTATTGGAAGCAATGTCACCCAAGGCCAAATTGAGTTTTGCAATATTCAAAATATTTTTCAATGAATTTATCTGGTTAAGTCCCTGTTGCTTTGGAAGGCAGCCAAAATGTCTTAATGTGGTCTGACTTTGTAAGTCGTGAAGGATTTCTTTATGAGGGTTGATCTTCGGGATTCATTTTCCTGTTTATGATGTCTATTTAAGCTGCCTCCTCTCACTCTTTCTGAAAGCTGGCTTGGGCTCCAGTGCTTGGTCTGCCCCCTAAAACTACTTGCTGATCACTTGCTTCCTTGATGAGGGGTGATGCTCCAGAGCAGGGCAGATTAAGGTCATATGTTTCCTAAACAGTATACTCAGGAATGAAGGCAAACATGGGCCTCCCATCAGAGTTTCATTCAGAGGACACAGGGAAGTTTCTCTCCCGAGATACAGCACCCCTCACCACAGTCCCCAGATTAATAGAGGGCATTCTTGTAAACAATGGTCCTCAAACCTTCCTCTGTCACTCTTCCTGCATCTACCCCAAGGGTGGGGAATGCCCCTCAACCTACTAGCAGAGCCGCATCTCCGTGCTGGAGGAAAAGCCAGAAAGCAGAAAAGACCTAAAAAACGTGGGGTACGTGTCTGCCGTGTGCCTTCTCCTTCCTGCTGCAATCTTTTCTTTAGGAGTGATACTCAAAATATTTAACAACCTGCAAGGCCCCCACCCCCGCTGAGCCACACATTAACCCACAGTGGCTGGGTATGTGAAGGGGTGGGGGATGAAGTCCTGCAGGGTGGCTGGGTAGGAGAGCAGGCCCAGTTACTAGCTACAAAGGCCAGTTTTAGATGTACTGGCCAGGATGAGCAGACCAGGCACAGGGGCTGCTATCAGGCCTGCCTCTGCTCAGCATCCTCCTGCTTCCTGCTGGTCCTGTCTGGAAGAAGAAACCTGATGGGTGAGGGTGACAGATGATGCCTACCCACTGCACTTGGCCTTTCCCTAAGGACCCCACTCCCCCATTTGGGCTCTTAACTTCCAGCCAAATGGAACCTGAATTAACTTGTTGCCAGCCTGCCAGATGTAATCTACCAGTAATGACTGATGGGGAGAGAGAAAACTGACCATATCCTGAATCAAACCTTTAGTGTTTCCCAGCTTGTTCCTCAGTATCGCCAGGTGGACCTCTGGCTTTTAAGATTCCTATACCTATTCATTGGCACAAAACACCCACCTTGAAGGGGAGAGAGGTATTGGACTATGCACACTGGGCTTATTCGCATTTTCAAATAGGTAATTCAAGGGGTTAATATTTTCCCAAATAATAATAATAATAAAGTCCTGCCTCAGTTCCACAAGGGACATTTCCAGAACCCTTCAAGTCACGCCATGCCCACTCCAGCTACTCATAAGTTTGGTCCGATATTATTGAAATCTCAAAATTGAACTTTAAAAAGAGGAAGACTAGGAAATCTAAAACAGAAAAGGATCATTTTTTTAAAAAAAGTTGCAATGTATTAGACGAGTAAATGTTATGAATGGCTTGAATGTGTAGGGGGGAAAGTCATCAATGAATCAGTGACATTAGGGCACTAAAAAGTTGTAGAAAATGCAGGTATCCCTGAGAGTCTCCCCTCACCCCAGCCAAGAGCCAATGCCCTGATGGGAGCCTGCAGCCCAGGTAGGGGGTGGCTTTATGTATACAGAGAAAGGCCATCGTATCCTGCCTAAATTTCAGCAGGTAGCAAGACACTGGAGGATTCCGATTAGCAATGGGGACTGGCTGCCCCAAATGAGAAATCTGGAGTATCGAAGAAATCCCTGTTGGGGCTCTCAGTTTCATGACTCCATGTTGACACTCTGATAAACACCCCAATTCCCGATCTCCCCTCTGTCCCTATACCTACACCTTCCCGGTGGTGTGTGTTCTCCCCTCCCGCTCCCAAGATATCAGTCACCTCAGAAGAGAGCAGCCCAGCTTGCTGATGGGGCCACTGCACATTTATGAGGGCTTCAGCACTCATACTTTAGCAAACTGCTAACTTACCTCTATGGATAAGAACTCCTCCCAAACTGCAACCGTTTCTCTGAAGTTCCCTGTACTACCTCTGGCTGTCTCATATTCAGCAGACAACCTGCTGTTCTATCTCCGTGAGAAAACAGAAGCTGTGCTGTCAGAAATCCTTGCACTCCAGCACCCTCATATGTGCATCCTCCTCCAGCATCCCTCTCCCTCCCTTTCCACAGAAGTTCTTCGTTTCTTCCTTTCTCACCCAGCATCTTCCTCCTTTCCTTTCCACTGGCTTCCTCCCTCTGCCTACAAACATACGCCAGCCACCTTCATCCTTTAAAAAATGTGTCTATGTTAATCTGTCCTCACACTACTACAAAGACATATACCTGAGACTGGGTAATTTATAAAGAAAAGAGGTTCAATTGGCTCACAGTTCTGCAGGCTGTACAGGAAGCATACTAGCTTCTGCCTCTGGGGAGGCCTCAGGAAGGTTCCAGTCATGGCTGATGGCAGAGGGGGAGCGAGGCATCTCACATGGTGGGAGCAGGAGGAAGAGAAGAACGAGGTGGGAGGTGCCACACACTTTTCAACAACCGGATCTCAGGAAAACTCACTATCACAAGAACAGCACCAAAGGGATGATGCTAAGCCATTCACGAGAAACCCCACCGCCATGATCCAATCACTTGATGGATCAGGTGATGACTGATGGCTGCAATCAGCCAATCACCTCCCACTAGGCCCCTCCTCCAACATTGGGGATCACAACTCGACGTGAGATTTGCGTGGGAACACGGATCCAACCCATGTTAATCTCATGCCTTATTTCTCCTTCATGCTACTCTCTTCTCCTTACCTTCCTTTCACCCACACACTCCTTTGCGGAGCATCCACTGTCCACAATTCCTCTCCTTCCCTCTTCCTCCCACTGCACCCTGAGCACCATTGCCATTATTTCTCCAATCCTTCGCTTGCAAAACTGAATTTCCCAGCCAGTGGTCTCCATTCACTTCTCATTCTTCTTTACCTCTTTCAGCAGTAGGCACTGTCGACCTCTCTCTCCTTTAAACTGTCTCCTCCACTGGTGTCTGCTGGCTCTTCTCCTACGTCTCTGTGCAGTTTCTCCCTGTCTCCCTCATGGGCTCTCTTTCCTCTGCTTGCCAATTGTTCTCCAGGGTTGCCTTCCACCCTCTTCTCTAACACATTGTTCCTGGTCAGTGTCACCAGCTCCCACAACTTCAACTACTTAATGTGTTTACCCATCACTGGCCTTGGCTCCAGAGGACCAGCCCACATTAAAGGGACCAATGGACATCTCAAATGCAGGCATCTCACCCTCAACATACCCCCCACTGAACTCTTCACGTTACCCCCTAAACCTGCTCTTCATCAATGGATGTGCCATTGTTCTCCAGGCTGCCCAGACTAGGGACTGCAGAGCAACCGCTGATGTCTTCTTCTGTCCCTCCTTGTCTTATCTCACTTTGGAGCTGCCTACAGCACATCCTTTCCCACACCTCATCTTATCTCACATCTGTTCACACCTTCTACTCCAGCACAGTCACAGTGTCTGTCACTCAGTAGTTGCTTAAGAAATATTTGTGGAATGAATGAATGGATACCATTGTCTTACTCTAGGATTCCGCATCTCCCACCTGAATTATTTCAGCAATTTCCTAACTGCTCTTTTAGTCTTTCTCACCTTCATTAAAGAGACTTTTCATTTTTAAAAAAGGCAGCCAGGTGATGAGCCTACTCACTACCCTGCCTAGAATTCTCTTGAGTGTTCAGCGGCCGTAAAACAGAGTTCCCGTCCCTTGAGATGGCATGAGTAGGGCTTTTCCATCCTGGCCCCACTTCTCCAGCCTCACCTCTTACCTTCCCCTCCTGTGCAGGGTCTCCCTTAGCACCTGTGCCTGCTTCTTTCATAGCACTGATCATGCTGTGAAAATTGCCTGTTTGCTTGTCTGTCTTCCTCTGTTAAGCTGAAGCTGTTGGAAGCCAAGGCTGTAGGTCCCCAGAGCATAATACAGTGCCTGGCTCAAAGCTGCTGCTCAGTGTATCTCAAAGTTCATTAGCAGCCAAGTGGATGGAGGACCAACTGTGGGCACACTCTACTCTTTGGGGCTCATTAAACATATCAGGTACTTCCTTATCATGATCTTTTTGCTCATATTATTTCCTCTTGCTGAAATAGTTTCACCTTCTTTATGTTCTCTATACAATTCTTCCTTCAAAGTCCAGCTTGTTGTTCAGTCCATTTCAGTAGCATCCTGCACACCTTTTCCTCACCTGGGGAGGATCAGCTGCTATCTCACTTGGTTTCCATGGCGTTTTTCTCACACCTGTTTTAGAGCATTTGCTCATTCTATCACAAGTATTTATGTATATATCTCTCACTGTACAGACAGTCCCCAACTTATGGTGGTTCAACTTAGAATTTTTCGACTTTGTAATGGTATGAAAGCTGTGTGCATTCAATAGAAAGCATACTTCAAGTACCCATACAACCATTCTGTTTTTCACTTTCAGTATAGTATTCAATAAATTACATGAGATAGTCAATACTTGATTATAAAATAGGCTTTGTGTTATCTATTTTGCCGAAGTTTAGACTGATGTCAGTGTTCTGTGAGCACATTTAAGGTTGGCTAGGCTAAGCCATGACGTTCACTAGGTTAGCTATATTAAATGCATGTTCAACTTATGACATGTTCAGCTTACAATGGGTTTAATCTGGACATAGTCCCATCATACATCGAGGAGAATCTGTACCATGAACTCCTCCATGGCGAGGAGAAACTAGTCACAGAAACTAATCCCAAAATATGGTACAGTGCCTAGTACATATTATAATTTGTGTATTTTCCAAATCAAACTAAAAACCTAAGTCTTCCTAGGGGAAGAGTGTTCGATGCAGAAGGAGCCCACAGACCTATGGAACTGTAATGAGTGGTTGTGTCATGGGGGTTTGTATTATCCTATTTCATGACTTACATGTATGTTATATGCAATATTTTATATGTATCTAATATTATATAACAAGGACATTCAAATCAGTTTCTTAAATAAAATCCTAGAAATAGGCCCATTTTATTGAGAGGTTAATGGTATATGAGAAACCCCAAGTGAAAAGATCTTAGCATATTTTGCAAAATGAAAAAGTTCTGAGCAGGGCACAGTGACTCGCACCTATAATCCCAACACTTTGGAAGAGCCGAGGCAGGAGGATCACTTGAGCCCTAGAGTCTGAGACTAGCCTAGGCAACATGGTGAGACAGCATCACTATTTAAAAAAATAAAGTTCCGGAAATTAGTTGCATAATTATGTGAATATATGTAACACTACTAAACTGTACACTTAAAAATAATTAAGATAATAAGTTTTATATTAAGTTCTTTTAACCACAATTAAAAAGAAAAAAAAAATCCTGCTTTTAAAGCTGCAATTTTTCTGCAATCCAACTAGTTAAAACACCACACTATTTAGGTCAAATCAAATCACTGTATTTCTGTTCATATAACAACAATTTTTTTTCAGTATTTTGGGAGAGGCTCATGTCCATGCATTCAGAATTTTTTCCTATATAAACAAAATTGTTCTCCCTGTCTTGTTTTCAGTGGCCTTATAGGTATCTTATGAACAGCTTTTAAAGAATTACGTAACAGATCACTTTTAATTCATTTAATTGAATTTCAAGGATAGTTCAACAAATAAGCCCACTGGACATCTCCAATGACAAATTGCAAAGGGCAAAAATTAATCAAAAACTTGATATACCTTAAGTGGAAATAAAAATAAAGCATTAAAATAATGTTCTTCGCACCGTTAAGAATAACATTTAATTTGTAGGGCCAGACAACCCAAGCCTAACATCACCAAAAGGATTTACTGACAGTTTAATAAAAACACAACTGGGACAGGCAACTTCTGATGCAGGCATCTTGGGCCTAATACTGATTGTGCCTTCTTGATCCTGTTCCAGCCTCCACCCATTCCCATATGGACACGCCTCAGGCTACAGCTGACAAGATTATTTCTCGTTAGCACACAGAGCTCTGCCATGACCTGCCCTCACCTCTGGAGGGCAGGTACACCACACACCTCACACACCCATTTTTTTCTCATCTCTGGCTTCCCTCATCCTTTGTGGGCTGCCTGATAACCCCCAACCCCCATGCTTATGCCTGCCGGTGAAATGGAAAGAGGCGAGTTGTTGTCAAAGTCGACTGGGTTTCAATGCCGCATCTTCCTCTTCTGGTTAAAGGATTAGTCCAATCCTTTAACCTTAATTTCCCCCGTGTGAAAAACTAGAAAATTGGAACCATATTGTCTCTAAGGCTGCTTCCTCATATTCGTACCTTCTTTGAGTGAATCTGCTTCTCCCTTTCAAGATTCCCTGGTCTGTGGTTTTCAAACCTGGTTGCATACTGAAACCATCTGAGGAGTTTTTATATGATACAAGTACTCAGGGGCAGCATTTCCAAACTATGTCAGGGCAATCATACCCTGCAAGTATGAATAGGGGCACTTCAGAACAAGAGGTATTTAGACAGTGAGTTTTAAAGACATCCTTAAACTAAGTTGAATCACTGCCTTTACTGCAGGACTTCTCAGAGTCATTAATAGGATAATTTGCATGTGACTCTTCAAATTTATTTTGACCCTAGAACTCTTCCTTGGCCTGTCACTACCTGTACTCTCCCAAACACTTATTAACATACTGACATCTGGAAGGACACCAGTATTCTGCCAAATACTATTTGGGAAACACAGTCCTAGAGAACGCTGAAGCAGCTAAAAGAGCAGGTTCCTGGATCCTAAGATGCAGCCTCTTTTGTGCCCTCCCTGGAGGCTGTATCAATATCAACAAGCTTGAACATCTTGTGAACATCATCAACTCACCCTTGTTCCTTCTGTGCCCTGCTCAGATCCCACTGACACTACTAGTGTCTAAAAATCGGCTTTCCCGTAACCCAGGCAGAGGCCAGAGGCTGCTCCTTCAAGCCTCAGGGAATCTGAAATCATGGATTTATTTTGCTGTTTCACTTCACAGACTTTTGCAGTGACACTGGCATACCATCTGATGGAGACCATGCACAGCCATTCTCTCACATTACCATGTGAGTCCCTTAGGCCCTGTGGACTAATGGTAAAGCTCCTGCTGCAACTCTCACTTTAGACAGTGATGAATTGGGCCTTTTAAATAGTCTCAGTCTTAAGGGAGATGAGATGAGAGACCAAAAATCATTTGAAATCTGAGTTCCAAATTGGAGGGAAAAAAAGTTGACCTCATTTCTTTGAAAATTTCTGGTACCACATTCCAAATTAACACCCTTGGTACCATCCTTTGCTAAACTTTTACAGTGTAAAATTACTGGATTCAGGCAGTCCTTGGCCAGCATTAACCCACCCCAATCAGTCATGAGGTCTCTATTCAATTGATGCTGTCTATACAGTGGAAAGATTCCTTTATCCTCCATCAACTAGCATCTCATCTCTCCTGGATGTTTTCCATATCAAGTTGCCTACTTTCCCTTGATTTCTTGACTTCAATTAAAAGAATACTTACAAGGTTTGGGAGCCAGAATGGAAGGCTAGAATGTAAAAAGGGTCAGAGCAAGCATCTCCTTCTAGCTGTGACATTAAAGCCCTTATTAGATGGCTTTTCAGATCTGGATTGGCATTTCTTCTATACATAACTCTGTTCTGGTGGCTTCTCATGCAGAATTTAAAAGGCCAGGGGGGCAGCAGTTGAGCCGGCTTTAAGAGATCAACCCAGAAGTCCCCCAGGACATACAGTGCTTTAAATCAAAGGCTTCAAAAAAGACCTTTGTCATCTAAATACAGGCACATTTATTTGAGCTAACCTCTGAGCGTGCAGGAAGTCATCATTTGTGGAAAAAAAAAAATCCATTACTATTGACTGACAATGCAGCAGACTCCACAGCAAAAGAAAAACAAAAATTCCTGGAAAAAATAGAATAGAAGTTGCCTTAAATGCATAGCCAGGCTCATGAGAAAATAGGAGATGTTTCCAGGGCCCAAATAAAGCAGGATCTGGAAATCAGATGGTCATCTGACCCTAAAGCAGTGGCTTCCTGCCTGAGATTTTCTTATCTCAGTAACCTAGATGTTTGGCTTAATAGCCTTTCATGGGCCCATAAAAGTTTGGGAGTTGAAATTGAGTCTTCTGCCTAAAGCTGCCTAAAGCCTTGAGTGAAAGATGGGCTATGGGTTTGATGTGGGTGTGTATGTTTGTGTCCCTAAGAATTCATAACCTCTGAGAGGTCTAGAGTTCAAACTTACACTACTTGAGGTTTTGTAAATTGGAAGCTGAGAAAAAGTTTGGAAATGCTTAGGGATCTGCAAGAGGAAACCTGAAACCTCTGGCAGGTTCGTCCCTCAACCCAGGCCTCATAGAATTTCCATAGGTAAATGCCTACTACACATGAGCTCACAATCCCAAATTACCAAAAACCCAAGGAATATTATTTATTACTTGGGCCCTTGGGATTTTATGATACACATGGAAAGCACAAAAGACCAGAGAAAGGATGAGGAAGTCAGTCCCTGTCAGCACTATTCCCTTTGCTCTGTCCAAAGTTAACAATAATTGTTAAATAGCAGATACACTGAAAATTCTCTGTGTATCACCATTTCTCCTGTAACATGAAATGTGTTCCTGAAGATATGACTGCATTATGGAATTTTGGCCCATGAAAATAATAGGACTAATGGGGGAAATGGGTTCAGAGCAGAACATTCAAAACTGTGCGATCTTACAAAATAATATATTAGGTTGGCGCAAAAGTAATTGCGGTTTTTGCCATTGAAAGGAATGACAAAACTGCAATTACTTTTGTGCCAACCTAACGCTAAAAAATAATAAACTCAATAAAAATGCCACCGTTTTAAACACCTTAAATTCTTAATAAAACATACTTCAGTAAATATGGCTCTTTACCTTGATTTTTTTTAAATAAACAGGTGAAGTTTCTTAGTTGACGTGAGTCTGATGCAGCACCGTGGCTTTGAGCTACAGAAACAAGACGGAAGGAAGGACATTCTTAGGGCAAAGTGTCACAACACAAGGGGAGATGGCTATGACTCAGCGTCTTGTTATTCCTTCTGCACTGGCTTAAAATAGAATTTCAGCTTTTGTTGTGTTGCCAGGTTCCTCTTTTCATGTAAAAAAAAAAGCAATTTGCGTGGTTCCAAATAAGACTGAAAACCATGAAAGTACTATTCTGCTGCTCTCGGCATTACCTCCTTTTCTTCACTCCATCACACATGCCTCTAATCCCCTCTAAGGCAACTGGTGGCTCCTGTGAGTTCCATTCTCCTTTCTTTGGTTTTTCAGCATGGTCTCTGAGGAAGCTCATTTGGGTTTCTTTATGCCCATTGCTCTCACAGTATCTCATCTTCTCTTATATCTTTACAAACATCTCCTGCACAGGCTGAAGGCTTTCCTCCCTCATTCAACCCCTGCATTTTTCGAACCAGGACACACGCTCCTATTGACAGTGCTATGTAAAAGGTTTTTAATGAGGAAAAGAACACGCATTCAGGAGCGCCATACATGCTGGACTTGCACAAGGACACACCTAAGTGAGAAAGCAAATGAGGTATGCCTGGTTTCTGCATATTCCTCCCCAGGTCACTACTGGTGGCTGGGCAGCATTTTCACATTCACCTGATGTTACTCAGTGGCGCCGAATACTGTCACCTCACACTTTTAAATGTGTAATGGTTAATGTTATATGAAGTTGACTATGAAGAACAAAAGACGAAAAATGTACATTACCTTCTCCTTTACCTTGCAAAAATCATATTTTGAGCTGGCACAGTTTTGCAGTTTAGTGATTTTAATGCCCTGTTTAACTACCACATATGAACAGTCACAAGTTACATATCTGTGTTGGAACAAAACAGACTGTGCGTGTAGTTTTCAAATTTTCAGAAAGTCTTCTTAGAAATGAATTTCGGATACAAAACTGGAAAATGGAGTCTATAATCACAGGGCAAGTGAATTTACATGGAAGCCTGGGTTAGGGGATGAAAGGGGGTATAGGTGGTATCTAATAAGATGGCACAATTAACCGTAAGGCCAACCCGTGACTCTGATTAGATTCCCATGACGCAATGCATCCAAGCATCACAGCCCACTCTTGGCAGTTGGGACTTTCAGCATCTTAACTACTGAAGAAACATTTATATGGAGGGTTAAGAGACCAGAATTGAATCTTGTAACATGTATTAAGTGCTTATTTGAGAGGCAAGGAAGTTTATTATAATCAGAAATGCTTCCTTTATCCCTCCCTTTTCAGGAACACACACTCATTTATTCCAGAAATAGTGGCCGAGTAACAAACACTAAGCTGTGTGTCAGGAGATAAGTATGCCCATGTCTTCAAGAGCTTACAGTCCAGTGCGGAAGACAGAGGAATAAACACAGTTCAGTGAGTTTGTTGCTAACAGTGCAGACAGAGAGAGATAAGATCCATGTCCCTAATTCCCAGGGAGCCATCTGGCTGGGATTGTTTCAGGGCTGGATCTAGAAATCCAGGCCGTGCCAGCCTTGTATGCAGATGACCACAAATTCACATCAGTGGAAGCCAAGGAGTACCTGCATGCAGAGCTGAAAATTTACTCCAGAAATAGTTCTATGTCTTCCCCAACACAGGACGGGAGGCAGTGGAGAGCCCAGAGTTCCTGACAATGGAGCGGGGACACCAAAATTTTTAGAATGAAACAGCTTCAAAGCTGGTCTTTCTAATCAGCTATAAGCAAGTCTCAACAGAACACTCATGGGAATGTCTGACTTGAAGCTAAACATAGCCCCTGCATATCTGACAGAGGTATGGGGCTCCAGGAAATAAGCTAATTCACAGTTCTCAAAGTGTGGTCCCTAGACCAGCAGGTACTTTGTCAGAAATGCAAGTGCCCCTCCCCAAACCCACTAATGAGGAACTCAGGGGTGTACCCCAGAAAGCTGTGTTTTAAGAAGCCCTCCAGGTGATTCTGATACTCAATAAAGTTTGAAACCACTGAGCTAATTAAAATTAGAGGACAAATGCTTCATTTCGTTAATAAAGGAGTTATCTGAAGCAGCTCTCTTGGACTTTGTCTAAACAGCAGAGATGCCTGTGTGTCAAGGAAGTGTCTCCTTTGCAGCAAGAGACCAGCCCTTCGGCAGAGAGGACTTGCAGGAAGTGCCCTGCATTCAGCTCATGCAAAAAGGACACGGAGACACAAAAATACAACTTAAGAAGAAAGGGGCCAAAAACGAGTCCCCTGTTTTGTTCCATTTCTCATGCCATGAGATGAGCATTTGTCAACAATGAGCCTGTCTATACAGCTTATCCTATTAACCAGTCCCAGTCACAGAGTGAGGAGACAAGAAAGATGAGGAGGGGAGATGTGAAGTTGTGGTGGAGGATTTCTCAACAAGGTGACAGAGGCAAAACAGGGGACCACAAGGAATCACTAGGCCTGGCATTCTTTTGCTGCTAAAGCAGCATGTGGGCCTGACTCGCGGCTTCAAACGGAACGTCTAGTGAGCCTGTGCAGCCGTCATCTGGTAGGTGGGAAAGGTGCCCATGTTGAGAACTAGAATGACAGCATCCTTTCTTCCACTGCACAAGACTGTAACAGTAGAGTTAGCAAGTGACAAACACAACGGCAAGGATCAAAGCCTACACATTAAGAATCAAACTTCAATACTGCTAGAGAAAAAAGAAAAGCAAAATAAACTCATCAGGTGCTTTATCTCACTTTAACAATTTCTAAAATCAATTTATAAAGCCATTTATAAAAAAATAAAATGAATTATTAGAGAGCGCTTTACAGAGACCCAAATGGTTGAACTTAATTCATAAAACCAAAATAGTTCAACTTCCCAGGCATGAAACAGGCCCTGAGAACACGCAATCTTTCTACTCTATTCGTACTATGCTGACTGCATCTCCACATCTTCCATCATTACTATTTCCAACAGCCAAACTCAGGAGTGCACATAAAAACTGGAATTTGTTTGACTCAATGAGAATTTGTCAGTAACATTTCAATTTGATCAGATTCTACCTGGTCTTTTCTGACTTTCCTTTATCTATGCAATGATCGTCATCAAATCTGACCCTACCTCATGTCAGCCTGAACAGAGACGGATAAAGTCAGAATTAAAGTCACTGGTAAGAGAGGAGAGGAGATGCATCTCCCAACACACAGCAGTTTCAAGAAATTCTCAGGTATCAGAGAAATACCAATAGAATTCAGGAGTTCCATATTCCATCTCATTTTTCCCGTCCCCTTTACCTCACCAGCCCATCTCTTAGTGCAAAAGGGACTCTAGGGCAGCTATCCCAAGGAGGCAAATGGTCACTTTCTGCTTCTCTAAAATACCCAGTCTAAAGGTGGTAGTAAGTGGGGAAGTGGTACTAGCCTGCAGAGTAGAAATGTGAAAAATGTTCTCAGATTTACTCCCATACTACCATCCAGTTCTTCCATGTTATGCTTATGTTTATTATTTTCCATTAAAATATTTTATTAACGACCCTTCAACCCTATCCATCTTCTTTGTCCCTCCTAATGAGGAAGGCGCCAAAGAGCCCACCCATAACCAGGAGGATGCTCACATAACCTGAGAAAAAGGAGAGTGGGCCAAACCAAGCCTGAGCTTGGAAGCTGATTCTAGCTTGCATTCTAGTTGGAAACAGAGGATTTCTAGTCATGCTGGTTGGAAACAAATAATTATGCAATTTGCCTTTCAATTACAATTCAAAGTGCTACAGAAAACAAACATGATGGGAGCCCACAAAGAGAACCTTGTCCTTTCTGTGAGATTCCCAGGGGAGGTGCATTTACTGGAGATCTGTTTGATAAGTAGGTGTTCACTGGGGAATGTGCAGGGCTGTGGACTGAGCGTGGAGGAGGTAGCGAGCATTTGGGCAGAAGATACTGCACTTGAGAAGCAGCAGAGCATGTGGAAGGAACAAGAAGGTGCCCAGGAGACTGGAGTGCAGAAAGTGAAGGAGAGAGACACAGTGGGAGGGAAGTAAGGCCACATCATGTGGAACCTGTGGGACATGGGGGCAGTTTGCATTATATCCTATAAGCCATGGGAAGCCATTAGCAGGGGTGCACTGGTTTTAAGTACTGAAGCAACCACGGAGATATCTATTTTTAAGGCTACTCTGTGTGTGGCCGTGTTGCCATGGTGCCGCAGGCTACAGAGCAATGCAGGCTTTTGCCCAAGCTGCTCCTCCAGGCAACACAGACTCTGGCCCTGAGGGGAGTGGGGTGGGCTGAGAAAGCTGACATGTCTCTGTGCTCAGAGCACTCCTTTGGGTGGCCCATGTGCTGGTCTTGGCACAAGGATTTGGCCCACTCACGGACAGCCTATCCAACTTTACTGCTTGGAATTCTCATCCCTGACTCCAAGCTTAGCCTGTCTAGATCATACTTTTAAAAGCTGTCCTGCCATCCTGTGGTGAGCTGCACCC